>NC_000002.12:73542625-74167625 GCF_000001405.40 Homo sapiens
GCCCAAAATCTCCTTAAGCTGATAAGCAACTTCAGCAAAGTCACAGGATACAAAATCAGTGTAGAAAAATCACAAGCATTCCTATACACCAATAGCAGACAAACCGAGAGCCAAATCATGAGTGAACTCCCATTCACAATTGCTTCAAAGAGAATAAAATACCTAGGAATCCAACTTACAAGGGATGTGAAGGACCTCTTCAAGGAGAACTACAAACCACTACTCAATGAAATAAAAGAGGATACAAACAAATGGAAGAACATTCCATGCTCATGGGTAGGAAGAATCAATATTGTGAAAATGGCCATACTGCCCAAGGTAATTTATAGATTCAGTGCCATCCCCATCAAGCTACCAATGACTTTCTTCACAGAATTGGAAAAAACGACTTTTAAAGTTCATATGGAACAAAAAAAGAGCCTGCATCGCCACGTCAATCCTAAGACAAAAGGACAAAGCTGGAGGCATGACGCTACCTGACTTCAAACTATACTACAAGGCTACAGTAACCAAAACAGCATGGTACTGGTACCAAAACAGAGATATAGACCAACGGAACAGAACAGAGCCCTCAGAAATAATGCCGCATATCTACAGCTATCTGATCTTTGACAAACCTGAGAAAAACAAGCAATGGGGAAAGGATTCCCTATTTAATAAATGGTGCTGGGAAAGCTGCCTAGCCATATGTAGAAAGCTGAAAGTGGATCCCTTCCTTATACCTTATACAAAAATTAATTCAAGATGGATTAAAGACTTACATGTTAGACCTAAAACCATAAAAACCCTAGAAGAAAACCTAGGCAATACCATTCAGGACACAGGCATGGTCAAGGACTTCATGTCTAAAACACCAAAAGCAATGGCAACAAAAGCCAAAATTGACAAATGGGATCTAATTAAACTAAAGAGCTTCTGCACAGTAAAAGAAACTACCATCAGAATGAACAGGCAACCTACAGAATGGGAGAAAAATTTTGCTATCTACCCATCTGATAAAGGGCTAATATCCAGAATCTACAATGAACTCCAACAAATATACAAGAAAGAAACAAACAACCCCATCAACAAGTGGGCGAAGGATATGAACAGACACTTCTCAAAAGAAGACATTTATGCAGCCAACAGACATGAAAAAATGCTCATCATCACTGGCCGTCAGAGAAATGCAAATCAAAACCACAATGAGATACCATCTTACACCAGTTAGAATGGCGATCATTAAAAAGTCAGGAAACAATAGGTGCTGGAGAGGAGGTGGAGAAATAAGAACACTTTTACACTGTTGGTGGGACTGTAAACTAGTTCAACCATTGTTGAAGTCAGTGTGGCGATTCCTCAGGGATCTAGAACTAGAAATACCATTTGACCCAGCCATTCCATTAACTGGGTATATACCCAAAGGATTATAAATCATGCTGCTATAAAGACACATGCACAGGTATGTTTATTGCGGCACTATTCACAATAACAAAGATTTGGAACCAACCCAAATGTCCAAGAATGATAGACTGGATTAATTAAATGTGGCACATATACACCATGGAATACTATGCAGCCATAAAAAATGATGAGTTCATGTCCTTTGTAGGGACATGGATGAAGCTGGAAACCATCATTCTCAGCAAACTATTGCAAAGACAAAAAACCAAACACTGCATGTTGTCACTCATAGGTGGGAATTGAACAATGAGAACACATGGACACAGGAAGGGAACATCACACACTGGGGCCTGTTGTGGGGTGGGGGAAGCGGGGAGGGATAGCATTAGGAGATATACCTAATGTTAAATGACGAGTTAATGGGTGCAGCACACCAACATGGCACATGTATACATATGTAACAAACCTGCACGTTGTCACATGTACCCTAAAACTTAAAGTATAGTAAAAAAATAAATAAATAAAAAAGCAAAGAATGGAAAATTATCAGTGTTGTCAGGGACATGGAGAAATTGGAACCATTGCTTATTGCTGGTGGGAATGTAAAATGGTATAGCCATTACGGAAAACATTGTGGCTATTCCTCAAAAAATTAAACATAGAATTATAGTATGATCCAGTAATTCCACTTTTAAATATATACCCCAACAAAGTGAAAGTAGGATCTTCAAGAGCTATTTGTACACCCATGTTCATAACAGCATTATTCACAGTGGCCAAGAGGTGGAAACAACCCAATGTCTATTGATCTATGAATGGATAACAAAATGTGACATATATGTGTAATGGAGTATTATTCAGCCTTAAAGAGGAATGAAATTCTGGTACATGCTACAACATGGATGAACTCTGAAGACATTAGGCCAACTGAAATAAGCCAGTCTGCTTATATGAGGTACCTAGAAAAGTCAGATTCATGGAGACACAAAGTAGAATTGTGTTTACTAGGGGCTGGGGCTAGGGGGAGTGGGAAGTTACTATTTAATGGGTACAGAGTTTAAGTCTGGGAAGATGAGTAGGTTCTGGAGATAGATGGTAGTGATGGTTACATAACAGTGTGAATATACTTAATGCCACTGAAGTGTACACTTAAAAATGATTAATTTTTTGTGGTTTTTTTTTTTTTTTTTGAAACAGAGTCTTGCTTTGTTACCCAGGCTGGAGTACAGTGGCACAATCTCAGCTCACTGCAGCCTCCGCCTCCCAGATTCAAGCAGTTCTCCTGCCTTAGCCTCCTGAGTAGCTGGGATTATAGGCACCCACCACCACGCCCAGCTAATTTTTGTATTTTTAGCAGAGATGGGGTTTCACCATGTTGGCCAGGCTGGTCTCAAACTCCTGACCTCAAGTGATCTTCCTGCCTCAGCCTCCCAAAGTGCTGGGACTATAGGCGTGAGCCACCGCACGTGGTCATGGTTACATTTTATGTATATTTTACCACAGTTAAAAAAACTTAAGAAGTTACCAAAAATCTTAATTGAATTTTAAAAGTAGATGTCTATGTTCCAAATCAGGGTTGAGTATACGAAATTAGCAAAGTAACAGAACGAGAAATACAGGAAACTTTAAGATAGCATAAACAGTTAAATCAGATGAGTGGAATTCGGTGAGATGTCTTTAGCTGTGATAAATAATTTTAGCATATGTTGATATTGTCTCATGCATGTATTTAACTTAAGCAAGTTCAAATAAATATACTTAACAAAAGAGGAGAGAAAGAATTTTAAAAGTGCAGGTGTTTTGTGCATGCACTCTACCCTTTATGAACATATGACTACGGAAGAATATGTAATGAAAGATGGGAAACTTCATTCTCAAAATTAATTGTAGTCCTCGTTTGCCTTTTGTAGTGTAGGCATCTTATCTTGCTTATTTGGGTATGATTCTAGAGTTTGAAGAAATGTCTTTTTGGTACAATATCAGATACTTCATCAGGTGCTCAGATTCAGGTGCAGTGCTATGTTACAAGCTTGGAGGAAAAAGTGGACCCTCATGGGTTTCTTGAGCAGACACGATGTCAATTTCAACATATGCCTTCCTAAGGTACCTTCAAGGGTGATTTTGACCCTCTATAGCAAGGTTTTCACCTCACATGCTGACTTTAAACCCTGAATTCCATTTAAAATGTATCTCTACTTTAGTGAAAAAATAGTAATGAGACTGTATATGGTATGATCCCTGTAAATGTTCACTTAGTAGGATATATAACCAAGGTTTAGTTGGGTTTTCTTTTATTGTTTCCTTCATACTTTCCTGAATTTTCTACAATGATCAGGTTGTTTTGTTTGTTTGTTTGTTTTTAATGATGGGAAGCTGTCAGCTCACGTTCATTTGTTTATTCAAACAATAGGTATTAAAGATGTTACTGTGTTCCACGCAGATACACTGTGGTAGGTGTTACAATTTCAGTATTGCTCAAAATAAACTATAATGGAGTTTATGTTCACGTTGGTTGACAGATATTAAACAAATAAACCATAAATAAGTACGTAATTACAAGTGATAAATGCTAAGAAAATAAGAAGAGTTCCAAGATAAACAAGTAGACCCAGTTTTGTTTTACGAACTTATGAAGATCTTTTCCAGGAAGAAACTTTTGAGCTGAACTCTAGAGGATGGGAATGAATTAGGTAGGCAGAGAGTGGAGTGTGAGAATGTTCCGGCGAGAGGGAAGAAGATGGGGAAAGCCCCTGAAGCAGAAAAGAGCTTGATGCATTTGACAAATGGAAAGAAGGCAGCGTGGGTTGAAATTCCAACAAATTTAAAGATCTGATTGGTTTTTGTAGTGATTCATGAATCAGGCAACATCCCATTCTATAATATGGAAAGGGTGCACTGGGCATGGGAGAGAGTTGGTTCTGGTAAGGTAGCCAGACCAGGAACAAGGAAACACAATACAGACAGTCCCCAATTTACAGTGGTTCCGTTGAACTATTTTTTGACTTTATGATGGTATGGAAATGATACACATTTAGTAGAAACCGTACTTCAGTACAGTATTTAATAAACTATATGAACTATTTGATACTGTATTATAAAATAGACTTCATGTTAGATGATTCTGCCCACCTGTAGGCTATTGTAAATGTTCTGATTATGTTTAAAGTAGGCTGGGCTAGGTTATGATGCTTGGTAGGTTAGGGGCATTAAATACATTTTTGACTAACAGTATTTTCAACCTATGATGGACTTACCAGGACATAACTACATTGTAAGTGGTGGATCATCTGTAATACCAAAAAAAGCATATTGATTAACATCAGGTTACTTACCTGGTAAAGATTAAAGCAGAGATAAGTTCCTTTTTACGCCAGCTCAGGGTGACTGGCCCCTTTTTCAGTTAGTTGCTGTGAATCTCTTGTTTTTAGAAAAAACTGGTCCATTTTGGAACTTTCCTTCTTTCTTAAAGTTTCAGTTGGATTGTATGGCATTTAGTACAAGTGACTACATTTTGGTTTGGTCTCTTGGGGCTTAGTGCAGGAGCTCAGTCTAAAACAATGGACTCCCATAAATTTTATTTAACAGGGTAGAGCATAGTGATGGGTAGATATGGTTAAAGATAGGTGGGTTCAAGATCATGCAGGATCTTATCAACTGTATTAAAGTGTTCGGATTTTATTCTAGTACTACTGCAATTATGGTTTGATTTATACTTGTAAAGTTTATTCTTGCCACTATATGGAGAAATGGTTTATAGATGGGAAGGCGGAGAGCCATGGCGGGGCGGGTTAGAGTGCAAGTAGAGACACCAGTTAGTTAGAAGGCTGTTGCTTTAGACAGTACCAGAGATGGTAGCATGAGTATCACAGTGTTATCTATAGAGATAGGGAGAAATGGACAGTCAGCATCCTTTTAGAAATAGTTTCTCCTAGATTTGGTGATAGGAGTATGGAGAGTGAGGGAGAAGAGCGTGAAAAAAATGTCTGGCGTGAGCAACTAGGTGAATAGAGGTGCCATTTACTGAGGTGGAGATTGAGGAAAAAGCAGATTTGGGGAAGATGATCAAAATGTCTGCTTTGGACATGTTAAAAATGAGATTCCTATTATACATCCACATAGAGATGTTGGGTCTACAATTGAATGTAGGCAGAGTTAATTTACACATGTTAAGGTAATAGTGCCACATATAAGGTGGCATTATTCACATTATAAATATATACTTTTATGAAAACATACAGATGGGCATGAATATTCCAGATCTTTAGTTAGAGTTCTGGAGCAATAATGTTAACTCTTGTGCTGCCCCAAACATAAATCTATACTCGCACATACTATAGCTATGCACAGGTACAGGAAAATAAGTATATGTACATTCACTGACACGCACACATGTGTGGCTGCACTCTCTCAGCTGCCTCTCACCTCCTCTGAGGTTGATTCTCTTGCTTATTCACCCACTGCTCTCAGGGATGTAATTGTTCCTCACCTGACTCTGAACTTGAAAGGGTCATCTCTCTTGGAGAACGAGGGGTGGTGGTGCAGACTGTGCGTGCACATGCTGCTGCTGGTGTGTACTCCCTGGGAGAATTTGTGAAAAGAATGACCACCATTTACAGTTGTTTGTGTTGTACTACAATATATAGTAACTTAAACATTTTGATTTGAAGAAGACACATCTTTTCTAATTTCCATAAAAGTGCTGTAAGAGCTAGCCGTGTCCCTGAATGCTGGAGTCGGATGCTCAGAAGAAAGGTACTCTTGGGCAATGGTACATTATTTGTTGGTCATCAGCATATACCTTGGTGGTCGATAAGTTTACCTAGGAAGAGAAGAGAGGCCAGTTCCGACTCCTTAAGGAACTCCACCATTGAGAGATTTGGTAGAAGAAAATATAAAAAATAAGTTTCCGGAGAGGTAAGAGGCAAATAAGAGAAAGTGATGTTACAGAAGTTGAGAAGAACCCAATATAATCTATTTGGCCCAGAAGGCTTGGTGTTTTCCTTGCAGTCTGTCCTGCAAAACTCTTCAGGGCTTACTGTGCACTGTACTAATGATACAGGTACTTACCCAGCTCTTATTGCCATATACATACTAGGAGCTCAGGAAATAGAGGATCTTAGAAAAATCATCTCATAGGAGATTAGTATAAGCCTTTATATGTCCAGAAATGTTCTTTTGCCTGTTAGATGTGGCATGGATTATAGATTAATTTATTTTATCAAGGAATGTGGGAATATTGAAATATATTTTAAAAGAAAATTAAATACTTTCAAATCTTTTACTTATCATCTGTCATTTTCCATTCAGTGTTTTGTCTTTTGTATTGTCAGATTAATCTTCTGGAAACATAGCTAAATATATTATTATTTTGTTGAAAAATCTTCCGTTATGTTGCATTTTATATACAATAAAGTTTATACTCTTCAGCTTGGGATCCCATGCACTGGTGAATTTTGTCCCAAACAACTATTTTTTAATATCTTCTACCACTGTCCTTAATGTATTCTGCAATCCAACCTGACCATAAAGTGTCCACTATTTTTAAATACTTCTTTTCTTTGCTTATGCTATAACTTCTGCCTAAAATGCCTTTCTTCCTTCCTCTCTATATCAAAAAACTACTTTTTTTCCAAGATACAATCCATTTTCTCCTTCCTCCAAAACCATCATGAGCTGGAAATATTCTCTCTCCTGAACTGATTCTCCATTTTACATCTTCTTTTATATCATTTGCATCTCTGCCTTGTATTATTAGAATTTATTTTACATGGCTTACAACTTCAGTTTGACTGACGTTTCCTTCTGATTATCCTACCCATTGTAGTGTAGTGTTTTTTTGTTTGTTCGTTTGTTTGTTTGTTTGTTTTTTAAGACCAAGTCTCACTCTGCCACTCAAGCTGCAGTGCGGTGGCAACATCTCTGCTCACTGCAACCTCTGCCTCCCAGGTTCAAGCGATTCTCCTGCCTCAGCCTCCCAAGTAGCTGGGATTACACGCACCTGCCACCACGCCTGGCTAATTTTTGTATTTTTAGTAGAAATGGGGTTTCACCATCTTGGCCAGGCTGGTCTTGAACTCCTGACCTCAGGCAATCCGCCTGCCTCCACCTTCCAAAGTGCTGGGATTACAGGCATGAGCCATCGTGCCTGGCCTGTAGTGCTTTTTTCATAGAATTGGTCTAAGAGGCAAATTTTTAAAAAGTCTTTCTCAATCTCATGTCGCTATTTGTGTTTTGTATTACTTCCCCGTTTTTCTGTAGGATCCAATGATGCCATTGCTCCAGACTTCCCAGCTCAGGTGCTAGGCACAAGAGATGATGACCTCTCAGCCACTGTTAACATTAAACATAAAGAAGGAATCTACAGTAAGAGGGTAGTGACTAAGGCATCCTTGCCAGTGGGAGAAAAACCCTTGCAGAATGAAAATGCAGGTAACTGGATTGGCTTTGTATACTTTGTAGCTTTTTCTCCCCTTTTCATCCTAAATGAGATTACTATCCAATCTTTATCCTTTTTTTCTGTTTTGTTATACAAGCTTTTCTCCTTGCTGTTATATTGAGCATATACAAGAAGGCAAAATTTCATAAAATCCTTTAATAATAAAGGAAGCATAAGCTTCAGAGATTTTTGAAAATTATAAACTTCATTTTCACAACGGATAATAAAATATGATACAACTTTTGAAATGAAATAATACCCAATCAAGTATGTTTTAGATACTAAGATCCACAGAAAATCTTGATTAAATGCCACATTAGTTTATCTCTGTCAGATATTACAAAGTAATGTCTTATAGGCTGGATTCTGTAGGGAGATATGTAGCTGACATGATTTTTTTTTTTTAATTTTTTTAAAGACAGGGTCTCACTCTGTCACCCAGGCTGGAGTGCAGTGATGCAATTATAGCTCACTGCAGTGTTGAACTCCTGGACTCCAGTGATCCTCCCACCTCAGCCTTCTGACTAGCTGGGGCCAGAGGCACACACCACTATGCCTGGCTAATAATTTTTTTATAGTGATGGGGGGTTTTTTGTAGTGATGGGGGTCTCGCTATGTTGCCTGGGCTGGTCTTGAATTCCTGGCCTCAAGCTGTCTACCAGCCTCAGACTCTCAAAGTGCTGAGATTACAGGCATGAACCACCGCATCCAGCCCCCATGTTGTTTTAAAATTTTTAAAATTTTCCACCAACATTCAAAACTAAGATTTTTGATTTTCCTTGAAAAATCAGAAAATCTGACTGCCCTTTGGCTCGCATTCATTCATGGTGGTAATCAGCTGCAGCTGAGCCATGGCTGTCCCCCTGCAGGCAGGACATCCATTCTCTTGTTTGCTTCCATCTCCACAGCTCTGAGACCCAGTCTGCTTCATTCATCCACCTTATCTGTCTGCTGATCACTGTGGGTATTTGAGTTTCAATCTTTTTTTTTTTTTTTTTTTTTTTTTTTTGAGTTGGAGTTGCGATCTTGTTGCCCAGGGTGGAGTGCGATGGCGCGATCTTGGCACACTGCAACCTTCACCTCCCGGGTTCAAGCGATTCTCCTGCCTCAGCCTCGAGTAGCTGGGTTTACAGGCACCCGCCTCCACACCCAGCTAATTTTTTGTATTTTTAGTAGAGGTGGGGTTTCACCATGTTGGCCAGGCTGGTCTTGAACTCCAGACCTCAGATGATCTGCCTGCCTCGGCCTCCCAAAGTGCTGGGATTACAGGCATGAGCCACCGTGTCTGGCCCCCACTGTTTTATAAAAGCTTTTTTTCTTCTGCACCCCTGCCATTATACTTTTGTAGCTGATAGATGATAATATTTATTAAATGAAAACTCCAGTAGCCACTGAAAATTCTGTGTGTATAATTGCCTGTGTTTGTTACATTTATACTTTTTTATTCCTGTGTATAACTATTAGCTAAATAGGTGCTACTGATCCCAGGGCAGTTTTTAAATGTAGGGTGGCTCTATGTTCTAGTTTTGGCATAGTGTTAATGACTTTGTGTGATAGCATCAGTGCCTTTGTGAGAAAAATAAATGAGATCTGCATGGTTTTTTTTATTTTATTTTATTATTGTTATACTTTAAGTTTTAGGGTACATGTGCACAATGTGCAGGTTAGTTACATATGTATACATGTGCCATGCTGGTGTGCTGCACCCATTAACTCGTCATTTAGCATTAGGTATATCTCCTAAAGCTATCCCTCCATTTTTTTAGATAATTTCGTTCTACTTCAAAACACAGTGAAGTCTTTTTATAAATCCCTTTTGAAATAAGAGAAGCATATCTACCAGCTAACATTGAGACTGCCAAGTAAATAAAAAGAAATAATTTTACAAAATATAGTTCATAAATGAAAACTCTTCTGCACCAGGGAATCCGTTACGTGTTTTCCACTATCCATATGCTAGTGGCAGTTTGGTTGAAACAGATAAGCCTAAGATCCCAGTGTCAGATACTTCAGGTGAGTGTAGATGTGGAAAAATTGGCAGGAAAGAAGTGAACTCTGTCAGAAGTCTGCACAAAGAACTCACCAGCTTTACCTCACTCCCAGGCTTCATTTGGTAAGGATGATACATTTGAAATAAAGTCAGGCTCAGTTATCTGAGGACCTCTACAATCTCCCATCTGTTGGTCTACTTACAGACTTTGCATCCTAAGGAAAAGCCCTCCTCCTGGCTTAGTCCTTAGTAGCCATTTCACCTTGAGAGAAGCCTAGCCTCAGAACCTCTTGCCTTAGAGAATTAAAGAAGAATAGAGGAGAGAATGCCTGCCTGGGAAACTGAACAATGACCTATGTAATAGCTAAATGAGCTCATAAAATATCATATCATAAGTAAAATTCTCAGTGGAAGGGGTGGAATATAAAAGTGAGAAAATCTCTTCAAAAATAGAACATAAAGAGAAGGGAAAAGATTTTTTAAAATTCAAGATTGTCCCCAAAGTTTCAACATTCAAAGCAGGTATTCTGTAAAGACAATAGAGAAGGCAAAAAAGAAAGAACCAAAGGACTAGTATAGGAATAAATTTCAGAACTGAAAGATGTGAGTTTTCATACTAAAAGGGACTACCATGTACATAAAAATACACACCGAGGCACATGACCTTGACATTTTAAAACTGATTTGAAAAGAGATTCTAACAGCTTCCAAAAAGAAAACATACATTCCATATAAAGAAATGGAAATGAGACTGGCATCAGACTTCTCAAAAGTGATAAACAGAGTTAGAAACCAAAGGAGTAATACCTTAGAATTCTGAGAGAAAATTATTTCACTAAAACAAGGGAGTTTATTTAAGTTACAAAAGAAGGAAAGAAAGAAAACATGGTGGGATTGAGGAAATGGAGGGGGCCAACACAGGAAATGGGAAACGAATTCTCACTGTGGCGGTGGTACACAAGGCCTAGAACCCATTCAGTTTGAAGCCTGCAAGGAAAAAGTCGAATTTGTAGGATACCTTATGTGATTGACTATACTTAGAGGAGGTTTTCAGTTCTATTTGCAGCTATGAGGATGAAGTAGGGATTGGCACATAGAAACTCAGAAAATGCAAAAACAAAGCGGTTATTAACTCTTCAGGAAAGCAGAAGTTTGTAATAGAAAATAAATGTAATTACAGTATACTAGCTGGCTTAGCTGTGAATAATAATTATATAAACAATCATATGTAAATACTAAATATAAACTTAATTGAATATTGATTTAATCACTCAGACCATTATTTATGTGACATATAAACACTGAATGTTAATATAGGGCTAAAACTTTTCAGAAGATAGGATGAAAGGATATATATGGGTAGGAGGGTTTTATAATGAGATAAATCCATAGATCTTAGTATATAGTATAAGAATAAATCCCAGAACTGAAAGATGTGAGATTGTAATTGATCTTAGAAGGAAATCAATAGATAATTTCTGGAACATAAAATGATATGGTAGTATAAAGCATGTTATTAGGAAATAAGGATATTGATCCTAGAATAAATGGCTAAAGAAGTTGAAAATGGTAGCCTTTAGAAATTGGGGATCTGTAGTGGATAGGAGAGGGAACTGCTGACTTTTCTTGTAAGCCTCGTGAAACTATTTGACTTTTAAAACATATACATTGTTATTTTTATTAAATCAGAATTTATATTGTCCTTCACCTCAAAAAAGTAAGAAGAAAAAAATACATTTGGCAAATACTGACTAAAGAAAAGCTAGTGTTGATATGGACAAAATATAATTCCAGGACAAAAAAAAAAAAATTAAAGGTAGATACAAGAGTTTATCTCATAGTAATAAAAGGGTCAAATATACCAGGAAAGATAAAATTGTGAGCTTATATGTATATTCTCAAATATATTCAGGAAAAATTACAGGAATGTGTAGGTAAATTCAACAGTACATTTCAGAAATGTGAAAGACCAGGAAATAGAGAAAGTAGGGCTGAGCGTGGTGGCTCATACCTGAAATCCCAGCAGTTTGGGGGGCCAAGGCGGGTGGATCACGAGGTCAGGAGATCGAGACCATCCTGGCTAACACGGTGAAACCCCGTCTCTACTAAAAATACAAAAAAAAAAAAAATTAGCCGGGCGTGGTGGCGGGCGCCTGTAGTCCCAGCTACTCAGGAGGCTGATGTAGGAGAATGGCATGAACCTGGGAGGCGGAGCTTGCAGTGAGCCAAGATCACGCCACTGCACTCCAGCCTGTCGTATTTAAAATCAGGTGTTACCCTCAGCATGGGGGAGATGGAAGGAAGAATGAGGGGAGCGTGTAAGTTTCTAGCCAGATTTTATTTCCTAACCTGGGTAAGGTTATATACACTTGCTTTTTGTAATTCACTGAACTCTTTATGTGCACGTTTTCCCCCATATTTTCCACTGTACAATTAAAAAGATATTTTAAAAAGCAATATGGTACTTAGAAATGAATCTAAAAGGGTCTGTAAGATAAACAATACGGTACTTAGGAATGAATCTTAAAGGGCATGTAAAACTATTTTAAGAGAAAATTATAAAACTACATTGAAATATATTAAGACCTAAATAGTTGGAAAATTACACAATTGTAATAATAAAGATGTCACTAAATTAATTTCTAAATTAAATGCATTGCTACTCAGAATTCCAGTAGGATTTTTCGTGGAACTTGACAGGCTGATTCTAAAATATTTATGGAAAATCAAAAAACGTATATTTAAAGAATAAGATAAGGGATCTTGCCATACCAGACATCAAGACTTATTACATGTGTAGCTTATTTAAGACATCATTTACAAAGGAATAAACAGAAAGAAAAATGAAACAGAATGGTGACCCAGAAACATATCCATGAATGTGGAAACCTAACATACACAGAGATGGCATAACAATCTGTGGAGAAAGGATGAAGAGGAACTATTCAATAGAGTTTGAACCAATGAATATATATCTGGAAAAAATAAAATCAGATAAATCACTGCCACACACTAAACAGAAATGTATAGTATACCAGGCATATTAAAAGTAAATGGGATAACTAAGTTTTTAGAATTTAGATGGTCTGTCCTTATGACCATGTGATAATAAAAGATTTCTTAATCAGGACACGCAAAGCACCTACCCTAAAGGGAAAATATAATAAATATGCCATTATTAAACTGAAAAACTTTTTGCCTAAACGATATCAAACAATTAAAAGACATGAAACAGCCTGGGAGAAGATATTTATAATGCACACCACCTGCAAAGACATTTCACAGGAATGTTCATTGCAGTGCTTTTCAAAATAGGAAATAGCCTTAAGTTGATCAACAGAGGTGTATTCGTATATATTAATACAGTAGAATAATACATAACGTTCAGAATCAAAGACATATATTAATTGACTAACTCTCAAAATCATAATATTGAGTGAAAAAGTCATGGTGCGTAAAGGTACAGACAGTATTGTACCCTTCGTATAAGGTTTAAAGAAACTTGCAAAACAATGCTGTACACTGTTGGTTAATATATGCAATGTGGTAAAGAATTACAAAACATCCTTGATATTGATAAACTGTAAATTTGGTGTAAAGGCTGCTACTGAGAAGTGAGAATGGCATCATTGGGAACACTTTACACAAGAAACATTATATTTGTAATATTTTATTTCTTAAGCTCTATGGTAAATACTTGGGTGTTCATTTTGTTGCCTATATTTTTGGTATGCCTGAAATATTTTATTAACATTAAAACATTTTTTAATGATCTAAAAATTTCAGAAGACATTTAGAGAAAAGAGATTAGGAGGATTGAAGTAATAAGAAGTAAGAAAAATGTGTGAATTTAAAAGAGGTAGCAAGAGTTAACTGGTTCTTTGCATTTTTAGCAATCTCTATTGCCTTTCTGATTTCTTTGTTGAAAAATATACTTACAGATAAAAAAATCAAAAATGATCAAAAAAGTAGAAAAGAGAAATAGTATTAGACAAGTTTAAAAGGCTATAACTGCATGAAATTTTTAAAAAATTGTATGAGAATGCTGTATTTAAAATCTAGATGATAAAAGTGCTTTTCTTGGATTATATGAAATATAAAAATTGACTCCATAAGTGGTAAAAACTTTGAATAGGCCAAAGAACTTGAAAGCATTGTTCACATCTTTTTTCCTTTGAAAAAACATACCTGATCTTTCCTTTTTTTTTTTGTTTTTTTTTTTACTGTTGCATCAAACCATCAAGGAACAGATTTTTTTTAGAATGTTTTTATTTTATTTTATTTTTTTGAGACAGAGTCTCACTGTCGCCCCGGCTGGAGTGCAGTGGCACAGTCTCAGCTCACTGCAGCCTCCACCTCCTGGGTTCAAGTGATTCTCCTGCATCAGCCTCCTGAGTAGCTGGGACTACAGGCGTGCACCACGACGCCTGCTAGTTTTTGTATTTATAGTAGAGTTGGGGTTTCACCGTGTTGGCCAGGCTGGTCTCGAACTCCTGACCCCAAGTGATCCACCCGCCTCAGCCTCCCAAAGTGCTGGGATTACAGGTGTGAGCCACCCCGCCCGGCTTTAGAATGTTATTTTATTTAAACTGTTGTTGTACACAGTAAAGTATGAAAAATTTTTCAATTCATGTCACAGTTTTTACACAGGTGGAGCCTAAGAGGTACTTTTTTCCTAATATGTAAATGGGTTTGGGGTTTTGTTTGTAATTGTGGGGGAGGATTACTTGTCTGTTGTGTTTATTATCTTTCCTTTTCTGAAATCAAATGATGTCGTTATTCCAGATGCCTCAGTTCAAGTGCTAATCACTGGGGATGAGAACCTCTCAGACAAAAAACAGCAAGAGATTCACAGTACAAGGGCAGTGACTGAGGCTGCCCAGGCTAAAGAAAAAGAATCTTTGCAGAAAGATACTGCAGGTAGCTAAACTGGATTGTCTGCGTATTATTTTCTTCTGGTCTTCTAAAATGAGACTATTCCCTTAAGAACAGAAACAGAAATATATTCTCTATTTTCTTCTTGCTGTCTTCAGCTCTCTTCTATCTCATGTATATATGAAATAGTTAAGGTATGTTTAGCTATATTTTTTATATACTTTGGCAGGTAAAATTAACATATTTAAAGTTCTTTGTGATATTTCTGGAGGGTTTTGAATATAGTAAACAAATTAATCTAATTTCCAGAAATTCATTTAATGGACTTTTTACCTCCGCTGATAAAATCTCTCAATTCTGTGAGACACGGACCCTCTAATACCATTTTTGTACATAATCCTTTATTTAGGAATTCAGCTTGTTTACTTCCTACCTATCAGTTACTTTACTTCAAAGGGATTATGCTGATTTAAATAACCCTAATAGTGTATTTACGTTAGGATTAGTTTTGACTCAGAGAGGAAAACAAAAGCAAAATAACATAGGCTTGAAGAAGACAGAAAACTCTTTCTCTTTTTTGTAAAACTCCAGAGGTAAGCATCCAGAGTTGACCTGGTACTCCAGAGTATCGGAACAAAGCTGTTGCTCTCTTGTTACTCTAACATTTTTGGCCTTCATTCTTAAGCTGTAGCCATCAGCCCATATTGCAACCAGCAGGAAGAAAGGAAAGGAAAAAGCACATTCCTTCCTTTAAGGATACTTCTGAGAAGCTATATATACCATTCCTTTTGCATTCTATTGGCCAGACTTAGACACATGGTCACATGTACCAGGGAAGCTGGGAAATTGAGTTGTTATTCTAATAACAATGTGCCCAGCTAAAGTTAGGGTTCTGTTTAGAGGAAAAGGAAAGTGGATATTAGAGGACAGATAGTATTGATAGTTTCTGCCACAATTGTAAACTAAAACATTTTAGAACATGATTAGCTGCTTCTCTTCTTTAGGTATTGCTTGTTTAAAAAGGTTAGATTGTATTCTGGGCAACACTTCTGAATTTTACCCCATTTTACTATTACTAAATGAATGTTCCAAAAACAGTTTTGATCATGTTAATCTCCTAATCAAAAACTTTAGTGTTTCATTGCCTGTAAGGATAAAATCTAAACTCTTTTAGCACTGTCTTCTAGAACTGTAGAGTCCACTCTCAAACAACTTTCTAACACTAGTTCTCACCTCTTTTCCTTATAAATTCTATAATCAAATGCTATATACTTGCTCTGTTTCTTAGATGCTAAGTTACTTTCCTGACACCATTCTTGTGTTATGTAGTCACCTTTTTTTTCCATCTTAATGTGTATCCCATCTTAGCTCTCTTCTAATGCCAAAATCAGTTGTCTAGAGTTCTATGGTACTCCCACCTGCAATTAGTTTTTCTTTCTTTGAATACCGCTACCTCTTTTTCTGACTGTTTCTTACAGTATATCTGTTTACGTATGTGATTTTTTGCCCCAATTTTCAATTATTTTCTAAACGCATTTCTGAGTCATCTTTTTTCTTCAATATCAGTAACAAAGCCTTTCACATAATACGTACTTGAGAGACATTTAAAAATCTTTTATGTCAAGTTCCTGTCTGTATAGTGTGTTAATTTCCCTTTCGTAGATTCCAGTGCTGCTGCTGCTGCAGAGCACTCAGCTCAAGTAGGAGACCCAGAAATGAAGAACTTGCCAGACACTAAAGCCATTACACAGAAAGAGGAGATCCATAGGAAGAAGACAGTTCCCGAGGAAGCCTGGCCAAACAATAAAGAATCCCTACAGATCAATATTGAAGGTAATGGGATTGGGTTGTGTATGAGTGTGTGTGTCTTTGTGTGTATGTGAGGGTCAGTGTTAGTGTTTCCATTTCATTCTGATGAGAATATAGCCTCATGATTAAACAAAAATTCCTTTTCTTTTTTTAAAACTTTCTTGTGTAAAGTACTTTGATGCTACTATTAGGTTACTATATATATATATAGATTTCCAAAAAGTAATTGTTACTTTTTGGAAAAGATATTAGCAACTTAGAAACAGGATTATAAATAAATACCTAAGGCTGATAGTTTTAGAAGTGAAGTATCTTGTCTCAGTCCCCAGAGACAACCTTAAAGGCCTTCCAGAAGACTATAGCAAAGATAGTGAGACCATCAATACAAACTTTTAAAAAATTACAATAAAATCACATTTATTTTTGTTTGTCCATGGGTCTCTTTTTCTGACATAAAAGCGTATAGAACACAAGACATTACTACCTAGCCATCAAGCTTTACCTCTTAGAGGAAGATGGAACAGCCTACATAAGGAGAGAAAAGAGTCAAGGAGCTAAACTACCCATACTGGATTTTGGAAATAGTCTGGGTTCAACTGCTTACATCAAGAATATACAAAATAAATGATTTTTTGACAATAGCCAAGACTACACAATGGGGAAAGGATAGTCTCTTCAACAAATGGTGTTGGGAAAACTAGATATCCACATTTAAAAGAATAAAGGTGGACCTTTTCTTTACACCACATACAAAAGTTAACTCAAAAAGGGTTAGTGACATACATGTAAGACCTTAAAACCATAAAACTCCCAGAAGAAAACATAAGGGGAACACTTCAGGACATTGAACTTGGCAGTGATTTCTCAGATGTGACACCAAAAACACAGACAACAAAAGCAAAAATAGACCAATGAAACTACATCAAACTTGAAAACTTCTGCATGACAAAGTAGACAAGAGTGTGAATAGGCATTCTACAGAATGAGAGAAGATATTTGCAAATCATGGATCTGATAAGGGATTAGTATTCAGAATATATAAAGAACTTATGCAACTCAATAGCAAGAAAAACCCAAACAACTTATTTTTAAAAACACGTAACTTATTTTAAAATGAGCAAAGGACTTGAATAGACAATAGAAGATATACAAATGCCATATCAAGCATATAAAAAGATGCCCAATCTCTCTAATCATAAGAGAGATGCAAATCAAAACCACAATGAGATATCACTCACACCTGTTAGGATGACCACTATCAAAAGAAAAAATAGCAAATGTTCGTGAGGATGCAAGGAAATTGAAACCCTTGTTCACCATTGGTGGGAATGTAAAATGATGTAGCTATTATGGAAAATATTATGGAGGTTCCTCAGAATAATAAAAAAGAATTAGTATATGATCCCGCAATCCCACTGCCACTGCTGGGCATATAACCTAAAGAATTCAAAACAGGACTTCAAAAAGCTACCTGTATACTCATGTTTATTGCAGCGTTATTTATAATCAAGAGGTGGAAGCAACCCACATGTCCATCAACAGATGAATGTATTAAGAAAATGGGAATTATTTGTCAATAAAGAAAGCATGTTACATACATATTTGTATTGTGCAGCCTTAAGAAAGAAGGAAATCCTATCACATACTACAAGGTAGGTGAACCTCAAGAACATTATACTAAGTAAAATAAATCAGTCACAAAAAGATAAATACCATATGGTTTCTCGCAAATGTTGAGGGATTTAGGAGGATGAGAGAGACCTTGGGTTTAAACAGGAGAGTCTTTTATTGAGTGCACTCAGGCCCAGCAGACTCACGTCCAAAGGCTGGGCCCAGAACAAAGACAGCACTTGACTTTTATACACACTTCACAAAAGGGGATGGGCTAGCTTGAAGCAAGCTTACAGTGGCGTGAAAGCGGGAATACAGAAGCAGGACAAAGACAGTTAATCAAATTGTAACAGGTTCATAACTCAGGATTGCACATAACCGTTGCTATGCAACCCAGATGTCCATTATCTAGGTTTGTCTAGGCACGGGCTTATCCCATAACCTTCACTATGGTGCCCAGGCAGCTGTAGTTCAGGCCTACTCAGGCTTCTCATGACCTTCATTGTACTTCTTAGATAAAACAGAATACTTGAAGTCACTAGTTACAGAGAACAGGAATCTATAAACTCATTCCATAAAACAAAGGAAAATTTGTTTTTTCTTCTCCCTGTGTTGAAGGAGTGCTGGGAGAGTCTCCAGAGCACATTACATAATATTATCAAGACTTTTCCTGGGTCTGGGCTGTGCCTGTTGCTGCCTCTGGGACAAGTCAGCCTAATGCAGGAAAACTTATTTCTCTTTCTTTTTAATTTTATTTTTCTTTAATTTCCCACCTCAGTATGAAATATCTAAAGTAGCTGAAATCATAGAAACAGAAAGTAGAATAGTGATTGCCCAGGCTTGTGAGAGGGTGGACAGAGAATTAGTGTTTAGTAGGTGTAGGGTTTCAGTGTTACAAGATGAAAGAGTTAGAGATTGTTGCACAACAATGTGAATATACTTAACACTACTGAACTGTACACTTAAAAATGGCTAAGGTGGTTAATTTAATGTCATACTATTTGTCACACACAAAAATAATACATAAGATGAAGAAATATAACATTGCAACTTTGCAGGGGTTAGTGTGGGAGACATAGCTTGCAAAAGAAAGATGGAAATATAATCTGTAAAAGCATACTCTAGAAGATAAGAAAAATTTTTCTAAATGTTTTACACTCTGAATAATTTTAGAAGACATGAAGTATATGAAATAAAAATTGATAGAATAATGAAATGAAAAGGGAGATTTAGGGGATAGAACAAAATGAAATGAAAAAAAAGTACCAATTAGAAGAAAGAGATGAAAGCAATTAAAAAAAAATGATGGAATTTGAAGGCTGACAGTGAAAATCCAACACAATGATATCTGTTGTTGCCTCTAAAGAAGATAATAGAAAAATAAAGATATAAGGAAGAATGGAACTTACAATTGTATGTATGTATGTATGTATGTATGTATGTATGTATTTTTAGACATGGAGTCTCATTCTGTTGCCCAGGCTGGAGTGCAGTGGTGTGATCATAGCTAACTGTAGCCTCAAACTCCTGGGCTCAAGTGATCTTCCCACCTCAGCCTGTAGAGTAGCTGGGACTGTAGGCACATGCTACCACACCTGGCTTGAACCTGTAATTTAAAAGGACGTACCAAGTCCTAGGAAAATTTTGTATATAGTGTTCAATACTGAGATGTATGTTTGCGATAGTACTGAACTTTAAAGAAAAAGAATGAATCATGCAGGCCTCCATACAGAAAAAAACAAGTAGAAAATGCTAAAAGACAGGGGGACAGGCAGAGGACAGGGAGGTTAAAGGAGGTATAAATGAGCAAACTTCACCTTTAAAGTTGTAAAATCAAAAAATACATGTGTAAGTAATTATAGGGTTGAAAATTATAGGCCAGACGCGGTGGCTCATGCCTGTAATTCCAGCACTTTGGGAGGCTGAGGTGGGTGGATCACCTGAGGTCAGGAGTTTGAGACCAGCCTGACCAACATGGAGGATCCCCATATCTATTAAAAATACAAAATTAGCCGGGCATGGTGGTGCATGCCTGTAATCCCAGCTACTCAGAAGGCTGAGGCAGGAGAAGCGCTTGATTCCGGGAGACAGAGGTTGCAGTGAGCTGAGATCATGCCATTGCACTCCAACCTGGGCAACAAGAGTGAAACTCCATCTCAAAAAAAAAGAAAATTATAAAATTTACCCCTAAAAGAGTTAAAATTAAACTATAAAACATCCAAAATATTTAGAAAAACAGGTTAGCTTGGAGGTAAAGGGAGGGAAAAAGAAAACAGTAAATTTGTAACAAAAACAAAAAATTGCCATAAAATGAAAGACAGCAAAGCATGCAAGTCTATATATAAGTAAACTAAATTCACCTATATTAAAAAAAAAAAAACTTCTTGGATTATATTAAAAAACAAACCCAGTTCCATGCTATATAACAAACATATCAAAAGTAAAATTACTGAGAAAGGTGGAAAGCAAAAAGAAAACTTAGAGATGTATCAAAAAGAAATTTGGGGACATTAATATAGATGAGGTTAAATTCACCAAAAGTTTTGCAGGAATTGAAGAGGTATATTTTTATACTGATTTGCAATCCACAATGAGGATATTTTGCATAAATCTTTAAACATCAAATAACTTAGCATAAAAAATTCATAAAACGAAAACCAGGAGCTCAATCAATAAGGAAATTTATGTTGCCTTAAAAAAGAATGAAGGAGGGCAGGGTGCGGTGGCTCACGCCTGTAATTCCAACACTTTGGGAGGCTGAGGCGGGCGGATTAAGAGGTCAGGAGATCAAGACCATTCTGGCTAACATGGTGGAACCCCGTCTCTACTAAAAATACAAAAAAATTAGCCGGGCGTGGTGGCAGGCGCCTGTAGTCCCAGCTACTCAGGAGGCTGAGGCAGGAGAATGGCATGAACCTGGGCGGCAGAGCTTGCAGTGAGCCGAGATCACGCCACTGCACTCCAGCCTGGGTGACAGAGCGAGACTCCATCTCAAAAAAAAAAAAAAAAAATAAAAATAAAAAATGAAGGTATGGAATTATATGAAAACAACTCTTAGGATGGATTGTGAGGCAAAAGGTGCTTAACAGGGGGATTGGACGGTGGAATTTGCTTGTAGGGAGAAAAAAAATAAAACAGACAACCCTAGGAAATCTTCAAAGAGAAATGGACAAATACAAAATAATACTGGGGAGCTTGAACACACATAATTAGCTTATGACAGATCGTGGAGATGAAAATTTTTTTTGTAAGTGAAGTTTAAAAACACCTGGGAATAATACAAGTAATGAGGTTGATGTGGGGTGTGTGTGGCTGTGTGTGTGTGTCTGTGTGTGTGCATGCATGCATAAGCCTATATGGGTTAAACTTAAAAAAA
Organism: Homo sapiens; assembly: GCF_000001405.40. Classification (NCBI taxonomy): domain Eukaryota; kingdom Metazoa; phylum Chordata; class Mammalia; order Primates; family Hominidae; genus Homo; species Homo sapiens. The sequence goes on from NC_000002.12 coordinate 73,564,106, forward strand.
AAACCCTTTCCAAAAGACCATAGAAAATTTTTTCATACAGCTTTATTCAGATATAATTTACCCATTTAAAATATGTAAGGCTGGGCACAGTGGCTCATGTCTATAATCCCAGCACTTTGGGAAGCTAGGGTGGGTGGATCACTTGAGATCAGGAGTTCAAGACCAGCATGGTCAACATGGCGAAACCCCGTCTCTACTGAAAATACAAAATATAGCCGGGCATGGCGGTGCATGCCGATAATCCCAGCTATTCAGGAGGCTGAGGCAGGAGAATCACTTGAACCTGGGAGGCAGAGGCGACAGTGAGCCAAGATCGCGCCACTGCACTTCAGTCCAAACGACAGAGCAAGACTCCGTCTCAAAAAAAAAAAAAAAAAAAAAATCAAACATGTAATTCAATGATTTTTACTGTATTCACAGATAAGTGCAATCAACCATCACCATAATCAATTTTAGAATATTTTCTTCACTTCAAAAAAGAAACCCTGAGACTTAAGCAAATACTGATCCACTTTTTGTCTCAGTAGATTTCCCTATTCTGGACTTTCATACAAATGGGACCATTAAGTTGGGGACATAACATGAAACTTAGGGCCCGCCCATAATGAAAAATGTTAAAGGAAATTCCCATGTAAAGTAGGCCTCCAGTGGGCTACACTCTTACTATAAGAATAAAAGATAAACACGTCCATGTAGAAGGGGACAGTAAGAAAACTGCCTGTTTTAACCTTGATAATGAGTTTGGGGAAAGAAGACAAAATTTATCCTCAGAATTTATAACCACAAACTAGTGTTCACACAGATTTACAGTCATTAATTTTGTACTGGTATAATTTATTAGTGCAGTAAACTACAGGTGTGTTCTGAAAAATCTCAAGCCGAGAATTTAACAATGGCAGTAGGTTGGTATTGCAGACTCACATGCCTTTCGGATGCAAATGCACATCTCTCTGAAGAAACTTCAACCCAGACCTAAAATACCCTAAATTCCCTAAAATACCAAGCTCATAGTCAAGGCACTATTAGTAGAAACAGTATCAACAACAAGAAACAGAAATGAGACCCACAATTACAAATGTCCAGGATTCCTTGGCAAAATGCCTGATTCTCAGACTGGGACAGGAGATATATTAGATGAGCCTGAACCCTTTTGTGGTGCCAGAAAGTAAAGAAAAAAAAATGCACAGGGATGGGGAATATGTCAATGGAACACAGGGACCAAGTAAAAAACTTCCCAGTGGCTAAAGCTGGGACAGTTTCTGTAGTATAGCAATAGTATTAGATCATAACCAAAGTATAAAATAAATACCTATGAGTCTGTACTGATAAAAGTAAATGATTTAATAAATAAATGGGGGGAAATGACAAATCTGTGCAGAATTCTAAATAATGTATGTAGATATTCCACCATCAGGGAGGTGGAACATAACTCCCACTCTTAACTAATGGGTTGCACATAGTAACTTAACTTCCTTCCAAAGAGTGTATTTTTATAGGAAGGGGGAAAAAGAATAACTATATAGTGAAGAATTCTGGCAAACACTGGCTCAGCCGGGTCATCAAGATCATCATCAATAGTGGTAAGTCATGTTGATAGTATGTACCCTTAATATGTAATGAGAAATATATTTTAACTTTGAAATCTTCTTCCCAAAAACCCATAACCCCAGTCTAATGAGAAAAACATGAGACAAACTCAAATGAAGGACATTTATACTTGACCAGTACTTCTCAAAACTGTCAGAGTCATGAAAAACAAGGGATGCCTAAGAAATTCTCACAGACCTAAGAGAAGCCTAAGGAGACATGATAATTAAATGTAATGTGGTGTCTTGGATAGAATCCTGGAACAGAAAAAGAACAGTATGTACAAAACAAGGCAACACAAAGTATGGCCTTTGGTTAATAATAATGTAACTTTATTGATTGATTCATGGTAATATATTGTATTAATGTAAGGTGTTAATAGGGGAAACTGGGTATGGGGTATAGGTAATCATCTGTACTGTTGTCACCGTTTTTCTGTAAATCCAAATTATTCTAAAATTAAAAGTTTATTTTAAAAAATTAATGCATTCTGACATTAAAACAGGTGGATAGATAAATGATAAATAAGAAATTTCATCTTCTTAAAGAAAACACTTTACAGCTTCTCTTTGGCATAACCAATTTGCTGGCGTTACTGCTCTTGCACTTTGGGGCCATTACTAACTACAGTTAGGGTTACTTGAACACAGGCACTGCAGTATCATGACAGTCACCCTGATAACCCAGACAGCTATGAAGTGCCTAAGGGGCAGGTAGTGTAAATGTACGGACATGCTGGATAAAGGGAGGATTCACATCCTAGGGTGGGATGGAGCAGGATGACAAGAGATTTCATCATACTACTCACAACGACGTGCAATTTAAAAATCATGAATTGTTTCTGGAATTTTCCATTAAATATTTTTGGACCATGGTTGACTATGGGTAAATGAAACCTTAGAAAGCAAAACCACAGATAAGGGGGACTACTGTATTCACACCTAATGTGTGGGGTTTCCCCTCACGTTAAGCAGTTCTGACACTGACAACCTGTACTTAGCACAGTCCCCACAGGTTATGGGTTCAGTCCCACAAGACTGCCCACCACTTCAGATACCAATTGCATGGCTTGGCCTCCTATACTTCTGACCAACTAGCTCCAAATTGGGGTGGTGGGGAGAATCCCATGACCCCCTCCTCAGGTTTGGTAATTTGCTCGAATGGCTCAGAAAACTTAGGGAACATTTTCTTACATTTCCTGATTTTTTATGAAGGATATTTCAAAGGATACGCACGAACAACCAAATGAAGAGATACATGGGCAAGGTATAGGGAAGGTGCACAGAGCTTCCATGTCCTCTCTGGGCCTGCCATCCTCCCAGCTTCTCCTGTGTTCACCAGATGTGAAGCTCTTCAAACTCTGTCTGTTAGGGTTTTTATGGAGGTGCCATTACATAGGCAATATTGATTAAATCATTGGCCATTGGTGATTGGCTCAACCTGCAGTCCCTGTCCCCTCCCCAGAGATCAGGGGTTGGGGCTGGAAGTTCCAGCCCTCTAAACATATGGTTGTTCCCTTGGTAAACAGGCCCCCCATCCTAAGGGGCTTTCCAAAATTCACCTCATTAATGTAAACTCAAGTGCAATCAGAAGTGACTTGTTTTGAATAACAGACCCTCCTTGAACCTTTATCACTCGCTCTTGAACTGTTTCAAGAACCAAGTACAAAAACCAAATGTCATAATAAAAGATGCCCCTATTGCTGTTATCCCGTTTTCCTAAATGGAAATTACAAGAGTTTTAGTAGTTCTGGCCAGGAGCTAGGGTTAAGGCAAAATATGTATTTATTATATCACAGTATTACAATTTACAGGGTATTTAAATGAATTATACAGTGATAATAGTAAAAGGATGCTACTGGGACAAGAGACTGATACATCAGTGAAAATACTTAAATACAGTGGGCACTTACTCTATGATAAAGGTGCCATTTCAGATCCATTTGTAAAAAGATGGATTACTCAACAAATAATGCCAAGATGCTTTGCTAGCCATTTAGAGTATCGTGAGAATTTTAAGTTGTAGCCCTACTTTACTCCTGTCACCAAAATGCAAGTATAAAAGATCCAAGTATAAAAAAGAGATCATAAAAGTTCTGGTTTTCTGACTTTTCTAATAAATTTGAGCAGAAGAAGGCTTTCAAGGTCTGACAAAATCTTGGAGTCATAAAGCCAAAGATTTGATAAATGTATATATTAAAATTAAAGTGTCTTCATGGTAGAAAATATCATAATGCAAAATCAATTTATAAATGAATAATGGGAAAACAATTTTAAAAAATTGAGAAACTGAGAAAAGGGGCTAATTTTCTTACTATGCAAAGAGCTTTTTACAAATCAATGACAGCCTAAAAGGAAAACAAAGGACCTGAACAAAAAGCTTATAGTAAAAGAAATGCAAATGGCCATTAAAGATATGAAGAAATACTTAACTGTCTTAATAAAGAATGTACTAAGCCACAAATTTTGTTTTACCTGTCACAATAGCACAGATGAAAAGATTTGATTATCCTTAGTATTGTTGAGTACATGGGGAAACATTCATGTACTCTTATAAGACTATTATTAGAAGTGCAAATTTGTTGCAACATTTTTGAAAGTGTGGAACAATTGGATGATATCTAACTAATGTTGAAATAAATATTCCCTTTTCACCCAGACTTCCATTTAAGGGAATAACAGATACACAGATAAAGTTGTACCTAGAAAAATAAAATGAAGCTACACATAAACGCACAAACAAATGTTCACTGCAGCATGCTTTGGAAGAATAAACTATTGGAAACAACCTAAATATTTAGTTAAATTTTGGTAAAGTAAATCAGTTTAATATAAAATGTTTGTAGATGCACAAAATCTTGCTTTGAACAAGTAGTTTTACTCTACTTGGCAGGAATTTTTCTATAAGAAAACTTGTTTAATATTGGTTATCACCAGAAAGTGGAACTAGGAGGTTCAGAGATAACCGGGAGAACTTTACTGTTCATATTAAATTTGTCTGCATTATTTGAATATTTTGCATGTTTAATTTTTAAAAGTCTGCAGTTCTAGGTATGAAAGAAATATTTAAAAATAAATGAAAAGCAGTAAATGATATTTTCATGTACTTTTATATATTCGGGGAGAATTTTGCAAATGTTATGAGTAAAATTAATTCCATTATCAGAAGTAAATAACTACTTCAACTTATTTGACCTTTACTCTTAACAAAGTGCCATGAGATGATGGTGATTATCAAATCCTGTTGTTTTATAAAGCCCTTTATACTTAAGGAATTCAGCTTGCTTGCTGCTGCTTCTGCTTCTTTTTTTTTTTTTTTTTTTTTTTTTTTTTTTTTTTTTGAGATGAAGTCTCGCTCTGTCGCCCAGGCTGGAGTGCAGTGGCACGGTCTTGACTCACTGCAACCTCCACCTTTTGGATTTAAGCAGTTCTCCTTCCTCAGCCACCACAGTAGCTGGGATTGCACGTGTGCACCACCGCACCTGGCTAATTTTTGTATTTTTAGTAGAGATGGGGTTTCACCATGTTGGCCAGGCTGGTCTTGAACTCCTGACCTCAAGTAAGCCACCCCCATTGGCCTTCCAAAGTGCTGGGATTACAGGCCTGAGCCACCGTGCCCAGCCTTCAGCTTGCTTATTTTCTACTATCCTTTCTGTATTTTACTTCATTCCCAGGCTGGGAGGACTATGTTCATTGAAAATACTGATATTAGGGAATAAACATTTTAGAGCAATGTTATCTATTTCCTTATTGTTTTACTTACTGCTTTAATGAATTCTAGATAGGCCTTCAAATTTTTGCTTTATTCTGTTGCCAAGGTATCCTTCCTGAAATACAGCCATAATTATGTTACTCGCCTGTTCAAAATGGTATACTGGCTCTTCATTTCTTTTAAGAATAAAATTTAAAGTCCTTGGCCTAGTGTTCCAGGCCCTGTAGAATTTGGCCCCAAATAACCTTTGCTACCTTACTTTCCTCTGCTTTATAAATGAAATAAGCCATACATACTGAATATTTGCACTCTCCCTTATTGCCTCAGTTCTTTCCTACTTTTATGCTTTTGCTCATGCTATTTGATGAAGCAGGGGAAAGGCCAGCACAACTATAGTATAGTTATCAGGAAGAGTGGTACAAAATGAGGAAGAAAAGTTATGTATACTTGTACTTCTTGTTAAGGAGTTTGGGCTTTGTTCTTAGTGTAAGAGAAGGTCATTGAAAATTGCTAAATAGAAAATGACAAGTCCAGCTTACATTTTAAAAAGACTACTTTGACCACTATTTGACAAATAGATTGGAAAGGTACAAGAAGGGACAGGAGACCTATTAGAGACTTGCAGTATTGTGACAGGAAATAGAAATAGATGTGTGATTGTTTGGTGAAGGATTAATGACAGGAACAGGAAGAGGAGGGAGTTGGAACTATCAAGAATAACTCCCAGATTTTGGCTTGGGCAGTAGGATGATGTGCCATTCACAGAGATGTGGAAGACTAGGGAAGGTACAGTTGTCAAGGAGGCTAGAATAGAGCTCAGTTAGATGGCTGTGACATCCAAGTGGATATATCATGTATATAGTTGGAACTCAAGAAAAATCGTAGCTTGAAATGCAAATTTGAAAATAAGTAACAGCATGGAAATGGTACTAAAAGCCACAGGGAGAGATGAGATTACCTAGAAAGAGAATATAGACTGAGAACATTTCCTGGAAATTGGCCATACATTGAGGTCATTGATCATATTAGCAAGAGCACTTTTAGTCCAGAAGTATGGCTGTACTCTGCAGTAATTTGAAGAGGGAATTGGGGTAGGGAGAGAGGTAAAGGAGAGGAAAATAGGTTCCTCTTTAGAAGCTTGGCTATGAAGAGGAGCAGAGAAGTGGGCCAGTACCTGGAGGAAGATGTGAGGATTTTCTAAACATACATACTAAATGATGTTTTCAAGCCAATGGAAATGACCCTGAAAGATAGAAGAGAGATATGATAGGGAAAGGAAGCAAGGTCTGGAAGGGAAGATGAGTTGGGTTCCAGAGCAGCATTGGAGGAACTTGCCTTTAAAAGAATGGGAGAGGTGGTGTTGTCTCTGTATCCAGAAAGGTTATGGGAGCAGGTGGATTGGCATAGGTGGCAGCTGCCTCAGGACATCCACAGAAAGTGATCCCTCAGCCCAGAATGTTCTTCTTCCTGTTTGTTTGTTTAGCTCTCATTTTTACTTCACATCTCATCCTCCTCAGAGAATTCTTCTCTAGCTACCATTTCCCAGTAAAATTTCTCTTATATCAGCTTGTTTTTGTTCTTTGTAGCCCCTAATTTAGAATTATATATTTGTTTGCATTTGTTCAGTGCAGAAGCTGCAATCTCAAGAACCTGTAGAATCTAAATGAAATCTCCCAATTTTTAAATGTTGCTAGATAATTCTAAAATTGTATAGTCTACATACTTTAGGTATAAATGCAGGCCCTGTGTGTCCCACTCTACTCTGGGGAAGTCCGTAGGGATTCCTAGAGTATTTCATGAAAACTCTGCTTGCCAGTAATCTATAGTGTGGGTGAAAAGGATCCCATCATTGCATGTGTGTATCTTTGTTTCTGCCCATGATGTAGAACTCTAAAACAGTGTTTTGATGTCATATCAGAGATTAGAATTAGGGTTTATGATTGTGTCTTAGCTCATTCCTGCTGCTGTAACAAAATTCTGCAGATCTAAGATCAAGGCACCAGCAGATTGGGTGTCTGGTGAGAGCCCAGTCTCTGCTTCCAAAATGGTGTCTTGTTGCTTTGTCCTCACGTGGTGGAAGGCAGGGAAAGGCCAAACAGGAGCCTTCAGGCCAAAGGGCACTAATCCCATTCATGAAGGTGGAGCCTTCATGACCTAATCACCTCCTACCTAATACTATTATATTGGGGATTATGTTTCAACATGAATCTTAGAGGGACGCAAACATTCAAACCATAGAAAATTGTAAGATATTACATCTAAAAATGTCAAAAAATGAAGATAGAAAGTGGTAAATTTTATGTGTTTTTTACCACAATAAAAAAAAATTTGGAAAAAAAGTCAAGATGGTCCACAGAAAAGGAATTTCAAAGGGCTCTAAAACATGTAAAAAGGGTTTTTTAAAAAATTTATCCATTTAATTACTGACTATGAGAATGAAGTGTCAGGTTTCTTAGCTGAATATGGGGTTACCAATATCTGTCAGGTTTAATAGCAGGATTAATTAAAAAAAAAACAGATGCAGAGCATATGTCATAACACCCTACACAGAACAGGTGGTAAATACATATAGCAGTTGCTTTTATGATCTGGAGAACTGAAGTGCCTTCCTCCAGGTCACGTAGCCGGTCAGTGGCAGAGCCCAGGCCAAAATTCATGTCTCTTAAACTTTTACTGTACCAGCGAGGCTACTAAGAACAAGGCATCAGTCTTTTGTGCAGGCAGTGAATTTTCTGATACCTTATATAAACTATTCTTTCCTTTAGTCTTTGTTCTGTATCTAAAGAATTGTGAATAGTATTTCTAAACAGAATGCTAATTTTTTAAGTTCTTTCAAAATCTTTTTTTCTCCTTTTCAGAGTCCGAATGTCATTCAGAATTTGAAAATACTACCCGTTCTGTCTTCAGGTCAGCAAAGTTTTACATTCATCATCCCGTACACCTACCAAGTGATCAAGATATTTGCCATGAATCTTTGGGAAAGAGTGTTTTCATGAGACATTCTTGGAAAGATTTCTTTCAGCATCATCCAGACAAACATAGAGAACACATGTGTCTTCCTCTTCCTTATCAAAACATGGACAAGACTAAGACAGATTATACCAGAATAAAGAGCCTCAGCATCAATGTGAATTTGGGAAACAAAGAAGTGATGGATACTACTAAAAGTCAAGTTAGAGATTATCCAAAACATAATGGACAAATTAGTGATCCACAAAGGGATCAGAAGGTCACCCCAGAGCAAACAACTCAGCACACTGTGAGTTTGAATGAACTGTGGAACAAGTATCGGGAGCGACAGAGGCAACAGAGACAGCCTGAGTTGGGTGACAGGAAAGAACTGTCCTTGGTGGACCGACTTGATCGTTTGGCTAAAATTCTTCAGAATCCAATCACACATTCTCTCCAGGTCTCAGAAAGTACACATGATGATAGCAGAGGGGAACGAAGTGTGAAGGAATGGAGTGGTAGACAACAGCAGAGAAATAAGCTTCAGAAAAAGAAGCGGTTTAAAAGCCTAGAGAAAAGCCATAAAAATACAGGCGAGCTTAAAAAAAGCAAGGTGCTTTCTCATCATCGAGCTGGGAGGTCTAATCAAATTAAAATTGAACAGATTAAATTTGATAAATATATTCTGAGTAAACAGCCAGGTTTTAATTATATAAGCAACACTTCTTCGGATTGTCGGCCCTCAGAGGAGAGTGAGCTGCTCACAGATACTACCACCAACATCCTTTCCGGCACCACTTCTACTGTCGAATCAGATATATTGACCCAAACAGATAGAGAGGTGGCTCTGCACGAAAGGAGTAGCTCTGTTTCCACTATTGACACTGCCCGGCTGATTCAAGCTTTTGGCCATGAAAGAGTATGCTTGTCACCCAGACGAATTAAATTATATAGCAGCATCACCAACCAACAGAGGAGATACCTTGAGAAGCGGAGCAAACACAGCAAGAAAGTGCTGAATACAGGTCATCCCCTAGTGACTTCTGAGCACACCAGAAGGAGACACATCCAGGTACATGGCTACAGATTCCATCTGGCAATGTGACTGCCCTCTTCATGGACTTTTTAGTTAAGCTTTGCACACAGGTGAAAAAAACAAGCCATTTGCCCTTTCCTCTCTATACCATTTCTTACCAACTGGAAAAGAGTGAGAAAGTGTAGTACAGTGCTATTGTGAGTTGTCATTATTTTCATCAACATTCATTTACGAATTACCTTTTGAATGAAGGGCTTTGCTGCTAGATCCTTCACAGTCTGCAAAGTTTACCCCTGAAATGGGGGAGCTTTGAGGTTAGAATGATCTCTATCCTGAACAATATTGCTGGGTTTATGTTTATTTGGGTTTTTTTTTTTTAATTCATTCCTCTCTGTCTTTCAGGAAATATATTTGAGGTTCTTTTAAACACACACACACAGACAAACACATAAATAATACAGGGTTTTTTTTTTTGTAATTGAAGAATGGAGTTGATTTGAAAAATTGAAGCTGGGGTGAGCTACAATATGATTTTTTAAAAATGAGTAAATAAGGAATTGTGAATAATGGAAAGACAAGTCAAAGCCAGGAGGAAGATAAATAAGCCTTGTGGATGTGGTCGCTAGAAAAGAGCTACAAATTTGGCTTTATGTTTTCTAGCACTTAGTGTTGCTAGAATTTTGTGATCAATAACATTCACTTTTTAATATAAAAAGAGAACAAAATTTTTAGAAACATTACAGATTTCTGATAAGAGACCTAAAATAAATTTCTCTCATCTGTCTTCTTAAAGAAGGCACCACAGTGCAACAAAGAGTATCCTCCTATAAGGCCATTATCACATTCCTTAGTTTAGGGTGTTAATAAGGGAGATCTCAAGGGGTCAATAAATGTAGGCCATTGCTTTAACCCAAGAGGAAAATTTCAAGTATCACTAGACATGCTCTCCAAAGAAGGATGCTTGCAAAATGGTTCAGTGGAGTATGGAACGAAAAATATTTGAATTTATATTCATTTTCCCCAACTTTTTAAAATTTATATTTTTGTGTATATTTTATGAGTACAGTAGTGACATAACATATAAATAAATATCTATTTTGACAACTTGTGCTAAAAAAATTTTTGTCAGATTACATGATCAAAAGAAATTGGAGACCACTGGTCTAGAGAAAGGGAGGCATGAGATGTTCAGACAATTTATTATAAATATTATTTCTCCTCATTGAGCTTTTGGCAGTGTTTACATATATAAATAATAGAGTATGCTTTTTTTCTAAAGTAAGTGAAGAATTGGGAATGGTACAGAGTAAGGCTTTTGTTCCATAGGGGAGATAGATAAATGGATCCAGGAGAGGGTTTGTGTGTGTGTAGTAAAATACACATGACATAAAGTTTACAGTTTTGATCATTTTCAAGTATACAATTCTGTGGCATTGAGTATATTCACAGTGTTTTACAACCATCACCACTATCTATTTCCAGAAATTTTTAATTAACCCAGTGGAAACCCTGTACCCATTAAGCAGTGACTCTCTGTTCCCTCTTCTCACCAGCCCCCGGCAACCAGTAATCTATTTTCTGTCTCTGAGGATTTTCCTATTCTGGTTGTTTCATATAAATGGAATCATTTAATATATGACCTTGGTATCAGGCTTCTCTCTCTTAGACACAGTGTTTTGAATATTCATCCATGACATAACATGTATCAATACTTCGTTGCTTTTTATAGCTGAGTATTATTCCGTTGCATGTATATACCACATTTTGTTTATCCATTCATTTATTGATTTGGGTTGTTTCCACTTTTTGGTTATTGTGAATAGAATTGATATAGAACGTTTGTGTACACCTGTCTGCAATTCTTTTGGGTATATATCTAGGAATGGAAATGCTGGGCCATATGGTAATTCTGTGGATTAGCTTATTGAGGAACTGCCAGACTATTCCATAGTACCTGCACTATTTTGCATTCCCATCAGCAGTGTATAAGGGTTCCTCCAACCCTCCTCCTTTTTTCCACAGCGACTGCTTTAGTTTATATTCGCACCAGCAGTTCACAAGGGTTTCAATTTTATTGCATCCTTGCCAACACTTATTTTCCATTTTTTAATATATAAACTAACCATCCTGTTGGGTGTGAGTTAGTATCATTGTGGTTTTGATTTGCATTTCCCTAGTGATTATTCATGTTGCACATCTTTTTATGTGCTTATTTAACCATTTGTATATCTTCTTTTGAAAAATGTCTTTTCAAGTCATTTGGCCATTTTAAATCTGGCTGTTTGATTTTTTGGTTTTTGAGTTGTTGGGATTTTCTATATATTCTGGATATTGATCTCTTGTTAGATACATGATCTGCAAATATTTTCTCCCATTTTGTAGGTTGCCTCTTTCACAGTCACTCTGCTGACCGTGTCTTCTGACATATAGAAGTTTTAAATTTTGATGTAGTCCAATTTAGCTATTTTTTTTTTGTTTTTTGTGCTTTTGGTGTCATATCTTAGAAATATTTGCCAAATCCAGTGTCGTGAAAGTTTTCTTCTTAAGAGTTTAATAATTTTAGCTTTTACTTTTAGGTCTTTGATCCATTTTGAGTTAATTTTTGTGTATGGTGTAAGATAAGGGTCCACCTTCATTCTTCTGCATGTGAATATCCCGTTTTCTCAACATCGTTTGTTGAAAAGACTTTTTTTCCCCATTGAATGTTCTTGGCACTCTTGCCAAAAATCGTTTAGCCATATACGTGAGGGTTTTTATCTGGGCTCTCTATTCTGTTAGTCTATATATCTCTCTTTATGCCACTACTGCACTGTTTTGATTTACTGTGTATTTAAAATGAGTTTTGAAAGCAGGTAGTGTGAAACCTGTAACTTAGTTCTTTTTTCAAAATTATTTTGGCTGTTTGGTTTCCCTTGAGATTTCATGAATTTTAGTAAATATTTTATTGTTTTTAATACTACCATATGTGCAATTTCTTTCTTAATTTCATTTTTGGATTATTCATTGCTAATGTATAGGTACATAAATAATTTTTACATACTGATCTTGTATCTTGCAGCTTTGCTGAATTTATTAACTCTTTTTTTGTGTGGATTTTTAAGGATCTCTAGGATTTCATGTTGAGGAAGTTCCCTTCTTTTTCTATTTTGATGAGTGTTTTTGTCATCAAAGCATTTTGGTGTTTGCCAAATTCTTCAGCATCTATTGAGATTACTAGTTTTTTCTTTTTCTTTTTCTTTTTTTTTTTTTGAGACAGAGTTTCACTCTTGTTGCCCAGGCTGGAGTGCAATGACGTGATCTCAGCTCACTGCAACCTCTGCCTCCTGGGTTCAACCAATTCTCCTGCTTCAGCCTCCCGAGTAGCTGGGATTACAGGTGCCTGACACCATGCCCAGCTATTTTTTTGGATTTTTAGTAGAGACAGGGTTTCACCATGTTGGCCAGGCTGGTCTTGAACCCCTGACCTCAGGTGATCCACCCCCCTCAGTCTCCCCAAAGTGCTGGGATTACAGGCATGAGCCATTGTGCCTGGCCTGTTTTTTTCTTTTATTCTGTTAATATGGTGTATATTTATTGATAATCATATTTTGAACCAACTTTACATTCCTGAGATAAATACCACTTGATCATAAAATTCTGTTCATATGCTGCTGGATTCAGTTTATTAGAATTTGAAGAGGACTTTTTACATCTATATTCACAAGGAATATTTGTCTATAGTTTCTTTGTGATATCTTTACTGCCTTTATATCAGGGTACTACTGGCCTTATAGAATGAGAAAGTTTTCCCACCTCTTGGTTTTTGATAATGAGTTTGAGAAGGATTAATGTTAATGATTGACGTTAATTCTTTAAATGTTGGTAGAATTCACCAGTAAAGCCATCTGGCCCTGTGTTTTTCTTTGGGGAAATTTTTTTTCATTACTGATTCAATGTCTTTTAAGTCTATTTAGATTTTGTTTCTTCTTGAGTCAGTTTCTGTAGTTTGTGTTTCTAGAAATTTGTTTATCTTTTTTTTTAAAGTCTGTTTCATTTATCTCCATTGAATCTACATTATTCTGCTTGCTTTGGATTTAGTATGTTTTTTTTTCTTCTCATTTCTTATGATTCAAAGTTAGGTTATTCATTTGGGATTATTCTTTAATGTAGGCATTTGTAGCTATAAATGTCTCTTTAAGCCTTGCTTTTGTAGATAAGTTCTGCCTTCATTGCTTGCCATAAGTTTTGGTATGTTTGTCTTCTTTTTCATTCAAAATGTTTGCTGATTTCTTCTTTGACCATTGACTGTTTAGGACAGTGTTGTTTAATTTCTACTTGTGAATTCCCCACCTTTCTTTGTTATTGATTTCTGGTTTTACTCCATTGTGATCAGAGAATATATTTTGTATTATTTCAATCCTTCATTTATGACCTTGCATATGATCTGTCCTTGAGAATTTTATGTGCATTTAAGACGAATGTGTATTCTGTTGCTGTTTGGAGTGTTCTCTATTGTGTTAGGTCTAGCTGGTTTATAATGTTGTTCAAGTCCTCTATTTCCTTATCAGTCTTTTGTCCAGTTTTTCTATGGCTATCAGAAGTGGATTATTGAAGTCTCCAGCTATTACTGTGGAACTATCTATTTCTCCATTGAAATCTGTCAGTTTTTTGCTTCATATATTTTAGGGCTCTGTTGTCAGTTGTGTGTATGTTCATAATTGTTATATCCTCTTCATGGATTGATCCTTTTATCAGTACAAAATCCTCTTTTTGTCTCTTGTAACAATTTTTAATGTAAAGTCTGTTTTGTCTGATATTAGGGTAACTACCCCAGCTCTCTTTTGGGTAACTATTTGCATGGAATACCTTTTTTATCCTTTTAATTTCTAACTCTTTGTGTCTTTGGATGTAAAGTAAGTCTCTTTTAGACATAACATAGATGGTCATTTTTTATAAGCTATTCTGCCCTCTCTGCCTTTTAATTGGCGAGTATAATCCATTTACATTTAATTTCATAAGAAAGGACTTACTTTCCCCGTGCTGTTTGCTTTCTTTATGTCATATCTTTTTTGTTTTTCATTTCTACTGCCTTCTTTGTATCTAATTGATTTTTTGTAGTGTACCAGTTTTATTCCCTTTTCATTTTTTTTTTAACATTTCATAGTTATTTTCTTACGGGTTACATTGAGGATTACAATTAATATCTTAAACATGTAACAGCCTGATATGAAATAAAACCAACTTAGCTTCAATAATATACAAACACTGTTGTTAATACATCTCTATTCTTCCCCTTAACTTTAATAATACACAAAAACTGTGGGTAGACATCTCCATCCCTTCCTCTTTAATTGTTATAGTCACAGATTACATCTTCATTTTGTCCCCACTAAAATAGATTTATAATTATTTTATGCATTCGTTTTTTAAATCAGATAAGGGAAAAGGGAAGAGTTACAAACCAGAAGTATAATAGGGACTTTATTTTTACCTATGTAATTGTCTTACCCTTATTTCTTATGCCTTATTTCTATGTATATGCCTTAAGCCTTATTTCTATGTATACTTCAAGGTATTGTCAAATGTCCTTTCATTTCACCTTGGAGTACTCTCTTTATCATTCCTTATAGGGAAGGTCTACTTGTAACAAATTTACTTTTGTTTATCTGGGAATGTCTTTAATTTCTCCTTTATTCTTTTTTTATTTATTTTTTTTTTTGAGACGGAGTCGTCCTGGGCTGTAGTGCAATGGCACAATCTAAGCTCACTGCAACCTCCACCTCCCGGGTTCCAGCAGTTCTCCTGCCTCGACCTCCCAAGTAGCTGAGATTACAGGTGCCTGCCACCATGCCTGGGTAATTTTTGTGTTTTTAGTAGAGATGGGGTTTCACCATGTTGGCCAGGCTGGTCTTAAACTCACGACCTCAGGTGATCCACCTGCCTTGACCTCCCAAAGTGCTGGGATTACAGGCATGAGCCACTGTACCTGGCCTTCTTTTTTTTTTCTTTTTAAGATGGAGTCTCACTCTGTCGCCCAGGCTGGAGTACAGTGGCGTGATCTTGGCTCACTGCAACCTCCACCTCCCGGGTTCAAGTGATTCTTCTGCCTCAGCCTCCTGAGTAGCTGGGATTACAGGTGCACACCACCACACCCAGCTAATTTTTGTATTTTAGTAGAGACGTGGTTTCACCGTGTTGGCCAGGCTGGTCTTGAACTCCTGACCTCAGGTGAGCCACCCACCTCGGCCTCCCAAAGTCTCCTTTATTCTTAAAGTTTTGCTGGAGGTAGATTTCTTGTCTTACACTTTTTATCTTTCATCATTTCAAATATGTCATTTCACTGCCTATTGTCTTCCATGGTTTCTGGTGAGAAATTAGCAATTAATTTTACCGAGGATCCCTTCTGTGCTCGCCCTTATTCTTACTGCTTTCAAGATTCTCTGTCTTTGGCTTTGACATTTTCATTATAACATGTCTCAGTGTGGCTCTCTTTCAGTTTATCCTACTAAGAGTTCATTGAGCTACTTCGATGTTTAGATTAATGTTTTCCCCTTATCAAGTTGGAGGAGTTTCCAACCATTATTTCTCCAAATATTCCTTCTGCCCCTTTCTTTCTCTCTTCTTTTGGGATTCCTAATATGCATCTGTTGGTAAGTTTGATGGTATCCTACAAGTCTCTTAAGCTCTGTTCATTTTTCTTCATTCTGTTTTCTTTCATTTTCTATTTTTTTAGAGTAGGGTTTCACACTATCCCAGACTGGAGTACAGTGATGTAATCATAGCTCACTGCGGCGTCGAACTCTGGGCTCAAGAAATCTTTCTGCCTCAGCTTTCCGAGTAGCTGGGACTACAAGGCATGCACCACCACACTCATCTCATTCTGTTTTCTTTCTGTCCCTCAGAGTACGTAATTTCATTTCACCTATCTTCACCTATCTTCAAGTTCACTGATCTTTCATCTGTGTGATCAAATCTGGTATTGGACTGCTCTAGTGAATTTTTCATTTTAGCTCTTGTACTTTTCAGCTTCATATTTTCTATTTGATTCCTCTTTGTCTTCATTGATATTCTCTTTGTTGAGACATTGTTCTCATTTCCTTTAGTTCTTTATCCATGGTTTCCTTTAGCTCTTTGAGCACATTTAAAACAGTTGATTTAAAGCTTTTGCCTAGTAAGTCTACTGTGTGTTCTTCCTAAGGGACAATTTCTATTTATTTCTCTCCTCTAACCCATGAATGGGCCATACTTTCTTGTTTCTTTTCATGCCTCATAATGTTATGTTAAAATTTTGACATTTTGAATATTATGATGTGATAACTCTGGACATCAGATTTTCCTCCCCTTCTCTAGGGTTTGTAGTTACTGCTTGTTGTAAGTTAAAGTTGTTGGTTTATTTAGTGACTTTTCTAAATTATGTTTGTAACGACTGTACTCTTTGTTGTTGTGTGATATTTCTGTTCCTTTAGCTTAGTAGCTGGCTACTTGTTTGATAGAGATTTTCTTAAATGCCTGGGGCCGAAAAAAGCAAAAGAAAAAAGAAAATTCCCCAAGTCTTTGCAGATTTTCTGCATTCGGACACTCCTTCAATGCTTAGCCAGGCCATTCACAACTCTCTGCCTTAGCCTTGCTTCCTACTTGTACTGAGCCTAAAGGTCAACCAGTGGTGAAAGTGTCTGGTCTTCTCAGGTCTTTTCTGAACATGCATCTTGCTCTGTGCATGCACTTTCTAGTTTCCCTGGTATACATGGGAAATTTTCCAAGCCCTTATGCCCCAAAGATTCTCAGTTTTTCTTTCCTGCTTTTAGTATGTCTATTGTTTCCCTTGAACTGTTAATTTTTGCTCCAGGCAGTAGTGCCTTGTTCATTTGGTTTTCAGTATTTTCAAGGAACATTCTTCCCCTATAAAACTACTTTTTCACTCTAAGAGAGTTATGTTAGGTGAAACTAAGGCAGGTCCCTTGTGTCAGTCCACGGCTAATACTCAGACATGTCAAAACAAACACAATTCCTTGGGAACAAGGTACTACTCCGTGCTGTCTTTGGGAGCAGGTACCTACATCAGGACCAAGGGCTGCCGTCTTTAAGACCACCATGCTGGGTAAGGGGATAGCAGAAGGCTAAGTTAAAATGCTACAAAGTTCTTCTACCTTGTGCTGATGGCCTTTCTCCTGGTTTAGCAAACACTTGGTTACTATAAACCTTTGACTATCTTCCAAAGTTCAGATAAGGTTGGCTTTGACAGTTTTCCGTATTTTTTGGTGTTTCTAGAGAAGGCACTTTCTCCCTTGGAGGTCTCTACTCTACCATTTTTGCTTGTCGTTCCCAGGTGGAGTTGTGTGTCCCTCTGACCATCAAAATAACTAGAGTGACATCAATTATTTTTTCTTTTTTTTTTTTTTGAGACGTAGTCTCTATTGCCCAGCCTGGAGTGCAGTGGCACAATCTCAGCTCACTGCAACCTCTGCCTCCTGGGTTCAAGCGATTCTTCTGCCTCAGCCTACCGAGTAGCTGGGACTACAGGTGTGCACCACCATGCTTGGCTAATTTTTGTATTTTAGTAGAGACAGGGTTTCACCACGTTGGTCAGGATGGTCTTGATCTCCTGACCTCGTGATCTGTCCGCCTTGGCCTCCCAAAATGCTGGGATTACAGGCGTGAGCCACTGTGCCCAGCCTGTGTTACATTTTTAATATCTTTGCCTTTGATTTTACTTCATCCAGTACAGTTTTTTTTAAATTTGCATTTGCACTATTGCTCTTTGCCCATCCTTTTAGCCTTTTGAGTCACTTTACTCAAGTGTTAGTAACATCTGAATTTAACTTTTTTCCCACCCAATCTGAAGGTCTCTCTTTTGAAACAAATTTATTCCATTTAAGTTTACTGTTGTAAATGTTTGGTTTAAATTTTATTATTTTGGCTTTTTTTCATTCTGATGTATTTATTAAATAAAGGTGTGTTCAACTAAATTTCATTTCAAAGTAAGGAGAGGGGTGAATTTCTTGTGCGTGGTAAAAAACACATACCAAAAAATTCCCTTCTTAACTGTTCTTAAGTGTACAAGTCAATAATGTTAAATGTATTCACACTATGTTGAAACCAATCTCCAGAACTTTTTCATATTGCAAACCTGAAACTCTATACCCATTGAACAACAACTGCCCTTGTCCCCGTCCCCCAGCTCCTGGTAACCACTATTCTGCTTCCTGTTTATGAATGATTACCTTAGATACCTCATATGAGTGTAATCATGCAGATTTGTCTTTTTGTGACTGACTTGTTTCACTTAGCATAAGATCTTAAAGATTCATCCATATAATCCATGTAGCATGTTATAGGATTTCCTCCCTTTTTAATTCTGTATGATATTCTACTGTTTACATATACCACATTTTGTTTTTCTGTTATTCATTGATGGACATTTGGGTTGTTTCCACCTTTTAGCTATGGTAAATAGTGCTGCTGTGAACATGGGTATGTAACTGTCTTTTTGAGACCTTGCTTTCAATTCTTTGGGATACATACCCAGAAGAAGGATTGCCAGATCATATATAGTAGTTCTATTTTTAACTTTTTGAGGAGCCTCAACACTGTTTTCCCTAGTGGTTGTGCCATTTTGCAATGCCACCAACAATGTACAAGGGTTCTAATTTCTTTACATCCTTACCAACACTTGTTTTTTTTTTTTATAGTAGCCATCCTCATGGGTGTGAGGTAATACTGTTTTGATTTGCATTGCTCTTATGCTTAGTGATACTGAGCATTTTTTTATATGCTTTTTGGCCATTTGTATGTCATCTTTAGAGAAATGTCTATTCAAGTCCACTTTTACTTTTTTTTTTTTTTAGAGGTGGGGTCTCACTGTTTTGTCCATCCTGGTCTCGAGCTCCTGGGCTCAAGCAGTCTTTCCCCATTGACCTCCGAAAGTGCTGGGATTATAGGCATGAGCCACCATACCTGGCCTGCCCATCTTTTAGTTAGGTATTTGATTTTTGTTGTTGTTGTTGCGACTGCTTTATATTTTCTGTATGTTAACCCCTTCTCAGATACATGATTTGTAAATATTTTCTCCCATTCAATAGGTTGTCTTTCACTCTGTTGATTGTGTCCCCTGATGTACAAGTTTTTAAGTTTAGTGTGGTCCTGTTTGTCTATTTTTGCTTTCGTTGCCTGTGATTTTGGTGTAATATTCAAAAAATTATTGCCACATTGAATGTCATGAAGCTTTTTCTGTAAGAGTTATATGGGTTTAGGTCTTACATTTAGGTCTTTAACCCATTTTGAGTTAATTTTTGTACATGGTATAAGATAAGGGTCCAATTTCATTCTTTTGCATGTGGATATCCAGTTATCCAAGCATCATTTGAAAGCTATCCTTTTCCCACTGAGTGGTCTTGGCACCCTCGTCAAAAATCATTTGAACATATATGCGAGAGTTTATTTCTGGGCATGTTTTCTTATTTCATTGGTCTGCTTGTTTGTCTTTATACTAATATCACACTATTTTGATTACTGTTCCTCTGGTAATATGTTTTCAAATCAGGAAGTGTGAATACTCCAACATTGTTCTTGTCTTTCAAAGTTGTTTTGGCTATTCAGGATTTCTTATCATTTTTAATGATTTCTTGCTATTTCCAATCTTTTTTGTTGATTGCTATGTAATGCATGTTTCTTCGAGTTGGTTTTTTGATAACTTAGCAACTATGTAATCTAATTAACTAATATGCTTCAACCACTTTCTCAATCTGTCAGTGTCAGATATGAAACTATCTATTGGCTCTATTATATGAAAAATTAAGAAACTGATTTTACTTCTTCCCACCTATCCCCCACATAATTTTCCCCAACTAACCAATAGTGGTTATATTTTGTGAATTTTGTCTCAGCTCATTTATAGTAGTAGTATTACTATATTGACTAGCTTCTGTTTCAAGAATTAGAACATTTTACTTACATTTTATAAGATCATGAGTTATTTTACATTAGTTGTATTTAAATATAGGGTCAGTATTTACCAGGAGTCTTTTCACATACCTATTTATGAGTTTGTTAATTTCAATCTGTTGTTTGACTAGACTGTTAAATGTTCAGGAGTGATCATCTTTTATGTTCTTGCAAATTTGAGACTATTACCTTTATGTACCAGAACAACAACTGAGTTGGATATAAAAGTTTTGATTAACAGTTCTTAATTCAAAACTGTTAATTTTGCTCCTCTTTTCTGGATTACCAGTATTTAATGTTTCATATGCTTGCTTGCTTTGTTTCTTTCTTTATTATTTCCATAGTTTGGAGGGAACAGGTGGTTTTTGGTTACATGGATAAGTTGTTTACTGGTGATTTCTGAGATTTTGGTGCACCCATCACCTGAGCAGTATACACTGCACCTAATGTGTAGTCTTTTATTCCTCACCCCGCTCCCACCCTTCCCCCCTAAGTTCCCAAATCCATTATATCATCCTTATTCCTTTGTATCCTCATAACTTAGCTCCCCGTTATAAATGAGAACATACAATATTTGATTTTCCATTCCTGAGTTACCTCACTTAGAAGAATGGTCTCCAACTCCACATTGCTGCAAATGCCATTATTTTATTCCTTTTTATGGCTGAGTAGTATTCCATGGTGTATATGTACCACATTTTCTTTATCTACACATTGGTTGATAGGCATTTAGGCTGCTTCCATGTTTTTGCAATTGCGAATCATGCTGCTATAAACATGCATGTGCAAGTATCTTTTTCATATAATGACATATTTTCCTCTGGGAAGATACCCAGTAGTGGGACTGCTGGATCAAATGGTAGTTCTACTTTTAGTTCTTTAAGGGATCTCCATACTGTTTTGCATAATGGTTATACTAGTTTACATTCCCACCAGCAGTGTAAAAATATTCCCTTTTCACCACGTCCACACCAACATCTATTTTTATTTTTTATTTTTTTATTTATGGCCATTCTTGCAGGAGTAATGTGGTATCTCATTGTGGTTTTAATTTGCATTTCCCTTACAATTAATGATGATGAGCTTTTTTTTTTTTTTTTTTTGAGACAGAGTCTCACTCTGTTGCCCAGGCTAGAGTGCAGTGGCATGGTCTTGGCTCACTGCAACCTCTGCTTCCCAGGTTCAAGAGATTCTTCTGCCTCAGCCTCCCAAGTAGCTGGGATTACAGGCAGGTGCCACCACGTCTGGCTAATTTTTTTGTATTTTTAGTAGAGATGGGGTTTCACTGTCTGAGCCAGGATGGTCTTGATCTCCTGACCTCGTGATCTGCCTACCTCAGCCTCCCAAAGTGCTGGGATTACAGGCATAAGCCACCACGCCTGGCCGATGATGATCATTTTTGCATACACTTCTTGGCCTTTTTTTTTTTTTTTCCCCGAGACGGAGTCTCGCTCTTGTTGCCCTGGCTGGAGTACAATGGCACAATCTCCACTCACTGCAACCACTGCATCCCGGGTTCAAGCAGTTCTTCTGCCTCAGCCTCTGGAGTAGCCGGGATTACAGGTGCCTACCACCACGCCTGGCCAATTTTTTGTATTTTTAGTATTTAATTTTTTGTATTTGTATTTTGTATTTTAGTAGTGGTTTCACCATGTTGGCCAGGCTGATCTTGAACTCCTGACCTCAAGTGATCCACCTGCCTCGGCCTCCCAAGATGCTGGGATTACAGACATGAACCATCGCACCTAGCCCATTTGTATATCTTCTTTTGAGAATTGTCTATTCTTGTCCTTTGCCCACTTTTTGTTGGGATTATTTGTTCTTTTCTTGATTTGTTTGAGTTCCTTGTAGATTCTGCATATTAGTCCGTTGTCGGATGCATGGTTTGCAAATAGTTTCTCCCATTTTGTGGGTTGTTTGCTGATTATTTCTTTTGATGTGCAGGGCCCATCTATTTATTTTTGTTTTTTGTTGCATTTACTTTTGGGTTCTTGGTCGTGAGCTCTTTGCCTAAGTCAATGTCTACAAGAGTTTTTCCAGTGTTATCTTACAGAATTGTTATGGTTTCAGGTCTTAGATTTAAGTCTTTAATCCATCTTGAGTTAATTTTTTTGTAAGGGTGAGAGATGAGGATCCAGTTTCATTCTCCTATATGTGGCTTGCTAATTATCCCAGGACCATTTGTTGAATAGGGTGTCCTTTCCTTACTTTATATTTTTGTTTGCTTTGTCAAAGATCAGTTGGCTGTAAGTATTTGGCTTTATTTCTGGGTTCTGTGTTCTGTTCCATTGGTCTTGGTGCCTATTTTTATACCAGTACCATGCTGTTTTGTTAACTATACCCTTGTAGTATAGTTTGAAGTCAGGTAATAAGGAGGCCTCCAGGTTTGTTCTTTTTGCTTAGTCATGCTTCGGCTGTGTGTGCTGTTTTTTGGTTCCATATGAATTTTAGGATTGTTTTTTCTAGTTCTGCAAAGAATGATGATGGTATTTTGATGGAAATTGCATTGAATATGTAGATTGCTTTTGGCAATATGGTCATTTTCACAATATTAATTCTAGCCATCCATGAGCATGGGATAGGTTTCCATTTGTTTGTGTCATCAATGATTTCTTTCAGCAGTGTGTTTCTCATTTTCCTTGTAGAGATCTTTCACCTCCTTGGTTAGGTATATTCCTAAGGTTTTGTGTTTTTTTTTGTTTGTTTGTTTATTTGTTTGTTTTGCAGTTGTTGTAAAAGGGATTGAGTTCTTGATTTGTTTCTCAGCTTGGTCTTTGTTGGTGCATAGCAGTGCTACTGATTTGTGTACATTGATTTTGTATCCTGTAACTTTACTGAATTCATGTGTCAGATCTAGGAACTTTTTGAATGAGTCTTTAGGATTTTCTAGGTATACAGTCATATCATCGGTGAACAGTGACAGTTTGACTTCCTATTTACCTGCTTGGGTGCTCTTTATTTTTTTCTCTTGTCTGATTGCTTTAGCTAGGACTTCGAGTACAGTGTTGAATAGCAGGGATGAAAGTGGGCATTCTTGTCTTGTTCCAGTTCTCAGGGGAAATCCTTTTAACCTTTTCCCCATTCAGTATAATTTTGGTGTGGGTTTGCCATAGATGGCTTTTATTACCTTAAGGTATGTCCTTTCTATGCCGATTTTGCTGAGGGTTTTAATTATAAAGTGATGCTGAATTTTGCCAGATGCTTTTTCTGCATCTTTTGAGATGATCATGTGATTTTTATTTTAAATTCTGTTTATGTGGTGTATCACATTTATTGACTTGTGCATGTTAAGCCATCCCTGCATCCCTGGTATGAAACCCACTTGACCATGGTGGATTATCTTTTTGATATGCTGTTGGATTTGGTTAGCTGGTATTTTGTTGAGGACTTTTGCATCTGTGTTCATCAGGGATATTGGTCTTTTGGTTCTTTGAAAAGATAAACAAAATTGGTAGACCATTAGTGAGATTAACCAAGAAAAGAAGAGAGAAGATCCAAGTAAACTCAATTAGAAACAAAATGGGAGATATTACAACCAATACCACAGAAATACAAAAGATCATTCAAAGCTATTATGAAAACCTTTACATGTACAAACTAGAAAATCTAGAGGAGATGATTAAATTCCTGGAAATATACAACCCTTCTATATTAAATCAGGAAGAAATAGGAACTCCGAACAGACCAATAACAAGTAGTGAGATTGAAACAGTAATTTAAAAAACTGCTAACAAAAAAAAGTCCAGGACCAGATGGATTCACAGCTGAATTCTATCAGACATTCAAAGAAGAATTGGTACAAATCCTACTGAAACAATTCCAAAAGATAAAGAGGGAATCCTCCTTAAATCATTATGTGAAACCAGTATCACCCTAATACCAAAACCAGGAAGGGACATAACAAAGAAACTGTTGACTCGCTCTTTCTGTGTTTCTCTCTGCCCCGTGCTGTCTCCCCTGCAGTCTCTGCAGTCCAGGCCCTCTTCTCTCTCTATGATCTCTTTGCACTCTGTCTGTTTCTCTGTTCTGTCTGCCTCTGCTCACCCACACGTGCACTTGTGCCCCACATGCCCCACCCTCGTTCTCTCTGGTTCCCACTGTGTCTGTTGTGTGTCTCTATTCTTCTTCTGATTACTCTTTCCTCCCCCACCCTTATCTCTTTAATGTTATTGCTATGTTTGTCTCTGTGCTTTCTCTGTGTGTTTTCACTCTTTTTCTTTCCTGTCTCCCTTCTGCAGTTCTGTTTCTTGGTGTCTGGTTGTCTTCTGGTGGGGGAGAAGGGATAGTTTACTATTGTCAGTACAAAAAGTGAAGAAAAAAGGTCATTCAGTAGTTTTCCTTTATGAAGAAAAAGCTGAAGATGGTGAATGATTTCTCTGTATTTTAGATCTCTCCTTATTTATATTAGCTCATGTTTCCAGCAGGTGGGCAAATAAACAACACAAGCAAACTACCAAACAGAGAGACCTCCATGAGAAAAGAAAATGAGAGCTTTATGTCCAACTAAATGTTTATTAATGTTTCATATATTTTTGTAAAATGGAGTTCATATCAGACTTTACATGCCTATATACGAAGAGAAATTACACTCAAAAGCAGCATCCTGAAATCCAAAGCGTAAATTTTTTTATACGTTTACAGAGAAAGAGTTAAGATATAAAACTATGTATACATATTATAATCCAAATATACATACCTATGTGTATATATATATACGTATACATATCAGTATCACCGGAACAAAATATATGTCATACATAGAACAAAAAACTGAAATTATTATAAAAATATGAATTATGATTTTTTCTTTTATATTTTTGTCTATTTTTTACAAGAATTATGTTCTAATAAGAAACCATAAAAGTTGTTTTTGTTTAACAATAATAGAATAAGGTAAGCCAGATTGATAAACACAAAAAGTTATAAGCTTAGAAGGTGAATTCCCAAATTTCTCATTGACTTCTATTTTGGGTGTAAAAGACCATTTTGAGCTTCCCAAACTAGTCATAATGAACCCTTCTAGAAGTATAGTGAAATAATAGGATTAGAGAACTAGTATACATGGTTTCTGTGTCATGATAAAGTACAGTTTTCTTTTAACTTCCAGTGCCAAGGGTTGAGTTAAATGTACTCCTCAGTTCATGACCCCTCTTTTTAAAATTTTATCACCATATGCCATCCTCATTTCTGTCTCCCCATAGGAAACCAGTCTTATGTAAATATCTTTCAGGTTACATGAGTTCTTACAAAATACATATTTTTTAAGTATGCATGAACTTTCATCATATATAAAAGGTGTACCATTATTTTTGTTATGTTGGCTAAGTTTTGTATTTTCAAAGTCTGCCTACATTGCTGTAAGTATATATCTACATTGCTGTAAGTATATCTAATCACATAATGCTCCATGGAGTGCATCTACCCACTTACGCATGAACACCCAGGAGCACCCAGGTTCCTGTCAGTTCCCCAGCACCACAGAACATGGCAGTGCTGTCTTTGTCCATGTCCCCTTATGCGTCTGTCTGAAACTGTCTTTAGCATATATACCCAGAAGTGGAATTCTTGGCTTACAGGCTCGTATACTTAATTTCCTACATTAGTACCAAATTGCTTTCCAGTTCATATTCCTACCTGCAGTGCATGAAAATTTCCATTTCTACTTCTCTGCCAATTATTTCTAATTTTTATCAGAACACTAGTAAAACAAGTTTCTATACCATGGGAAGATAGGTGTTTTTTTTTTTTCTTTTTAATGAGATGATACTTGTCTTGAACATCTAGAGTATCTCTTTAATTTCCGTGGGAAGAGAGTTTTTCATATAATTTACAGTGCTTTCAACCAGAATACATTCGTTTGTTCATTCATCCAAACATAATTATAGAATTGACAAAAGCACAGAGTGACATACTTTAATAAGCTTTTCTCAGATTTATATATATGAGTGAGAAAATATATGGAAAATTTTTATAACAATATTTAAAAACTTGATTTAAATATCTGGTAAAACTTCATTGTCAAAACACAGCATCCACATTTGTTCCAAATACCCATGGAATATTTACAAAATTAATTGTACGTTAGACAAAATATTGATGAATTCTCAAAGCAGAAGTTTTATAAGTAAGCCCATATTCTGTAACTGTAATGCAGTAAAATTGAACTTAACAACTATAATTTTTAATTTTGCTAATGCTTTAAATTGCATTTCTATTAGGTTTCAGATTTGCCATTTACATTTCTTACTTTGAGAATTACCTTTGTGTATCCTTTGCCTGTTTTTCTCTGAAGGTTTTTTTCCTATTCATTTTTGTAAACATATTTGGAGACCACTGTAGTTGCTGTTTTTTTAAATTCTGTTTTATTACTTTTTTTTTTTTTTTTTTTTTTGAGATGTCTCGCTCTGTCACCCAGGCTGGAGTGCAGTGGAAAGATCTCGGCTCACTGCAACCTCCACCTTGCGGGTTCAAGCGATTTTCCTGCCTCAGCCTCCTGAGTAGTTGGGATTACAGGTGCGCACCACCACGCCTGACTAATTTTTTTGTATTTTTAGTAGAGACGGGGTTTCACCATGTTGGTCAGGCTGGTCTGAAACTCCTGACCTTGTGATCTGCCCACAGCCTCCCAAAGTGCTGGAATTACAGGCGTGAGCCACCGCGCCCGGCCCCTTTTTTTTCTTTTTTAGAGATGTGGTCTTGCTATGTTGCCCAGGCTGATCTCAAACTCCTGGCCTCAACCAATCTTCCCACCTAAGCCTTCTGAGTAGCTGGGACTACAGGCATGTGCCACTGTGCCTGGCTTCCTATTGATTTTTAAGCTTAATTACATTGTGTTAATATTGGAATAAATAATATTGTTATGTATTTCTTTATTTCTGTGTTCATGCTAAAAAAGATCTTCCAACCTCAAGATTTGTTTTTAAAAAATTATCCTGCTTTACTTTTGATACTTTTTGAGGGATATGGAAGCTTTAAGCTTTAATTTAAGCTTAAGCTTTTAATCTACATGGAATTTATTTTTGTGTGTATAGGTATAAATTTATTTCCAAATGGTAGCTAGTTGCCAATAAAGATTTTTAAATAAAGTAATGTCAATAAATTAATTTATTAGAAAAATCTAATGTTCTTTTGTTAAGCTAGACTCCAATCAGTTAGAATTGGTAAATAATTGGCATGGTTCTTTTGAAATTTCCGTTCAAAACAACTGAAATAACATATGGACACCTTATAAAAATTGACAGACCTGAAGAGGAAATTAATTCTGACTGAAACATGAAGGAGTTTTATTTATTAAACTTGAAGTTGGATCAGATCATCCAAGTGAAAATATCTAACAAGCTAGATGGATCTGACCCCATGAGGATATCATGAGTGAGATGAAGATTTTAGAGTCATCCATGTAAAGGTGGTGGTAATTCTTATAGTTATTAAAGCCAAGAGGAAACATATTTGGGAGAATGCAAAGAATAAATAAATGTATAGGGCTACTTCCAGGCTGTAGTTTTTCAAAGCTGATAGAAAAACCTTTGGGAAACATGCTGTCTCGCTCTATCACCCTCTACAAAATTGTATGATCATTTGTCAACCTTCTGGTTTTCCTGTGAGTTAATTGAGTGTTTTAGCTCTTGATTCATTTTCTTTCTGTCCAACCCAAAGCCCTACCATTATCTGGGAAATTTTATTATCCCATTAGAGTTTTTTTTACCTTAGTTGTAATGATCATTGACTGTAATAATTTCCACTGCATTTTAGCCATACATTCTCTTAACTATTGTTTGAATTTTGGATTCACTCAAAATTATTTGTTCTCTGCAATCTTTACTTCTTCACATACCAAAATAAATTTTTCAAGAACCTGTTATGCAGGCACAGTACATTGTTAATTTTCTGAGGAAGATTTTCCATAGTTTTCTGATCAACCACACTGGCAGAAATAGATAACTAGTTCTAATTTCCAAAAGGTAAGTAATAGATAGTTACCACCTGAGTTTCTGCTTCTGCAACCTTTTTTCACTAGGAATTAAATGTATGTCACAGCATTATTTTTTGGACAGACACTTGGTCATTGTGTCACCCCTTGGTGATGAGTAAATTTTATTGAAAATATACTTGCTGTTTGATTGACACAGTTCTATAAACTTTTCACAAGAAAAGACAGTCTTTTGGTGCCATAGACTATATTTCTCATTTTGACTCTGACTGTTTTATCAATGTGTGTCTCTGGTCCTAAGCCTGAGTGATTATAAATGAATTAGCGTAAACCCATGCCTCTAAAGGAAAAGCATCTCCCAGCAGGCACCTGGCTAGCTGAAGGCCAGCAGTACCAATCCTCCTGCCTGAAGAATAGCAGTGTAGGGTCATATCAGAAAACATGGCCCTTTTCCTATGTTGGATATGTTTTTCTAAGATCAGTTTCCACCTAACAAGTAATTTTTTAATTGAAAAGCTTTTATTTCTAGGTCTGTCTCATGTCTTTAATAAATACGGGAATGAGTCTCATTTAGTTCTTAAGCTAAAGAGTACTACAAAAACCCTGAAACATCTCTGAGATGGTACATTTACTTTCCATTGTTACTCTTGTATAAGACAGCAACAGGTGAGTTTGCTCTCATAGTGGAAATTAAAACAGAAGCAGCCAGCCAGCATATATTTCCTTCCAAGATTGTGTACAAGAGAAAGCCTAACCCATGGTGGCTGATAATGCCATTTAATATATAGTCACCTAAATCTTTATGTGTCAGCTCCATTGCAGAGGACTCAGTGGGCTACTCCACACCCAAGCCTGAGGGATGAGGAGATCATTAGAGATGCGTGGGACTCTCCCACGGACTAAGGAAAGTGAACTGTTTTGGTTTACTGACCGCATATATAAATGGATTCAGGAAAAAAAAAAAAAAAAAGTTCCATCCCATGATGGGTCCTCAGCACAAATTGTGGGACATGAGTGCAGATGTGTGCATTGTGATTATTGTGAATCCGTGGATGGATTCAACATCACATGGCACGGTTCTGACAGTTTGTGCTTGGCCCAGCTTTAGAGTAGTGCTCCATCACTCCTATAGCATCCAGTGCCCACCTTTTTTTAGGATTGTTTGTTGTTTATTACATGAAGGCAACACTGTTTATCACTTTCCAAGGTTGATCTTTTTCTGATTTCGGTAACATAGGAGATGCAGAACTATAGAGTATAACCTTTTTTCTCCAAACAAGACTTCATAGTCCACATTTTTTTCAGTTGGCATACAATAAATAAGTGCATTTTATGCCTTTCTTGACATATTTTCCATGCCGTAAACTTTACCTGTTTAAAGTGTACAGTTTAATGGGTCTTGATTTAGTCACAGAATTGTGCAACCATCACCGTATTCTGATTTTAGAATATTTTAAACACCCTCCAAAAAAATCCTGTAAACATTAACAATCAATCTTCATTTCCCCAGCCTCCCACCTCTGCCACAGCCTGCAGGCAACCACTAATGACTTTCTGTTTCTATGGATTTGCCTATTCTGGACCTTTCATATAAATGGAATCACAGTCTTTCGTGACTGACTTCATTCACTTAACATAGTATTTTCAAGGTTCGTACACCTCATAGCATGTGCTCATTCCTTTTAATGGCCAAAGGACATTCCATTCTATGAATATACCACATTGTATCTATTCATCAGTTCATGGACATTTGTGTTGTTTCTGTTTTTTGTCTATTATGAACAAAACTGCTATGAATATTCATGTAGAAGTTTTTTTGAGGGCATATGTTTTCATTTCTCTTGGGTATATACCTAGGAGTGGAATTAATCATATGACAACTCTATGTTTAACCATTTGAGGAACTGCCAGACTTTTCCAAAATGACTGCACCATTTTACATTCCCACCAGCAGTATGTGAGGGTTCCAATTTTTCCACATCCTAGTGAACAGTTGTTTTTGTCTCTGTCTTTGATTGTCATCTTCCTACTGGGCTGGATAATTATATTGGGTTGAGAGAGAATTTATTCTTAGACTTTTCTATTTTTAAATGTTTACCTTTTTATAGGCAAGCATTACTAAATGAAAAAGAATTTGAAATGAAAACGGAAACATTCCAAGGCTCCTCATATAATCCAGTGTAATTGTGTGTTTTTTCACACCCTGTGGTGCACACCATGACTACTTGTGTCCTTTGGAAGTGCAGGATGTTCACAGAACCTCAGACTTGGAAGGGACCACTGGAGTCCTGTGAATCCTACCCACTCCCATCAACACTTCTGCTGCATCTGCACCAAATGACAGGCCACCCTCTAATAGCTCCACCTCTCACGTGCTACTTATGGGGCAGCCAGTTCCATTTGCCTAAGGCTTCAGTTATCAAAGGCTTTAACTTAAATCCAATATCTCCTTGCATTGGAATACCTGGCTCTGCTCCCAGAGCTGCTCTCTGAAGGCACAGGAAACAGACCTAGCCCTCTGCCTCTCGGACCCCCACCTCCTTTCCTGATGTGTTTTTTCTCAGGTCTTCACTCCATGAACCGTTCCACATGGGCTGTGGTATCTACTCTCCTTTCTGAGTTTGGCAGCTTTCCTGGGTATAAGTTTGTTGGTATCTTGTTTTTAAATATGTCCCTCTCAGCTAAGCTTGTTGTGCTTCAGGTAGTGAGAGCGTATTGACCAACACAACTTACCACCTTCCATTCAGTGACTGGACCATGTCTGTGGCCTAACGTATGTTATTCCTTTTGAACTCCTTAAATCTTTTCTGCCACACCCTTCCCCACAAGTTTTTGTTTATTCTCATTTCTTGAACTGGTAATACAGTACAACCACATGATACAAAATATTTGATCAAGAGTGTCCTTCCTACTCCTGTTCCCCAGCACCCAGCCCTCCTTCGCAGAGGTATACAATAAAATTTCATCCATTTTAAGTGTACAGTTAACTTTTAGTAAATTTACAGAGTTTTGCAATCATCACCAAAATCCAGTTTTAGAACATTTCTGTCGTTACCAAAAGGTGCCCTTGTACCTCTTTGCAGTCAATCCTTGTTCCCAGCCCCAGGCAACCTCTCATCTGCCTTCTGTCTCTTCTGGAGATTTTATGTATATAGCATCAGATGTGGTCTTTTGCATCTGCCTTTTTTTGTTAACATCATGATTTCAAGGTTCATCCGTGCTGTAGTATGCATCAGTGGTTCCTTTTTGTTGCTGAATAGTGTTCCATTTTATGGATATACCACATTTTGCTTATCTTTCAGTTGATGGACATTTGGATTGTTTGATTTTTTTGGATGTGAATGCTGCTATTAATACTTCTGTAAAAGTTTTGTGTGGGCATACATTTTCATTTCTTCTGGGTTTTTACTCAGGAGTGAAATTGGTAGGTCATATGATAGGTTTATGTTTAACTTTATCAGAAATTGCCTAAGTGTTTTCCAGAGTGGCTGTATCATTTTACATTCTCGCCTGCAATGTGTGAGGGTTTCGGTTTCTCCACTTCCTTGTCAACACTTGCTATTGTCCACCTTTTTATTTATAGCCATTCTAGTGGGTGTGAAGTGGTATCTTATTGTGAGTTTAATTTGAATTTCCCTAATGACTGATGATGTTGAACATTTTGTGTGCTTATTGGCCACTCTTACATCTTCTTTGATGAAGTGTCTTTTTAAATCTTTTTGCCCATTTTAAAATTAGGTTATCTTCCTACTGAGTTGAAAGAGCTCTCTATATACTCTGGTTACAAGTCCTTTATCAGATGTATTTTTTGTAAGTAACTTCTCCCAGGCTGTGGCTTTTGAATTGCAAATGGTTTTAATACAGTAATGATGAAGTCCCATTTAAACTGTTTGTCTTTTATGGATTGTGGATTGTACTTGGGGTGTTATATTCAAGAACTGTTTGCCTAACCAAAGTCATAGAGATATTCTCCTATGTTTTTCATTAAAAGTTTATTGTTTTAATTATTATGTTTAGGTCTGAAATCCATTTTTAGTGCATTTTTTGTGTACGGTGTGTTGTCTAACTTCATCTCTTTGCATAGGGATATTTAATTGTCCCAGCATCATTTGTTCAAAAGAGTATTATTTTCTCCAATTAGTTGCTTTGGCCCTTTTGTTGAACACTAATTGATCACATATGTAAGGCTTCATTTGGAATTTTCATTCTGTTCCATTGATATGTCTGTATCTTTTTTTTTTTTTTTTTCTTAAGACGGAGTCTCACTCTGTCATCAAGGCGGGAGTGCAGTGGCACAATCTCGGCACACTGCAACCTTTGCCTCCTGGGTTCAAGCGATTCTTCTGCTTCAGCCTTCCGAGTAGCTGGAACTACAGGTGCGTGCCACCACACCCAGCTAATTTTTGTATTTTTAGTAGAGACCGGGTTTCACCATATTGGCCAGGCTGGTCTCGAACTCCTGAGTTTGTCATCTGCCTGCCTTGGCCTCCCAAAGTGCTGGGATTACATGCATGAGTCACTGTGCCTGGCCAATCTAGATCTGTCCTTATATCAATGCCACAATGCCTTGATTGCTGTAACTTTATAAGATTTGAAATCAGGAAATATAAGCCCTCTACCTCTTTTTTTTTTTTTTTTTTCTTTTTTTTTTTTCAGTAACTTTGGCCCTTGTGGTCCTTGCCATTTCTATATAAAGTTGAGATCATTTTGTAGATTTCTTGAAAAATGCTTGCTGGAATTTTGATAGAGATTGTGTAGAATCAACAGATTAATTTGGGGATTATTGCCATCCTAACAATTTTGAGACTTCCAATCCATGTATGGTGAGTGTCTCACCATTTATATTGACTTCTGATGTCTCCCAGCAATGTTTTCTAGTTTTTAATGTGCAAACCTTGCACTTCTTTTGTTAACTTTATTCCTAAATATTTTATTCTTTTTGATGCTATTGTGAGTGAGATAGTTTTCTTAATTTTATTTTCAGGTTGTCACTTGCTAGAATGTAGATATACAATTGATTTTTTTATCTTATTGATCTTATATTCTGCAACCTGGGTAACCTTGGTTATTAGTTCTAGTTCTTTGAGGATTCCTTAGTATTTTCTACAAAGAAAATCATGTCATTTGTAAATAAAACCAGTTTTACCTCTTCCTTTCAATCTGGATTCTTTTCTTTCAGAGACATTTTATAAATAAAAAAGCAAACACCTACATATACTTTTTTAGTACCTAACATGCTTTCTTCCCCTTTTTTATAGCTGCAGAGAAGGTATAATGTATTTCATATCAGTCACTTCTTTTTTATGTTCCCTTTTTTAAGGAGAAAATAAAAATATATTTTTTAACATCATTTTAGTCTCTAGTTTTATATCAGTGTTTTATATTTTACCATCTAAATCATCTGTTATTTCTAAAATGCAGATTTCGTTTCCTTTTCTAGATGGGGAAACTGACACAAAGAGGTTATGGCTTGCCTAAATAGAGACCGCTAATAAAGGGAAGACCTGAAACTGGCCTAGCTGTTTGGAATCCTGACACAGAGCTTTTTTTTTTTTTTCCCTGCATCAAAGTTGCTGCCATTCCTCCTGCCTAATGAGCAGGACTTTACAATTGCCCCTACTAAACATGCTCTGATTTAGCCCATCATTCCTGTTATTATTTGGGATCCTGACAGAGGCCCTCTCTCTGATGAGTATTGTATGTAAATTCTCCTGCTTTCCATATCTAAGACATTTATGTCTAAAATCTTAAGAAGGAATAGCCAGCACCAAACCCAGTGATTGCACACAGTAATTGCTTAGTAAATATTTGTTGTCAAATGCAAGATGTACCACTCAGTAAAGACATCTGTTTTGAAATTATATTT
Organism: Homo sapiens; assembly: GCF_000001405.40. NCBI lineage: Eukaryota > Metazoa > Chordata > Mammalia > Primates > Hominidae > Homo > Homo sapiens. Next base: position 73,598,105 of record NC_000002.12, read on the forward strand.
GGATAAGGTTGGTTCAATCAGTTATGATTCTATCAACTTGTATTATCATCCAACCCATATAACTCCATCTTGCCCTCAAAGATGCTATTAAATGTTTTGGCATTTTGTTCAAATCTAGGTATGGTATGCTATGTATTCTTTTGGTTAGCCAGTAAAGTGACCTTATGTACTAGAGAAAACAAGGCTAACCTGGCAGGGCATGCTCTGCCTGCCTGACTGAGCCTGGCTTAAATCTGCTCATCTTTTTTTTCACCAGTTCCTTGCAAATTATCTGATTCGTGATGCATCCTAAATTTTACATGTCATCAGTGTTCAGCCCACTAGTTTGCAATGCCTACCTTTCCGAAAATCAAAGTATTTCCTTTCTTCAAGTGTCTAACATAGATCTTCCTCCCCAAAATTCTGTTACAAGTTTCTTTGTGACTCTGGAATATGGTTTATCTAGTTCAAGGGATCAGATATGCTCAGTTTCCTATCCTTACCCTGGCTTTAATTTACCTCCACCAGACCTGCCTAAGTAGAAAATTCCCTAACATTTATTCAAAATATAGATTACCAGACCCCTCCCCTAGAGATTCCAATTCATTATTCTGGGTTAGCCTCCCTCTGTCCTTATTAACGATGGAGATATTAACAATGAACAAGTTTAAGAAGCACTATTTTACACTATAGTATTTGTTCAGCTATATCTTGTTAATCATTTTGTCATCCACCGACATTCCACCATCAGCTGCAATCCCTGAAATTGCCTTCATTGCTCTACTTGCTCTGAACGTAATTTAAAAGGCCTTTGGGACTCTCTAATACTTTTTGCAATGCTCTACTCATCAGGACGTCTCACGAGCCTTGTAGGTCTTTGGTGTTTGTCTTAGTATACGTGTTTGAGTCAGCTCTTAATTGGAGAGCGCTCTCTTCAGTTCATCACTCTTTTTAGCTATCTCCAGGCCTCTTTATCTCACATGAAAATTATGTGCAGGTGTCACTTCAGAATTTCATTCTGAAGATGCATCAGACTAATGTTTGGCTAGCATTCTCTTCAGAGTTTTTCCAAGCCCAGTGAAAATAGCCAGGCTTTTTTTTGTCTTACCACCTTATAACAGCTTAAGTCCTATCCACCTACAACATTCTCCCTATCACAGATACAAGGCAGCAAGTTCACAGTATCTCAAGCTTCCTCCAAATGCATCTCAACAGTTTGAATTGGATTAGAAAGAGGACTTGTTGGCTTGCTTATCCTGTGGATAACTGTGACATTGACTGCAGGTAATAATAACAAGATCTCTTTTATTTTTCTAGGTAGCAAACCATGTGATTTCTTCTGACTCTATTTCCTCTTCTGCCAGTAGTTTCCTGAGCTCAAACTCTACTTTTTGCAACAAGCAGAATGTACACATGTTAAACAAGGGCATACAAGCAGGTAATTACTTGAATCTAAACTTTTTCATTGAAATACATTGAAATGGCTCTTAAACATGTAAGATACTCAACCTCAATCATAATAAAGGACATGAAGATAAAACTATATCCAACTGCCAATTTTCATCTTGTCAGATTGGCATAAATTCAAGTTTGATGGCAAGTTTGTGGGCAAGAGTGTAGGGAAGCGGGTTCCCTTGTATATTTCAGTGGGAGTAGAAGTTGATTCACTGTGAAAGGCAATTTGAAAGTTCCTATCAAAATTACTTTCACTCAGCATTTTTACTTTTGAAATGTCTGCTATAGATATACTATGAATATGTGGAATTTAACCTATAGATATACTTGCATATGTGCAAAATAGTGTACAAAATTAACCACTAAAACATTGTTTATAGCAGGAGATTAAAGTGAATTTAGGTGTTCCTCAGTAGCTGAATGATTACATAAATTATTGTATGTCTAGATAATGAATGAAATTCTACATAGAATGAGGAAGCTCTCTCTGTACTAACATGGAAAGATTTCCAAGGCATGTAATTGATTTTAAGAAAAGGTACAGAACAGTGTATAGCATACTACAATATGAATTTTTTTTAATAAAAGAAAGAAAGGAGGGAAGAGAATTGCTTAAATGTGCAAAACGAATTCTCTGGAACCATATGGGGTTGTGAACAGAATAAATGGAGACCAGAAGTGGGAAGGAGGATTTTTAGCTATTGCCTTTCTATACCTTTTGGTTTCATAAAATAAAAATAAATAAACTTTCATCTTGATTTGTTTCTTCCCCTCAAATCCTGTCTTCTGTCAGCCTCTTCCTTACCTGCGTGACTACCAAAAGGACTCTTAAGTATTTATTGTCTTTCTAACTTGGGATCAGAGTTGAAATCCTTTACCCTTTGAACCCATATTCATTCTTCTTTCCCTCTCATACCTAAAATGAGTTACAAATAAAACCCTTTCTTTTTTCTTTGCCCTCTTTTTCCCTCCTACTCTCCCCTGTCCTTCTTTCTCTTCCTCTCTCTTCGCATCCCTCCATCCCACACAAAGGGATTGTATTTTTGAAACATTAAAAAGGGTTCACGTACTCACTTGAATAAATCTGTCAACTCAGCCTCAAGGTTACTCCCAGAGACACCTATGATCCTTCCCCTCAGGTAACTTGGAGATTGTGAACGGTGCCAAAAAACACACTCGAGATGTTGGGATAACTTTCCCAACTCCAAGTTCCAGCGAGGCTAAATTGGAAGAGAACAGTGATGTGACTTCTTGGTCAGAAGAAAAACGTGAAGAGAAAATGCTCTTTACCGGTTATCCTGAGGACAGAAAGTTAAAAAAGAACAAGAAGAATTCCCATGAAGGTCAGTTTCTCATTCCAGATCTTGTAGTAGAGAAACTAGTGAATTTCAAGTCCCCTGCGATGCTGACTCTGTGTTTCCAAGTGACTCTATGTGGTCCCCACCTACCCCCAGCCACAACCTTGTCAGGTTTTCAGAGTCCAGCATGGCAGTTACACAGTCATCCCTGCAGCAAAACCAGACTCAAGGGCACCCTGTGGCCTCTGACAGCTGAGACCCCTGAGAACCTGTATTATATGCATATCCTGGATAAGAGCTGGGTGGGGCTGTAAAAAAGTGAAAAATCTGTGTTCCTTCTAAAAACTGTTTCCTGTAGGAGTTTCCTGGTTTGTTCCTGTGGAAAATGTGGAGTCTAGATCAAAGAAGGAAAACGTGCCTAACACTTGTGGCCCTGGCATCTCCTGGTTTGAACCAATAACCAAGACCAGACCCTGGAGGGAGCCACTGCGGGAGCAGAACTGTCAGGGGCAGCACCTGGACGGTCGGGGCTACCTGGCAGGCCCAGGCAGAGAGGCTGGCAGAGACCTACTGAGGCCATTTGTGAGAGCAACCCTTCAGGTGCAGTGACGTTGACTTAACTTTAATGCTACGTGTAGGGAGAAGAAGGGCAAGGCGCAGAGAAGCTGGCTCTGTGACTTGGTGAGCTGAGGTGTAGGCCTGAGACGCTCTTTTCCAGCACCTCCGCAGTTCACCTGTTTTCACGCACGAGGGTTGGGTTTCTCATCATCTGTCAAAGGCTGCCTTACTCCTAACCATAGATGGTGCATCACCGTCGGGATCTGGGGACAAGGCCGCAGGAGGGAGGATTTGCATCTCTGCTTATTGGGCCTGTGGGTCCCTGTGTGTGGAGGGCCCGGAGGCCTGACGCTTGTGCGGCCTCATGTGTGTTCCTCCATGTCCGTAGCTCCTGTTTCTGCTCCATGTCGGATTTAAAGGAAACCAGGTCTCTTCTGATGTGTCCCTTGGGGGATAAAGGAAATGTTATTAATGATGTATTTGTCTGAATAGATCTTTAAAATAGCACTGTGGGAAGAGCTGTATTGCACTGACATTTCAAAGAGTTGTAATCGCCATAGTCTTAGTTCCTGGCCTATGCTGAAGGCATGTCTTTGATCCCTGCGGTTTCCAAGCTGCAGCTCTCCCCCATAGAGAGATGTCAGAGGATTCTTCAACGCTAGATACTTTCTCGGCATTTGAATCAGACTTCCCCAAACCTCTTGGGCAGGTGGTGTGTCTCCAGGCATATGGAGAGTAGATTGCATCATTAATCTGAGGCTGGGCATTTTCTCTTTTTTTTTTCTTTTAGGAATCGCTTCAGTTTCACAGACCTGACTTCATCTCCCGCTCTGGGGAGCGGATAAAGCGCCTGAAGTTAATAGTCCAGGAGAGGAAGCTGCAGAGCATGTTACAGACCGAGCGGGATGCACTATTCAACATTGACAGGGAACGGCAGGGCCACCAGAATCGCATGTGCCCGCTGCCCAAGAGAGGTACGCCCTGCCCGTTCACTTTCCTGTGAGTGGAATAGAGAAGGCAAGGTCTGCTGCTCTGCTGCAGAGCCCTGCTAAAGGCCAGCCCAGGCCAGTTACCTGGGCAGACAGTGACCTTTTGCTTGCCAAGACTCAAACCTTCTTAGCTAGCAGAATCTCCCCAACTTAGCCGTCAGCACATTCATGATCCAAGTAAGCCCAGTTACTCTAAGCCCTGTCACTGCATCGTAAACCAGCTCTGTGTCTGTGAGCAAGTTAGTTCCAAAAGTATATTGATTTTTCCTGAAAAGATGGGGCTGATTCCAGGCTTGCCTACCTCTTAGGATGGTAATAATAATAATAATAAACACATAGTCCTTACATCTTGCCCAGGCACTGTTCACATTAGCGCTTACAGCACTCTCAGTAGGTACTATTAATATATCTACTTTATAGTGAGAAAACTGAATCAAAGGGAGATTAAGTACCTCTCCCAAGATGACATACCTAGTAAGTAAAAGCTAAGATTTGAACCCAGGTGTGCTCCTCTGGAGTCTGCATTCTTAACAATTATGATAAGCAGATCTTGATAAAATAATGAAAGCTGTGAAAACTACAAAGCACTACCTAATTCTTTTATCCAACTTTAGAAACCGGCCAGATTTTTAATTCAAAGCCTAGTCTTTGCTACAGAGTGTTAGGTCCTTAGGGCCTTAGGCTGCTGTCCCTGTTACCCTAGTCTTACACTGGCTTGCCTTGGTCATTGCTCCCCACTCAGTCTTGCCAGCTCAGGGTAGGGGCACCAAGTCCTAGCAGCTCCCTCTCCCAGCTCTTGCACCACACCCTCTGGGTTAAGTCACTGTCCACTGAAAACCCTTTCTTCTCTTGCCTAGTCTTCCTGGCTATCCAGAAGAACAAGCCTATCAGCAAGAAGGAAATGATTCAGAGGTCCAAACGGTAAGACCAAGAAAACAAGAGTACGTATACAAGTGTAAACCAGGCCACCAAGTGGTCGGGAGCTCTGGCTTGCACCCAGAATAAATGTATTATACTCAAGTTTAAACATTATGAGAAAGTTGTGAGAGTCATTTCTCACTTATGGCACTGAAAAAAAAAAAAGCACATCATGGTATGAATGACTCATATGCAAAAGATGAAAAACTTCTCACTAATTTGCATGTCTTAGGCTCCTCTTTATTAGAAACCTAAATGTAAATAAAGAATATTTTAGGCCAGGTACGGTGGCTCATGCCTGTAATCCCAGCACTTAGGGAGGCCGAGGTGTGCAGATCACATGAGGTTAGGAGTTCGAGACCAGCCTGGCCAACATGGTGAAACTCCATCTCTACTCAAAATACAAAAATTAGCTGGGTGTGGAGGCACACGCCTGTAATCCCAGCTACTCAGTAGGCTGAGCCGGGAGGATCTCTTGAACCTGGGAGGCAGAGGTTGCAGTGAGCTTAGATGGTGCCACTGTACTCCAGTCTGGGCGACAGAACGAGACTCCATCTCAAAAAAATTAAAAAAAAAGATTATTTTGAAATAAAATTAAATATGTATTTAGACCACATCTTTTATTCTAGCAATCCCATTTCTAGGAATTGATCCCATAGGGTGAGAAAGAACAGTGTTCTCCAGAACACAGTAAGTTAAACTTTTTTAAAAGATTAAAATTTCGAAGCATGTGAACACTGTTTCCATTTGTGGTCTTTAAAAATAAGTATTTGTGCCTATGTAGATGTGTGTACTTTTATATGCATAGAATATTTCTGGAAGACAGAAAAAACTGGTAATACTGATTGCCTTTGGAAAGGATAACAGTAGATTTTTTGACTTTTTATAATTTTTGAATTTTGTGCCATGATGAACGAACATTAGCTACTCGTTAATTAATTCATTTGAGTGTTGAATGTGGTGGTACATTTCTGTAATCCTACCTACTCAGGAGTCTTAGGTGAGAGAATCTCTTAAGCCCAGGAATTTGAGACTGCAGTGAGCTGTGATCACACCATTACGCTCCGGCCTGGGTAACAGACTGAAACTCTGTATTCAAAAAATAATAAATACAATTTTTAAAAATTAATTCATTTCAGATATTCATATATTGATCATGAGAATGCCAGAGAATAAGGTTGACTTTTTTAGGCATTCATTGGACACTTGCTTTAATAAGAATAGTTTCTTAGTTGGCATAATGCTTCTGAAGTAATGGTACTTTAAAATAATTTATCTCATGAACTTTAAGCATTCCTCTTGAAATCTTGTTTTTACTCTATCTAGTCAGCCCTTATAGGCAATCCAAAGGGATGCTTTGGATGCTTTAGTCCAGTGGTTCTCAGAGAGTGGTCTGTGGAGTCCTGGAAGTTGCTGAGACCCTTTCAGGCAATTTGCAAGCTCAAAACTAATTTCAGAATGACACCAGGATGTTCTGTGCCTTTTTTGCTGTGTTGGCTATTTGCACTGATGATGCAAGAGAAATGGGGAGGAGTAAAATCACTGGTGTCTTACCACTATTCAAGACAGTGGCACCAAACTGTAGTAGTCTAGTAGGCATTGTATCCTGCACAGCCTCCCGCCAGGAGTGTGATGGAAGAACAAGGAAGCAGTGTAAATGGAGGTACACGGGAAGCACTTCCTTTGCACCGTGAAGGATGATGACTGTTTTAAGGAAAAGCACTTATGCCATGGTTTGTGTCGTGAGCTGAACCAGCTGCCTTTTTCATGGAACATGACTTTTACTTGAAAGAGTAACTGACAGAAAACCAATTATTCTGACTTGTGTTTGTAGCAGACATTTTCTTGAAAATGAAGAAGTGGGTCTGTGACTTCAGGAAAATGTCTGACAGTATCTGTTGCCAAAGAAAATGTGAGTTTTCAAGCCAACAATAGAAATCTAGAAAACTTGTATTCACCTCCATGGGCTTGATGACCTCTTAGTACTTAGACCTTTCTGACGAGATAAGCGGTGGCATTAACAAATGTGATGTTTTTCATGTTATCTAAATACATTTGTCAACATTTGGAAGATCTGCACAACTCCCTGGACCAGGATTTTCCAAATGATTGTTGCTTTTTGTTACAAAATCAGGGAATAGATAGAAGATTCATTCAAATAATGAAAGATAGACTGATGGATTTTTATGTAACAGAATAGGAAAAGTTTATGACATGTTTTCAGATTCCACCTTGCAACTAATTTTTAAGAAGCTACCACTTGTCAGCCAGGCACAGTGGCTCACGCCTATAATCCCAACACTTTGGGAGTCCAAGGTGGGCAGATCACTTGAGGTCAGGAGTTCAAGCCTGGCCAACATGGTGAAAGACTTCTCTACTAAAACTACAAAAATTAGCTGGGCATGGTGGTGGGTACCTGTAATCCCAGCTACTCTGGAGGCTGAGGCAGGAGAATTGCCTGAGCCTGGGAGGCAGAGGTTGCAGTGAGCCAAGATCGCGCCACTGCACACCAGCCTGGGCAACAAGTGCGAAACTCTGTCTCAAAAAAAAAAAAAGAAAGAAAAGAAACTATCACTTATCAAGTTTGGGTGTAGTATCAAAGAAGATCAAGAGTTACCTGAAAAGAGTATTGCAGTAACTTCTCTCGTTTCCAAGTACGTGGAAAATCTATATGTAAGCTGGATTTTTTAATGTATACTTTAACCAGAGCAGGTTGGGACAGCAGACTTAATACAGAAGCAGATACAAGTCCAGCTGTCTTCCATTAAACCAGACATTAAAGAGTTTTCTAAAAAATGTAAACAGTGCCACTCTTCTCACTAACATTTTTTTGTTTTCAAAAAGTCTTTATTTCCCATTAAAAATACAGGTTTCTTATGTTAGCCTGTCACAGGCTTATTGTTATTTCAAGTGAATAAAAAAATAAAGTTTTGCTTAATTTTTAATTTTAATTTTTGATACAGTATCAATAGATAAAACCTACATTGGGATCTTCAGCATTTGGGAGTGTGAAGGGGGCCCTAAGTCTAAAATATTTTTGAACCACTGCTTCATTCTAACTCAGTCACAAAATGGAATTAGGGGAAATCATACAGGGTTTGTTGTGGGGCAGCTACTAATACTCTCACCTCAGCAAGAGCAGTCCCTGCTGTAAGGGACTAGGAAGCTTGCCTACAGGAAGACAGCCAGGACATCTCCTAAAATGTATCAATGCTTTCGACGAGAAATATATGAGTGGATTTAGTGCCCATCTTCTGGAGAGACTTTTTAAACTGTTTTTAAACTGGTACATTTTCATTAGGTTGCTTCTGTTCATGTTTATTTCTTGTGTGGCCTCTTTTCAAGGGAGTGATCTGTTTCCATCTGAGAATCTTCAATATCATCTAGTAACTCTTAATATTTAGGAAACTACAACCCAGAGAGGGGAAGTAACCCAGCAAGTTAGGGTCACAGCTGGAGTTAGAGCCTGGTGTTTGGCCTTCAATTGTGTCCTATTAAGGATTTGTGTCTCTGGAGCCTGTGTTACTCATCTTTTGTTATCACCTATCTCTACCAAAGATATTTAAAGGTTCCCGTGAGAAGGAAAGATTTCAAGAGGAAAGAACATAGCTCTTTTATTTGGAAGCACTTGTTCCAGAGTGGCCTTCAGGAGACACCTTCACCTTCTCTAATGTGTTTCCCGCAGAGCCCTCCATGAATCTAGTGATTTTTTTTCCAGATTATAGAAAACTTTAGGAAATATAGAGAAAAGTAGAAAAAAGAAAATGAATATCACTTATCATCCTTCCATCTAATGGAGGATGGGAATTTTTGGTGGGAGGCGTGGGAATTTTGCAGAGACCTGCATAACACACACTTTTTTCCCTCAAATTGTTAATCATACTGCATATACAGGTTTGTGTCTTGCTTTATTTTATTCAACATTATGTTGTGAACCTTTCCTATGACACTAAAAATTCTGAAACTTTTGTTTGGTATACATGAAACATACTTGTAACATATACATTCCATTATACTTCATAATCTATTTAACTGTTGTTTTGTTGGAAACGTATTTACAATGAGAGTGCATTTATCAAATGCACATTTGTGTTTCTCCCAACTTAAAATCATTGCCACCCAACCCCTGCTAGAACAGATCCCATGTTTTTCACATGGCCACAAGATCCTCTCTGCAGCCCACCTCACCCTCACCCCCATCTGTTTCCCACCTATTCCTTTACGCTCCTTTTTGGGAAGCCTCGAGTCCATTTTTACCAACACTCATTTTCCCCACCTTGAGTGTCTTCTGTCCTTCTCCCCATTCCCTTTCTGCTCTTATCCATCATTATTATTTTTTTATTATTATTATTATTTTTGAGATGGAGTCTCACTTTATCACCCAGCTGTAGTGCAGCAGTGGCTTGATCTTGGCTCAGTGCAACCTCTGCCACCCAGGTTCAAGCGATTCTCCTGCCTCAGCCTCCTGAGTAGCTGAGATTACAGGCATCTGCCACCATGCCCACCTAATTTTTTTTTTTTTTTTTTGGTGTGTGTGGTTTTAGTAGAGACGGGCTTTCACCATCTTGGCCAGGCTGCTCTTGAACTCCTGACCTCGTGATCCACCCACCTCAGCCTCCCAAAGTGCTGGGTTTACAGGCTTCAGCCACTGCACCCAGCGCTCCTATCTATTCTTAAGACCCAACTTACCTATAATTTCCTCTCTGGAGCCTTTCCGAACCTCCTTCCACCAGACCAAGTTTCTTCTCCTCTAGAACATTTTATAGGTGTGACCATTTTAGTACTTTTCCATAATTTCACTTGTGTTTCCAAACACAATAGTAACGCTGTTCATTATCTTATATTGAAACAGTCCATTTTTGCATGTAGAGCAGAAAGTAGAAGTTCAGCTCTCCTTCATTTATCTCACTCCTTTCCCCCCTTTATCCCACTTCTTTCCACATGTAAGCACTATTAGGATTTTATTGTGTTTGTATTTATCTCCCCTTCCAGATTGTGAGCCCCGGGCTAGGGTTTTCTGTGCTGGAGTATCTAACGGGGCCCAGGGCCTTTCTGAGAGGGATGAGCTCCTGGAGAGTGGGAGGTATAGGGAGGGATGATGAGAGGAGATCTCATGACTCTGCACCCTGGTAACCTCCCCGATTTCTGTCCTTTCACTGGTGCCATTTCTAAGGATTTATGAGCAGCTTCCAGAAGTACAGAAAAAGAGAGAAGAAGAGAAGAGAAAATCAGAATATAAGTCATACCGGCTGCGAGCCCAGCTATATAAAAAGGTCAGTGGGTCCTCTGTCTAGAGTGGGATGGATCAGGTTTATTGGCGGAAAGAGAAATGGAGAAAACACGTTGCCTGTTGAGTGTGAAGTCAGAATGAACCGCATTTGAGGAATGAACTTAGAATGCACTGGACCAGTGTTGAAATTTGGAAGAAGGCATCTGTAATTAGACTTCAAATCAGGTTTAACTCCCCATCCATAATGGTGTAAGGCCCTTTCCATGCATTCGTTTGCAGTGAAACCAAATTTCACACACAGGAGTTCATTGACATATCATGGTAGAAATACCAGAATTATCAGGTTTCCATTCCAGAGTCCCAGGTGGTGATTTCATGCCCCTCATTGGTGAGTCAGATACCTTTAGAACTGTTAAACTGGAAAATGTGTAACTGCGGCATAAGAGTTGTCCACTTGGATGGTCAGAGGCCTCCAACTTGTCACCATGCCCTGCCCATTGTCCCAGTAGAGTCAGCGTTGCTGCAAGTCCAAGAACCTCACGGGGCAGGGTTGGTGTTACCAGTTAATTCTCTGAGAAACCAGACCGGCTCCTATGCCTGAAGGGCCATATACTTCACTGTAGTTGTTTCCTTCTCACCCTGTCAGTCACCAGACTGATGTGGGATGGGAGCTGCTTCTGGAGCAGGCCCCAGAACCCAGGCGGGTGCCTCAGGTGGAGGCCCCAGGCACCACACCACCTGTCTGGTGTGTCAGCATCGCAGGGCCAGGCCTCTCCTTATGCTACTGTATGTGGGAACTGATGGATTATCTGTGTCTCTATAGAAATAATAGATATTGATTACAGATCCTCTTTCCTGAACCTTTCGTGAAGTATTTTTTATATGACGACCATAGTTTCTGAAGCAGAGTAAAATGAACAAGATTTGAATAGGACCACACTGATTCTCCTTGGTGACATGGATGCAGGGAGGAGAGGCATCTGCCTCTGATGGCAGTAATATCTAACTTCTTTCCTGCCTTTCTTTTCTTCTACAGAGAGTGACCAATCAACTTCTGGGGAGAAAAGTTCCCTGGGACTGACACAAGTTTATTTTCCTCAGAGCCTTGGAATTCTATTTTATGAACCTAGAGAAGCAGAATCCTTACTTTTGTGAGTCTGGTTGAATAAAGCTTATTCTTTGTCCATGTGTATTTTAGAAATAGTAACTTCTAAAGAGTCTGGAACAAAGTGGTGATTAAAATTCCTAATGGTTTGGGAGCAATACTTTCTGCATAGTGGCCTTGTCCAATGGCCTGTGTGTTACAATGATATGATCATTTCTCAAGAATAAGTCCCTTTTTGTATGTGTTTTTATACTTTTAGAAAATAAAAACTTTAGATTAACTCATAGTAAACAATTCTTTCCCATCTGGAGAGATGCAAGGAGCTATGCATTGTCTCCACCGAGGTGTCTAAATGCATCAGTTGAGGGAAATGGGCTCTTAGAAGGAAATGTAGCCTGTATCTTTAGAAACACAATGTGCTGTAGTGGGAGCACTGTTGTGGGCTTTGAGGAGACGGTGTCTGGTTAGATGCCCACCGGGTGCACCCAGAGACTGCAGCAGGAGAGGTGTCTTGGGTCCAGAGCCTCCTTTCAGCCCCAGTCCAGCTCCCCCAGGGACTCTCTGTGTAGGCTGGGGAGAAAGGCCACTAGCCTTGGCTGATGGATCTTCCTCCACCCACACTCGGTTTTGGGATTAAAGCCTCAGACCATTTATCATTACACGTGAAACCAACACTTACAACATAAAGGACAACTTGTGAAAAAGATGAGTCAATGAATGAGATAAAGCATTTAACCCAGTAACTGGATCAGAATGTAACAGGATTTTTTTTTTTTTTTTCATGTGGCCTGGAATTATAGCTAAGGCCCAAAGTAATGGAGGAAGGTTTTCAACAGCCTCACTCTAAGTTCAGCAAACCCCAGTACAAAGATTGGCAAGGGCCAGTCATCCACCGAGAAGGCTTCCTGGGAGGCTGGATCCAAGAGCAGGCCCTGCCCTCAAGCACGGTTCAGAGCTTTCAGATCCTGCCCCCTGGGCTCCCTGCCATGAAGAGGACACTGGGAAAAGAACCCATGGTGCATGAGGTCAACTCATAGTTCTTCCCTTTCTTGCTGGGCAAGGTAATGAAGCACTTTTGGCCAATTTACCTGTAAAATGAGAGGGTTAATACCTCTAAGCCCCTCTTTACATAAACTCTAAAACAATGTGACTATTTCCACCTCTTGTGAGACATTATTATTCAGAATAGAAACAAATTGTTGTCTCAAACCTGGGTCTGCAAAGAACCCAGGGCAAGATGGAGTCTGATGAGGAATGATGAGCATGATTCTCTCTAGGCCCAAGGCTGTGGCATCCAGACACCTTCCAAGGGCAGTTAGATTTGGTCCTGGGAGGCCCAGGTGGCAGGTGCCAGCCAGCTCCTCCCATTCCCAGCCAGGGCGCACCTCCTCAGGAGAACTTGTTAGCATCTTCACTGGGTTCCTTTAAACCAGAAATCTATGGACTTGCTTTCACATTATAACAGTATTCCCCCAGGCCACCAGCCATGGGCATGTTCCCAAGGCAATGTCAACGCACAGAAGGTGGCAGGAAGGGGACATATTGTGGAGAGTCTCACAACTGCAGTCTACCTGCTTGTCCTATGCCAGGAGACCTTTGGCTGAGTGCAGGCTGAAGAATCCAGGCATCAACCTCACAATCCCAGGGACTCCCTCAGTGTCCGTTCTGCCCCAGAGCTCAGGATGGCTTCCCACACTGCACAGTTCTGTGGGGGCTGAGAGCACCTGCTACAAACCACAGAGTCACTACCTCGTGCAGCCACTCCTGCAGCCATCAGACCTCCCTGTGTGTGGGAGGACCTTGAGCCTCTTATTTTGTTTTGGTTTGGTTTTTGTTCTTGCACAGGTGCGGGAAGCCCAAGCGGAGCCTGCATCATTGCCCCTGGTTCTTAACTGTGGTGGGATTCACTTTTGAATTGCTTCATCCTAGGCCTAGATCATACCTAACCTGGGAAGCTCCGCCCTCTTCCCTCCTGGAGGTGAGACTCCGGCCTATTCAGTCAGTCCTCTTCCCTGAGGGCAGCTTCTGTTTCAGCCCCTCCCAGCAAAGACCACCAGTGCAAGTATTTTCAGGGGAGAGAATATATGAAGAAAGCAGTCTTTTAACTGTAAATCACAATGTGTTTTGTATGTTCCCAATGAGTGTTTGGAATGATCAAATGAATGATTGTTTGGAACATTGTCTGGATGTTATCAAAACAAAAACAAACCAGGATTTATACCCCTGGCAAGTAACAAATGACTTTCCATGAGAATGCAGGTTTTGACCAAAGGAGTTTTATTACTTCTCACAAGTAAGGAGGGCACTGGGAGTGTTCTCCAAAGCAATGTTTCCTGAGAGAAAATGACAGGAGGACTTTATGTGGTGTTGGAGAGGGGAGAGGGTGCATCATCGCATGTAGAGGAGGGTTCCCAGTGGCACAGATGCAGTGAGTCATGGTGCCAGCACATAGGTTGCATGTTATGGTAATGAATCTACAGGTCTCCTGAGGTGCAGGCTTTAGCTTGGTCATGAGGAAAGTTCACTGGGGTTCATCTGTAAGTTGTCAGGGTCTTTCAGGAGCTGGTTCCAACCAACTAGGTGACCACATTTCACACAGGGTTTGGGATAAAACTGGCTTCAAGGCAAGAGGCTGTAAAACAGGCTGACTGCTTGAATTGACAAAATTCCTATACTCCCTGGATTCCCTCCCTGTTGGCCTACAAATTTCCTTCCCTGGAGATATGTCACTCCTCATTCTTGAGAGGTCCTTCTTCTGTAACTTCATGCTGATTAGGGATGCCGTGTCCAGAGATATTAGGGGAGTGAAAATCTCTAGACACTAAATCTAAATGTGTTTTGAGGTCTCCCAAGATAGGCTGCAAAGGCTGGTATTGTTGGAAGCTGCAGTTGTAATTTTTCTAATCTGGAAGATACAAATTTTACCAAGAGATTTAAGATCCAGGGACCAAACAACAGTAGTACAAACAATAAAGTTAGTAGTTCTACTAGGGGCAGAATATTACCAAGTAATTGGTATTGCCCATTTGATAGCTTCCCAAATAGTCAGAACTATGGCCCTGTGGATTAAAAGCCGTGTAACCAAGAGGCTTGGGCATAGACCTTCTTAATGTCAACTTCTATTTCCCCTGAGGTGTTTACTCAGGGACAGCAAGAGGAATTAGTAACTGCACACACTCCTCCCTGTTCCACTAAAAGATTGTCTAATACTGTACCATTACCTAGCACCACAGTAACCAAGGAGTCAACTGAGGATGCTAAAGACTCAAGTTTTCTAGTCAAGTTTTTTACGGTGGTTTCATGATAAGCAAATCCCCAAAGAGCAGCCATCCTGGATGCTGCTCCCATCTCCCCCAAAATTAAACTCCTTGCTCTTTTTTTTTTTTTGAGTTGGAGTCTCGCTCTGTCACCCTGTCTGGATTGCAGTGGCGGGATCTCAGCTCACTGCAAGCTCTGCCTCCCGGGATCACGCCATTCTCCTGCTTCAGCCTTCTGAGTAGCTGGGACCACAGGCGTCCACCACCATGCCCGGCTAATTTTTTGTATTGTTAGTAGAGACGGGGTTTCACCATGATCGAGCCAGGATGGTCTCGATCTCCTGACCTCGGGATCCGCCCACTTTGGCCTCCCAAAGTGCTGGGATTACAGGCGTGAGCCACTGCGCCCAGCGCCAACTCATTTCTCTTTTTGACCTGACTTGTAGTAGACCCGCCTCAACAGCCTCAATATCAGAGGCTCTCGCAGGCCAATTGTACATTGTCCTTCCATCCAAACGTCCTCCGTGCAGGGATGAGCGATGTCAAGTGGGGTAAAGGGAAGGAACCTCAAGGCAAACAGGCGTGGGGTAGATATTTGTGGGGGACCCACAGATGAACACATTCCCCCTGAGGGGCACATACTCATTTGGGGATAAAGATATTTAGCTGTACACAGTGGCTGATACCTGTAATCCCAGCACTTGGGGAGGCCGAGGCAGGCAGATCACTTGAGGTCAGGAGTTCGAGACCAACCTGGCCAACATGGTGAAACCCCGTCTCTACTAAAAATAAAAAAATTAGCCAGGCGTGGTGGTGTGCACCTGGAATCCCAGCTACTCAGGAGGCTGAGACAGGAGAATCGCTTGAACCCAGGAGGCGGAGGTTGCAGTGAGCTGAGATTGCGCCTCTACACTCTAGCCTGGGTGACAGAGCAAGACTCCGTCTCAAAAAAAAAAAAAAAAAAGACATTTAATAGTGGTGCTATTTGGCTCCAGGTGCCATTAGTTTTACATAAAGGGAGACCGGCCCACCCCGCAGGTGGTCCCTGTCCCTGCAGTCAGCTGAGACATTATTCTTATAAGGTGTTGGCCTGTTTACCTGGGTGTACCAGAAACTGGGGCTTGGTATTCCTCACCATGAACTGCATTTACTGCTCTGTCCTCAATATTTTTTAGTGATGTTCATGTCAGGACACCAGTAAGTAATATTGGGGTGGCAGGTGGTAGGTAGTGTTCAAGGAGACCGGTTACCTCCCTTTTGTGTCTGGTCCTGTGTCAGTGTAGTAAGTCTGCCCTGGAGGAATTGCACAGCTTCTGCATACTTGCTGTATAGCTGAGCCATTTAGCAAGGTTGACACCTAGGTGGCATTTGCTATAGAGATGCTAGTCAAGGTGATGCAAGGGATTTCCCCACTCTCCAGGAAGAGCGTAACCACAGGGAAGGGGAGCTTGCTCCAGTTCTGTGGGTGAAAGTGAAATGTGAAGATTGCCACAAGTTCTGTCACTTGGGCAGACCAAGTTCATGGGTGCCTATAGCATATCCAGCATTGGAACAGGCTATTTCCCTTCACTGTGATGTGGGGAAAACTGACTATTGTATTGTCTTCCCGGAGACCACTGGCCATGGTAATAAAAGGGACTAACCAGTAGAGAGAGACCAAGTTCATTGTATATACTACATGGTGATTTAGCACCAGTTAAGAGTTTTTACAGAATGTAAAAGAGCATAGAGATTCCTCTAAGAATGAAGAAATTCCTGATACATCGAGAGCATTGCAAGGGCACATTTTACTTATCTATGTCCTTTCTCTGGAAGAGGAGCTTAAGATCAGAGGCCAGTTCATAGGAATAAGTTGGATCTAATGAAGCCTGGTCTGAGGGCGCTGGTGCAGGCTTCATTCAGGAATGACAGATCCAGGGTGTGAGTCCCTGCAATTTAAGAGAAGAATGAGTGGTTATCACCACAGGGTAGGGCCCAGTCCAGACAGGATTTAGCTGGTCTTGAGGTGATTTAGATTTCCAAGTCTTAAGGTGACCTCAGTCTCAAGGTTGATATAGGTGAAGCTTAACATCAGTGGGAACTGGAAGACAGGTTCACATATTAGATTGAGAGCTTGTGTTAGTTTTCCTAAATACACAATATGTTTTACATCCCTCTCAGTCTCACCATCAGGGCATGTCAAAGGTTCCATTGTGCCAGGGTAAGCTCTTCCATATAGTAATTCAAAAGGGCTAAGTCTCACTTTCCCTTTTGGTGCCAGCTGAAGTCATGTTAGTGTGATGGAGAGGCACTTCAGCCAGCTTTCATGAGTTTCCTGGCATGGTTTAGCTAAAGTGACCTTTATGGTTCTATTAGTATCTTTGTCCTTTTCAGATGACTGGGGCCTCCAGTCTGCATGTAGTCTCCATTTGATTTCCAAGGCAGAGAATACCCCCTGGCTAACTTTGGAAATGAAGGCAGCTCCATTGTCACTCTGGATCAATCAAGGTAAGCCACACTTCAAGAGGATGTCTTTAAGTAAAGCTCTGGCATCATTTGCCTTTTCTGTGTGACAAGGTAAGGCTTCTATCCAGCCAGTAAAGGTGTCCACACAAACCAGCTGGTACATGAGGTTTCCAGGTGCCTGGAGCATCACTGTAAAGTCTATTTGCCATTCTTCTCCTGGTATGCCCGCCTCCGCCCCTTAGTTGAGGCACAGAGAGCCTGGTCTGAGCATTATTCTGTACATATTTGTGGCACTTGTTAGAGATTTAGTCTATTTGACCACTTGGATCGGGTACCTTTATTACACTCATCAACCAATTGTGTAAGGTTTTGATATGGTTAGGCTTTGCGTCCCCACCCAAATCTCATCTTGAATTGTAATCCTCGTAATCCCCACGTGCCTAGGGAGAGACCTGTGTAGATGATTGAATCATGGGGGAGGTTTCTCCCATACTGTTCTCGTGATAGTGAATTCTCACAAGATCTGATGGATTTATGAGGGGCTCTTTCCCCTTCGCTCCTCACTCTTCTCTCTCCTGCCGCTGCCGTGTGAGAAAGCCTAAGCTTGCCTCCCGGTTGCCTTCTGCCATGATTGTAAGTTTCCTGAGGCCTCCCCAGCCATGCGGAACTGTGAGTCCATTAAACCTCTTTCCTTTATAAATTACCCAGTCTCAAGTATTTCTTTACAGCAGTGTGAGAACAGATACCAAAATGTGATGATTCATGGACATATTTAATTACAGCCCAGCCTAGGTTTTCTGGAATCTGGAGTCTTCCTTTGTCATTGATAGCTCATCCTTCCAAATCCAAATGTGGGAGATACCTTTCCCATTTGGATTTTTCTAATTTCTGAGTAGTAGGGCCAAAACTTGTGGAGTGACAAATCTGGGGATCAGGGTCATTTGCAAACTTTGAACTGTTCATGCTGCCTTCTTAGCAGCTGTGTCTGCTAGGTTATTTCCTTTTATAACCTCAGAATTCCCCTCTGGTGTCCCCAGCAGTGGACCGCCACTAACCTTTTAGGTAACTGTACTACCTGTAACAGCTGTAATATTTCTTATGCACGCCTTATCTCCTTATTGTCCACAGTCATGGTTCCAAGGGGGATAATCCCAGAGGCATACTTCTCATCTCTCTAGGAATGGGGATGGATTTTCATTAGGGTCTTGTTCTGTTTCCTGGAGTTTTCCCCAATTGATTGGCTTACTTCCCTCATGCCTCTGAGTAGCATATTGCTACAATGATCCCTGTTATCACTGGAGTCCCAGTTTGGGTCGGCTGTTGGGACTGACACCTCAGCAGCCAAGTAGATTTGGTAGCCCATGTTATCAGCCTACATTTTGTCTGCCTCTTCCTTAGCTTTGCCCGTGATGGTAGATTTCTTTTCCACCACGAGCAGAGTTGCCATTAAGGTCTGCATGTCTGACCAGGTGAGGTTATGTGTGAAGAATATTCCCCTTCTGAGAGTTCTGAACTCTCATGGGCTCACTGGTAAGCCTTTAATATTGGATTTCTCATTGTACAAATCAGTAGTTGTAAGAGGTACATAGACCCAAACAAAACCTCCCTCTCCATCACACACCTGCCTGGGTGGGAACCATCCCACTCTGGGGTTCCCTCTCAGGGAACTTGTTATGCTGGTAACTTGAGCTACCAAATCTATTGACTACTGAGGTGTCAGTCCTAACACAACCCAAAGTGTGACCCCAGTGATAATGGGGATCAACAACAGCCAGATCATTATGGGAATATGCTGCTCAGAGGCATGAGGGAAGTAAGCCAGCCACCAGTCAGAAGGGGAGTGGTGAGTGGTGCTGCCTGGCAAAGAGGGATACATCTGCAAGCCTCATAAAATGAGTTGGGATGAGGTTTTTCTTTTTTATTCTCTAGAAGAATTTAATGTAGTTTATTGCTTAAATGATTAGGAGAATTCACCAGTGAAACCCATCTGGGCCTGAACTTTCTTTTGTGGAAATCATTTTTTTCAGTAGCTATTCAGATTTCAGTTTTCCTTTTATGCCAAGGTTTGGCAAGTTTTGTTTTTCAAGGAATTTGTCCATTTCATAGTTACAAATTGATTGATCCAATGTTATAATATCCTTTTGTTAATGTCTGGAGGTTCTAGGATCTGTAATGATGTTCCATTTTTATTCCTGATATTATTTTTGCCTCCTGTCATTTTTACCTGATCACTCTTTCCAAGGGGTGTATACATTTCACTGGTATTGTCAAATAACCCACTTTGGGTTTTATTGATTTTTCTCTATCATATATTGGTCTTATATTGATTTTTTGTTGTTTATTTTGGGGCCTGCTGTTGCCATAGCAGGAGCCACAGCCAGCTCCACAGAATTCGGAAGGCCTGGCAAGTATGGAGGAAGACCCTTGCTTTCCCCTGGAGGTGCTGAGAGTTTAATTCCAGAGGAAGTAGGGGAGTTATTTCCCTGTATTGGCAAAGGTTCTAGTTTTTGAGTAGGACTAAAGGACCTCACCTCTCTTGAAGGAGAAGTAGAGAGGCTTCTTCTCATTCCCTTCCCTACAAGTCCCCACATGACTGGTTCTTCCTCTCCAGGGGCTTCTAGAATTAGCAACGTTGTTCCCTTTGGTCCTTTGACCAATTACATATCCTGCACTTCTTCTGTAAGGCTGGGTGTTGATAGAGGGCCATAAGACATTATACATAAGGTATTTTATCCCATTTACCTTGTTTCTTACAAAATAAGTCCCAGTTGGAGAATTGTATTACTAATGTATGTAAGTAACTCATGTTCAGACCATCTCTCCTGATTCCCTAGGGAACAATGGGGCCACATGGCATTACGGTAATATATCATTTGCTTTTTGGTCATGGATATGGGCATCCAAATAGTTTTCAGTGCCGGAGGAGCCACTGTAACGGGCTCTCCTCCAGTATTGAGACCTGGTTCCCCATATTGAGACCTGGTTCCCCATATTCTAGGGTCTTTGCCCAGAAGGCTGATTCCACTCTCCAAGGAGCTTCCACTGGGGATTGGTGATGACACAAATCCTGTAACTCTTAGCCTGTAGGATATTTCTGGTCCTTTCAGCTTGCCACTACACCCAGGCCACCATGGAGTGGAGGTACTGGGGAGCTAGGAGAGGATAATAGGGGTTGCCTCTCCCTGGATCATGTTCAGTCTGGGTAGCTTCGCTGGAGATCTCATGGAGATTCCAGAGTAGTTCTGGATCCAGCTTGAGTGGTGGGAGGTATGTAAATCAATCAAGTAAGCAAGGTGTTCTTTCGGGAGAGGGTGCATGCTCTGCTCATGTAAACTCTACATCACTGTATTTTGGTTCCAGGAATTATAATCCCACCCAAACTGCACCATTCTAAATTAGGCCTCTTCAAATCAATAACAGTTCTTCTGTGACTGCTGGAAAATGGAAGCCCACTATTTTAGGGATTACCACAGACTAAGGGGAAGGGAATCCAGACTTCACATGCATTCAGGTCACAAAGATGCATAAGTATTGCCAAAAGTGACAAGCATTCAGCCTACAGATATACCAGACAGGGACAAAGTCTTGAAGATGAGACTCCTCGTCTATATTAGGGCTTCCCCTTGTTAAAATGGATGAAGATGTCTCTCAACTCCTAGACCTGAAGGGGAGTCCTGCCCGTTCCCAACAATCCTGGATCCCTTGAGCTAGGTCCTAAACCTGACAACCCAGAGTCCTAATAATCAAAACCAAAACCACTCTTTTAGTCAGTTCACAGAACCACCACCACTTACTGCCTCAAAGTTGCACCAAATGAAAGGTCCAAGCAGCCACTTCTGCTCTCCTGGTGGGGGCGGAAGGGGGTCCCTGAGCCCCTTCACCAATCTCCCTCTCGGCAACTTAGGCAACTTAACCCACTCATGCTTCCTCAGACTGCTGCTTCGCCTGTGAGCAAGCCTATAAGAGAGATCGAGTCAGGGCTCAGTCCATAGTCCCATCTGGATCAACCAGATTTGTTTCCCAGGCCCTCCCACCCCACCACCTCCAAAAAAAAAGCAAGGTTTGTTTGCCTGGTGAGTAACAAAAGTTGCTGAGAACACAGGTTTTGATCAATAGGAGTTTTATTACTTGTCGCAAGTAGGAAGAGCACTAAGAATATTTGCCAAAGCAGTGTCTCTTAAGAAAAAATGACAGGAAGGCTTTATGGAGTGATCAGTGATCGAGAGGGGAGAAGATGCATCATCACATGAAGAGGAGGGGTCCCAGTGACACAGATGTAGGGAATCATCGTGCCACCACATAGGACGCATGCTATGGTAATGAAACTATAGCTCTCCCAAGGTGCAGGATTTAGCATTGTAATGAGGAAAGTTCACTGTAAGTGAGTTCATCTATAAGTTGCTGGGGTCTGTCAGGAGCAGGTTCCAACTGACTAGGTGACCACATTTCACACAGGATTTGAGACAAAACCGTCTGCAAGGCAGAAGGCTCTAAAACAGGCTAATTACTCAAACTCATTAAATTCCTTCACTCCCTGAGGGCCCGCCCTGTCTTGTCTGTACAGCCAGTCCTTAGAAAGTGAGGCCAAGCTGAACTGTTGACCCAGTCTATGTCTTTACGAGTCTGGGAGCTGGGTGATTTTACCTCCAATACTAGACTTATTTTTACTGGTTCTGAAGCCTTGCTTACAGCCCTTTCCCAGTTTCTCACGAAATACTCATGAAAGGGGATGGTGGGGAGTGGGCATGGGAAAAAGGGAATGGTATTAAAATTAAAGCTAGCATCATTGGCCTCCAGGGGGCACTCATGGCTCATCTCCATAGCCCTTGGCTCTTGCAGCTGCCCAAGATGAGGGTCCTGATCTAAGGAGACTCCACCACCACCAAGGCTGGGGTGGTGGCAATGGGGGCATTATTTTCCAAACCTGACTAGGCCACATTTTAAGTCGATCATAGTCACAAGGAACATAGATGTGGACTATTAATTTTCTTTGCCTGAGCAGCCGTAGCCCTATGTGCTCCTCTCCAGCCTTTCAGAGAGCTATGATGGGCCAAAAAATGCTCAGTAGCCCAAGCCATCTCCCTGCATAGACACTAGAGTAAAATCTCTGCCTATGTGCGTGTGTGTCTTACTCTGTCCTGGACTTGTTTCCTACAGTGCTGGTGGCTTTACTTTGGATACTCTGATTGTTGCGGAGATGAGACCCAAGGCTCCACTCTGGAGAAAATAGAGCCCTCTTGAGAGGTCAGCCAAACTTGCTAGACTTCTTATGCGGTTTGGGGTTCAACGTTCTGGCCTGTCCCCCGAAAGTCATGGCCAAATTCACATATTCCTTTGATCCCTGATGCCATCTCATCACAGTGTTCGTCTGGCCTCACCATTGCTACACTAAGTCCAGGAACCTCAAGGAACTATGAGACAGGTAGGGCTAGACTTAACAAAATGGCTATCACAGTCTTCATTTCATGAGACAGAGGTGAACTGAGAAAAGGTGGAAGGTGCTTCAGAGACTTCGCCGTATTCATCCCTAACTTAGGCAGAGAGCCTTGGCCACACAGGAAACTGGGGAAGACCCTTCTCATACTCAGGAGTCCCCCACACTGGTGCCGTCTTACAATAGGCAGGCATCAGTTCCAGAGCCAATCAAACAATTAGGAATAAGTAACATTGCTCCAGAATTTGTTGGGGTTTTTCTTCCCCTGAATTTGGTAGTAAGCTCCACAAAGGCAAGAATGACAACCATCTTGTTCTCCTTGTTTCTTTGGAGCATAACACAACATGTAGCACGTGGTTGGCTCAATAAGAATTTGTTGAATGGTGGCCGGATGTGGTGGTTCATGCCCGTAATCTGAGCACTTTGGGAGGCTGAGGTGGGAGGATCGTTTGAGGCCTGGAGTTCAAGATCAACCTGTCCAACATAGTGAGACCCCTATCTTTTTTTTTTTTTAAGTGGGTTTTCTTGAATGGCACACAGAAAATAAACAAGCAAAATGAGAGATCAGAGATGCTGGAAAAGACCAGGGAGATCTGATGGTTAAATCAGATCATCTAAATGTTGAGGAGACATTTGGACATCTGATAGAGTTTGGCATTGAATAAGTGATAATACACAGAAAACTGAACAATGGCAAAAAGAAAAGTATCAATTCTAAGGGAAAAGATTCAAATCAAAAGCCTTCAGGAAAGGATAAGTCATCATGGTTTACTGTATAGCTTAGCTTAAAATGACACAGAATAGTGGAGTAGCCCAAAGGGCCATCTAACCACACTGGGAAGCTGAGCAGGGGAGGAGTGCGTATATGCATGGAGGAGACTTGTCTTCACCCTCAGCAGCTGAGAGCAGACAGGCTAGACCTGGACAATGGAGCAGGAGCCACACAGCCTGTGAAACATGTGCCGGGGAATGTAGAGGCTGCTGTTTCACATGACAGAGCCGTCAAACCCTGGCTGTTTAAAAGGGGTACATACATAATTTTAATAGAAATAAAAACCAAAAAGAAAAAAGGCTTAAGTGAGAAAGGCAAAACCATTACAATTTTTAGAGGAAAACATGAGAGTAAGAACAGAAAAATGTCTAAAGGGGCAAAGTGCTAACCATAAAGAAAAAGACTGATAAATTCATCTTGATAAATTTTTTATCAAAAGGCACCATAAAGACAGTGAAAAAACAAGGCTCAAAATGGGAGAAGATAATTGCAGCACATCTGACCAGCAAAGAGTTTGTATCCAGAATATATAAAGAACTTCTATGAGTCAGTTTTTTAAAAACACAATTTATATTTAAGTCTCTTTAAAACAAATAGATAATTCATAGAAATATGGTGATATGGTTTGGCTGTGTCCCCACCCAAATCTCATCTAAAATAGTAGCTCCCATAATTTCCACATGTTGTGGGAGGGACCCAGTGGGAGGTAATTGTATCATGGGGTGGGTTTTCCCCATGCTGTTCTCGTGATAGTAAATAAGTCTCATGAGATCTGATGGTTTTATAAAGGGCAGTTCCCCTGCACACCCTCTCTTGCCTACCGCCACGTAAGATGTGTCTTTGCTCCTCCTTCACGTTCCGCCATGATTGGTCTGCACCCAAATCTCATCTTGAATTATAGCTCCCATAATCCCCATGTGTTGTGGAGGGACCTGGTGGGAGGTAATTGAATCATGGGGGCAGGTTTTTCCCATGTTGTTCTCATGATAGTGAATAAGTCTCATAAGATCTGAGGGTTTTATAAAAGGCAGTTCCCTTGCACACGCTTTCTTGCCTACCATCATGTAAGATATGCCTTTTTCTTTATAAATTACCCAATCTTGGGTATTTCTTCATAGCAGTATGAAAATGGACTAATACACATGGGCTAAACTCATGAGCAGGCAACTTTATAGAAAAACACAAATAGCTCATAAACACAAAATATAGATTGAGTTCATTATTAATTAGGGAAATGCCTTTTATGGATAGAATAAAATACCTTTTTACACTCCCTGGATTGGCACAAAGTTTTGTCTGACAGTCTAAATGTTGACAGGGATGTTGATTAACTGGAATTCACACACTGCTTGAGGAAGCTTGCATTCACTCTGTCATTCAGCACTTCTGAAAAGTGCACACCAATAATCAGCCCAGGAAGGTTCACAAAAACATCTTCAGCAAAGATGTCCTTTCACCCTAGCAAAGAACCAGAAACAACTCAACTCAAGTGTCCTTTGACAAGAGAATGGGTAAAAAGCAAGTGGTATGTCATGCAAAAGAGTTCTAGACAGAAGGGAAAATTAAAGAACATCAAAGTTAGTAAGTCTTCGAGATGATGTTGAGTAGGAAA
Organism: Homo sapiens; assembly: GCF_000001405.40. Lineage (NCBI taxonomy): Eukaryota > Metazoa > Chordata > Mammalia > Primates > Hominidae > Homo > Homo sapiens. Next base: position 73,623,157 of record NC_000002.12, read on the forward strand.
AAAACTACAGAAAATATATTGTATGATACTTTCATCATAAGGTTCAAAAGCAAGCCAAGGTAAACATGTTGTGCATGGACACCTAGGGACCCATGTCATTTTAGGATCAAACATAGATGGATAGATGATAGATAGAGAGATGGATTTTTTTTTTAACTCAAAATAGTGGGAGCTAGGATTGGAGAAGAGACACTTAGCTTTGAAAGTATTGTCAAATGTAGTGACCTTTCTAGTTCATTCAGGTGCTGGGTTCAGGGGTATTCATTTTATTATGCACCATAATTTATGTGAGATGTTTTATTATATCAAATATGTTCTAATCTTACAGTAAGCAGTTGTTAAACAGATTTATAACTACATATAATGTGTGGGTCTTATGAACAATGCTGCTGTGAATATCAGCACCCAACTACACTTGTCTCTCACGGCCTTTTGTAAGCCTGCTTAGTTGAGGAGTTTCTTCCTTATACTGGAGATGAGAACTCAGGTAATGCCTCGACTGTTCTGATCACTGTTAGGGGATTACACATTCTACCCAGCTGACTTTTCACTGAAAGCCCAGTCTCCACTCAATAAGTAAAAGTGTAATAATCGAAACTCCCAACTTGAGTTCCACTTAAAATCTTCTCTCTTCCCCTGCCAGGCCTCTCTGCACCACCTAGGGGAGCATAGTCCCCTCTGTCCCTGCCTGACAGGGCTCTCCTCCTCAGCAGCACAGGGAGGTGTCTGACCCATCTGTGTGTGTGTGTCTATGTGGTAGGGATGGGGACCACAGCTTGTCGTCCTGCCCTCTCACCCTGGCTGTTCATTGTCTCAAGCTGACTTTCTTGGGTGTTTTCATGGCTTCTTCTGAGGCCTCCCTCTGGAATATTGGATCGTAACTCCAGCAATGCAAGCAATAGGTTTTCCTCCAGCTTCTGGTCCTCCTCCTCCTCCTCCTCCCCAAATCTGGTTTCTAGCAGTCACTCCACTGAGACTCAGAGTCTTCTTGGCCCAGTGCCAGCCTCTTGCATGTCCCAAATCTTGTCCTCAGGAAACACTTATGCATCCTATGCTGGGGTGAACTCTTAAGAGTGCAGGATCACCTCATGGCCACAGCCTAGCTAGGCCCTGAAACCCACACTCAGGGTTTCTCAGATATGAGTCAGCCCCAGGCCACTGAACCTCTCCCATTGCAGGGAATCCCTGTCAAGTGGTGAAAGCCAGCATCTAGACCTGGAGTCACAGGCACCTGTAGCATAACTCCTCCTGAAATGGAGGTTTTTCTTTAGAGATTGGTCCATATCCCTTATCCCTGGACTTCTGAGAAGGGTGGACAACCTGTGGACTGGACTTGAGTCTGGAATTTAGAGAAGTGTCCATAGTAGGGCTGCCAGATGAGGCAAACACAAATACAGGATGCCCAATTAAATTTGAATTTCAGATAAATGATTTTTAATGTTTGATTCTGTCCCATGCTAAAAATTGCCCACTCTTTGTGATAAATTTAAATTTATTGGTCCATTCTGTACTTTATCAAGGACACACGCAGGAGGAACAGTAGCACAAAGGCTTCCCGGTGCCTTGTGGGTGAAAGAAAGGCTTCCAGGGAAAGGAGAGAAACACCCAGGGATCCCGGTGACGTCGGGAAGCAGCACCCAGACCATGTAAGGACACCGCCTGCAGGGGGAGACTCAAGGCCTGGGAAGATTTTCTAATCTGTGCCTTGAGTCGGGTGGGGGGATTTTCTGGGAAAAGAAAACCAGACACAGTAGGACAAATATTGTATAGTTTCACTTATATGAAATTGTCAGAATAGGCAAGTTCGTAGAGACAGAATGTAGAACAGGGCTTTCCGGGGGCTAGAGGAGAAGACAAGGAGTTCTTGCCTAGTGGGTACAGAGTTTCTGTTTGAAATGATGAAAAACTTCTGGAAATAGATTGTGGTGACAGTTACACACCATTGTGAACATAATTAGTACCACTGAACTGTACACGTTAAAATGGTTGTATGTTATATATATTTTACCATAATAAAAACTAGGGGGAAAAAAAGGAAGGGGAGATTGTCTCAGGCTGGCTGACTTTCCCTGCATGTACGCACATCTTCACATGTGCACACATGTAAAACAAAAATGAAGCAAAAAAAGAAATTCTAATTTAACCAGTAAGCAATATGTAAAAGGAAATCTGAATGTCATTACAATTTTACCAGGTTCAGAATAAAATACCATCCTTCAAACTGAACAAATTACTTATTAGCTGAAGAGAGCTGAAAGGAAGTTTGGAATTAACAGTCTAGATTTTCTCACTAATGGGTCCAAGTCATTGACCTCTAAAATTATCTTAGAACATGCCCTCCCTCCTTCCTACTTTCTGGAAAACTATCAGTCTCCTACCCTATGCTTGCCCATAGAGTTCCATGTACAAATCACAAATCTGCATTTGCCGTTCCCTGGAAGCCCTTACATTCCCAAGGGCTGGCCTCATCCACTGCCACCGAAAACAGCCCCAGTTCAGGCAAAGCAATCACTCCCTCTCCCTCTCTGTCATTCCTTTCTTTTCCTTTCACTATCTCTCTACCCTCCTCTTCCCCACTCTCTGTTTCCTCTCTCTCTCTGTCTCTCTCTCTCCCCCACCATCTCCTCTCTCTTTCTCTCCCCCTGCCTTCTCTGTCTCTCTCTCTGACACACACACACACACACACACACACACACACACACACACACACACACACCGCAGCAACATTCTACCTCAGCCAGAGTTCCAGGCCAATAGGTGTGGACTTTGACTTCCAGATTCCTCTGGCAAGTGTCAACATCAGTCCTGGTGCTCCCTGGCAGAGAAGGACTTGGAGTCACCTTGGCCAAGAAGCTGTCTGGAGGTCACAGTGGCACCGCCCATCGGCCCCTTGGCCGGAGCTAGGTGAGGGCAGATTCAGCACAGCAGCAACTCTCCCCATAAAAAAATCCCTCAGTGTCTTCTCTAACCCTTCTTATACTCCTTGTGAGTTTTAGAGCCACCTAAACTCTTCTTTTTTCCCAATACATGGAGACAAAATTTACATAACATACAGTTAGCCATTTTCAAGTATACAGTTCCCTGCCATTTGGTACATTCACAGTGTTTTGCAAGCAACACCCATATCAAGCCCCAAAACATTTTCATTACCCAGGAAGGAAACCTGTCGTCATGGAACCGTCACTCCTCACATCCCCTTCCCCTCAAACCCTGGCAACCCCAAACCGTTCTTGACAGCCTCCTTTGGCATTTCCTCATTTTGGTGTCAGATCTCACAGCAGAATTTCTTACCTATTATATCCAGTGCCTCAGTGTGAAGTTCCGGTTTAACTTCTTGTTACCACGAGCCCACTATCTTGCCCCAATAATACCCTCCCCCAATTCACAAACACACAAGCATTCCCTCCTACAGCTTTGGGCCTCCTATCTGAGTCCTTCAGGAAAGAAGTGCTTGTAACTCCCTTGGCAGTGAGTGTAGACTTGGTCCAAGGAAGATGAGCACCAGTCAGGGCAGCTGGTCCCTCTTCTCTCCCTGGCCATCAGCAAATCAGCACTGCCCATCGATGCCCAGGCAATGGGAGCGTCGACCAGCAGAGGACACACCTGAATTTCTCTGCCTCATGGGAGGGTGGCTGCTGTGTTGCATTTAGGAAGAAGCTGTGCAAGATTCATACTGTTTTGCTAATGTTAATCTTGTGGGCATAATAAACGTCGTACCCACACTTATTTTTCTAGATCAGACAAGATTGGGTGTGTTCAGGGTGGTATGGCCATAGACCCCACACTTTTTTTTTTTTTTGAGACGGAGTTTCGCTCTCGCCCAGGCTGGAGTGCAGAGGTGCAATCTCGACTCACAGCAACCTCCGCCTCCCGGATTCAAGCCATTCTCCTGCCTCAGCCTCCAGAGTAGCTGGGATTACAGGCATGCGCCACCACGCCTGGCTAATTTTGTATTTTTAGTAGAGATGGGGTTTCTCCATGTTGGTCAGGCCGGTCTCGAGCTCCGGACCTCAGGTGATCCGCCTGCCTCGGCCTCACAAAGTGGTGGGATTACAGGCGTGAGCCACCGCGCCTGGCCGACCCCACACTTAGTTTTAATACACTTCTAGGCAAGGCTGCTGCACTGGTCTGGGGATCACACTTTGAGTAGCAAAGGACTAAATTGCAATAACTGCCGGGGGGGGAGAAAAAAAACAGGATGAACTGCTTCCTCCTGGCTCAGCAGCTAGGGAGTCACTGAACTAACAAGGGGATGGGGTGGGGATAAGAATGTTCCAGGCAAAAGGAACAACATGCCCAAAGGCCTCAAGCAGAAAGAGAGCTTCAGGTATTGAAGAAGTAGAAGTAGCTCTGTGTGGCTGGGGAGTGGGCATAAGATGGAGCAGAAGAATGCCAAGTCCTATTCCTGGGTCTGAATTTCCAGGAGCAGAAGCCCTGTCCCCTCTAGAAGGTGGATATAGTCTGGATATTTGTCTTCAAATCTCATGTTGAAATGTGACCCCCAGTGTTAGAGGTTGGACCTAGTAGGAGGTGTTTAGATCATAAGAACTGGATCCCTCCTGAGTGGTTTGGTGCCCTCCCTATGATTGATTGCTCTATTAGTTCATGTGAGAGCTGGTTGTTTAAAAAAGCGTGGCATCTCTCTGGTTCCCTCTCTTGCCATGTGACACAACTGCTCCCCCTTCACCCTTCCCCATGAGTAAAAGCTTCCTGAGACCCTCACCAGAGGCACATGCCAGCAGTGTGATTCTTGTACAGCCTGAAAAACTGTGAGTCAAATAAACCTCTTTACATTATAAATTACCCAGTCTCAGATATTTCTTTATAGCAATGCAAAATAGACTATCACAGAAAGTTGGTACGGAGGTGTAGGGCGTTGCTATAAAGATATCCGAAAATGTGGAAGTGGCTTTGGAACTGGGTATGAGGCAGCGGTTGGAAAGAGTCTGGAGGGCCCAGAAGACAGATGAGAAAAGGTTTGGACCTTCTTAGAGATTTGTAATGTCGTTGTAACCAAAATGTGGACAGAAATATGTACAGTAAAGGCCAGCCTGATGAGGTCTCAGATGGAAATGAGGAAGTTATGGGGAACTGGAGCAAAGATCACCCTTGTTATGCCCTAGCAAAGAACTTGGCTGCATTGTATCTATGTCCTAGGGCTTTGTGGAAGGCTGAACTTAAGAGTAATGACTTAGGGTATCTGGTAGAAGAAATGTCTAAGCAGCAAAGCATTCAAGAAATGGCCTGGCTGCTTCTAATAGCCTATGATCAGATATTGGAGCAAAGGACTGACTTAAATTTGGAACTATTAAATCAAACTAAAATCTGGCCTGAGAAAGCCTCCTCACTCCCATACTTGAGTCCTTAAGGATGAACCATAACCTAACTTTGTAGGTAGGACGACTGAAAACCTAACTTAGAAGGATGCTTCTGTAGCAATAACTGAGCCTCAGCCAATCTCAGCAGCCATACTTCAGTACTCACAGGCAGCCTATTGTTCAAACCATGTTCAAATAAGGCAAACACCATGCTGTAACCAATTTGGCTATTTCTGTACCTCACTTTGGTTTTCTGCATGTCACTTTCCTTTTTCTATTCATAAGGTTTTTTCCGACCACATAGCATCTCTGGTGTTGCTCTGAATCTGCTGTGATTCTAGGGACTGCCTGATTTGTGAATTGTCTTTTTTTTTTTCTCCTCAATTAAATTCTGTTAAATTTAGTTTGTCTAAGGTTTTTCTTTTACCAGATCTGGTGTTGGAAGTGCAGTTTGAAGTAAAACTCTGGTGACCTACAGGAACACCAGGTGACCAGGCCAGTTGTGCTCACTGATCTTTTGATTGTAACTGGAGGTTGTAGATGGGTTTTCTCTTGGATTCAGAGTTCCACTAATTTGTGTTCTAATTGGAGCTCTCCAAGTTTATTTGAGCAATATTTAAGTGGACTGGGTTCAGGATCAAATTTGAATCAATTAACTGGATTGGGTTCTGTTAGAGCCTCAGACCTCTACTAGGCACTTTTTTTTTTTTTTTTTTTTTGATAATGGGTTTGTCTCAATCCAAGGATTCTAGGAATCTACCTTCTGGGACTCCATCTAATTTTGTATATAAAATTTTAGGCCCAGAATGTGTGCATCTTTAGAAAAACAGATTAACCTTACTAGAGAAAAGATGGCCACAATGGGGAAGTTTTAATTTGTATAAAATTGTTTATTTGCAAGGCATATTAGAAAAAGGGGGATCAAAACCCCACAAAAACATTGGGATATAGTCTTTCATTGGTACATGGAAGCCTCTAAAAGACTAAACGAATGAAAAATTCCCTCCTTAAAAGATACTTTGCAAAAGCAAATGAACAGTTTAAGCAACAGGCTAAGGACATGATGAAAGAGAACTGTACTCTCACTGAACTAACCCCAACTGATTCTTCTCTTTATCCATCTCTACCTACGTACTCTGAGTCTACTAACCTTTTTGCTAGATCAACCTTTCACTCTGAAGATGATGAAAAAGGAGGAATTAGATGTACGCCTCACAAAGGAAGACCTTCTGATTATCCAGGCCTGCCTGCTATAACCACTTTCACTCCATGGTCTAAAACTGAGCTTAGAGCTATTTTAGAAGACTTCCCTGATCTAAGAGAAAATCCTCAAAACTTGACTAAGGAGTTTAGACTCCTCATAGGAGACTATGATCCAGGACTCCCTGACAAAGGTTCATATGACAATTTATTCATATGATATGGAGGCCTGGTGAAGCTCAAAAATGGATGGCAGCAGCAGAATGGAAGAAACCTGAGAAAGATATTAAAACCCCCCCCCCCGCACCCCCCCCCCGCACCCCCCCCCCCCACACACACACACACAAAGCCTCCTCATGAGAAGGCCCAACAGGAGCTAGAAATATTGCTGAAAATCCCAGCCTGGGCAACATGGCAAAAGCCTGTCTATACGAAAAATACAGATAGTTAGCTGGGCATGATGGCACATGCCTGTAGACCCAGCTACTTATGAGGCTGAAGTGGGAGGATCACCTGAGCCTGGGAGCTTGAGGCTACTGTGAGCCATGACTGTGCCACTGCACTCCAGCCTGGATAGCAGAGCAAGACCCTGTCTCAAAAAAAAAAAAAAAAAAAGGAAAAAAAATTGCTGAAAATCTTTTAAATTCAAATACTAAATTTTTTCCACAAAAGTTGATTGGTACATCATACAATCTTGTAAACCAAAAAAAAAAAAAAAGAATGAACCAGTGTCAGATTACAGAACTTGCTTAGAAATAATGTGAAACATTCTGGGCTTAAAGTACTAACAAGGAGTATTTCCTGCAGGGACTGAAATGGTATTAACTACTCTATTTATAAATGGACTTCATCCTGAACTTAGAAATTTAATTAGAAAACGTAAACTCGGATGGGAAGTTACAGCCATGACTGAATTGGTGGCTCTAGCTGAACATTTTGAGAGGACTGTAGAGCAAGAAAAAACCCAAAAGGCTAACAAGCTTATGACTCTTCAATTACAACAGTTACAGGGGCCAAGACCAAAGGGATCTTCTCATTCTCATTTTAAATCACAACCAAGAGGTATTAGACCAAGAAATTCTTCACCCTAAGATGTCTGCCTTATTGCAAACAACCAGGACAGTGGAATAGGGATTGTGCCCTTTTATATCAGCCCACCAATGACCCTCCCTTTAGGCCAGCCTGTTTCACCACTAGAGGGAGCACAAGAGACCTTAGCTCTCCTGAAGATAATCAGCATTGAAGCGGCTCTGAGGGATTTCACAGTATATTGCTCCTCATAATACCCTTAAAAGAATATGGAGAAACAGAGGTTACAGTAACTGGGGACTCATGTATAGTCTTGGTGGATACCAGAGCTACCTTATCTGCCACTACCATAAAACACACTTTCATAAGCCAACAGATCCCTCAGAGTTAAAAAGGCTATTTCTGTGGTTGGGGTTTCAAATCAAATTCAAGAGTTTCCCATATCTGAACCCGTCCAATTGACTTTGGGGCATTTTTCAAAAAATCACACTGTTGTACTATGTGATAGTGCTCCAGTAAATTTGCTAGAGGGAGATTTACTTTCAAAGCTGAAAGGGCATAGAAGACTACCTATTGGGTACATTGTAAACTGCTTGGGAAATGGGCACACTAAAATCTCAGAAATCAGCAGTAAAGAACTTGTCCATGTAACCAAAAACCACCTGTACTCCCAAAACTATTGAAATTTTTTAAAATAAAAAATTTTTAAAAGTGGGGAGGGTGTAAAATTTTCCTTGGAATAAGAATCAGTTTCCTGATTCTCCTGAACCAGAATTGTTATGTTCTCTATAGGCAGATATTAATAGGATCGAAACTCAGGCCTGTAATGCCTGATCTTCCAAAAATACCTAAATATTTATGGGCCTCTTCCTCAACTGATACAGGAAGAATTTAAAGTGTGTCACCTATTAACCTCCAAATAGACCACTCTAAACTTTTGCCTAAAGTACCCAATATCCACTAAAACTAGAAGCAATTCAAGGGCTCTTGCCAATTGTAAAAGATTTCATTAGACAGGGACTTATAATTCTATGCACCAGCCCTTATAACCCTCCAATCCTACTGGTTAAAATAAACCAAATGGATGAGGTTGAAGATTTGTTCAAGATTTATGGGCAGTTAACAAAATTGTAGTAGCAAGGTTTCCTATAGTTCCAAATCCTAATACTTCATTATCCAAGATACATGCTGATTCTTAAGTGGTTCACAATATTAGTTCTCTGCTCAGCCTTTTTTTACAATCCAGTTTATAAGGAGAGTCTATGCTTATTTGCCTTCACTTGGAAAAGTCAACAGTACCCCCAGATTGTGATGCTGCAAGGGTTTACCGAAGCCTCTTTGTGTTTTCCCAGGCATTGCATCAGGACTTAATGACATTATAGTTTCCTCAAAATTCTACTCTCATTCAGTACGTGGATGACTTACTGTATGCTCTCCCACTAAAGAGTACTCTGAAATGGACTCAGTTTACCTTTTACACAACTCACACATCAAGGTCACAAAGCTTCAGTAGAAAAACTTCAGTTTTCAAGGGGAAAAAGTCCATTATTTGGGACATTATTTGATGGTGTTTCCCTCTCACCTAAAAAGTTAAAAACTCTTCAAAATTTTCCTTGGCCTGCAACCAAAAGATAATTAAGAGGTTTTCTTGGACTTGCAGGATATTTTCTTGGACTTGCAGGATATTTTCTTGGACTTGCAGGATATTTTCTTGGACTTGCAGGATATATTCTTACACTTGCAGGATATAAAATTCCTGGGTTCTGAATTTTTCCTTAATAGCCTCACCGTTGTATGAGCTCACTAAAAAATGCTGTACCAGAGCCTTTACCTTGGGATGATAGTCATGAGCAAGCTTTTAGCTAAATAAAATTGGCCTTATAACAGCCTCCAGCTTTAGGACTTCCAAATTGCACTAAACTGTTTACCTAATTGGCTTATGAAAGTAATAATCAGGCATTTAGGAGTTCTTACCCAGGAACATGGGGAGAAACATAGGCCCATTGCATATTATAGCCTGCAATTAGACCCAGTAGCTAAGGTATATCCTAACTGTTTAAAAGCAGTAGCAGCAGCAACCAGGCTGAAAGAAGCTTCAGCTGATGTGGTTTTAGGAAATGAACTTAATATGGAAGTCCCACATGCTAAATTCCACCCAAACCCAGCATTTTTTAGTAAGTAGACTAACATCTTATGAAATGCTCTGTCTCCCTCTAATCTCTATCTAAAACACTGCAATTTACTTAACCATGCCCCTGTATTACTGCTGCCTGATGATGGTGAAGACCACAATTGCATAAGTGTAGCATCAGAAATAGTGGCCCCTCATGTTGATTTACAAGTTAGTCCATTGGACAATCCTGAGCTAATACTTTTGTTGATGGGTCCTATGCCAAAAGCTCAGAAGGAAAATATCAGCTAGGATATGCTGTTACCAAAATGAGTTAATAGAGAAGGGAATCCTTCCTCTATTAGTCAGCTCTATTAGTCTAAGCTCTATAAGTCAGCTTAACCCTCGAAGATTTTTGCCCTCACCCGAGCTTGTCATATAGCTAAAGACAAACCGGTAAGTGTTTAGACAGATAGTAGATACGCTTTAGGAGTAGTACATGATTTTGGCATGATAGGGAAACTCTAAGGGTTTCTCACTTCTAGTGGGATCACCATCAAAAAAGGACTCCAATTAGATAAACCACTAGATTGCTGTTATTGATCGAAGCTCATACCTGCAGAACTGAACCTGAATATCAAGGGAATGCTTAGCAGATATTTATGCTAAATCAGCTAGTACTGAAACTGTTCAGATATGCAACATGAACGAACTTCGTAAGATTAATCCAAGCCAACTACCTTACAATGACCTATTTAATAAAGAATGCAATGCACCTCATTTGGAAAAACAAAACTGGTATCTAAAAGGATATAAATTCAATGTTAAGTGCAAACTTGCAGAGGGCCTAGATGGCTGCCTGGTCTTTCCCGAGTCTTTGAAGCTTCCATTGTCAAAAGCTTTGAACTCCACAACTCATCATGGAACAGAAAAATTCATCCAAGTTGTGAAAAAATACTTGTGGGATGACTGTTCCAAAATTGCTAGAATATTTTTTTTTTTTTGAGATGGGGTCTCACTCTGTCACCCAGGGTGGAGTGCAGTCGTGCGATCGTGGCTCACTGCACCCTCCACCTTCCTGGTTCAAGTGATTCTCCTGCCTCAGTCTCCCGAGTAGCTGGGACTACAGGTATATGCCACCACGCCTGGCTAATTTTTTTTATTTTTAGTAGATATGGGGTTTCACCATGTTAGCCAGGATGGTCTCGATCTCCTGACCTCATGATCCACCTGCCTCGGCCTCCCAAAGTGCTGGGATTACAGGTATGAGCCACTGCACCCAGCCTGCTAGAATATTTTATAACCAATGTTGGCTAGTCAAACCCATAGTCCTGGAAAAACGAAAGATTCAGGTGGTGTATTGTATTTTCAACACCTAATGGACCATTTGAACAATTATACATGGACTTCATTCAGTTGCCACCTTCAATGTGGGTCTCAGTATGTTCTTGTAATAGTTTCCATGTTTTCTGGTTGGTTAGAGGCCTTCCTGTGTAGGAAAGCTGATGCTGTGACAGTAGCTAAGAAAATATTAGAAAATGTGTTTTCTTTATGGAGCATCCCTGGAAAAATCCCCAGCAATGGGGGAATTCATTTTATTAGGCAAGTTATAAAGCAGTTAAACAAGGTTTTATGGACACAATGGTACTACCATTATCCCTAGCACACTCAGTCTTCTGAAAAGGTTGAAAAAACAAATGACATATTAAAACTGAAATTGGCAAAGTTAACTGAATCAGTTGGGTTGCCTTGGCCAAAGGTACTATCATTGGATTTAATGGCAGTCAGATCCACTCACTAAAAAACAGAAGTGGACCCCTTATGAAATAGTCACTAGAAGGCCTATGCCCCAGTAGTAAAACCTCTTGCATCTTTCTCTCTCTGAAATTCTGATATAAGTAAGTACTGCAAGGCCATTATACCAAGTGTGCTTTCACCAGATAAAGGAAGCTTTTCAAGATCCACCAATTGAGGATAATCAAACCTTCCACAGTCTAGAACCTGGAGATTCTGTCTTCTGGAAATGACATCAGAGGAAGGCTGCTCTTGACAACTCTTTGGAAGGGACTGTGCCGAGTTCTTCTCAACACCTACACTGCAGTGAAGCTTCAGGGCCTTGAAACTTGGGTCCACACCTCACAACTCAAAAGGACCTCTTCAGACTCCTGGAACTGTACATCTGCTAGAGACTTTAAGGTAAAGCTGTCTAAGGAAAAATCTCCAGAGCAGATGACATTCTAGTTGTGGACAGCTTTCCCAAGATCACAGATGAAGACTTCTGTATCATCATGAAAGCCTTACATTTTTTTCTTTTCTCCTCATTTCCTGTTGCCCTAATTCTTTCTTTTTCCCTACAGAAAAATCCATGGGACCATAACCAGTGGATGCCTTTAGCTTGAGCATCTGCTGTAGCACAGAACCAGAGTTTGTGGATTATTGGGTTTGTTGTTTATTGCCAAAAAAATATAAGGAAACAATTCCACTAATGCCAGTGCCTCTCCATGTTCCCAATGAGAGTCACCCCAAAATTCCAAGGGAAGGATGGAAAGCTATCCTTGATATTCTGAACACCACTGCTACTTGCTTTCCTGCACTCACTAAAAAGAACACTTTAACTTTTCCTTTTTTTTTTTTTTTCTTTTTTTGAGACAGTCTCACTCTGTTGCCAAGGTTGGAGTGCAGTGGCCTGATCTTGGCTCACTGCAGCCTCCACCTCCCAGGTTCAAGGGATTCTCCTGCCTCAGCCACCCAAGTAGCTGGGACTACAGGCGTGCACCACCGCATCCAGCTGATTTTTGAATTTTTTGTAGAGACAGGGTTTTGCTATGCTGGCCAGGCTTGTCTTGAACCTCCTGGCCTCAAGTGATCTGCCAGCCTTGGTTTCCCAAAGTTCTGGGATTACAGGCGTGAGCCACCACACCCTGCCTTAACTGTTTCAATTAATAACCTGATCATTACCAAAGTATAGAAAACCAATCCAAGTGATGACTGCAAAAGATATATTGTGCTTTCAGGCATCATGTACTCAAGATTTGGGATTTACCTATGTGAGTACAAGTAATTGCTTGTATAATGTCACCAGATTAAATTCAACAGGGTCTCTTTTTACCAAATGTTTTATATACCCTTACAACATGCTATAAGAGGGGCACAAAAAGGTCAATTTCTCAATGGATTTTGTTCAGCAGCTATGCAGATTTATTAATGAACAAATCTAACTGAACCCTGCTCAAATGCAACTAGGTAGCCCTGTTTTTCAACTCCCAAGGACCTATTTTGGGTCTGTGGATAATCTGCATATTTCATTCTGCCTCTTCGTTGGCTCAGATCTTGCTATTTGGTCTGGCTCACTCCTGCCTTTCAAATAGTTTCACCTAAAAATTCTCCTAACAGCTCTTATGATTGGAGGCCAAAATAGTCAATAACTGAAATTAGCACTAGCTTTGAAATAGACAAAGATAAGCTAGTTTCCACTGAGGAAAGATTCCAGTGGGGTTCCTGGGGGCTCACTCTTGGTGGTAGTGGGATACTAGTTGTATGGAATCCAAAGCTAATCCATATGTGGGGTCTTGGATTTTATAGCCAATCAAACATCCCAGTGTTTCAGACAGGTAGACACTACTCTCCAAAAGGTAGATGTGGCCTGGTGCAATGGCTCATGCCTGTAATCCCAGCACTTTGGGAGGCCAAGGCAGGTGGATCGCCTGAGGTCAGGAGTTCGAGACCAGCCTGCCCACCATGGTGAAACCCTGTCTCTACTAAGTACAAAAAATTAGCCAGGCATGGTGGCACGTGCCTGTAGTCCCAGCTACTTGGGAGGCTGAGGCAGGAGAATTGCTTGAACCCAGGAGTCACAGGTTGCAGTGAGCTGAGATCACCCCACTGCACTCCAGCCTGGGTGACAGAGCAAGACCCTGTCTCAAGAAAAAAAAAAAAAAAAAAAAACAAGAGGTAGATGTTACAGTTAATGGAACATCATACAGCTTCATATCTCCTTTTTACTCAAGCTGGGGCCTGTGTTTGGTGTTGAACAAAATAGAATGCTGCAGTTATCTCTCTCCTGATTTTGTTACTACAGAAAGCTTAATGTAAAGGTGGCTGATACTGCTGTTTCCTTAGACACTGACACCAAATACAATAAAGAAGTCTCTCAAGAGGAAAACATGGTGTGTTTACAGGAGCAACTAACAGTTGGTTTGTAGGCATCCTAAATGGTGGATGGCAAGCTTGGGTTTCCCAAAGGTTTCTAGTCTTTATATGTCTTCTAGTAGGTGTCCAGGTTAGTATGGCTTGTGTTACCAGAGCAACAATGAAAATGGCTACATCTTTAAATCAGGCCACTTTACAGTGAACTATGATCCTTAATTGCTACCACATTTCAAACAAGAACTATGACCAATTAAACTTTACTGTTGTTGAACTGCCTATGTTGCCTGAACTTTGACTGGTTTAAGTTGGTTTCATTTATTTAATAAGAACACTTGTTAAGGAGTGCATCTTGGTATTTTGATATTATTCTCTTGATAGTCATAATAATAGTTCCCTAGTGTGCTGCATCCTCTCAAGTCTTAAATGTTTTGTATGCAGCCATACATTGAGAATTGAATGGTCTCACTTTGACTAGGTCAGCAAGAACATAGAGAATCATTCACCTAGTGTGAAGCTGTGACTTGTGAACTTCATAGTGACACCAGTAAAGACTTGTGAACTGGCTGGGCATGGTTGCTCACGCCTGTAATCCCACACTTTTAGAGGCCAAGGCGGGCGGATCATGAGGTCAGGAGATCAAGACCATCCTGGCTAACATGGTGAAACCCCGTCTCTACTAAAAATATACAGAAAAATTAGCTGAGCGTGGTGATGGGCACCTGTAGTCCCAGCTACTTGGGAGGCTGAGGCAGGAGAATGGCGTGAACCCAGGAGGCGGAGCTACAGTAAGCCAAGATCATGCCACTGCACTCCAGCCTGGTGACAAAGCGAGACTTTGACTCAGAAAAAAAAAAAAAAAAAAGACTTGTGAACTCCATACTGAGACTAAAAAGACTTGTGAATTCCATACTGAGCCAAATTACAATAGTGAGAGGGTGGCATCAATGCCTAAAGTTTCGGTCTATCTCTCTAAATTGAGAGTCTGACCAAAAGGGGGGAGTTGATAAATGAAACTCAAATCTGGCCTGAGGACGCCTTCACATTCCCATATTTGAGTTCTTAAGGGCGAACCGTAACGTAGTTAGTAGGTAGGCAGACTGAAAACTTAACTTAGGAGGATGCTTCTTTAGCAATAGCTGAGTCTCAGCCAATCCCACTGGCCATATTTCAACCACTCACAGGCAGCCAACTATTCGAATCATGCTCAGATAAGGTAAACACCAAGCTGTAAACAATCTGGCTGTTTCTGTACCTCACTTCCATTTTCTGTATGTCACTTTCCTTTTTCTGTCCACAAATTTGCTTTGACAGCACAGCATCCCTGGTGTCTGTCTGTATCTGCTGTGATTCTGAGGGCTGCCCGATTTGCAAATTATTCATTTTTCTTGCTCAGTTAAACTCTGTGAAATGTAATTTGTCTAATGGATTTCTTTTAACAGCACTTATAATTAAAATGGAAAGAGGGTGTAAATATTTAGAAAACTTGCAGCCTGGCCATGTGATAGACAAGGAGGAATCCAAGCAGCCTGCTGAGCAACTATTTGCTAGAGACATTAGCATATCTAAAAGGGAGCCAGGTGCTAATATTCAAGACAGTGGGAAAAGGCCTCAGAGGCATTTCAGAAGGCCTCTCCTATCACAGGCCCACAGGCCTAGGAGGACTGAATGGTTTCAGAGACCAGGCCCAGGGCACCATTGCTGTATGTCACCTCAGGATGCTACTTCCCACATCCTAGCTTCTCCAGCTCCAGCTTTGGCTCAAAGGGCCCCCGGTGCAGCTCAGACCACTTCTTTGGAGGGTACAAGCCCTAAGCCTTGGGAGCTTCCATATGGTTGTTTTTTTTTCTTTTTTTGAGACAATCTTGCCATGTCACCCAGTCTGGAATGTAACGGTGCGATCTTGACTCACTGCAACCTCTGACTCCAGGGTTCAAGCGATTCTGCTGCCTCAGTATCCCAAGTATCTGGGATTGCAGGCATGCACCATCATGCCCAGCTAATTTTGTATTTTTAGTAGAGATGGGGTTTCACAGTGTTGGTCAGGCTGGTCTGCAACTCCTGACCTCAGGTGATCCACGTGTGTCAGCCTCCCAGAGTACTGGAATTACATGTGTGAGCCACCATGCCCAGCCTTCCATATGGTTTTAGGTCTGCAGGCTTGCAGAACGCAAGAGTGAAGGAGGCTTGGGAGCTTCCACCTAGATTTCAGAGGATGTATCAAAAAGTCTGGGTGCCCTGACAGAAGCCTGCCACAGGGGCAGAAACCCACAGAGAACCTCTACAAGGACAGAGCCATGGGAAAACATAGGGTTGGAACCCCATACAGAGTCCCCACTGGGACATTGCCTAGTGGAGCTGTGGGAATGGGGCCAATGCCCTCCAGACAGCAGAAAGGTAGAGTCACCAGCAGCTTGCAACCTCAGCGTGGAAGACCCACAGGCATTCAATCCCAACCTGTGAGAGCAGCCATGTGGGCTGCACCCAGCAAAGCCATAGAGACAGGGCTGCTCAAGGCCTTGAAAGGCCACTCCACTCACCAGTATGGAGTTACGGAAGATGATTTTGGAAGTTTCAGATTTAGTGTTTGCCCTGCTGGGTTTCAGACATGTGTGGGGCCTCTTGCCTCTTTCTTTTGGCCAACTTCTCCCTTTTGGAATGGGAATGCCTACCCAATACCTGTAACACAATTATATCTTGGAAGTATGTAACTTGTTTTTGATATAACAGCCTCATAGGTGGAAGGAATTTGCCTTGAGGCTCAGATGAAACTATGGATTCTGGACTTCTGAGTTGATGCTGGAACAAGCTGAGACATTGGAGAACTATCAGGAAGGGATGGTTTCATTTTGCAATGTGAGATGACATGAGATTTGGGGGTAAGGGGCAGACCAATATAGTTTAGATGTTTGTTCTCTCCAAATCATATGTTGAAATATGACCCCCAATGTTAGAGGTGGGGCATAGTGGGAGGTGTTTCGCTCATAGGGGTGGATTCCTCATGAATGGGTTGGTGCTTTGTCCATGATAATGAATGAGTTCTGGCTCTATTAGTTCACATGTAAGCTGGTTGTTTGAAAGCACCTAGCATCTCTCTTGTGTGCTGTCTCGCCATGTGACACATCTGCTCCCCCTTCAGCTTCCAACATGAGTAAAAGATTCCTGAGGCCCTCACCAGAAGCAGATGCCTGCACTGTGCTTTTTGTACAGCCTGCAAAACCATGAACCAAATACACCTCTTTTCCTTATAAATTACCCAGTCTCAGGTATTCTGTTATGATCCCCTGGAAGAGTTATACTACTTCCAGGTCTAGCCCATGGTAAATCCCACACTCCCCTCTGAGGCCACCTTCTTCCCTCTGCAGAGACCCTGGAGTTAGAGTGGATTGGTTGTGTCTCTGGCCCCAATTCTTCTCCCGAGGCTGCATTCCACCCTTTTGCTATGTGACTTTGCAGCCCTTCTCACTGCAGAGACAGGTTCCTCTCCTTGAGTTTGGGGAAGATGCAACACATGCAGGGGTTTGAAAACACATTTGTTTGTTTCTGCTTTTGTTTTTGCTCCTCTGCAATTTCCTTGAAACCATGCCTGAGGTAGCCTGTGGGAAAACGAAACAGCACCATTGACCTAGTCTTTCAGCCAATCCCACTGCATTTGTACAATGCAGTCTGACACCAGAGGAACTGCCCAGCCAAGCTCAGGCAAAATTGCTGACTTCAGACTCATGAACTAAATAAATATTTGTTTCATTTGGTGGTTGTTCTTATGCAACATTATGCTGGCACTAGAAAAATGAAACAGATGGGAATCAAAAAGACTGAATGAAGCAGAAACCCAGAAGCTACCCCACAAGCAATCACATGGGACTCAGATGTGAATGGACAATAAGCTTTTATTGCATTGAAAGGTCATTGCAGTGAAAGGTTGGGGATTGCTTGCTGCTACAGCTGAATGGATTCTATTCTGACCAATACACACAGAAAGAGATCACAGACTCCCTACCTTAGAAGAAGGGAGGTGGTAGATGAAATGAACTGTATGAAGAGCCACTAGCCTGGCCCACACACAGAAGAAGGACTGGCCCGTCTTCTTGAAGCCCATGCTCTGGTAGAGGGCCATAGCAGAGAGCTGGATGGTGCCGGTGTCCAGGATAACTTCACTGTAGCCCTGGTCCCGGGCAAACTGGAGGACAGTCCTGACCAGGGCTTTTGCTATCCCCTGACGACGGTGCTCACTGTCCACAAAGAGATGAAACAGCTGCAACCGCTTCTCCCTCAAGGTGGGATCATCAACAGGCAGAGCTCCTACCATGCCCACCACCTTCTCTTCAGACTCAGCCACCCAGAAGCAGGAGCCACGCTCACTCAGGTAGGATTTGGTAATGTCAGACATGTCTGTGCACAATGTCATGTCCACATACTCCGTCCAGGGTTTTTTGGCAAGGAACCACAGGGCAGGGAAGAGGCTGATGCTGAACACGAGGGCTAGAAGCCAGGATCCAGAGACCAGGAGTAGGGCGAGGGGCCCCCCAAGTAAGAGTATGAGGGTTCGAGGCAGCTTCAGCAATTGCCGGAAGGTGGCTGGGGCATGCTCGGCCATCCCCCGGGAGAGCAAGCCCACAACCCACTGGCGGTCGCTCTCCTGGTATTTGCGGATGTGACAAGGAGCCATGGACAGACTTCTGTGTCTGAAATCTCTAAGTCCAGGAGACAGAGCTAGGCCTCCCTGCACGCCTTTACGTCAGACTGGGGAAGAGAGAGAAAATCATGTGAGTGCCTGCATGGCTCCCAGCCTTGCAGGAACAGGGAGACCTGCTCAAGGGTGTGTCTTTCCGCGTTTGCCCATGAGGAAGCAGGCCTCTGCCACTGGGAGAAGGTAGGGTCAGAAAGACCTGCATTGGAATCTGGTTCCATCCCTTTCTAGCTGTGTGACCTTAGGCATGTCACTTAACCTCTCTGAGCCTCCATTTCTTCAACTATAGAACAGGGGAGAAGAAAACCTGCCTTCTAGAGTTGTTTTGAAGATTGAATAAGATGCCTTCTATAAAGCCCTGGTAGATGAACTACCCACCGCTCTTCCTTTTTCTGTTTCCTTTTTCTGGCTCTCTCAGCTTCTCCGTGCATTGAGGGGGCACCTACCTCAGGCAGGCCACACGTGCAACCCTTTTGTCCTTCTCCAGGGACCATACATCGCAAAAATTCTCTGTCCAACACAAGTTTCAGGAAAGGCTCCCTCCAGCTTTATTGTAAGTTTTTAGGTTGCTGAAGTGGCATAAGAGCCAAGCATAAAAAACAGCCCAGCCTCCAGATCCCAAGGAAGGTGCATGCTCAGAGCACTGTCCTTCCACCCAGTCCCCTCACCTGTCACCACAAGAGCCTTGAGTGTCCAGGGAGCTTCAGCTCTCAGCCGCTCACTGGCATCCAGGAGATACCGTCTGGGGCTTGCTCACCCCTGGAAAGTAGACTGCCTGCCTTATTGCTTGGCTCCTGAATGTTTGGTAATCATCAACCCTAGGGTCAAAGAGCTGGGCTGTAACACAGCAGGGAGCCCAGTGTGCATTCCTCTTTGTGGTCAAAGGGAACGACCTGGAGGGGGAGACTCAGGGTCTGGAACCGCCTGGGTTCCTTGCCCTTCTGGAAGGCCTGCCACCTCTCTTGCCTGTTCAGGCCCCGTGCATCTCTCTGCCACCTGGCACACTTAGTACTCTCGGTCCCTGTCCACATATACGATCCACCCTGGTCCTTGTACACATATACGACGAGCCTGAGAACTGTACCATTCACCCTGCAATCAGTCACCATTGGCCAGAAGCCGAGTCCCCATGCTTGGCAACAAGGCCCTTCCCAGCTAGGCTTCTCCTCGCTGAGGTTTCCCTGGTCCACGAAGCATCTGTTGTTGGCAGTTCCTTGCACTCACCTCACCAACCCCCATCTCCACCCATTCATTGATTCAGTCAACAGTTGTGTGTCATGCACTTCCTGTGTCCTGGGGTCATTTCAGCCATGAGCAAGGTTGACATTCGGCTTGACAGGCATGGCTGTGTGTGGCTTGTGTGTGTTCTGGCTGTTGGTCAGAGGCTGTGCCACACCCGTTGTTAAATATTTTGCACTGCAGATGTTGGGGAGGCCCAAATTCATGCTCTTGTACCCGACGTGGAGCTGATCCCAAACACTGACACATGGGTGCTTGGAGATAGAGAAAGTTGTATTCGATTTGGCCAAAGCAAGAAGGCAGGAGAGCAAGATCTCTCAACTTCAGTTCAACAAAGAAGCAGCAGCAGAATGTTTTTATGCAGCTAGAGAGTGAGGAAGGGGGAGTTCAGGGGGATTGAGAGGAAAAGTCTGTGTTTCCTCAGTCTGAGATAACACCTTGTGCAACCAGGCTTCTCAGTGTCAGCAGCTGGTCACAGTGTCCTTCAAGGCATTCATTCATTCTGCAAACTTTTCCTGACCCTGAAGGAATGTCTTCCTGCTGAACAAAGAAACAGTACATGAGCAGTTTATCATTATGTTGTGGGAACAAGGAATATTGGACCAAAAGCAAGTGGTTAACATGTGCAAGCCAGCAACGGTCTGATCAGAATGTTCATTATTTCAGTCACTAAAACATGGTGTGGTGCTGAAATCTCAAGGGGCCCAATTACAAGGATGCAACATATACAAGATAGGCAAAAGCAAAACCTAACAGAAAAAGCCCTTTTCCACACCAACTTACATGCTATTGAAGGGAAACTTCCCTTCCAAAGATTAGCTAACCTATTGATGATCAGCCACGCTGGGCCCGTCATCTAGGTTAGGTAGTTTGGACTCTATTCCAAGAGCAAGGGGAGGACATTGATATGCACGGAGGGGAGGAGGTGTGTGTGTGTGTGTGTGTGCGCACGCAAGCATCACTCTGGCTGCAGGTGGACAATGGATCTGAGGAGGTAGGAATGGAAGCAGCTACCCCTCAAGGCTCATGCCACATCCAGGCAAGAGCGGGGCCTCCAGTACAGGGATGCAGGTGCTCACTGTACAAGAGCAGCTGGCCCAGAGGCTCTGGTGGGAGCTAAAACTGGGCCTCCCTCTGGTTGCCAAGCCATGAGCCATGGCACGAAACTGAGACTGGCCAAAGGAAAAGGCAACCTTTTCTTATTTGCTCAAAGGCGTTGCTTGCCTGCTAAACTCTGCATCCAGTGGGCTGCATGGCTTGAGGCTGTGCCTAGCTCTGGGTTCACAAAGAAGCCGCCTGGGTTAGCAGAGGCCCATGAGACAGCAGTGGCTTCACCAGAGGGAGGAAGTCAAGAAGGTGAGACATGAGCCGTATGGAGGTGCATTTGGGGCAGAAATGGCAGGAGTTGGAATGATTCACACAGGGAGGAGGATGAGGAAGGGCTCAGAGACGACAGCCAGGCTTCTGGTAGGGGCATTCAGGAAAACACTGGAGAGAGCCCAGATCTGGAAAAGTCAAGGCTTCCCCTAAAGGTGCTGCCCTGCAGCCTTCTTCAGCAGAAACCAGAAGCTGGGAGTCAGCAGCAGGAACCCAGGGCCAGCCAGTGGAGGCTGCTGAGATTCCAGATCTTTGGTACCCAACACCACCTCCGAGGAAAAGTCTAAGGAGCATCAAGTCTGGGCAGGAAGTCCATGGCTCATCTTTAGAGTGTTCTCGCAACATTTCAGTGTCAAGCAGGAGTTGGCCTAGGAATCAAAAGAGGTGAGCGGTGGCTCCAAAGCACCACTGAGTACTTCTAGTGTGAGTCTAACCAATATTCAGTCAGAAACCTGCCGGTCACGTGGAGGGGGAGAGGTTTGTGCTCCGTCCCTGTGTGCTGTCTCTCCCTCCATGCTCACCCGTGGCTGTGGCTTCCTCAAAACACAGCGACCTCACTTGACATTCAGGCGTCTCTTGCTCCCAGGATTTACTGTGACTTCTGCATTTTTGTAGCTTTCCTGATAAAAGCCTGGGCTTTCCTTGTCGGACCTGAAAGATTCATTTATTCATTCAACAAACAGTGGCCGAAGGCTTGTTATGTGCTGTGCCTGGACTTGGCATGAAGGCACCAGATGTCAGAAGCGAGGCTGCTGCCCAGGAGGACACACCTGATGGGGCTCTGGGACCAGGACGATGGTGGAGACATCACATCCGGAATAACTTTGTTAGGAAGGTGAACTTGACAGTTAGGACTTAGTTCTCCTTGAAGACGTCCTTCACATCCCTTGTGAGTTGGATTCCTAGGTATTTTATTCTCTTTGAAGCAATTGTGAATGGGAGTTCACTCATGATTTGGCTCTCTGTCTTTTATTGGTGTACTTGTGATTTTTGCACATTGATTTTGTATCCTGAGACTTTGCTGAATTTGCTTGTCAGCTTAACGAGATTTTTGGGCTGGGATGATGGAGTTTCTTTTGTGGGCATTTAGTGCTATAAATTTCCCTCTACACACTGCTTTAAATGTGTCCCAGAGATTCTGGTCTTTGTTCTCATTGGTTTCAAAGAACATCTTTATTTCTGCCTTCATTTCATTATGTACCCAGTAGTCATTCAGGAGCAGGTTCAGTTTCCATGTAGCTGAGTGGTTTTGAGTGAGTTTCTTAATCCTGAGTTCTAGTTTGACTGCAATGTGGTCTGAGAGACAGTTTGTTGTAATTTCTGTTCTTTTACATTTGCTGAGGAGTGCTTTACTTCCACCTATGTGGTCAATTTTGGAATAAGTGCGATGTGGTGCTGAGAAGAATGTATATTCTGTTGATTTGGGGTGGAGACTTCTGTAGATGTCTATTAGGTCTGCTTGGTGCAGAGCTGAGTTCAATTCCTGGATAGCCTTGTTAACTTTCTGTCTCGTTGATCTGTCTAAAGTTGACAGTGGGGTGTTAAAGTCTCCCATTATTATTGTGGTGGGAGTTTAAGTCTCTTTGTAGGTCTCTAAGGACTTGCTTTATGAATCTGGGTGCTCCTGTATTGGGTGCATATGTATTTAGGATAGTGAGCTCTTCTTGTTGAATTGATCCCTTTACCTTTATGTAATGGCCTTCTTTGTCTCTTTTGATCTTTGTTGGTTTAAAGTCTGTTTTATCAGAGACTAGGATTGCAACCCCTGCCTTTTTTTGTTTTCCATTTGCTTGGTAGATCTTCCTCCATCCCTTTGTTTTGAGCCTGTGTGTGTCTCTGCACGTGTAATGGGTCTCCTGATGGTCACACTGATGGGTCTTGACTCTTTATCCAATTTGCCAGTCTGTGTCTTTTAATTGGAGCATTCAGCCCATTTACATTTAAGGTTAATATTGTTATGTGTGAATTTGATCCTGTCATTATGATGTTAGCTGGTTATTTTGCTCATTAGTTGATGAAGTTTCTTCCTAGCATCGACGGTCTTTACAATTTGGCATGTTTTTGCAGTGGCTGGTACCGGTTGTTCCCTTCCAGGTTTAGTGCTTCCTTCAGGAGCTCTTGTAGGGCAGGCATGGTGGTGACAAAATCTCTCAGCATTTGCTTGTCTGTAAAGAATTTTATTTCTCCTTCACTTACGAAGCTTAGTTTGGCTGGATATGAAATTCTGGGTTGAAAATTCTTTTCTTTAAGAATGTTGAATACTGGCCCCCACTCTCTTCTGGATTGGAGTTTCTGCCAAGAGATCAGCTGTTAGTCTGATGGGCTTCCCTTTGTGGGTAACCCGACCTTTCTCTCTGGCTGCCCTTAACATTTTGTCCTTCATTTCAACTTTGGTGAATCTGACAATTATGTGTCTTGGAGTTGCTCTTCTCGAGGAGTATCTTTGTGGCGTTCTCTGTATTTCCTGAATTTGAATGTTGGCCTGCCTTGCTAGGTTGGGGAAGTTCTCCTGGATAATATCCTGCAGAGTATTTTCCAACTTGGTTCCATTCTCCTCATCACTTTCAGGTACACAAATTAGATGTAGATTTGGTCTTTTCACATAGTCTCATATTTCTTGGAGGCTTTGTTTGTTTCTTTTTACTCTTTTTTCTCTAAACTTCTCTTCTCGCTTCATTTCATTCATTTGATCTTCAATCACTGATACCCTTTCTTCCAGTTGATCGAATTGGCTACTGAGGCTTGTGCATTTATCACATAGTTCTCATGCCATGGTTTTCAGCTCCATCAGGTCATTTAAGGACTTCTCTACCCTGGTTATTCTAGTTAGCCATTCGTCTAATCTTTTTTCAAACTTTTTAGCTTCTTTGCGATGGGTTTGAACTTTCTGCTTTAGCTTCGAAAAGTTTGATTGTCTGAAGCCTTCTTGTCTCAACTCGTCAAAGTCATTCTCTGTCCAGCTTTGTTCCGTTGCTGGCAAGGAGGTGTGTTCCTTTGGAGCGGGAGAGGCGCTCTGATTGTTAGAATTTTTAGCTTTTCTGCTCTGGTTTCTCCCCATCTTTGTGGTTTTATCTACATTTGGTCTTTGATGATGGTGATGTACAGATGGGGTTTTGGTGTGGAGGTCCTTTCTGTTTGTTAGTTTTCCTTCTAACAGTCAGGACCCTCAGCTGCAGGTCTGTTGGAGTTTGCTGGAGCTCCACTCCAGACCCTGTTTGTCTGGGTATCAGCAGCGGAGGCTGCAGAACAGGGAATATTGCTGAACAGCAAATGTTGCTGCCTGATCATTCCTCTGGAAGCTTTGTCTCCGAGGGGTACCCAGCCGTGCGAGGTGTCAGTCTGCCCCTCCTGGGGGATGCCTCCCAGTTAGGGTACTCGGGGGTCAGGGACCCACTTGAGGAGGCAGTCTGTCCATTCTCAGATCTCAAACTCCATGCTGGGAGAACCACTACTCTCTTCAAAGCTGTCAGACAGGGACATTTAAGTCTGCAGAGGTTTCTGCTGCCTTTTGTTCAGCTATGCCCTGCCCCCAGTGGTGGAGTCTACAGAGGCAGGCAGGCCTCCTTGAGCTGCGGTAGGCTCCACCCAGTTCGTGCTTCCTGGCTGCTTTGTTTACCTACTCAAGCCTCAGCAATGATGGGCGCCCCTCTCCCAGCCTCGCTGCCACCTTGCAGTTCGATCTCAGACTGCTGTGCTAGCAAAAAGCGAGGCACTGTGGGCGTGGGACCCTCCAAGCCAGGCGCGGGATATAATCTCCTGGTGTAGTGTTTGCTAAGACCATTGGAAAAGCGCAGTATTGGGGTGGAAGTGATCTGATTTTCCAGGTGCTGTCTGTTACAGCTTCCCTTGGCTAGGAAAGGGAATTCCCTGACCCCTTGCACTTCCTGGGTGAGGCGATGCCTTGCCCTGCTTCGGCTCATGCTCAGTGGGCTGCACCCACTGTCCTGCACCCACTGTCTGACAAGTCCCAGTGAGATGAACCTGGTACCTCAGTTGGAAATGCAGAAATCACCCGTCTTCTGCGTCGCTTATGCTGGGAACTGTAGACTGGAGCTGTTCCTATTCGCTCATCTTGGAACTGCCCAACACTCCATCCTTATCTATAACCCAGCATTCTTCTATACCCCATAGAAAGCACCCCTTACACTCGGACATGCACAGGAAGGAAGCTGCTAATTGGAGGGAAGACTCACTCACACTGTCCCCAGGCTCCACTCCAAAGGTGGCCAGTGCAGCTCTTTCACCTCCATTACCTCCAAGTGGTGCTGTCACTCACAGTAAGCCCAGAAGAGCAGTCTGACCTCCACATAGAGCCCCCTCATTTCCACTCCTCACTGCTGGCTGCTGGCTCCACGGACCCTCTAAAACCACCCTTGGTAAGATCACCAGGGGTTTCCTAACTGCCAAGTACCAGTAATGCTTTATAGTCCTCAAACATGCTGAACGCTAAGGGAGTTCCTGCATTCATAAAGCTGCTTGCGGTACCTGGGTGCTATGGTCTGAATATGTCCCCCCTAAACTCCTATGCTGAAACCTCATCCCCAAGGTGATGGTATTCAGAGGTGGGATCTTGGGAGGTGATTAGGTCGTGAGGATGAAGTCTTCACCTATGGGATCAGTGCCCTTACAGAAAGACCCAAAGGAGCTTGTTTGCCCCTTCCGCCATATGAGGATACACAAAAACCGCCATTTATGAGGAACAGGTCCTCACCAGACATAAATCTACTGGCACTTTGATCTTGGATTCCCAGCCTTCAGAGCTATGAGAAATAAATTTCTGTTTACAAGCTAAATGTAAAGTGTTTACCAGTTTATGATAATTGTGTTATAACAGACCGTATGAACTAAGGCACTGGAGTCAGTCCAAGAGCTTAGATGTAAGGGAAATAAGATCAGAGCAGAGATGTGCAAGAGACTGGCTCCTAGCAGAGCAACTAAGAGTCAGGCAAATAATGTCAACTGAGGAGGCTTCTGGGTCCAGCAGCCACCCAGCTGCTTTAACACATGGCTCTTCATTTCCTATCCCCTTCTCTCCTGGTCTGTCTTTCCCTCTTTGATGGTTCTTTTTCAAGCTTTCATTTTGAGTGTTCCTCAAATGGAAGTTTTCCTCAAAACAGAAAAGTTCATATTTCCTTCCTAATAATTAATAGGAAAAAAATGCCAAATGGATAGAATGGACTCCGGATAAGAATGGAGAATTTTTTAAAGAAGAAGCAAATATGGTTTATGAATATATTTTAAAACTGTGCAAAAAAGAATATACAAAAAAACTCACTAGAAATCAAATAAATAAAAATCAAATTAATATCCAGGTTTTACCTATCATTGTAAAGAATTAAAAGAATGGTATGAGCTAATATAGGACAAGCACAAAGAAATGTGCAGACACACACACTTTTGACGGAATACTGAAATGGGAGATCCATGCTGGAGAATCATTACACAGCATGTCAAAATCCTTTTTTTAAATCAAAACAGAGTCTCGCTCCATTGCTCAGGCCAGAGCGCAGTGGCAGAGTCATAACTCACTGTAACCTCAAGCTTACAGGTTCAAGTGAGCCTCGGCCCTTGTCCTCCTCTCAAGTAGCTGGGCCTACAGGCACCCACCACCACATCTGGCTAATTAAAAAAAAAGTTTTTTTTAGAGACGGGGTCCTGCTATATTGCCCAGGCTGGTCCCTAATCCTTGGGCTCAAGCAGTCTTCCCACCTCAGCCTCCCAAAGCACTGAGATTTCAGGAGTGAGCCACCCTGCTCGACCTCAAAGTCCTTTGAAAAGACTTGATCGAAATTCAACTTCTAGGGTTAGAGCTCAAGAAAGTAACTGGTCAAATGTGCAAAGATGTTTGCATAAGGATGTTTATCACTGTAAAGTTTATTGTCATAGAAGCAACCGAAAGTGCAACAAGAGGGGACTGGCTGAATAAATCCTGCTCTATTTCTGTAGCACAGTACCTCACAGCCATGACCAATGCTGATGAGGGTTTACTGACATGAAAAACATTGCCCAACTATAGCACCAAGCAAGAAAAGATTATAAAACAATATGTTTGGATTTATTTTTGGAAAAATGGTATTGAAAAATGATATCCACAAACAAGCATGCAGAGAGAAAAGTCTGAGTGGTTCCACCAAATGTTGGTAGCAGTTACCTCTGAAAAGAGGAATTGTGGGGGATTCTCTGCATAAAAGATAAACTCTGAAGGTCTTTGCACATTCTAGGCACTTGGCCCTGCTTTCAGACAGTGAAACTGAATCTTGGGAGTCTAAAGGGACTCAGTTATGATTGTGAGCTCCTAAAGGTAAGACCCGTGTTCGGTTTTATTTTATTATTTCAATTAATCCTATTAATGTGCACAATTCAGTGGCATTTAGTACATTCACAATATTGTGCAACGACCACCCCTTTCTTGTTCCAAATCATTTTTATCACCGCAAAAGGAAATTCCTTATTCATTAAGTGGTTCCCCCTTATTTCCCTCTCTCCCCAGTCCCTGGCAACCTAATCTGCTTTCTGTCTCTATGGATTTATTTATTGTGGATACTTCATATAAATGGAATTGTACAATATCTGACCTTTTATGTGTGGCTTCTTTCAGCTGATGTTTTCAAAATTCATTCGTATTGCATCATGCATCAGTACTTCATTCCTTTTTAGGGCTCAATAATATTCCATGTATGTTTATACTGCACTTTGTTTATCCATTCATTCATTGATGGACATTAAGGTTGTTTCTACGTTTTGGTTATTGTGAATGGTGCTGCTGTGAACATTCAGGTACAAGCAGTTATTTGAATACCTATTATCAATTCTTTCGATGTATACCTAGGAGCAAAATTGCTGGTTCATATTTTAATCCTGTTTAACATTTTGAGGAAATGCCAAACTGTCTTCCAAAGTGTCAGCTGTAGTTTACTTTCCCACCAGCAGTGAACCTTATTTTACTCCACTGCCTGCCTCAGCACTACTGCCTAGAACATAAAGGGAAGAAGCAATAGCTGTTTTTTTACCAAGAAGTTATTAGATGCCCAGCACTGTGAGAAAGAGGGCTTCCCATGTTGTGCAATTTCATGTTAACAGCCTTGGAGCTAAGGTTGGTATTATTAACATCCCCATTTGGCAAATGGGAAACTGAGGTCCAGAAACCTGAGGTTTCCTCTCCACGGCCCCATATGGGAAGTGAAAGCTCAAACCTAAGGTAGCTCTGACTCCAAAGCCTGCACTGTTTTACTTTTTCAGTACAGCATGCTGACCCTGCAGGCAGGGATTTGACAAGTGTTTAGTGAGTCTGAAATTCACATAAAGCCTCACAAGCCCAGAGAAGCAGCTCTGTGTGGAGGCGCATAAGATTCACCAGTAAGGCCCCATCACCCCCATCCTGTTGCCAGTGGTCAGGACACCCTTGACCAAATTCCCATATGTGACTAAGGCTCTGTTCCTTCTTCAAGATCCAGTTTAGTGCTACCTGCTCCGTCCACTTCTGACCACCCAACCAGATGAATCTGGTCCCAGTCCCTCCCTCCTTGGAAGCCTTTGCATTTCTCATTAAGCACTTGTATTGCTGCCATTTGTTGCTTACTTAATAATTAACTTATCATAGTTAATTAGACTAGAAATTAACAGTTCAACTACCCTGATAAACTATTTTGTCTTTCTATTGCCTCTATGAACCTGATTATAATAAATCATTGTATTGTTGGAGTCACTGTTATTCCCAGAGCTGTCAGGTTTCAGAGCAGCGTGTCAGTGCCACCCCATGCCTGCATCCGGGAAGATCACTCCTCCACTGGACCAGCCCAGCCTGGAAAGGGGCCAGTGAGGCGGAAGGTGGACAATCCAGGGCCAATACATTCTGGGAGTCTCAGAGGAAGAGAAAAATCGATTCAGACTCATTTAACATAGGCTCCTGGAAAGGATATCATCTCCCCCAATCTCTCATCAATAACCCAACATCAGATCAGTGCCCTGGACTTATCATATGAAGCAGAATGAAAGTAGACAGATAGGTCATCCTTGGTTAGATGTCCAGAAATCCGAGGATGGTGGTCCTAGCTCTTCAGAGAGGACACGTTCTTTAACCTAACCTTTTAACAAATTCTCTACAGAAGATATCAGGTCCCAACATTTCAAGTAGCTTCGTAGATATAGGTAATCAAAGGACTAATTATGAAAGTGTAGATGGGTAGAGGGGAGCAACAAGGATGGCACAGGAACCCATAGCCCTGAGGAGGAGGGAGAGTTGTTGGAACCTGAAAGGACCTGGGCAGAGCAGGCTGCCCTTAGAGCAGGCCTGGGGCCAAGGCACAATCAATACCAAGCCTGCCTCACGCTCTCTTCCCTCCACTCCTCAACTTGCTGCTGGCTTTCAGAAAAGTTAAGAACTTGCCATTTCTACCCCTTTGCCATTGTTGTTGTCTTACCATAAGGCGGGGAGCAATATAGTATCCAGTTTTCTAGATATGGAAGTGGAAATCAGGTGTATATACCCAGTATATTAGTACCTATTAGTATTCTTATTGGTATTACTTTCTAGATGTTATGTAACTGTAGCTTTGGATTTTCTATTTAATTCAAAAGACATATAAGAGTTTTTTTTTTGCTAATTCCATGTTGGATTTATTGTCACTACTTATTAAGTTATAATTTTAATGTATTGTGATTAGAGATTGTACTGTGTTCTATTTGTGTTTTAAGGATACATAGAGATTTTCTTTGTGGCTAAATATAAGTAATCCATGGGTGTTTTAAAGAAGGTAGAGTTTCCAAATAGAGTATGACATTCCAGTCACTGTCAGATTCCACACAACATTTCAGTCAGCCACAGAACATATAAATGATAGCAGTCCCATGAGATTAAAATAGTATATTTTTCCTACACCTTTTCTTTATGTAGATATTTTAGATACACAAATACTTACCACTGTGTTAAAATTACCTACAATAGTCAGTAGAGTAACATGCTGTACAGGTTTGTAGCCTAGGAGCAATAGGCTATACCTTATAGCCTAGATGTGTAGTAGGCTGTACCATCTAGGTTTGAGTAAGCATACGCTGTGATGTTCACACAACAATGAAATCACCTAACAATGCATTTCTTAATATACATCTATTAAATCATTTTATTAATTAAATTATATTCTTCCTGAATATTGATTTTCTTAATCTGTCGAGAACTTCAAAGAGTATATTTTAAGTTAATTGAATATAGCTTTTGTTAATTGAATGGTTTTATATATATATATATATATATATTTTTTTTTTTTTTTTTTTTTTTTTTTTTTGAGAAGGAATCTGCCTCTGTCACCCAGGTTGGAGGGCAGTGGCGTGATCTCGACTTACTGCAACCTCTGCCTCCTGGATTCAAACGATTCTCCTGCCACAGCCTCCTGAGTATCTTGGACTATAGGTGTGCACCACCACACCCGGCTAAGTTTTGTATTTTTAGTAGAGATGGGGTTTCACCATGTTGGCCAGGATGGTCTCAAACTCCTGACCTCAAGCGTTCCACCCACCTCGGCTTCCCAAAGTGCTGAGATTACAGGCATGAGCCACAGCACCCGGCCTGGTTATATATATTTTTATTTTCGGCACATAAATATTAATGACATGAATATTAATGACACTTTTTTCACTGTGAATCATACCATAAATCATATAAAGTAACTTTTATTTTACATTTTGAATATGTTTTGCCTTTTATTCTACTTCATCCAATACAGTTTTATTAAATGTGGATTTGTACCATTGCTCTTTGTCCATCCTTTTACTTTTGGCTTTTCTGAGTCACTTCACTCAAGTGGAAGTAGCACCTACTTGAATTTAACTTTTTTCCCCCACCCAATTTGAAGGTCTTTTTTTGAAGTGAGTTCAACTTAAGTTCATTGTTGTAACAAATATGTTTGGTTTAAATTTTATCATTTCCCTTTTTGTTTTTTTTTCCTTTTCTGGTAAACTTATTAAGTTAATGTTTGTTAAACTAAATTCCATTTCAAACGGTGGGAAGGAGTAAAAAACACCTAACATAAAGTTTACCATCTTAAGCATTCTTAAGTGTACAGGTCAGTAATGTTAAATATATTCACATTGTTGTGAGACAGATCTCCAGAACATTTGAATATTGCAAACCTGAAACTCTATACCCATTGAATAACAACTTCCCTTGTCCTCCTCCCCCAGCTTCTGGTAACCACCATTCTACTTTCTGTCTCTGTGAATTTGTCGATACCAAGTTTGGAAGATAAGAAATATCTTTTAATTCCTGATTTTGTGTGATAAGAGAAATAAAATATCTACCCTTTAGTGACTGACTCATTTCACTTAGCATAAGATCCTTAAGATTCATCCATGTTGTAGCATGTGACAGGATTTCCTCCCTTTTTAAGTCAGGATAATTTTCCGTGGGTTGTGTGTGCCACATTTATGTATCCATTCCTCAGTGGATGGGCATCTGTGTTGCTTCCACATTTGCCTATTGTGAGTTGTGCTGCTGTGAGCATGGGTATGCTGTTAGCTTTTTAAGTCCCTGCTTACTGTGCTTTTGGAGACATACTCAGAAGAGGGATTACTGAATCAAATGGTAGTTCTAAGTTTCACCTTTGGAGGAATCTCAATACTGATTTCCAGAGCAGTTGTGCCATTTTACATTGCCACCAACAGCACACATGAGACCCATTTTATCTACATCCTCACCAATACTTGTTATTTTCTTTTTTTTTTATAATGACCGTCCTAGTGGGTGTGAGGTGATATTTCATTGTTGTTTTGATTTGCATTGCTCTGATGATTGGCGATATAGAGCATCTTTTCACATGCTTGTTGGCCATTTGTATATCAACTTTGGAGAAATGTCTATTCAATTCCTTTGCCCATTTTTGGTCAGGTTATTGATTTTGTTGTCATTGTTGAATTCTGAGAGTTATTTGTGTATTCTGTATATCAGAATCATGAGTTGCAAATATTTTCTCCCAATCCGTAGGTTGTCTTTTACTCTGTTGAATGCATCCCCTGAGGCACAACTTAAGCCTGGTGGTCCCATTTGTCTATTTTTGCTTTTGTTGCCTGTGCTTTTGGTGTCATATTCAAGAAAGCACTGCCATATTCAATGTCACAAAGCCTTTCCTCTATGTTTTCTTCCAAGACTTTGATAGTTTTAGGCCTTACACATAGGTCTTTAATCCATTTTGAGTTAATTTTTTTACATAAGACTAGAGTCCAACTTCATTCTTTTGCATGTGAATGTCCAGGTTTCCAAGCATCATTTGTGAAAAATCTGTTCTTTTCCCATTGAGTGGTCTTGGCACCCTTGTCAAAAATCATTTTGGCCAGGGACAGTGGCTCACACCTGTAATCCCAGCAATTTGGGAGGCCGAGGTGGGTGGATCACCTGAGGTAAGGAGTTCAAGACCAGCCTGGCCAACATGGTGAAACCCTGTCTCTACTAAAAATACAAAAAATTAGCTGGGTGTGGTGGCGCACATCTGTAGTCCTAGCTACTCAGGAGGCTGAGACAGGAGAATCACTTGAACCCAGGAGGCAGAGGTTGCAGAGAGCCAAGATCGTGCCACTGCACTCCAGCCTGGGCGACAGAGCAAGACCTTGCCTCAAAAAAAAAAAAAAAATCATTTGACCATATGTGAGAGTTTATTTGTAGGCACTTTATCATATTTCGTTGGTCTATTCGTCTGTCTTTATGCTACTATCACACTATTTTGATTATTGCACCTTTGGTAATATGTTTGGGTTTTCGGTTGTTGTTGATTATTTTGGTTTGTTTGTTTTTTGTAGAGATGGGGTCTCACTGTGTTTCCCAGTCTGATATCAAATTTCTGGGCTCAAGTGATCCCCCAGTCTTGGTCTCCAGAAGTCCTGAGATTACAGGTCTGAGACGCCGTGCCCAGCCAGTAATATGTTTTAAAATCAGGAAATGTGAGTCCTCCAACATTGTTGTTCTCTTTCAAAATTGTTTTGGCTGTTCAGGATGTCTTATGATTTTTACTGATTTCTTGCCATTTCCAATCTTTTTTGTTCATTACTATGTAATATATGCTTCTTATTTTATTTTATTTTTGGAGATTGAGTCTCGCTCTGTTACCCAGGCTGGAGTACAGGGGCATGATCTTGGCTCACTGCAACCTCCACCTCCCGGGTTCAAGCTATTCTCTTGCCTCAGCCTCCTGAGTAGCTGGGATTACAGGCATGTGCCACCATGCCCGGCTAATTTTTGTATTTTTAGTAGAGATGGGGTTTCACCATGGTGGTCAGGCTGGTCTTGAACTCCTGACCTCGTGATCTGCCTGCCTCAGCCTCCCAAAGTGCTGGGATTACAGGCGTGAGCCACCATGCCCGGCCATAATATATGTTTCTTTGAGCTGTTTTTCTGATAACTTAGCGGCCATGTAATCTAATTAACTAATATCCTTCAACCACTTTCTCAATCTATCACTCTCAGACACGAAACAGTATCTGTTGACTCTATCATATGAAAAATTAAGAAAGTGACTGCACTTCTCCCCACCTGTGCCCCCACATACAGACATTCCCCCAACTAACCAATAATGGTTATATTTTGTGGATTTTGTGTCAGCTCATTGTAGTAGTATTACTACATTGACTAGCTTTACTTATTCGTGGATTCTTGTAGGTTTTTAAGATTTTATACTATGCAGCCATAAAAAATGATGAGTTCATGTCCTTTTTAGGGACATGGATGAAATTGGAAATCATCATTCTCAGTAAACTATCGCAAGAACAAGAAACCAAACACCGCATATTCTCACTCATAGGTGGGAATTGAACAATGAGATCACATGGACACAGGAAGGGGAATATCACACTCTGGGGACTGTTGTGGGGTGGGGGGAGGGGGGAGGGGTAGCATTGGGAGATATACCTAATGCTAGATGACGAGTTAGTGGGTGCAGCGCACCAGCATGGCACATGTATACATATGTAACTAACCTGCACAATGTGCACATGTACCCTAAAACTTAAAGTATAATTAAAAAAAAATTGAACAAAATAAAAAAAAAAGATTTTAAGTCTAGTTACTTTTCTAGGGTATGTCTCAATGTAGGTCAAGCTCTGTTTTTTTATTAATTGAGATAAAATTCACATTCCATACAATTCTTTTTTAGTATATAATTCAGCATGTTTTTGTATATTCAGAAAGTTATACATCCTTCACCCCTAATTCCTGAACATTTTTGTCTCCCCAAAAAGAAACCGTGTGCCCATTAGCAGTTACCTCCCATTACCCTTGTTCTTGCACCCCCGCCTCGCCCTGGCAACCACTAATCTACTTTCTGTCTCTATGGGTTTGCCTATATGAGACATTCCACATAAATGGAATTGTAAAATATGTGGCTTTTTGTATCTAGCTTCTTTGACTTAACATGATATTTTTAAGGTTGTAGCGTATATCAGTACTTCATTTTTTGGTTTGCAGAATAAAATCCGTTACGTGGATTTACAACATTTTATTTATATATTCATGAATGGATGGATACTTGGGTTGTTTGTACTTTTTTACTTTCACAAATAATGCTGTTATAAATTGTTATAGATTGTGTACACGTTTTTGTGTGGACATAATTTTTTCAGTTCTCTTGGATATATACGTAGGAGTAGAACAGCTGGGTCATATGGTAACTCTCTGTTTAACCTTTGAGTAACTCCCCAACTGTTTTCCAAAGTGGCTGTGCCGCGTTATATTTCCACCAGGATCATATTAGGGTTTCAGTATTTCCACGTCCTCGTCAATAATTGTTATTTTCTGATTTTTGATTATAACCATCCTAATGAGTGTGAAGTGTCATCTCATTGTGGTTTTGATTTGCATTTCTCTAATGACTAATAATGAGAAGCACCTTTTTAAGTGCCTATTAGCCATTTGAATATCTTCTTTGCAGAAATTTCTATTCAGATCCTATGCTCATGTTTAAATTGGCTTATTTTTGTTCTTTTATTATTGGGTTCGACGTGTTCTCCATATATTCTGAACAGCAGTCCCTTATTCACTATGTAATTTGAAAACATGTCTCCCATTCTTTGGGATGCTTTTCACTTTCGATGGTATCATTTGCAGTACAAAATTTTTAGTTTTGACAAAGTCCAATTTATCTACTTTTGTCATTTGTGTTTTTCATGTTGTGTTTAAAACTATTGCCTAACCCAACATCACACACAAAAAAAGTTTACTTCTTTGCTTTTTTCTAAGAGTATTATAATTTTAGCTCTTAAATTAGGGTCTATGATCATTTTTTAGCTAATTTTTGTATGTAATGTGAGGCAGGGGATACAGTTTCATTTTTTGCATATGGATATCCAGTTGACCCCGCACCATTTGTTGCAGAGACTATTCTTTCTTCCATTAAATTGTCTGGGGTCCTTTGCCAAAAATTAATTGACCATAAATGTAAGAGTTTATTTCTAGACTCTTAATTCTATTTCATTGATCCATATGTCTCTGCAAATGCCACCACCACACCGTCTTGTTGTGGTGTTCTTGTGGTAAATTTTGATGTGTGAGTCCTCCAACTTTGTTTTTCTTTTATAAAATTGCTTTAGCTATTTATGGGTTCTGTGAACTTTAAGATCAGCTTGCCAGTCTCTGAAAAAAAATAAAAGGCAGCATGAATCTTGGTAGGGATGTCATTGAATCTATAGTTGGAATTGGGGAGTACTGACATCTTAAAAATATTAAGACTTCTAATCTATGAACATGGGATCTATTCCCATTTAGTTAAGTCTTCTTTCATTTCTTTCAACAATGTTTATAGTTTTTACTTCTTTGCAGTTCGGCACATCTGTCATTAAATGTATTTCTATATATTTTCTTCTTTCTAATGCCATTGTAAATGAATTTGTTTTCCTAATTTCATTTCTAGGTTGTTTACTGCTAGTGTATAGAAATACAACTGATTTTTCTTACATTGATCATAGATTGTACAAGCTTGCTGAACTTGTTTATCAGCTCTAATAATTTGTGTGTGTATATGTGTGCCTTAGGATTTTCTATATAGAATACCATGTCATCTTCAAATAGAGATGGTTTTTCTTTCTAATCTTATGCTATTTTTTCTTTTTCTTTGCTGATTGCCTTTGTTTGAACCTCCAGAACTATGTTGAATAGAAGTGGCAAGAATGGATGTCCTTGTCTTGTTCCTAATCTTAAAAGGGAAAGCTTGACAGTCATTAAGCATAATATGAGGGATGAGTTATTTGTAGATGCCCTTTAACAGGTTGAGGAAGTTCCCTTCCATTCCTAGTTTGTTGAGTGTTTTTACCATGAAAGGGTTTTTTATTTTGCCAGAAGCCTTTTCTATTTCTATTGAGCTGATTATATGTTTTCCCTTTATTCTATTAATATGGTGCATTATATTGATTTATTCATATGATAAACCAACCTTGCATTCCTGAGATAAATCCCACTTGGTTTTGATGTGTAATCCCGTTTCTGTCTTCTTGGATTCAGTGAGCTAGTATTTTTGTAGTATTTTACATCTGTAGTCACAAGGGATATTGGTCTGCAGTTCTGTGATATCTTCGTCTGCCTTTGATATCAGGATAATACTGGCCTACATAGAAGGAATCAAGAAGTGATCCTTCTGATTATGTTTTTTGTATGAGATTGTGAATAATTGGTGTTACCTCTTCTTTAAATATTTGGCAGAACTTATCAGTGAAGCTTGGTCCAAGCTTTACTTTTGGAGAAGTTTTCTGATTATTAACTCAGTCTTTTCTCATTATAAGCCTACTGAGATTTTTTATTTCTTCTTGAATCGATTTTGATCATTTCTTTATCTAGAAATTTGTCTACTTAATCTAGGTTGTCTAATATCTTGGTATATGATTGTTCATAGTATCCCCTCATCCATTCTTAATTTTAGTGATTTGAGTCTTCGGTTTTTCCTTGGTGAATCTAGCTAAAGATTTCAGTTTTTGTTGATGTTTTCAAAGACCAAACTTGGTTTCTTTAATTTTCTCT
Organism: Homo sapiens; assembly: GCF_000001405.40. NCBI lineage: Eukaryota > Metazoa > Chordata > Mammalia > Primates > Hominidae > Homo > Homo sapiens. The sequence continues at coordinate 73,660,251 of NC_000002.12, forward strand.
TGCATTTTCCTAATCTCTGTTTTATTTATTTCCATTCTAACATTTAGCATTTCCCTCCTTCTACTTATTTTTGTTTTAGTTACATAGAACTTTAGTTACGTAGAGCTCATCTTTTTCTAATTCCTTTTTAAAATAATTTCAATTTTTATTATAGATTAAAGGACACATGTGCACATTTATTACATGGGTATATTGCTTGACACTGAGGTTTGGGGTATAAATAATCCCATCACCCAGGTGGTGAGCATAGTACCCAATCGGTGGTTTTTCAGCCCATTCCCTCCTCCTTTCCTCCCATCTAGAAGTCCTCACTTTGTATTATTCTCATCTTTATGTATATTCAGTGTTCAGCTCCCGCTTGTAAGTGAGAACATGCAGTATTTGGTTTTCTGTTCTTGCATTAATTGGCTTAGGATAATGGCCTCCAGCTCCATCCATGCTGCTGCAAAGGGCATGATTTTATTTTATTTTTATGTCTGCACGGTATTTCGTGGTGTATATACACTACATTTTCTTTATCCATCCACTGTTGGTGGCCACCTAGGTTGATTTCATGTCTTTGCTATTATGAATAGTGCGGGAAAGAGCATGTGAGTACATGAGATTTTTTGACAGAATGAATTCTTTTCCTTCGAATATATACCCAGTAGTGGGATCGCTGGGTTGAACAGTGGTTCTTTTTCAGTTCTTTGAGAAATCTCCCAACTGCTTTATACAATGGCTGAACCAGTTTGCATTCCTACCAACAGTGTATAAGCATTCCCTTTTCTCTGCAGCCTTGACTGCATCTGTTATTTTTTGACTTTTTAATAATCAGAATTCTGACTGGTGTGAGATGTTATCTCATTGTGGTTTTGATTTGTATTTCTCTGATGAATGGTGATGTTGAGCATTTTTTCATGTTTGTCAGCTGCTTGTACATCTGCTTTTGAGAAGTGTCTTCCTGTTCTTTGCTCCCCCTACTTTTTTTTTTTTTTTTTTTTTTTTGAGAAAGGGTCTCACTCTGTCACCTAGGCGGTAGTGCAGTGGCACGATCTTGGCTCACTGCAACCTCCGCCTCCCAGGTTCAAGCAATTCTTGTGCCTCAGCCTCCTGAGTAGCTGGGATTACAGCTAATTTTTAAATTTTTAGTAGAGATGGGATTTCGCCATATTGGCCAGCTAATTTTTTAAATTTTTAGTAGAGATGGGGTTTCGCCATATTGGCCAGGCTGGTCTTGAACTCCTGGCCTCAATTGATCTTCCCACCTTGGCCTCCCAAAGTGCTGAGATTACAGGTGTGAGCCACCGTGCCCAGCCCCTTTGCCCATTTTTACAAATGGAATTATTTGATTTTTGCTTTTTAAATTTTTACATTTCCTTACAGATTCTGGACATTAGAGATTTGTTGGATGCATAATTTCCTAATATTTTCTCCCATTCTGTGAGTTGTCTCTTGATTGATCATTTATTTTACTGTACAGAAGCTCTTTGGTTTAATTAGGTACCAATCATCAATTTTTTTATTTTGTTACAATTGCTATTCAGGACTTAGCCATAAACTATTTTCCAAAGCCAATATTGAGAAGGGTATTTCCTAGGTTTTCTGCTAGGATTTTTGTAGTTTGAGGTCCTCCATTTAAATCTTTAATGTACCTTGATTTTTTTAAATATAGTGAGAGGTAAGGGTCCAGTTTCTTCTGCATATGGCTAGCCAGTTATCCCAGCACCATTTATTGAATACAGAGTTCTTTCTTCATTGCTTATTTTTGCCAATTTTTTGAAGGTCAGATGGTTGTAGGTGTGCAGGTTTATTTCTGAGTTCTCTACTCTGTTCCATTGGTCTATTTGTCTGTTTTTGTACCGGTACCATGCTGTTTTGGTTACTGTAGCCTTACAGTGGAGTTTTAAGTTGGGTAATGTGATGCCTTTGGCTTTGGTGTTTTTGCTTGGGATTGCTTTGACTATTTGGGTTCTTGTTTGGTTCCAAATGAATTTTAGAATACATTTTTCTAATTCTGTGAAAAATGATATGCTATTTTGATAGGGATAGCATTGAATCTGTAAATTGCTTTGGGAAGTGTGGCCATTTTAACAATAATATTGATTCTTCTCATCCATAAGCATGGAATTTTTTTCCATTTATTTGTCATCTCTGATTTCATTCAGCAATGTTTTATAGTTCTCCTTGTAGAGATCTTTCACCTCCTTGATTAGGTATTTCATTTTTTGTGGTTATTGTAAATGGGATTGTGTTCTTCATTTGGTTCTCAGCTAGAACGTTACTGATGTAGAGAAATGCTACTGATTTTGTATCCTGAAACTTTAATAATTTGTTCATCAGGTCCAGGAGGCTTTTGGTGGAGTCTTTAGGGTATTCTATGTAACTCATATCATCAGCAAAGAGAGATAGTTTGACATCTTGTTTTCCTATTTGGATGCCTTTCACTTCTTTCTCTTCCATAATTGCTCTGGCTCAGACTTTCAGTACTAGAAGTGGTGAGAATGGGCATCCTTGTCTTGTTCCAGTTCTCAAGGGGAATACTTCCAACTTCTGCCTATTCAGTATGATGTTGGCTCTATGTTAGTCATAGAAAGCTCTTATTATTTTGAGGTGTGTTCCTTCAATGCCTTGTCTGTTAAGGGTTTTTATCATGAAGGGGTGTTGGATTTCATGGAAGATGTTTTGTGCATCTACCAGGCTGCTCTGGGGTCCAAGGCCTATGGAGGTCCCTTGTGGACTTGAGTGTTGCCTCCTTATACACTCTGGGCAGGCAGCTCCCTGTATCAGTCTATATGCCTGGGGGTCAGGAGGAATCTCCCATCCCAGGATTGCACAGGTCCCCGCAGGAAGTGTAGATCCCCCAGGGGCTCTCACTCACTATGGAAACCATTTAGTTGCCCATAGTAATGTGGTTGAATTCTCTTTAACTGCCTTATACATGTTTATAAGTTGCTGTTTGAATCCCCTTCCCAGGACATGACTGGTAATTGTGTGTGGTTTGTATTAATTTTGTTCCTTGGAGCTTGGAGAAGCCAGAGAGGGAGTAGGTGATTCTAGGACTCTGTGCAACCTCCTGAAGTGACATTTTTCTCTGCGATTGTTTTAAAACTCACAAACTGATGGCTGCTTTAGCAATTGCAGGGTAAGGGAAATACCTAGTTCTATGGGACGTGCCCTTGAGGTTTTGCTTTTGTACTTCTTTAAGGTGGCTGTTGGCTGCTTTGGTGGCTTCCTAGTGTACAGTAATATTGCTGGGCCTGATTTTTTTTCTAGCAAATCTTCATAATGCAGCTAAGCTATTCAGATCTAAGAGATAATTTTCTAGACATTTTTCTGATTTCTTTCTGGCTAGAAGGAGTATATGATTAATCTTCATTCAAGCTGGGGCAGAAATGCTGTTTTCTTTTTTAAACAGGGTTGCATGTCTCTAGTTGAGAAGTTTATCTCTTACCTTAGTCACCTTTTCTGTCAAAAGTGGGCTATCCGTAGGGTATTTTGAATGTAATGACTCACCTTTCACCCTCTGTATGTATGATCCTTTGTGGAGAAAGAACTGTGTATTAGCTCTAAATTTGTGATATGAGTTGAGCCCCTTCTCTGGATTCTGAAGATTCTTTTCATGTTTTGTTTGTTTGTATATTTCAGTCATGGAAGAGGAGATTCATTATACCTGTCTATTTCCTAAAATCCATCACCTGTTTTCTCAGTGTTTCTCTCTCTCCTATTTACTCAGCTTCTCTGTATCTATAGGCTGCTTCCTCTTCACTGGAACCATGCTTTAGTCATTCCTCACATGGACTGGGGAGGACAAGTGTGACAGGATGGCTTCTGTTGATGTTTCTACTGCCTTACATCTTTCTCTTTATTACCAAATATGTAATCTTTTATTAAGTATAAAGATAAAAGGATAGTTAAATATAAAGAGTTCAACAACATAGAAAATAAAAAGGCCTTGTAATTCATCCGTAATTCTCCCCATCCTGAAATAGTCCTGATTAACATTTTATATATAATCTTCCAGTTTTATATTTTATGATTCACATACCTTGTTTTATTTTAAAAAATGGAATTATACCAGGTGATTTGAAAGTCTTATTTTCAACTTTTGTTTGTTTTGAAACTGTTCATTTAATATATCATAATAGACATCTTTCTGTGTGAAATACAGATTTATGTAGTCTTTTTTATTGCTTTATGAGTTCCATTGTATACTTATACTGTTTAATTAGTTCCCTAATAACAGATATTTAAATCATTTAAAATATTTCTTTTTTATTATTATTATACTTTAAGTTCTAGGGTACATGTGTACAACGTGCAGGTTTGTTACATATGTATACATGTGCCATGTTGGTGTGCTGCATCCATTAACTGGTCATTTACATTAGGTATATCTCCGAATGCTATCCTTCCCCCCTCCCCCCACCCCACAACAGGCCCCACTGTGTGATGTTCCCCATCCTGTGTCCAAGTGTTCTCATTGTTCAATTCCCACCTATGAGTGACATAGGTGTTTGTTTTTCTATCCTTGCGATAGTTTGCTCAGAATGATGGTTTCCAGCTTCATCCATGTCTCTACAAAGGACGTGAACTCATCCTTTTTTATCACTGCATAGTATTCCATGGTCTATATGTGCCACATTTTCTTAATCCAGTCTGTCATTGATGGACATTTGGGTTGGTTCCAGGTCTTTGCTATTGTGAGTAGTGCCACAATAAATATACGTGTGCATGTGTCTTGATAGTAGCATGATTTATAATCCTTTGGGTATATACCCAGTAATGGGATGGCTGGGTCAAATGGTATTTCTAGTTCTAGATCCTTGAGGAATCACCACACTGTCTTCCACAATGGTTGAACTAATTTACAGTCCCAACAACAGTGTAAAAGTGTTCCTATTTCTCCATATCCTCTCCAGCACCTGTTGTTTCCTGACTTTTTAATGATCACCATTCTAACTGTTGCGAGATGGTATCTCATTGTGGTTTTGATTTGCATTTCTCTGATGGGCAGTGATGATGAGCATTTTTTCATGTGTCTGTTGGCTGCATAAATGTCTTCTTTTGGGAAGTGTCTGTTCATATCCATTGCCTAGTTTTGATGGGGTTGTTTGATTTATTTCTTGTAAATTTGTTTACGTTCGTTGTAGATTCTGGATATTAGCCCTTTGTCAGATGGGTAGATTGTAAAAATTTTCTCCCATTCTGTAGGTTGCCTGTTCACTCTGATGGTGGTTTCTTTTGCTCTGCAGAAGCTCTTTGGTTTAATTAGATCCCATTTGTCTATTTTGTCTTTTGTTGTTATTGCTTTTGGTGTTTTAGTCATGAAGTCCTTGCCCATGCCCATGTCCTGAATGGTATTGCCTAGGTTTTCTTCTAGAGTTTTTATGGTGGTAAGTCTGACATTTAAGTCTTTAATCCATCTTGAATTAATTTTTGTATAAGCTGTAAGGAAGGGATCCAGTTTCAGCTTTCTATATATGTCTAGCCAGTTTTCCCAGTACCATTTATTAAATAGGGAATCCTTTCCCCATTTCTTGTTTTTATCAGGTTTGTCAAAGGTCAGATGGTTGTAGATGTGTGGCATTATTTCTGAGGGCTCTGTTCTGTTCCATTGGTCTATATCTCTGTTTTGGTTACCAGTACCATGCTATTTTGGTTACTGTAGCCTTGTAGTATAGTTTGAAGTCAGGTAGCGTGATGCCTCCAGCTTTGTTCTTTTGGCTTAGGATTGTCTTGGCAATGCGGGCTCTTTTTTGATTCCATATGAACTTTAAAGTAGGTTTTTCCAATTCTACGAAGAAAGTCGTTGGTAGCTTGATGGGGATGGTATTGAATCTATAAATTACCTTGGGCAGTATGGCCATTTTCACAATATTGATTCTTCCTATCCATGAGCATGGAATGTTCTTCCATTTGTTTGTGTCCTCTTCTATTTCATTGAGCAGTGGTTTGTAGTTCCCCTTGAAGAGGTCCTTCACATCCCTTGTAAGTTGGATTCCTAGGTATTTTATTCTCTTTGAAGCAATTGTGAATGGGAGTTCGCTCATGATTTGGCTCTCTGTTTGTCTGTTATTGGTGTATAGGAACGCTTGTGATTTTTGCACATTGATTTTGTATCCTGAGACTTTGCTGAAGTTGCTTATCAGCTTAAGGAGATTTGGGGCTGAGGCAATGGAGTTTTCTAAATTTACAATCATGTCATCTGCAAACAGGGACAATTTGACTTCCTCTTTTCCTAATTGAATACCCTTTATTTCTTTCTCCTGCCTGATTGCCCTGGCCAGAACTTCCAACACTGTGTTGAATAGGAGTGGTGAGAGGGCATCTCTGTCTTGTGCCAGTTTTCAAAGGGAATGCTTCCAGTTTTTGCCCATTCAGTATGATATTGGCTGTGTGTTTGCCATAAACAGCTCTTATTATTTTGAGATATGTCCCATCAATACCTAGTTTATTGGGAGTTTTTAACATGAAGGGCTGTTGAATTTTGTTGAAGGCCTTTTCTGCATATATTGAGATAATCATGTGGTTTTTGTCTTTGGTTCTGTGTATATGATGGATTACATTTATTGATTTGCATATGTTGAACCAGCCTTGCATCCCAGGGATGAAGCCAATGTGATCATGGTGGATAAGCTTTTTGATGTGCTGCTGGATTCAGTTTTCCAGTATTTTATTGAGGATTTTTGCATCAATGTTCATCAGGGATATTGGTCTAAAATTCTCTTTTTTTGTTGTGTCTCTGCCAGGCCTAGGTATCAGGATGATGCTGGCCTTGTAAAATGAGTTAGGGAGGATTCCCTCTTTTTCTGTTGATTGGAATAGTTTCAGAAGGAATGGTACCAGCTCCTCTTTGTACCTCTGATAGAATTCAACTGTGAATCTGTCTGGTCCTGGACTTTTTTTGGTTGATAGGCTATTAATTATTGCCTCATTTTCAGAGCCTGTTATTGGTCTATTCAAGGATTCAACTTCTTCCTGGTTTAGTCTTGGGAGGGTGTATGTGTCCAGGAATTTATCCATCTCTTCTAGATTTTCTAGTTTATTTACATAGAGGTGTTTATAGTATTCTCCGATGGTAGTTTGTATTTCTGTGGGATCGGTGGTGATATGCCCTTTATCATTTTTTATTGCATCTATTTGATTCTTCTCTCTTTTCTTCTTTATTAGTCTTGCTAGCGGTCTATCAATTTTGCTGATCTTTTCAAAAAACCAGCTCCTGGATTCATTGATTTTTGGAAGGGTTTTTTGTGTCTCTATCTCCTTCAGTTCTGCTCTGATCTTAGTTATTTCTTGCCTTCTGCTAGCTTTTGAATGTATTTGCTGTTGCTTCTCTAGTTTTTTTAACTGTGACATTAGGATGTCAATTTTAGATCTTTCCTGCTTTCTCTTGTGGGCATTTAGTGCTATAAATTTCCCTCTACACACTACTTTAAATGTGTCCCAGAGATTCTGGTATGTTGTGTCTTTGTTCTCATTGGTTTCAAAGAACATCTTTATTTCTGCCTTCATTTCGTTATGTACCCAGTAGTCTTTCAGAAGCAGGTTGTTCAGTTTCCATGTAGTTGAGCGGTTTTGAGTGAGCTTCTTAATCCTGAGTTCTAATTGGGTTGCACTGTGGTCTGAGAGACAGTTTGTTATCATTTCTGTTCTTTTACATTTGCTAAGGAGTGCTTTACTTCCACCTATGTGGTCAATTTTGGAATAAGTGCGATGTGGTGCTGAGAAGACTGTATATTCTGTTGATTTGGGGTGGAGAGTTCTATAGATGTCTATTAGGTCTGCTTGGTGCAGAGCTGAGTTCAATTCCTGGATATCCTTGTTAACTTTCTGTCTCGTTGATCTGTCTAATGTTGACAGTGGGGTGTTAAATTCTCCAATTATTATTGTGTGGAAGTCTAAGTCTCTTTGTAGGTCTCTAAGGACTTGCTTTATGAATCTGGGTGCTCCTGTATTGGGTGCATATGTATTTAGGATAGTTAGCTCTTCTTGTTTAATTGATTCTTTTACCATCATGTAATGGCCTTCTTTGTCTCTTTTGATCTTTGTTGGTTTAAAGTTTGTTTTATCAGAGACTAGGATTGCAACCCCTGCCTTTTTTTGTTTTCCATTTGCTTGGTAGCTCTTCCTCCATGCCTTTATTTTGAGCCTATATGTGTCTGTGCACATGAGATGGGTCTCCTGAATACAGCATACTGATGGGTCTTGACTCTTTATCCAATTTGCCAGTCTGTGTCTTTCAATTGGAGCATTTAGGCCATTTACATTTAAGGCTAATATTGTTATGTGTGAATTTGATCCTGTCATTATGATATTAGCTGGTTATTTTGCTCGCTAGTTGATGGAGTTTCTTCCTAGCATTGATGTTCTTTACAATTTGGCATACGTTTGCAGTGGCTGGTACCGGTTGTTCCTTTCCATATTTAGTGCTTCCTTCAGGAGCTCTTGTGAGACAGGCCTGGTGGTGAGAAAATCTCTCAGCATTTGTTTGTCTGTAAAGGATTTTATTTCTCCTTCACTTATGAAGCTTAGTTTGGCTGGATATGAAATTCTAGGTTGAAAATTCTTTTCTTTAAGAATGTTGAATATTGGCCCCCACTCCTTTCTGGCTTGTAGAGTTTCTGCTGAGAGATCAGTTGTTAGTCTGATGGGCTTCCCTTTGTGGGTAACCTGACCTTTCTGTCTGGCTGCCCTTAAGATTTTTTCCTTCATTTCAGCTTTGGTGAATCTGACAATTATGTGTCTTGGAGTTGCTTTTCTCGAGGAGTATCTTTGTGGCATTCTCTGTATTTCCTGAATTTGAATGTTGGCCTGCCTTGCTAGGCTGGGGAAGTTCTCCTGGGTAATATCCTGCAGAGTGTTTTCCAACTTGGTTCCATTCTCCTCATCACTTTCAGGTACACCAATCAGACATAGATTTGGTCTTTTCACATAGTCCCATATTTCTTGGAGGCTTTGTTCATTTCTTTTTACTCTTTTTTCTCTAAACTTCTCACTTCATTTCATTCATTTGATCTTCAATCACTGATTCTCTTTCTTCCACTTGATTGAATCAGCTACTGAAGCTTGGGCATCTCTCACATAGTTCACGTGCCATGGTTTTTAGCTCCATCAGGTCATTTAAGGTCTTCTCTATGCTGTTTATTCTAGTTAGCCATTCATCTAATCTTTTTTCAAGGTTTTTAGCTTCTTTGCAATGGGTTCGAACATCCTCCTTTTGCTCAGAGAAGTTTGTTATTACCAATCATCTGATGCTTACTTCTGTCAACTCGTCAAAGTCATTCTCCATCCAGCTTTGTTCCATTGCTGGAAAGCAGCTTTGTTGCTTTGGAGGGGAAGAGGTGCTCTGATTTTTAGAATTTTCAGCTGTTCTGCTCTGGTTTCTCCCCATGTTTGTGGTTTTATCTACCTTTGGTCTTTGACGATGGTGATGTACAGATGGGGTTTTGGTGCGGAGGTCCTTTCTGTTTGTTAGTTTTCCTTCTAACAGTCAGGACCCTCAGCTGCAGGTCTGTTGGAGTTTGCTGGAGCTCCACTCCTGACCCTGTTCACCTGCGTATCACCAGCGGAGGCTGCAGTACAGCAAATATTGCAGTACAGCAAATGTTGCAGCCTGATCCTTCCTCTGGAAGCTTTGTCTCAGAGGGGCACCCAGCTGTATGAGGTGTCAAGTTGTCCCCTAATGGGAGATGTCTCCCAGTTAGGGTACTCGGGTGTCAGGGACCCACTTGAAGAGGCAGTCTGTCCGTTCTCAGATGGCAAACTCCATGCTGGGAGAACCACTACTCCCTTCAAAGCTGTCAGACAGGGATGTTTAAGACTGCAGAAGTTTCTGCTGCCTTTTGTTCAGCTATGCCCTGCCCTAGAGGTGGAGTCTACAGAGGCAGGCAGGCCTTGTTGAGCTGTGGTGGGCTCCACCCAATTCATGCTTTCCGGCTGCTTTGTTTACCTACTCAAGCCTCAGCACTGGCGGACACCCCTCCCCCAGCCTCGCTGCCACCTTGCAGTTTGATCTCAGACTACTGTGCTAGCAGTGAGTGAGGCTCTGTGGGCATGGGACCCTCCAAGCCAGGCGTGGGGTATAATCTCCTGGTGTGCCGTTTGCTTAGACTGTTGGAAAGGTACAGTGTTAGGGTATGAGTGTCCTGATTTTCCAAGTACCATCTGTCACGGCTTCCCTTGGCTAGTAAAGGGAATTCCCCTACCACTTGCACTTCCCGGATGAGGTGATGCCCCACCCTGCTTCGGCTCACACTCCATGGGCTGCACCCACTGTCCAACAAGCCCCATTGAGATGAACCTCGTACCTCGGTTGGAAATGCAGAAATGACCTATCTTCTGCATCCCTCATGCTGTGAGCTGTAGACTGGAGCTATTCCTATTCAGCTATCTTGGAACCCTCCGGTGGTTTTGAAGTTCATCACTTTTTTTAGCTATCTCCAGGCCTCCTTATCTCACATGAAAATTATATGCAAGTGTCACTTCAGAATTTCCTTCTGAAGATGCATCAGACTAATGTTTGGCTAGCATTCTCTTCAGAGTTTTTCCAGGCCCAGTGAAAATAGCCAGGCTTTTTTTGTCTTACCACCTTACAACAAACAGCTTAAGTCCTATCCAACTACTACATTCTCCCAACACAGATACAAGGCAGCATGTTCACATTATCTCAAGCTTCCTCCAAATACATCTCAACAGTTAGAATTGGATTAGAAAGAGGACTTGTTGGCTTGCTTATCCTGTGGGTAACTGTGACATTGACTGCAGGTAATAATAACAAGATCTCTTTTATTTTTCTAGGTGGCAAACCATGTGATTTCTTCTGACTCTATTTCCTCTTCTGCCAGTAGTTTCCTGAGCTCGAACTCTACTTTTTGCAACAAGCAGAATGTACACATGTTAAACAAGGGCACACAAGCAGGTAATTACTTGAATCTGAACTTTTTCATTGAAATACATTGAAATGGCTCTTAAACATATAAGATACTCAACCTCAATCATAGTAAAGGACATGAAGTTAAAACTATATCCAACTGCCAATTTTCATCTTATCAGATTGGCGTAAATTCAAGTGTGATGGCAAGTTTGTGGGCAAGAGTGTAGGGAAGTGTGTTCCCTTGTATATTCCAGTGGGAGTAGAAGTTGGTTTACTGTGAAAGACAATTTGACAGGTCCTGTCAAAATTACTTTCACTCAGCATTTTTACCTTTGAAATGTCTGCTATAGATATACTATGAATATGTGGATTTTAACCTATAGATATACTTGCATATGTGCAAAATAGTGTACAAAATTAACCACTGAAACATTGTTTTTTATAGCAGAAGATTAAAATGAATTTAGGTATTCCTCAATAGCTGAATGATTACATAAATTATTGTATATCTGGATAATGAATGAAATTCTACATAGAATGAGGAAGCTCTCTCTTTACTAACGTGGAAAGATCTCCAAGGCATATAACTGATTTTAAGAAAAGGTACAGAACAGTGTATGGCATACTACAATATGAGTTTTTTTAAATAAAAGAAATAAAGGAGGGAAGAGAATTGCTTAAATGTGCAAAATGAATTCTCTGGAACCATATGGGGTTGTGAACAGAGTAAATGGAGACCAGAAGTGGGAAGGAGGATTTTTAGCTATTGCCTTTCTATACTTTTGGTTTCATAAAATAAAAATAAATAAACTTTCTTGATTTGTTTCTTCCCCTCAAATCCTGTCTTTACTTCTGTCAACCTCTTCCATACCTGGGTGACTACCAAAAGGACTCTAAGTATTTATTGTCTTTCTGCCTTGGGATCCAGGTGGAAATTCTTTACCCTTTGAACCCATATTCATTCTTCTTTCCCTCTCATACCTAAAATGACTTACAAATAAAACCCTTTCTTTTTTCTTCTCCCTCTTTTTCCCTCCTACTCTCCCCTGTCCTTCCTTCTTTTCCTCTCTCTTCCCATCACTCCATCCCACACAAAGGGATTGTATTTTTGAAACATTAAAAAGGTTCACATACTCACTTGAATAAACCTGTCAACTCAGCCTCAAGGTTACTCCCAGAGACACCTGTGATCCTTCCCCTCAGGTAACTTGGAGATTGTGAACGGTGCCGAAAAACACACTCGAGCCAACTCCAAGTTCCAGCGAGGCTAAATTGGAAGAGGACAGTGATGTGACTTCTTGGTCAGAAGAAAAACATGAAGAGAAAATGCTCTTTACCAGTTATCCTGAGGACAGAAAGTTAAAAAAGAACAAGAAGAATTCCCATGAAGGTCAGTTTCTCATTCCAGATCTTGTAGTAGAGAAACTAGTGAATTTCAAGTCCCCTGCAATGCTGACTCTGTGTTTCCAAGTGATTCTATGTGACCCCCACCTACCCCCAGTCACCACCTTGTCAGATTTTCGAAGTCCAGCATGGCAGTTACACAGTCATCCCTGCAGTGAAACCAAACTCAAGGGCACCCTGTGGCCGCTGACAGCTGAGACCCCTGAGAGCCTGTATTATATGCATCTCCTTGATGAAAGCCAGGTGGGGCTGTAAAAAGTGAAAATTCTGTTTTACTTCTAAAAACTATTTCCTGTAGGAGTTTCCTGGTTTGTTCCTGTGGAAAATGTGGAGTCTAGATAAAAAGAAGGAAAACATGCTCAAGACTCATGACCCTGGCATCTCCCGGTTGGAACCAGTAACCAAGACCAAGCCGTGGAGGGAGCCACTGTGGGAGCGGAACTGGCAGGGGCAGCACCTGGACAGTCGGGGCTACCTGGCAGGCCCAGGCAGAGAGGATGGCAGAAACCCACTGAAGCTGTTTGTGAGAGCAACCCTGCAGGTGCAGTGACGTTTACTTAACTTTAGCCCTACATGTAGGGAGAAGAAGGGTAAGGCGCAGAGAAGCTGGCTCTGTGACTTGGCGAGCTGAGGTGTAGGCCTGAGACGCTCTTTTCCAGCACCTCCGCAGTTCACCTGTTTTCACACGTGAGGACTGAGTTTCTCATCATCTGTCAAAGGCTGCCTTACTCTTAGCCATAGATGGTGCATCACTGTCAGGATCTGGAGACAAGGGCACAGGAGGGAGGATTTGTGGCTCTGCTCATTGGGTTTGTGGGTCCCTGTGTGTGGAGGGCCCAGAGGCCTGATGCTTGTGCAGCCTCATGCATGTTCCTCCATGTCCGCAGCTCCTGTTTCTGCTCCATGTCGGATTTAAAGGAAACCAAGTCTCTTCTGATGTGTCCCTCTGGGGATAAAGGAAAAGTTATTAATGATGTATTTGTTTGAATAGATCTTTAAAATAGCAGCATGGGCAGAGCTGTATTGCGTTGATGTTTCAGAGAGTTGTAATCGCCATAGTCTTAGTTCCTGGCCTATGCTGAAGGCATGTCTTTGATCCCTGTGGGTTCCAAGCTGCAGCTCTCCGCCATAGAGAGGTGTCAGAGGTTTCTTCAACTCTAGGTATTTTCTCGGCATTTGAATCAGGCTTCCCCAGACCTCTTGGGTACGTGGTGTGTTTCCAGCCATATGGAGAGTAGATTGCATCATTAATCTGAGGCTGGGTATTTTCTCTCTCTCTCTCTTTTTTTTTTTTTTTTTTAAGGAATCGCTTCAGTTTCACAGACCTGACTTCATCTCCCACATTGGGGAGCGGATAAAGCGTCTGAAGTTAATAGTCCAGGAGAGAAAGCTGCAGAGCATGTTAAAGAGCGAGCGGGATGCGCTATTCGACATTGACAGGGAACGGCAGGGCCACCAGAATCGCATGCGCCCACTACCCAAGAGAGGTACGCCCTGCCCGTTCACTTTCCTGTGAGTGGAATAGAGAAGGCAAGGTCTGCTGCTGTGCTGCAGAGCCCTGCTAAAGGCCAGCCCAGGCCAGTTACCTGGGCAGACAGCAACCTTTTGCTTGCCAAGACTCAAACCTTCTTAGCTAACAGAACCTCCCCACCTTAGCCGTCAGCACATTCATGATCCAAGTAAGCCCAGTTACTCTAGCCCTGTCACTGCATCTTAAACCAGCTCTGTCTGTGAGCAAGTTAGTTCCAAAAGTATATTGATTTTTCCTGAAAAGATGGGGCTGATTCCAGGCTTGCCTACCTCTTAGGATGGTAATAATGATAATAATAAACACATAGTCCTTACATCTTGCCCAGGCACTGTTCACATTAGCGCTTACAGCACTCTCAGTAGGTACTATTAATATATCTACTTTATAGTGAGAAAACTGAATCAAAGGGAGATTAACTACCTCTCCCAAGGTGACATACTCAGGTGTGCTGCTCTGGAGTCTGCATTCTTAACAATTATGGTAAGCAGATCTTGATAAAATAATGAAAGCTGTGAAAACTACAAAGTACTATCTAATTCTTTCATCAAGCCTTACCTGGAAACTGGCCAGTTTTTTAATTCAAAGCCTAGTCTTTGCTACAGAGTGTTAGGTCCTTAGGGCCTTAGGCTGCTGTCCTGTTACCCTAGTCTAACCCTGGCTTGCCTTGGTCATTGCTCCCCACTCAGTCTTGCCAGCTCAGGGTAGGGGCACCAAGTCCTAGCAGCTCCCTCTCCCAGCTCTTGCACCACACCCTCTGGGTTAAGTCACTGTCCACTGAAAACCCTTTCTTCTCTTCCTTAGTCTTCCTGGCTGTCCAGAAGAACAAGCCTATCAGCAAGAAGGAAATGATTCAGAGGTCCAAACGGTAAGACCAAGAAAACAAGAGTTTGTGTACAAGTGTTAACCAGGCCACCAAGTGGTCAGGAGCTCTGGCTTGCACCCAGAATAAAGGCATTATGCTCAAATTTAAACATTATGAGAAAGTTGTGAGAGTCATTTCTCACTTATGGCACTGAAAAAAAAAGTAGCACATCATGGTATGAATGACTCATATGCAAAAGATGAAAAACTTCTCATTAATTTGCATATCTTAGGCTCCTCTTTATTAACCTAAATGTAAATAAAGAATATTTTAGGCCAGGTGCGGTGGCTCACGCCTGTAATCCCAGCACTTTGGGAGGTCAAGGTGGATAAATCACTTGAGGTCAGGAGTTCGAGACCAGCCTGGCCAACATGGTGAAACCCCGTCTCTACTAAAAATACAAAAAGTAGCCGGGCGTGGTGGTGCACGCCTGTAATCCCAACCACTCAGAAAGCTGAGCCGGGAGGATCCTTTGAACCTGGGAGGCAGAGGTTGCAGTGAGCTTAGATGGCACTACTACACTCCAGTCTGGGTGACAGAGCGAGACTCCATCTCAAAAAAAAAAGATTATTTTAAAATAAAATTAAATATGTATTTGGGTTATTATACCTTTTATCTTAGCAATCCCATTTCTTGGAATTGATCCCATAGGGTGAGAAAGAACAGTGTTCTCCAGAACATATTAAGTTAAACTTTTTTAAAAAATTAAATTTTCGAAGTATGTCAACACTGTTTCCATTTGTGGTCTTTAAAAGTAAGTATTTGTGCCTATGTAGACGTGTATACTTTTATATGCATAGAATATTTCTGGAAGACAGAAAAACCTGATAATACTGATTGCCTTTGGAAAGGAGAACTGATGTAGGATGTAGTAGATTTTTTGACTTTTTGAATGTTGTGTCATGAGGAACGAACATTAGTTACTCATAAATTAATTCATTTGAGTGTTGGATGTGGTGGTACATTTCTGTAATCCTACCTACTCAGGAGTCTTAGGTGAGAGAATCTCTTAAGCCCAGGAATTTGAGACTGCAGTGAGCTATGATCACACCATTACGCTCTGGCCTGGGTAACAGACTGAGACTCTGTATCTAAAAAATAATAAATAATATTTTAAAAAATTAATTCATTTCAGATATTGATATATTGATCATGGGAATGCCAGAGAATAAGTTAAGGTTGACTTTTTTAGGTGTTCATTAGAGACTTGCTTTAATGAGAATAGTTTCTTAGTTGGCATAATGCTTCTGAAGTAAAGGTACTTTAAAACAGTTTATCTTACGGACTTTAAGCATTCCTCTTGAAATCTTGTTTTTACTCTTTCTAGTCAGTCTTTATAGGCAATCCAAAGGGATGCTTTGGATGCTTTAGTCCAGTGGTTCTCAGAGAGTGGTCTGTGGAGTCCTGGAAGTCGCTGAGACCCTTTCAGGCAATTTGCAAGGTCAAAACTAATTTCAGAATGACACCAGGATGTTCTGTGCCTTTTTTGCTGTGTTGGCTATTTGCACTGATGATGCAAGAGTACTGGGAGAGGAGTAAAACCATTGGTGTCTTACCACTATTCAAGACGGTGGCACCAAACCGTACTAGTCTAATAGGCATTGTATCCTGCACAGCCTCCCGCCAGGAGTGTGATGGAAGAACAAGGAAGCAGTGTAAATGGAGGTAAACGGGAAGCACTTCCTTTGCACCGTGAAAGATGATGACTGTTTCAAGGAAAAGCACTTATGCCATGGTTTGTGTCGTGAGCTGAACCAGCTGCCTTTGTCATGGAACATGACTTTTAATTGAAAGAGTAACTGACAGAAAACCAATTATTCTGACTTGTGTTTAGCAGACATTTTCTTGAAAATGAAGAAGTGACTCTCTGACTTCAGGAAAATGTCTGACAGTATCTGTTGCCAAAGAAAATGTGAGTTTTCAAGCCAACAATAGAATTCTAGAAAACTTGTATTCACCACCATGGGCTTGATGACATCTTAGTACTTAGACCTTTCTGACGAGATAGCAGTGACATTAACAAATGTGACGTTTTTCATGTTATCTAAATACATTTGTCAACATTTGGAAGATCTGCACAACTCCCTGGACCAGGATTTTCCAAATGATTGTTGCTTTTTGTTACAAAATCAGGGAATAGATAGAAGATTCAAATAGTACAAGATAGACTGATGGATTTTTATGTAACAGAATAGGAAAAGTTTGCTGACATGCTTTCAGATTCCACCTTGCAACTAATTTTTAAGAAACTACCACTTGTCAGCCAGGCACAGTGGCTCACGCCTCATAAAATGAGTTGGAATGAAGTTTTTCTTTCTTATTCTCTAGAAGAATGTAATGTAATTTATTGCTTAAATAATTAGGAGAATTCACCAGTGAAACCCATCTGGGCCTGGATTTTCTTTTGTGGGATTCATTTTTTTCAATAACTATTCAGATTTCAGTTTTTCTTTTATGCCAAGGTTTAGTAAGTTGTGTTTTTTACGTAATTTGTTCATTTCCTAGAAATTTACAAATTGATGATCCAATGTTATAATATCCTTTTGTTATCTTTTTTTTTTTTTTTTTTTGAGACGGAGTCTCGCTCTGTCGCCCTCAGGCTGGAGTGCAGTGGCACGACCTCGGATCACTGAAAGCTCCACCTCCCAGGTTCACACCATCCTCCTGCCTCAGCCTCCCGAGTAGGTGGGACTACAGACATCCGCCACCACGTCTGACTAATTTTTTGTATGTTTAGTGGAGACAGGGTTTCACTGTGTTAGTCAGGATGTTCTCGATCTCCTGACCTCGTGATCAGCCCTCTTCGGCCTCCCAAAGTGCTGGGTTTACAGGCATGAGCCCCCGCACCTGGCCCTTTGTTATCTTTTTAATGTCTGGACGTTCTAGGATCTGTAGTGATGTTCCGTTTTTATTCCTGATATTATTTTTGCCTCCTGTCATTTTTACCTGATCACTCTTTCCAAGGGGTATATAAATTTCACTAGTATTGTCAAATAACCCACTTTGGGTTTTATTGATTTTTCTCTATCGTATATTGGTCTTATATTGATTTTTTGTTGTTTATTTTGGGGCCGTAGCAGGAGCCACAGCCAGCTCCACATAGTTCAGAGGGCCTGGCAAGTATGGAGGAAGACCCTTGCTTTCCCCTGGAGGTGCTGAGAGTTTAATTCCCGAGGAAGTAAGGGGATTATTTCCCTGTATTGGCAAAGGTTCTAGTTTTTGAGTAGAACTAGAGGACCTCACTTCTCTTGAAGGAGAAGTAGAGAGGCTCCTCCTCATTCCCTTCCCTACAAGTCCCCACGTGACTGATTCTTCCTCTCCAGGGGCTTCTAGAATTAGCAACATTGTTCCCTTTGATCCTTTGGCTGATTACATATCCTGCATTTCTTCTGTAGGGCTGGGTGTTGATAGAGGGCCATAAGACATTATACATAAGGTATTTTATCCCATTTACCTTGTTTCTTACAAAATAAGTCCCAGTTGGAGAATTGTAGTATTAATGTATGTAAGTAACTCATGTTCAGACCATCTCTCTTGATTCCGTAGGGAACACTGGGGCCATATGGTATTACAGTAATATATCATTTGCTTTTTGGTCATGGATATGGGTATCCAAATAGTTTCCAGTGCTGGAGGAGGCACTGTAACGGGCTCTCCTCCAGTATTGAGACCTGGTTCCCCATATTCTAGGGTCTTTGCCCAGAAGGCTGATTCCACCCTCCAAGAAGCTTCCACTGGGGATTAGTGATGACACAAATCCTGTAACTCTTAGCCTGTAGGATATTTCTGGTCCTTTCAGCTTGCTGCTACACGCAGGCCACTATGGAGTGGAGGTGCTGGGAAGCTAGGAGAGGACAATAGGGGTTGCCTCTCCCTGGATCATGTTCAGTCTGGGTAGCTTCCCTGGAAATCTCATGGAGATTCCACAGTAGTTCCGGATCCAGCTTGAGTGGTGGGAGGTATGTAAATCAATCAAGTAAGCAAGGTGTTCTTTCTGGAGAGGGTGCACACTCTGCTCATGTAAAGTCTACATCACTGTATTTTGGTTCCAGGAATTCCCACCCAAACTGCCCCATTCTAAATTAGGCCTCTTCAAATCAATAACAGTTCTTCTGTGACTGCTGGAATATGGAAGCCCAATATTTTAGGGATTACCACAGACTAAGGAGAAGGGAATCCAGACTTCACATGCATTCAGGCCACAAAGAAACACAAGTATTGGCAAAAGTGACAAGCATTCAGCCTACAGATATACCAGACAGGGACAAAGTCTTAAAGATGAGAGTCCTCGTCTTTATATTAGGGCTTCCCCTGTTAAAATGGATGGAGACATCTCTCAACTCCTAGACCTGAAGGGGAGTCCTGCCCATTCCCAACAGTCCTGGATCCCTTGAGCTAGGTCCTAAACCTGACAACCCAGAGTCCTAATAATCAAAACCAAAACCACTCTTTTAGTCAGTTCACAGAACCACCACCACTTACTGCCTCAAAATTGCACCAAATGAAAGGTCCAAGCAGCCACTTCTGCTTTCCTGGTGGGCTGGGGGGATGGGGTTGGCATGCCTGAGGCCCTTCACCAATCTCCCTCTTGGCAACTTAACCCACTCATGCTTCCTCAGACTGCTGCTTCGCCTGTAAGCAGCCTATAAGGGAGGTCGAGTCAGGGCTCAGTCCATAGTCCCATCTGGATCAACCAGATTTGTTTCCCAGGCCCTCCCACCCCACTGCCTCCAAAAAAAAAGCGGGGTTTGTTTGCCTGGTGAGTAACAAAAGTCGCTGAGAACACAGACTTTGATCAATAGGAGTTTTATTACTTGTCACAAGTAGGAAGAGCTCTGGGAATATTCGTCAAAGCAGTGTCTCCTAAGAGAAAATGACAGGAAGGCTTTATAGAGTGATCGAGAGGGGAGAAGGTGCATCATCACATGAAGAGGAGGGGTCCCAGTGACACAGATGGAGGGAGTCATCGTGCCACCACATAGGACGCATGCTATGGTAATGAAACTATAGCTCTCCCAGGGTGCAGGATTTAGCATTGTAATGAGGAAAGTTCACTGTAAGTGAGTTCATCTATAAGTTGCTGGGGTCTGTCAGGAGCAGGTTCCAACTGACTAGGTGACCACATTTCACACAGGGTTTGAGACAAAACCGTCTGCAAGGCAGAAGGCTGTAAAACGGGCTAATTGCTCAAATTCATTAAATTCCTTCACTCCCTGGGGGCCCGCCCTGTCTTGTCTATATAGCCAGTCCTTAGGAAGTGAGGCCAAGCTGAACTGTTGACACAGTCTATGTCTTTACGAGTCTGGGAGCTGGGTGATTTTACCTCTGATGCTAGACTTATTTTTACTGGTTTTGAAGCCTTGCTTACAGCCCTTTCCCAGTTTCTCACGAAATACTCATGAAAGGGGATGGTGGGGAGTGGGCATGGGGAAAAGGGAATGATATTAAAATTAAAGCTAACATCATTGGCCTCTAGGGGGCACTCATGGCTCATCTCCATAGCCCTTGGCTCTTGCAGCTGCCCAAGATGAGAGTCCTGATCTAAGGAAACTCCACCACCACCAAGGCTGGGGTGGTGGCAATGGGGGCATTATTTTCCAAACCTGACTAGGCTACATTTTAAGGGGATCATAGTCACAGAGAACATAGATGTGGACTATTAATTTTCTTTGCCTGAGCAGCCGTAGCCCTATGTGCTCCTCTCCAGCCTTTCAGGGAGCTATGATGGGCCAAAAAATGCTCAGTAGCCCAAGCCATCTCCTCCATAGACACTGGAGTAAAATCTCTGCCTATGGGTGTGTGTGTCTTGTCTTACTCTATCCTGGATTTGTTTCCTCCAATGCTGGTGGCTTTACTTTAGATAGTCTGATTGTTGCAGAGATGAGACCCAAGGCTCCACTCTGGAGAAAATAGAGCCCTCTTGAGAGGTCAGCCCAACTTGCTAGACTTCTGCATGGGGCTTGGGGTTCAATGTTCCAGCCTGTCCCCAAAAAGTCATGGCCAAATTCACATATTCCTTTGATCCCTGATGGTGTCTCATCACACAGTTCGTCTGGCCTCACCATTGCTCCACTAAGTCCAGGAACCTCAAGGAACTATGAGACAGGTAGGGCTAGACTTAACAAAATGGCTATCACAGTCTTCATTTCATGAGACAGAGGTGAACTGAGAAAAGGTGGAAGGTGCTTCAGAGACTTCTCTGTATTCATCCCTAACTTAGGCAGAGAGCCTTGGCCACACAGGAAACTGGGGAAGACCCCTCTCTTACTCAGGAGTCCCCCACACTGGTGCCATCTTATGACAGGCAGGCATCAGCTTCAGAGCCAGTCAAACAGTTAGGAATAGCAAACATTGCTCCAGAATTTGTTGGGGTTTTTTTTCCCCTGAATTTGATAGTAAGCTCCACATAGGCAAGAATGACAACCATCTTGTTCTCCTTGTTTCTCTGGAGTCTAACACAACATGTAGCACGTGGTTGGCCCAATAAGAATTTGTCGAATGGGGGCCAGATGTGGTGGCTCATGCCTGTAATCCCAGCACTTTGGGAGGCTGAGGTGGGAGAGTCGTTTGAGGCCTGGAGTTCAAGATCAACCTGTTCAACATAGTGAGACCCCTATCTTCTTTTTTTTTTTTTTTTTTTTAAAGTGGAGTTTGTTGAATGGCACACAGAAAATAAACAATCCAAATGACAGATCAGAGGTGCTGGAAAAGACCAGGGAGATCTAATCGTTAAATCACGTCATCTAAATATTAAGAGGAGACATTTGGACATCTGATAGAATTTGGCATTGAATAAGTGATAAATACACAGAAAACTGAACAACGGCAAAAAGAAAAGTATCAGTTCTAAGGGAAAAGATACAAATCAAAAGCCTTCAGGAAAGGATAAGTCATCATGGCTTACTGTATAGCTTAGCTTAAAATAACACAGAATAGTGAAGTAGCCCAAAGGGCCATCTAACCACACTGGGAAGCTGAGCAGGGGAGGAGTGCGTATATGCATGGAGGAGACTTGTCTTCACCCTCCTCAGCAGCTGACAGCAGGCAGGCTAGACCTGGACAATGGAGCAGGAGTCACACAGCCTGTGAAAGAAGTGCTGGGGAATGTAGGGGCTGCTGTTTCACATGACAGAGCCATTGAACCCTGGCTGTTTATAATAGTTACATACATAATTTTAATAGAAATAAAAACCAAAAAGAAAAAAGACTTAAACATGAAAGGCAAAACCATTACAATTTTTAGAGGAAAATATAAGAGAGTAAGAACAGAAAAATGTCTTAAGGCACAAAGTGCTAACCATAAAGAAAAAGATTGATAAATTCATCTTGATAAATTTTTTGTTTATCAAAAGGCACCATAAAGACAGTGAAAAGACAAGGCACAAAATGGGAGAAGATAATTGCAGCACATCTGACCAGCAAAGAATTTGTATCCAGAATATATAAAGAACTTCTATGAGTCGGTTTTTTAAAAACACAATTTATATTTAAGTCTCTTTAAAACAAATAGACAATTCATAGAAATATGGTGATATGGTTTGGCTGTGTCCCCACCCAAATCTCATCTTGAATTGTAGCTTCCATAATTTCCACATGTTGTGGGAGGGACCCAGTGGGAGGTAATTGAATCATGGGGGCAGATTTTTCCCATGTTCTTGTGTTAGTGAATAAGTCTCATGAGAGCTGATGGTTTTATAAAGAGCAGTGCCCCTGCACACCCTCTCTTGCCTACCACCACATAAGATGTGCCTTTGCTCCTCCTTCACGTTCTGCTGTGATTGGTCCGCATCCAAATGTCATCTTGAATTGTAGCTCCCATAATCCTCATGTGTTGTGGGAGGGACCTGGTGGGAGGTAATTGAATCATGGGGGCAGATTTTTCCCATTTTCTTGTGATAGTGAATAAGTCTCATGAGAGCTGAGGGTTTTATAAAAGGCAGTTCCCTTGCACAAGCTTTCTTGCCTACCATCATGTAAGATATGCCTTTTTCATTATAAGTTACCCAGTCTTGGATATTTCTTCACAGTGGTATGAAAATGGACTAATACACATGGGCTAAACTCATGAGCAGGCAACTTTATAGAAAAACACAAATAGCCCATAAACATAAAATGTAGATTGAGTTCATTATTAATTAGGGTAATGCATGTTATGGATAGAATAAAATACCTTTTTACATTCACTGGATTGGCACAAAGTTTTGTCTTTGTGCCACTCTAAATGTTGACAGGGATGTTGATCAACTGGAATTCACACACTGCTTGAGGAAGCTTGCATTCACTCTATAATTCAGCATTCTGAAAAGTGCTCACCAATAATCAGCCCAGGAAGGTTCACAAGGACATCTTCACCAAATATGTCCTTTCACCCTAGCAAAGAACTAGAAACAACTCAAGTGTCTTTTGACAAGAGAATGAGTAAATGGCAAGTGGTATGTCACGCAAAAGAATTCTAGACAGAAGAGAAAATTAAGGAACATCAAACTTAGTGAATCTTTGAGACGATGTTGAGTAGGAAAAAAAATTCAGAAGAATATATTGTATGATACTTTTATCATAAGGTTTAAAAGCAAGCCAAGGTAAACATGTGCAGGGACACCTAGGGACCCATGTCATTTTAGGATCAAACAGATAGATGGACAGATGATAGATAGACAGACAGATGGATTTTTTTAACTCAAAATAGTGGTTACATCCTTAGGGAGCTGGGATTGGAGAAGAGACACTTAGCTTTGAAAGTATTGTCAAATATAGTGACCTTTCTAGTTCATTTGGGTGCTGGGTTCAGGGGTATTCATTTTATTATGCACCATAATTTATGTGAGACATTTTATTATATCAAATATTTTCTAATCTTACAGTAAGCAGTTTGGTAAACAGATTCATAACTGCATATAATGTGTAGGTCTTGTGAACAATGCTGCTGTGAATATCAGGACCCAACTGCACTTGTCTCTCACTGCCTTTTGTAAGCCTGCTCAATTGGGGAGTTCTTCCCCTTATACTGGAGATGAGAACTCAGGTAATGCCTCGACTGTTCGGATCACTGTCAGGGGATTACATGTTCTACCGTGCTGACTTTTCACTGAAAGCCCAGTCTCCACTCAATAAGTAAAAGTGTAATAATCGAAACTCCCAATTTGAGTTCCACTTAAAATCTTCTCTCTTCCCCTGCCAGACCTCTCTGCACCATCTAGGGGAGCATAGTCCCCTCTGTCCCTGCCTGACAGGGCTCTCCTCCTCAGCAGCACAGGGAGGTGTCTGACCCATCTGTGTGTGTGTGTCTATGTGGTGGGGATGGGGACCATAGCTTGGCATCCTGCCCTCTCACCCTGGCAGTTCATTGTCTCAAGCTGACTTTCTTGGGTGTTTTCATGGCTTCTTCTGAGGCCTCCCTCTGGAATATTGGATCGTAACTCCAGCAATGCAAGCAATAGGTTTTCCTCCAGCTTCTGGTCCTCCTCCTCCTCCTCCTCCTCCCCAAACCTGGTTTCTAGCAGTCACTCCACTGAGACTCAGAGTCTTCTTGGCCCAGTGCCAGCCTCTTGCATGTCCCAAACCTTGTCCTCAGGAAACACTTATGCATCCTATGCTGGGGTGAACTCTTAAGAGTGCAGGATCACCTCATGGCCACAGCCTAGCTAGGCCCTGAAACCCACACTCTGGGTTTGTCAGACGTGAGTCAGCCCCAGGCCACTGAACCTCTCCCACTGCAGGGAATCCCTGTCAAGTGGTGAAAGCCAGCATCTAGACCTGGAGTCACAGGCACCTGTAGCATAACTCCTCCTGAAATGGAGGTTTTTCTTTAGAGATTGGTCCATATCCCTTATCCCTGGACTTCTGAGAAGGGTGGACAACCTGTGGACTGGACTTGAGTCTGGAATTTAGAGAAGTGTCCATAGTAGGGCTGCCAGATGAGGCAAACACAAATACAGGATGCCCAATTAAATTTGAATTTCAGATAAATGATTTTTAATGTTTGATTCTGTCCCATGCTAAAAATTGCCCACTGTTTATGATAAGTTTAAATTTATTGGTCCATTCTGTACTTTATCAAGGACACACGCAGGAGGAACAGTAGCACAAAGGCTTCCCGGTGCCTTGTGGGTGAAAGAAAGGCTTCCAGGGAAAGGAGAGAAACACCCAGGGATCCCGGTGACGTCGGGAAGCAGCACCCAGACCATGTAAGGACACCGCCTGCAGGGGGAGACTCAAGGCCTGGGAAGGTTTTCTAATCTGTGCCTTGAGTCGGGTGGGGGGATTTTCTGGGAAAGGAAAACCAGACACAGTAGGACAAATATTGTATAGTTTCACTTATATGAAATTGTCAGAATAGGCAAGTTCGTAGAGACAGAATGTAGAACAGGGCTTTCCGGGGGCTGGAGGAGAAGACAAGGAGTTCTTGCCTAGTGGGTACAGAGTTTCTGTTTGAAATGATGAAAAACTTCTGGAAATAGATTGTGGTGACAGTTACACACCATTGTGAACATAATTAGTACCACTGAACTGTACACGTTAAAATGGTTAGTTGTATGTTTTATGTATTTTGCCATAATAAAAACTAGGGGGAAAAAAAGGAAGGGGAGATTGTCTCAGGCTGGCTGACTTTCCCTGCATGTACGCACATCTTCACATGTGCACACATGTAAAACAAAAATGAAGCAAAAAAAGAAATTCTAATTTAACCAGTAAGCAATATGTAAAAGGAAATCTGAATGTCATTACAATTTTACCAGGTTCAGAATAAAATACCATCCTTCAAAATGAACAAATTACTTATTAGCCGAAGAAAGGTGAAAGGAAGTTTGGAATTAACAGTCTAGATTTTCTCACTGATTGGTCCAAGTCACTGACCTCTAAAATTATCTTAGATCATGCCCTCCCTCCTTCCTACTTTCTGGAAAACAATCAGTCTCCTACCCTATGCTTGCCCAAAGAGTTTCCCATACAAATCACAAATCTGCACTTGCCATTCCCTGGAAGCCCTTACATTCCCAAGGCCTGGCCTCATCCACTGCCACTGCCCATGGCCCCAGTCCAGGCAAAGCAATCACTCCCTCTCCCTCTCTGTCATTCCTTTCTTTTCCTTTCACTCTCTTTCTACCCTCCTCTTCCCCACTCTCTGTTTCCTCTCTCTCTCTCTATCTCTCTCTCCCCACCATCTCCTCTCTCTGTCTCCCCCCGCCTTCTCTCTCTGTCTCTGTCTCTCTGTTTCTCTGTGTCTCTCTCTCTGTCTCTCTCTTTGTCTCTCTCTCTGTCTCTCTCTCACACACACACACACACACACACACGCACACACACACACAGCCAGCAACATTCTACCTCTGCCAGAGTTCCAGGTTGAATAGGTGTGGACTTTGACTTTCAGATTCCTCTGGCAAGTGTCAACATCAGTCCTGTTGCTCCCTGGCAGAGGAGGACTTGGAGTCACCTTGGCCAAGAAGCTGTCTGGAGGTCACAGTGGCACCGCCCATCGGCCCCTTGGCTGAGGCTAGATGAGGGCAGATTCAGCACAGCAGCAACTCTCCCCATAAAAAAAATCCCTCAGTGTCTTAGTTCTCTGACCCTTGTACTCCTTGTGAGTTTTAGAGCCACATGAACTCTTCTTTTTTCCCAATGCTTGGAGACAAAATTTACATAACCTACAGTTAGCCATTTTCAAGTGTACAGTTCCCTGCCATTTGGTACATTCACAGTGTTTTGCAAGCAACACCCATATCAAGCCCCAAAACATTTTCATTACCCAGGAAGGAAACCTGTCGTCATGGAACCGTCACTCCTCACATCCCCTTCCCCTCAAACCCTGGCAACCCCAAACCGTTCTTGACAGCCTCCTTTGGCATTTCTTCATTTTGGTGTCAGATCTCACAGCAGAATTTCTTACCTATTATATCCAGTGCCTCAGTGCGAAGTTCCAGTTTAACTTCCTGTTACCTCGAGCCCACTATCTTGCCCCAATAATACCCTCCCCCAATTCACAAACACAGACGCATTCCCTCCTACAGCTTTGGGCCTCCTATCTGAGTCCTTCAGGAAAGAAGAGCTTGTAACTCCCTTAGCAGTGAGTGTAGACTTGGTCCAAGGAAGATGAGCACCAGTCAGGGCAGCTGGCCCCTCCTCTCTCCCTGGTCTTCAGCAAATCAGCACTGCCCATCGATGCCCAGGCAATGGGAGCGTCGACCAGCAGAGGACACACCTGAATTTCTCTGCCTCATGGGAGGGCGGCCACTGTGTTGCATTTAGGAAGAAGCTGTGCAAGATTCATACTGTTTTGCTAATGTTAATCTTGTGGGCATAATAAACGTCGTACCCACACTTAACTTTCGAGATCAGACAAGATTGGGTGTGTTCAGGGTGGTATGGCCGTAGACCCCACACTTATTTTTAACACACTTCTAGGCAAGGCTGCTGCACTGGTCTGGGGATCACACTTTGAGTAGCAAAGGACTAAATTGCAATAACTGCCGGGGGGGGAGAAAAAAAAACAGGATGAACTGCTTCCTCCTGGCTCAGCAGCTAGGGAGTCACTGAACTAACAAGGGGATGGGGTGGGGATAAGAATGTTCCAGGCAAAAGGAACAACATGCCCAAAGGCCTCAAGCAGAAAGAGAGCTTCAGGTATTGAAGAAGTAGAAGTAGCTCTGTGTGGCTGGGGAGTGGGCATAAGATGGAGCAGAAGAATGCCAAGTCCTATTCCTGGGTCTGAATTTCCAGGAGCAGAAGCCCTGTCCCCTCTAGAAGGTGGATATAGTCTGGATATTTGTCTTCTTCAAATCTCATGTTGAAATGTGACCCCCAGTGTTGGAGGTTGGACCTAGTAGGAGGTGTTTAGGTCATAAGAAGTGGATCCCTCCCGAATGGTTTGGTGCCCTCCTCATGACTGAGTTGTTACTCTATTAGTTCGTGTGAGAGCTGGTTGTTTAAAAAAGCCTGGCATCTCTCTGGTTCCCTCTCTTGCCATGTGACACAACTGCTCCCCCTTCACCCTTCCCCATGAGTAAAAGCTTCCTGAGGCCCTCACCAGAGGCATATGCCAGCCCTGTGATTCTTGTACAGCCTGAAAAACTGTGAGTCAAATAAACATCTTTTCATTATAAATTACCTAGTCTCAGATATTTCTTTATAGCAACGCAAAATAGACTATCACAGAAAGTCGGTACCGAGGAGTAGGGCGTTGCTATAAAGATATCTGAAAATGTGGAAGTGGCTTTGGAACTGGGTATGAGGCAGCGGTTGGAAGAGTCTGGAGGGCCCAGAAGACAGAAAGATGAGAAAAGGTTTGGACCTTCTTAGAGATTTGTAATGTCGTTGTAACCAAAATGTGGACAGAAATATGTACAGTAAAGGCCAGCCTGATGAGGTCTCAGATGGAAATGAGGAAGTTATGGGGAACTGGAGCAAAGGTCACCCTTGTTAAGCCCTAGCAAAGAACTTGGCTGCATTGTATCTATGTCCTAGGGCTTTGTGGAAGGCTGAACTTAAGAGTAATGACTTAGGGTATCTGGTAGAAGAAATGTCTAAGCAGCAAAGCATTCAAGAAATGGCCTGGCTGCTTCTAATAGCCTATGATCAGATATTGGAGCAAAGGACTGACTTAAATTTGGAACTATTAAATCAAACTAAAATCTGGCCTGAGAAAGCCTCCTCACTCCCATACTTGAGTCCTTAAGGATGAACCATAACCTAACTTTGTAGGTAGGCCAACTGAAAACCTAACTTAGAAGGATGCTTCTGTAGCAATAGCTGAGCGTCAGCCAATCGCAGCAGCCATGCTTCAGTGACTCACAGGCAGCCTATTGTTCAAACCATGTTCAAATAAGGCAAACACCATGCTGTAACCAATTTGGCTATTTCTGTACCTCACTTCGGCTTTCTGCGTGTCACTTTACTTTTTCTATTCATAAGGTTTTTTCCGACCACATAGCATCTCTGGTGTTGCTCTGAATCTGCTGTGATTCTAGGGACTGCCTGATTTGTGAATTGTCTTTTTTTTTTTCTTCAAAATTAAATTCTGTTAAATTTAGTTTGTCTAAGGTTTTTCTTTTACCAGATCTGGTGTTGGAAGTGCAATTTGAAGTAAAACTCTGGTGACCTCCAGGAACACCAGGTGACCAGGCCAGTTGTGCTCACTGATCTCTTGATTGTAACTGGAGGTTGTAGATGCGTTTTCTCTTGGATTCAGAGCTCCACTAATGTGTATTCTAATTGAAGCTCTCCAACTTTACTGGAGCGATATTAAAGTGGACTGGGTTCAGGATCAAATTTGAATCAATAATTAACTGGATTAGGTTCCGTTAGAGCCTCAGACCTATACTAGGCACTTTTTTTTTTTTTTTTTTTTTGATAATGGGTTTGTCTCAATCCAAAGATTCTGGGACTCTACCTTCTGGGACTCCATCTAATTTGATATGTAAAATTATGGACCCAGAATATGTGCATTTTTAGAAAAATAGATTAACCTTACTAGAGAAAAGATGGCCACAATGGGGAAGTTTTAATTTGTATAAAATTGTTTATTTGCATGGCATATTAGAAAAAGGGGGTCAAAACCCCACAAAAACAGTGGGATATAGTCTTTCATTGGTACATGGAAGCCTCTAAAAGACAAAATGAATGAAAACTTGCCTCCTTAAAAGATTCTTCGCAAAAGCAAGTGAACAGCTTAAGTAACAGGCTAAGGACATGATGAAAGAGAACTGTACTCTGACTGAACTAACCCCAACTGATTCTTCTCTTTATGCATCTCTACCTACGTACTCTGAGTCTACTAACCTTTTTACTAAATTGACCTTTCACTCTCAAGATGATGAAAAAAGAGGAATTAGATGTACGCCTCACAAAGGAAGACCTTCTGATTATCCAGGCCTGCCTGCTATAACCACTTTCACTCCATGGTCTAAAACTGAGCTTAGAGCTATTGTAGAAGACTTCCCTGATCTAGGAGAGAATCCTCAAAAATTGACTGAGGAGTGTAGAATCCTCATAGGAGATTATGATCCAGGACTCCCTGACAAAGGTTCATATAAATTTATTCATATGATATGGAGGCCTGGTGAAGCTCAAAAATGGATGGCAGCAGCAGAATGGAACAAACCGGAGGAAGATATTAAAGACTCTGCCCCTACTGCCCGCCCCCACAAAACTTCCTCATGAGAAGGCCCAACAGGAGCTAGAAATATTGCTGCAAATCCCAGCCTGGGCAACATGGCAAAACCCTGTCTATACGAAAAATACAGAAAGTTAGCTGGGCATGATGGCACACGCCTGTAGACCCAGCTACTTATGAGGCTGAAGTGGGAGGATCACCTGAGCCTGGGAGCTTGAGGCTACTGTGAGCCATGACTGTGCCACTGCACTCTAGCCTGGGTAGCAGAGCGAGACCCCATCTCAAAAGAAAAGAAGGAAAAAAAAATTGCTGAAAATCTTTTAAATTCAAGTGCTAAAATTTTTCCGCAAAAGTTGATTGGTACATCATACAATATTGTAAACCAAAAAAAGAATGAACCAGTGTCAGATTACAGAACTTGCTTAGAAATAATGTGAAACATTCTGGGCTCAGAGTACCAGCAAGGAGTATTTCCTGCAGGGACTGAAATGGTATTAACTACTCTATTTATAAAGGGACTTCATCCTGAACTTAGAAATTTAATTAGAAAACATAAACTCGGATGGGAAGTTACAGCCATGACTGAATTGGTGGCTCTAGCTGAACATTTTGAGAGGACTGTAGAGCAAGAAAAAACCCAAAAGGCTAACAAGCTTATGACTGTTCAATTACAACAGTTACAGGGGCCAAGACCAAAGGGATCTTCTCATTCTCATTTTAAATCACAACCAAGAGGTATTAGACCAAGAAATTCTTCACCCTAAGATGTCTGCCTTATTGCAAACAACCAGGACAGTGGAATAGGGATTGTGCCCTTTTATACCAGCCCACCAATGACCCTCCCTTTAGGCCAGCCTGTTTCACCACTAGAGGGAGCACAAGAGACCTTAGCTCTCCTGAAGATAATCAGCATTGAAGCGGCTCTGAGGGATTTCCCAGTATATTGCTCCTCATAACACCCTTAAAAGAATATGGAGAAACAGAGGTTACAATAAATGGGGACTCATGTATAGTCTTGGTGGATACCAGAGCTACCTTATCTGCCACTACCGTAAAACACACTTTCATACGCCAACAGATCCCTCAGAGTTAAAAAGGCTATTTCTGTGGTTGGGGTTTCAAATCAAATTCAAGAGGTTCCCATATCTGAACCCGTCCAATTGACTTTGGGGCACTCTTCAGAAAATCACACTTTTTTACTGTATGATAGTGCTCCAGTAAATTTGCTAGAGGGAGATTTACTTTCAAAGCTGAAAGGGCATAGAAGACTACCTATTGGGTACATTGTACACTGCTTGGGAAATGGGCACACTAAAATCTCAGAACTCACCAGTAAAGAACTTGTCCATGTAACCAAAAACCACCTGTACTCCCAAAACAATTGAAATTGTTTAAATTAAAAAATTTTTAAAAGTGGGGAGGATGTAAAATTTTCCTTAGAAGGAGTAAGAATCAGTTTCCTGATTCTCCTGAACCAGAATTGTTATGCTCTCTATAGGCAGAAATTAATAAGATTGAAACTCAGGCCTGTAATGCCTGATCTTCCAAAAATACATGAATGTTTATGGGTCTCTTCCTCAACTGACACAGGAAGAATTTAAAGTGTGGAACTTATAAAAGTCCAAATAGACCACTCTAAACTTTTGCCTAAATTACCCAATATCCACTAAAACTAGAAGCAATTCAAGGGCTCTCGCCAATTATAGAAGATTTAATTAAACAGGGACTTATAATTCTATGCACCAGCCGTTGTAACACTCCAATCCTACTGGTTAAAAAAAAAATGGATGAGGTTGAAGATTTATTCAAGATTTATGGGCAGTTAACAAAATTGTAGTAGCAAGGTTTCCTATAGTCCCAAATCCTAATACTTTATTATCCAGTATACATGCTGATTCTTAAGTGGTTCACAATATTAGATCTCTGCTCAGCCTCTTTTTGCAATCCAATTCGTAAAGAGAGTCAATGCTTATTTGCCTTCACTTGGAAAAATCAGCAGTACCCCTAGACTGTGATGCCGCAAGGGTTTACCGAAGCCCCTTCGTATTTTTCCCAGGCCTTGCATCAGGACTTAATGACATTATAGTTTCCTTAAAATTCTACTCTCATTCGGTACATAGATGACTTACTATATGCTCTCCCACTAAAGAGTGCTCTGAAATGGACTCAGTTTACCTTTTACAGCAACTCACACATCAAGGTCAGAAAGCTTCAATAGAAAAACTTCAGTTTTCAAGGGGAAAAAGTCCATTATTTGGGACATGACTTGAAGGGATTTCCCTCTCACCTAAAAAGTTAAAAACTATTCAAAATTTTCCTTGGCCTGCAACCAAAAGATAATTAAATAGTTTTCTTGGACTTGCAGGATATGTTTTTAGACTTGCAGGATATAAAATTCCTGGGTTCTGAATTTTTCCTTAATAGCCTCACCATTTCATGAGCTCCCTAAAAAATGCTGTACCAGAGCCTTTATCTTGGGATGATAGTTACGAGCAGGCTTTTAGCTAAATAAAATTGACCTTGTAACAGCCTCCAGCTTTAGGACTTCCAAATTGCACTAAACTGTTTACCTAATTGGCTCATGAAAGTAATAATCAGGCATTTAGGAGTTCTTACCCAGGAACATGGGGAGAAACATAGGCCCATTGCATATTATAGCCTGCAATTAGACCCAGTAGCTAAGGTATATCCTAACTATTTAAAAGCAGTAGCAGCAGCAACCAGGATGAAAGAAGCTTCAGCTGATCTGGTTTTAGGAAATGAATTTAATTTGGAAGTCCCACATGCTAAATTCCACCCAAACCCAGCATTTTTTAGTAAGTAGACTAACATGAAATACTCTGTCTCCTTCTAATCTCTCTCTAAAACACTGCAATTTACTTAACCATGCCACTGTATTACTGCTGCCTGATGATGGTGAAGACCACAATTGCATAAGTGTAGCATCAGAAATAGTGGCCCCTCATGTTAATTTACAAGTTAGTCCTTTGGACAATCCTGAGTTAATACTTTTGTTGATGGGTCCTATGCCAAAAGCTCAGAAGGAAAATATCAGCTAGGATATGCTGTTACCAAAATGAG
Organism: Homo sapiens; assembly: GCF_000001405.40. Classification (NCBI taxonomy): domain Eukaryota; kingdom Metazoa; phylum Chordata; class Mammalia; order Primates; family Hominidae; genus Homo; species Homo sapiens. The sequence continues at coordinate 73,693,090 of NC_000002.12, forward strand.
TTAATAGAGAAGGGACCCCTTCCTCTATTAGTCAGCTCTATTAGTCTAAGCTCTATAAGTCAGCTTAACTCTTGAAGATTTTTGCCCTCACCCAAGCTTGTCGTATAGCTAAAGACAAATCAGTAAGTATTTAGACAGATAGTAGATACGCTTTAGGAGTAGTACATGATTTTGGCATGATAGGGAAACTCTAAGGGTTTCTCACTTCTAGTGGGATCACCATCAAAAATGGACTCCAGTTAGATAAACTCCTAGTTTGCTGTTAGTGATCGAAGCTCATACCTGCAGAACTGAACCTGAATATCAAGGGAATGCTTAGCAGATATTTATGCTAAATCAGCTAGTACTGAAACTGTTCAGATATGCAACCTGAATGAACTTCATAAGATTAATCCAATCCAACTACCTTACAATGACCTATTTAATAAACAGTGCAATGCACCTCATTTGGAAAAACAAAACTGGTATCTAAAAGGATATAAATTCAATGTTAAGTGCAGACTCACAGAGGGCCTAGATGGCTGTCTGGTCTTTCCTGAGTCTTTGAAGCTTCTATTTTCAAAAGCTCTGTACTCCACAACTCATCATGGAACAGAAAAATACGTCCAAATTGTGAAAAAATACTTGTGGGATGATTGTTCCAAAATTGCTAGAATATATATATATATATATATGTATATATATTTTGAGACGGAGTCTCACTCTGTCACCCAGGCTGGAGTGCAAGGGCGCGATCTCAACTCACTGCACACTCCACCTCCCTGGTTCAAGTGATTCTCCTGCATCAGCCTCCCGAGTAGCTGGGACTACAGGTGTGTGCCACCATGCCCGACTAATTTTTTTTTATTTTTAGTAGAGATGGGGTTTCACCATGTTAGCTAGGATAGTCTGGATATCCTGACCTTGTGATCCACCTGCCTCGGCCTCCCAATATGCTAGGCTTACAGGCATTATCCACTGCACCCAGCCTGCTAGAATATTTTATAACCAATGTTGGCTTGTCAAACCCATAGTCCTGGAAAAACAAAAGATTCAGGTGGTGTATTGTATTTTCACCACCTAATGGATCATTTGAACAATTATAGATAGACTTCATTCAGTTGCCACCTTCAATGGGGGTCTCAGTATGTTCTTGTAATAGTTTCCATGTTTTCTGGTTGGGTAGAGGCCTTCCTGTGTAGGAAAGCTGATGCTGTGACAGTAGCTAAGAAATTATTAGAAAATGTGTTTTCTTTATGGAGCATCCCTGGAAAAATCCCCAGCAATAGGGGAATTCATTTTATTAGGCAGGTTATAAAGCAGTTAAACAAGGTGTTATGGACACAATGGCACTACCATTGTCCCTATCGCCCTCAGTCTTCTGAAAAGGTTGAAAGAACAAATGGCATATTAAAACTGAAATTGGCAAAGTTAACTGAATCAGTTGGGTTGCCTTGGCCAAAGGTACTATCATTGGACTTAATGACAATCAGATCCACTCTCACTAAAAAACAGAAGTGGATCCCTTATGAAATAGTCACTAGAAGGCCTATGCCCCAATAGTGAAACCTCATGCATCTTTCTGTCTCCTAAATTCTGATATGAGTAAGTACTGCAAGGCCATTATACCAAAGTGTACTTTCACCAGATAAAGGAAGCTTTTCAAGATCCACCAACTGAGGATAATCAAACCTTCCACAGTCTAGAACCTGGAGATTGTGTCTTCTGGAAATGACATCAGAGAAAGGCTGCTCTTGACAACTCTTTGGAAGGGACCGTGCTGAGATCTTCTCAACACCTACACTGCAGTGAAGCTTCAGGGCCTTGAAACTTGGGTCCACACCTCACAACTCAGAAGGGCCTCTTCAGACTCCTGGAACTGTACACCTGCTGGAGACTTTAAGGTAAAGCTGTCTAAGGAAATATCTCTCCAGAGCAGCGGGCATTCTAGCTGTGGACAGCTTTCCCAAGATCACAGATCAAGACTTCTGTATCATCATGAAAGCCTTACATTTTTTCTTTTCTCCGCATTTCCTGTTGCCCTAATTCTTTCTTTTTCCCTACAGAAAAATCCATGGGACGATAATCAGTGGATGGCTTTAGCTTGAGCATATGCTCTAGCACAGAACCAGAGTTTGTGGCTTATTGGGTTTGTTTTTATTGCCAAAAAAATAAGGAAACAATTCCGCTAATGCCAATGCCTCTCCATGTTGCCAATGAGAGTCACCCCAAAATTCCAAGGGAAGGATAGAAAGCTATCCTTGATATTCTGAACACCATTGCTACTTGTTTTCCTGCACTCACTAAAAGCAACACTTTAACTTTTCCTTTTTTTTTTTTTTTCTGAGGCAGTCTCACTCTGTTGCCTAGGTTGGAGTGCAGTGGCCTTATCTTGGCTCACTACAGCCTCCACCTCCAAGGTTCAAGCAATTCTCCTGCCTCAGCCACCCAAGTAGCTGGGACTCTAGGCATGCACCACCGCATCCAGCTGATTTTTGAATTTTTAGTAGAGACTAGATTTTGCTATGTTGGCCAGGCTGGTCTCGAACCTCCTTGCCTCAAGTGATCCACCAGCCTCGGTCTCCCAAAGTTCTGGGATTACAGGCGTGAGCCACCATGCCTGGCCTTAACTGTTTCAATTAATAACCTGATCAATACCAAAATATAGAAAACCAGTCCAAGTGATGCCTGCAAAAGATATATTGTGCTTTCAGGCATCATGCACTCAAGTTACGGGAATTACCTATGTGAGTACAAGTAATTGCTTGTATAATATCACCAGATTAAATTCAACAGGGTCTCTTTTTACTAAATGTGTTATACACCCTTACAACATACTACAGGGCGAGCACAAAAAGGTCAATTTCCCAGTGGATTTTGTTCAGGAGCTGTGTAGGTTTATTAATGAACAAATCTAACTGACCCCTGCTCAAATGCAACTATGTGGCCCTGTTTTTCAACTCCCAAGGGCCTATACTGGGTCTGTGGATAATCTGCGCATTTCATTCTGCCTCCTCGTTGACTCAGACCTTGCTGTTTGGTCTGGCTCACTTCTGCCTTTCAAATAGTTTCACCTAAAAATTCTCCTAACAGCTCTTATGATTGGAGGCCAAAATAGACAATAACTGAAATTAGCACTAGCTTTGAAATAGACAAAGATAAGCTAGTTTCCACTGAGGAAAGATTCCAGTGGGGTTCCTGGGGACTCACTCTTGGTGGTGGTGGGATACTAGTTGTATGGAATCTGAAGCTAATCCATATTTGGGGTCTTGGATTTTATAGCCAATCAGACATCCCAATGTTCCAGACAGGTAGAAGCTACTCTCCAAAAGGTAGATGTGGCCTGGTGCAGTGGCTCATGCCTGTAATTCCAGCACTTTGGGAGGCTAAGGCAGGTGGATCACCTGAGGTCAAGAGTTCGAGACCAGCCTGCCCACCATGGTGAAACCCCATCTCTCCTAAGTACAAAAAATTAGCCAGGCATGGTGGCGTGTGCCTGTAGTCCCAGCTACTTGGGAGACTGAGGCAGGAGAATTGCTTGAACCCAGAAGACAGAGGTTGCAGTGAGCTGAGATCACCCCACTACACTCTAGCCTGGTTAACAGAGCGAGACCCTTTCTCACAAAAAAATAAATAAATAAATAAATAAATAAATAAATAAATAAATAAAATAAACGAGGTAGATGTTACAGTTAATGGAACATCATGCAGCTTCATATCTCCTTTTTACTCAAGCTGGGGCCTATGTTTGGTATTGAACAAAATGGAATGCTGCAATTTTCTCTCTACTGATTTTGTTACTACAGAAAGCTTAATGTAAAGGTGGCTGATACTGCTGTTTCCTTAGACACTGACACCAAATACAATAAAGAAGTCTCTCAAGAGGAAAACATGGTGTGTTTACAGGAGCAACTAACAGTTGGTTTGTAGGCATCCTAAATGGTGGATGGCAAGCTTGGGTTTCCCAAAGGTTTCTAGTCTTTATATGTCTTCTAGTAGGTGTCCAGGTTAGTATGGCCTGTGTTACCAGAGTAACAATGAAAATGGCTACGTCTTTAAATCAGGCCACTTTACAGTGAACTATGGTCCTTAATTGCTATCACATTTCAAACAAGAACTATGACCAATTAAACTTTACTATTGTTGAACTGCCTATGTTGCCTGAACTTTGACTGGTTTAAGTTGGTTTCATTTATTTCATAAGAACTCTTGTTAAGGGGTGCACCTTGGTATTTTGATATTATTCTCTTGATAGTCATAATAATAGTTCCCTGGTGTGCTGCATCCTCTCAAGTCATAAATGTTTTGTATGCAGCCATACATTGAGAATTGAATGGTCTCACTTCAACTAGGTCAGCAAGAACATAAAGAATCATTTACCTAGTGTGAAGTTGTGACTTGTGAACTTCATAGTGACACCAATAAAGACTTGTGAACTCCATACTGAGACTAAAAGGACTTGTGAATTCCATACTGAGCCAATTTACAATAGTGGGAGAGTGGCATCAATGCCTAAACTTTTGATCAATCTCTCTAAATTGAGAGTCTGACAAAGAGAGGGGAGTTGATAAATGAAACTCAAATCCGGCCTGAGGAAGCCTTCATATTGCCATGCTTGAGTTCTTAAGGGTGAACCGTAATGTAACTAGTAGGCAGGCAGACTGAAAACCTAACTTAGGAGGATGCTTCTTTAGCAATAGCTGAGTCTCAGCCAATCCCATTGGCCATACTTCAACCACTCACAGGCAGCCGACTGTTGGAATCATGCCCAGATAAGGCAAACACCAAGCTGTAACCAATCTGGCTGTTTCTGTACCTCACTTCCATTTTCTGTATGTCACTTTCCTTTTTCTGTCCACAAATTTGCTTTGACAACACAGCATCCCTGGTGTCTGTCTGTATCTGCTGTAATTCTGAGGGCTGCCCAACTTGCAAAATATTTATTTTTCTTGCTCAATTACTCTGTGAAATTTAATTTGTCTAATGGATTTCTTTTAACAGAACTTATAATTAAAATGGAGAGCGGGTGTAAATATTTATAAAACTTGCAGCCTGGCCATGTGGTAGACAAGGAGGAATCCAAGCAGCCTGCTGAGCAACTACTTGCTGGAGACATTAGCATGTCTAAAAGGGAGCCAGGTGCTAATATTCAAGACAGTGGGAAAAGGCCTCAGAGGCATTTCAGAAGGCCCCTCCTATCACAGGCCCACAGGCCTAGGAGGACTGAATGGTTTCAGAGACCAGGCCCAGGACACCATTGCCCTATGTCACCTCAGGATGCTACTTCCCACATCCCAGCTTCTCCAGCTCCAGCCTTGGCTCAAAGGGCCCCAGGTGAAGCGCAGACCACTGCTTTGGAGGGTACAAGCCCTAAGCCTTAGCAGCTTCCATATGTTTTTTTTTTTGTCTTTTTTTTTTGAGACAGAGTCTTGTCCTGTCAACCAGGCTGGAATGCAACAGCACGATCTCAGCTCACTGCAACCTCTGCCTCAAAGGTTCAAGTGATTCTCCTGCCTCAGTATCCCAAGTATCTGGGATTGCAGGCATGTGCCATCATGCCCAGCTAATTTTGTATTTTCAGTAGATACGGGGTTTCACAATGTTGGTCAGGCTGGTCTCCAACTCCTGACCTCAGGTGATCCACCTGCCTCAGCCTCCCAAAGTGCTGGAATTACATGTGTGAGCCACCATGCCCAGCCTTCCATATGGTTTTAGGTCTGCAGGCTTGCAGAATGCAAGAGTGAAGGAGGCTTGGGAGCTTCCACCTAAATTTCTGAAGATGTATCAAAAAGCCTGGGTGCCCAGGCAGAAGCCTGCACAGGGCGGAGACCCCACAGAGAACCTCTACTAGGGCAGAGCCATGGGAAAACATAGGGTTGGAACCCCCATACAGGGTCCTCACTGGGACATTGCCTAGTGGAGCTGTGGGAATGGGGCCAATGCCTTCCAGACACCAGAAAGGTAGAGTCGCCAGCAGCTTGCAACCTCAGCATGGAAGACCCACAGGCTCAATCCCAACCTGTGAGAGCAGCCATGTGGGCTGCACCCAGCAAAGCCATAGAGACAGGGCTGCTCAAGGCCTTGAAAGCCCACTCCTCTCACCAGTATGGAGTTAAGGAAGATGATTTTGGAAGTTTCAGATTTAGTGTTTGCCCTGCTGGGTTTCAGACATGTGTGGGGCCTGTTGCCTCTTTCTTTTGGCCAATTTCTCGCTTTTGGAATGGGAATGCCTACCCAATACCTGTAACACAGTTGTATCTTGGAAGTATGTAACTTGTTTTTGATATAACAGCCTCATGGGTGGAAGGCATTTGCCTTGAGGCTCAGATGAAACTATGGATTCTGGACTTTTGAGTTGATGCTGGAACAAGCTGAGACATTGGGAAACTATCAGGAAGGGATGGTTGCATTTTGCAATGTGAGATGACATGAGATTTTGGGGTAAGAGGCAGACTGATATAGTTTAGATGTTTGTTCTCTCCAAATCACATGTTGAAATATGACCCCCAATGTTAGAGGTAGGGCCTAGTGGGAGGTGTTTCGCTCATAGGGGTGGATTCCTCATGAATGGGTTGGTGCTCTGTCCATGGTAATGAATGAGTTCTGGCCCTGTTAGTTCACATGTAAGCTGGTTGTTTGAAAGCACCTAGCATCTTTCTTGTGTGCTGTCTCGCCGTGTGACACACCTGCTCCCCCTTCAGCTTCCACCATAAGTGAAAGATTCCTGAGGCCCTCACCAGAAGCAGATGCCTGCACTGTGCTTTTTGTACAGCCTGCAAAACCATGAACCAAATACACCTCTTTTCCTTATAAATTACCCAGTCTCAGGTATTCTGTTATGATCCCCTGGAAGAGTTATACTACTTCCAGGTCTAGACCATGGTAAATCCCACACTCCCCTCTGAGGCCACCTTCTTCCCTCTGCAGAGACCCTGTGGTTAGAGTGGATTGGTTGTGTCTCTGGCCCCAATTCTTCTCCCGAGGCTGCATTCCACCCTTTTGCTATGTGACTTTGCAGCCCTTCATGATCATTACAGAGGCAGGTTCCTCTCTCCTTGAATTTGGGGAAGATGCGACGCATGCAGGAGTTTGAAAACACGTTTGTTTGCTTCTGCTTTTGTTTTTGCTCCTCTGCAATTTCCTTGAAACCATGCCTGAGCTAGCCTGAGGGAAAATGAAAAAGCACCATTGAGCTAATCTTTCAGCCAATCCCACTGCATTTGCACAATGCAGTCTGAGACCAGAGGAACTGCCCAGCCAAGCTCAGGCAAAATTGCTGACTTCAGACTCATGAGCTAAATAAATATTGATTTCATTTTATGATTGTTCTTATGCAACATTATCCTGGCACTAGAAAAATGAAACAGATGGGAATCAAAAAGACTGAATGAAGCAGAAACCCAGAAGCTACCCCACAGGCAATCGCATGGGACTCAGATGTTAATGGACAATAAGCTTTTATTGCACAGAAAGGTCATTGCAGTCAGAGGTTGGGGATTGCTTGCTGCTACAGCCGAATGGATTCTATTCTGACCAATACAGAAGGAAAGAAATCATAGACGCCCTGCCTGAGCAGAAGGGAGGTGATAGATGAAATGAACTGTATGAAGATCCACCAGCCTGGCCCACACGTGGAAGAAGGACTGGCCCGTCTTCTTGAAGCCCAAGCTCTGGTAGAGGCCCATGGCAGAGAGCTGGATGTTGCTGGTGTCCAGGACAACTTCACTGTAGCCCTAGTCCCGGGCAAACTGGAGGACAGTCCTGACCAGGGCTTTTGCTATCCCCTGACCACGGTGCTCATTGTCCACAGAGAGATGAAACAGCTGCAACCGCTTCTCCCTCAAGGTGGGATCATCAACGGGCAGAGCTCCTACTGTGCCCACCACCTTCTCTTCAGATTCACCCACCCAGAAGCAGGAGCCACACTCACTCAGGTAGGATTTGGTGATGTCAGACATGTCTGTGCGCAATGCTATGTCTACATACCGCGTCCAGGGTTTTTTGGCAAGGAACCACAGGGCAGGAAGGAGGCTGAGGCTGAACACGAGGGCCAGAATCCAGGAGCCAGAGACCAGGAGTAGGGCAAGGGCCCCCCCAAGTAAGAGTATGAGGGTTCGAGGCAGCTTCAGTAATCGCCGGAAGGTGGCTGGGGCGTGTTCGGCCATCCCCCGGGAGAGCAAGCCCACGACCTACTTGCGGTCGCTCTCCTGGTATTTGCGGATGTGATAAGGAGCCATGGACAGACTTCTGTGTCTGAAGTCACTGAGTCCAGGAAACAGAGCTAGGCCTCCCTGCACGCCTTTACGCCAGGCCTGGGGAAGAGAGAGGAAACCACGTGAGTGCCTGCATGGCTCCCAGCCTTGCAGGAACAGGGAGACCTGCTTAAGGGTGTGTCTTTCCGCGTTTGCCCATGAGGAAGCAGGCCTCTGCCACTGGGAGAAGGTAGCATGAGAAAGACCTGCATTGGAATCTGGCTCCATGCCTTTCTAGCTGTGTGACCTTGGGCATGTCACTTAACCTCTCTGAGCCTCCACTTCTTCATCTATAGAACAGGGGAGAAGAAAACCTGCCTTCTAGAGTTGTTTCGAAGATTGAATAAAATACCTTCTATAAAGCCCTGATAGATGAACTACCCACCACTCTTCCCTCTGTTTCCTTTTTCTGGCTCTCTCAGCTTCTTGGTGCATTGAGAGAGTACCTACCTCAGGCAGGCCACATGCCCAACCCTTTGGTGCTTCTCCAGGGACCATACATCGCAGAAATCCTGTGACCAAGCACAAGTTTCAGGAAAGGCTCCCTCCAGCTTTATTGTAAGTTTTTAGGTTGCTGAGGTGGCATAAGTGCCAAGCATAAAAAACAGCCCAGCCTCCAGATCCCAAGGAAGGTGCATGCTCAGAGCACTGTCCTTCCACCCAGTCCCCTCACCTGTCACCACAAGAGCCTTGAGTGTCCAGGGAGCTTCAGCTGTCAGCCGCTCACTGGCATCCAGGAGATACCGTCTGGGGCTTGCTCACCCCTGGAAAGCAGGCTGCCTGCCTCATTGCTTGGCTCCTGAATGTTTGGTAATCATCAACCCTAGGGTCAAAGAGCTGGGCTGTAACACAGCAGGGAGCCCAGTGTGCATTCCCCTTTATAGTCAAAGGGAATGGCCTGGAGGGGGAAACTCAGGGTCTGGAACCGCCTGGGTTCCTTGCCCTTCTGGAAGGCCTGCCACCTCTCTTGCCTGTTCAGGCCCTGGGCATCTTTCTGCCACCTGGCACACTTGATACTCTCTGAGATCCACCTTGGTCCCTGTACACATATACCACGAGCCTGAGAACTGTGCCATTCACCCTGCACTCAGTCACCATTGGCCAGAAGCCGAGTCCCCACACTTGGCAACAAGGCCCTTCCCAGCTAGGCTTCTCCATGCTGAGGTTTCCCTGGTCCACAAAGCATCGATTGTTGGCAGTTCTTTGCACTCACCTCACCAACCCCCACCTCCACCCATTCATTGATTCAGTCAACAGGTGTGTGCGATGCACTTCCCATGTCTGGGGGTCATTTCAGCCATGAGCAAGGTTGACATTCGGCTGACAGGCATGGCTGTGTGTGGCTTGTGTGTGTTCTGGCTGTTGGTCAGAGGCTGTGCCACACCCGTTGTTAAATATTTTGCACTGCAGATGTTGGAGAGGCCCAAATTCAAGCTCTTGTACCCGACGTGGAGCTGATCCCAAACACTGACACATGGGTGCTTGGAGATAGAGAAAGTTGTATTCGATTTGGCCAAAGCAAGAAGGCAGGAGAGGAAGATCTCTCAACTTCAGTTCAACAAAGAAGCAGCAGCAGAATGTTTTTATGCAGCTAGAGAGTGAGGAAGGGGGAGTTCAGGGGGATTGAGAGGAAAAGTCTGTGTTTCCTCAGTCTGAGATAACACCTTGTGCAACCAGGCTTCTCAGTGTCAGCAGCTGGTCACAGTGTCCTTCAAGGCATTCATTCCTTCTGCAAACTTTTCCTGACCCTGAAGGAATGTCTTCCTGCTGAACAAAGAAACAGTGCATGAGCAGTTTATCATTATGTTGTGGGAACAAGGAATATTGGACCAAAAGCAAGTGGTTAACATGTGCAAGCCAGCAACGGTCTGATCAGAATGTTCATTATTTCAGTCACTAAAACATGGTATGGTGCTGAAATCTCAAGGGGCCCAATTACAAGGATGCAACATATACAAGATAGGCAAAAGCAAAACCTAACAGAAAAAGCCCTTTTCCACACCAACTTACATGCTATTGAAGGGAAACTTCCCTAAAAGATTAGCCAACCCATTGTTGATCAGCCACGCTGGGCCCGTCATCTAGGTTAGGTAGTTTGGACTCTATTCCAAGAGCAAGGGGAGGACATTGATATGCACAGAGGGGAGAAGGGGTGTGTGTGTGTGTGTGTGTGTGTGTGTGTGTGTGTGTGTGTGTGTGTGTGTGCGCGCTTCACTCTGGCTGCAGGTGGACAATGGATCTGAGGAGGTGGGAATGGAAGCAGCTACCCCTTAAGGCTAGTGCCGCATCCAGGCAACAGCAGGGCCCCCAGTGCAGGGATGCAGGTGCTCACTGTACAAGAGCAGCTGGCCCAGAGGGGCTGGTAGGAGCTAAAATCGGGCCTCCCGTTGCCAAGCCATGAGCCATGGCACGAAACTGAGACTGGCCAAAGGAAAAGGCAACCTTTTCTTATTTGCTCGAAGGCATTGCTTGCCTGCTAAACTCTGCATCCAGTGGACTGCATGGCTTGAGGCTGTGCCTAGCTCTGTGTTCACAAAGAAGCCGCCTGGGCTAGCAGAGGCCCATGAGACAGCAGTGGCTTCAACAGAGGGAGGAAGTCAAGAATGTGAGACATGAGCCACATGGAGGTGCACTTGGGGCAGAAATGGCAGGAGTTGGAATGATTCACACAGGGAGGAGGATGAGGAAGGGCTCAGAGATGACAGCCAGGCTTCTGGTAGGGGCATTCAGGAAAACACTGGAGAGAGCCCAGATCTGGAAAAGTCAAGGCTTCCCCTAAAGGTGCTGCCCTGCAGCCTTCCTCAGCAGAAACCAGAGGCTGGGAGTCAGCAGCAGGAACCCAGGGCCAGCCAGTGGAGGCTGCTGAGATTCCAGATCTTTGGTACCCAACACCACCTCCGAGGAAAAGTCTAAGGAGCATCAAGTCTGGGCAGGAAGTCCATGGCTTATCTTTAGAGTGTTCTCAGAACAGTTCAGTGTCAAGCAGGAGTTGGCCTAGGAATTACAAGAGGTGAGCAGCTGCTTCAAAGCACCACTGAGTACTTCTAGTGTGAGTCTGACCAATATTCAGAGTCAGAAACCTGCCGGTCACTTGGAGGGGGAGAGGTTTGTGCTCCGTCCCTGTGTGCTGTCTCTTCCTCCATGCTCACCCGTGGCTGTGGCTTCCTCAAAACACAGCGACCTCACTTGACATTCAGGCATCTCTTGCTCCCAGGATCTACTGTGACTTCTGCATTTTTGTAGCTTTCCTGATAAAAGCCTGGGCTTTCCTTGTCAGACCTGAAAGATTCATTTATTCATTCAACAAACAGTTCCCGAGGACCTGAGGTGTGCCGGGCCTGGACTTGGCATGAAGGCACCAGATGTTGGAAGCGAGGCTGCCGCCCAGGAGGACACACCTGATGGGGCTCTGGGAACAGGATGATGGTGGAGACATCACATCCGGAATAACTTTGTTAGGAGGGTTGAACTTGACAGTTAGGACTTTTATGTTGCACTTGTTGAAAAGCCACCTAAAATTGTCATAAGTAAGAGAGGTGATCTAATGGCCCATGAAACTGCCAACTCCAGGAAGACAGACAGGGTGACCTGAAAGTGGGTTTGACCTGTTGGTTTTTCTGCCATTCTGTGGGTGGCATCAGCTTCCTGCCAAGACTGGCACTGCATAGGATGTCGGGTGTTTGCCAGCCCAGTTGAAGCTGTCTGCTTCCTTGCTCACCAACAGCAGAAAGGTGGGGGCTATTCCCCACATTCCAGGTGACAGAGAAGGTTTACATGGGGACTCAGTCACACTTTCTGGGGACTGTACATTTCATAGCAGAATCCAGGTTATATTAAAGGAGTCCTGGCCGAAGGATGCCAGCACCCCATAGAGATGGAGAGCCCCAGGGAGCTCAAGGGCTGAGGGGCTGAGGGGCTGAGTGACAGTGAGCACTGCCCACAGAGGGGGTGCCCTGCAGTCAGGAGGGGTGGGAAACGGGTGCAGATCGGCAGCCAACAGAGGCCCACCCACATGAGCACAGGTGGAGTTGCTGGTGCGATGAAGAGTGTGCTGGTTGGGAGTGGAGGGCTGGGGGCCGGTAGCCGGTTTGGGAAACCCAAGCTGAGCGAAAGGTGTGCCAAGGCCTGTGGTGGTGCCTGTTAACAGAAAAATCAAACTGTTAGATGATCTGAAAGAGGTATCTTCTGAGCCAATATGAGTGACCACGGTCTGGGGATCTCAAGAGGTCCTGAAAACGTGTGCTGGGGCCGTCGTTTTCTACATTTGAGGGGACAGGAATTGGAGTAACATCATAAATTAATCCATGGAAGGTGTACATTGACTGGGCCTAACAAGGTGGGATATTGTGAAGCAGCAGGGGGCATTATAGATCACAGGTGGATTCAAAGATTTTCCGATTGGCAATTGGTTGAAAGAGTTCAGCTTTGTCTAAAGACCGTGAAGTTGGTACAAAAGAATGCTTCAGTTCAGAGAGAGGGGTCTGCCTCTGCCACGTGATGCTGTCCCAGAGTCAGGTAGGAAAGTCAGCCACAGTATCCTGGGTCAATTTAAACCCCACTGAAGGAGACTCTGTGGTTTCTAGGGTGTGTGTTAATTCTTGCCTTGCAAGGCCTTAAGTCTTGTTCATAATCTGTTACTGATTGTCACAGAGTCCATTCTGAATAATCTAATGATGCCTATTTTAACATTCATGCCAGTCAAGTGATTCTCCTGCCTCACCCTCCCAAGTAGCTGGGACTACAGGTACACGCCGCCATGCCCGGCTAATTTTTGTATTTTTAGTAGATACAGGGTTTCACCATGTTTGTTAGGCTGGTCTCGAACTCCTGACCTCGTGATCTGCCTGCCTCGGCCTCCTAAAGTGCTGGGATTACAGGCAGGAGTCAGCACGCCAGGCCCAGAGTTTTCTAAATGAGACTTGGTGTAGCCAGTGAGCTTCTGTTGCCTGCTGTGACATGGGTGCTATTGTTCCCATTAAAAACTCAGACCTCTGCCTCGGGAGACAGGGCTCAGCTGCAGCCTACTCAACTAAAACATGAAGCGCTGCTTCGTGGGCACCACAGCGGCTCCTTAAACTTGCAATGGTGTGCAAATTTGTGGGCTCACTTTCTACATCCGATCTTCAAAGGTGTCTGCGATCCCAGAAGGTTGGGAACTATTAAATTTGATCATTTCTGAAATGTCTTCCAGTTTAAAAGTCTTCAGTTCCAGTTCATTTTCAATTCCTGAATAAAGGGATGAGTCTTGGAGCTTCTGGAAGCTGGCCTGGAACTGAGCACTTACTGCAGACAGTGCCTGAAGTGCAAACCCAAAGGTGCGTAGATCTGGGCTGCATGTGAAAGCTTTCATATTCAGGTCTTACTTTGCGACAGTGAGGGGTGACCAGGGAAGCCTATATGAGGGGCGGGGGCAAACCAAGGCAGCCTGGGAGCTGCCTTAACCACCTCTCACCTCACTTCCTCAGAGATAAGGTTTTCTTGAAGGGAACGTGCAGATTTATACAAAATACTAACAAGCTGAGATTTTAATTTTTTAAGCAATAAGGAAAAACAGAACTTTTCACTCCAAAGACCCTGTGTTAGGCTCGGCAGAACTGGTGGCACATCTCAGGAGTCATGGGGCAATGCTCTCAGAAACAATGTTAGGGAAAAAAAAAAAAAAACGAAAAACAATGAAGAGGCTTAATTCTTCTTGTTAAAGGAAGAGGTATCCTCTGTCCCTTTTCTTAGAGCATTTTGTTTGGAAAACTTGTCATTTTAAATCCTTCCTCTGCCCCTTTGAGGGGCATGCAAAGCTTTTTGACAGCTAAATAAGCCTCTTGCCAGCTTTGCAACCCAGGACTGTGTTCCTGAAGGACCTGGGATCCCAATCTTTGAAACGTTATCATCAGAGCAGCCAGGTCCCTATCTCCCAGTCTCCATGGGAGGGCAGGAACCTAACTTTTGCCCTGTGTGATAAATCTACCTCCTATCATAAAGATAAGGGTTGTTTTTCCTTTGTATGAAGTCAAATAGCAGACGCAGGTTGTCGAGTGAATTGAGGTTGAATCTCTGTAAACTCGGTGTGACCAAAAGTGCTGTGCAGGCCCCCTGACCTGAGGACTAGGCATGGCTTCTCTTGAGAACGTGTGCAATGGTTTGGACCCACTGGCTAGATTAGCGGTGAGATTTCTGTCTGTCTTTGCAGCTTCTTAGCGGATCATTGCCCGTGATGCGCATCTCACTCTGGGTTAATCCTTTTTCAAGGATAAAAGTGTTTTTCTTTCTCTTCTTCCTCTGCAGAGAGGCTTGCTGGGATGGGAGAAGATTTTATTTGTAATTCCATTTCTCCACGACCAGAGGATGGGCTCTGGGGGTCAGGCAGCTGGGAAGGAGTTTAGAACCCATGCCTAGGCCTTCCCCAAGGCTCATGCACTCAGTTCCCTCAGTTCAGCAGTAGCAGAAACACTATCTGGAAGACCCCATACTGTCTGGAAAGAGGAACTCATTTTCTTTCATTGCTGACACTCCTGGATGACTGTGTGTGGCGGTTACCCATACCCTAGTCCCACCCTGTGCCCCCTCTCCACCTCAGGGGGCCCCAAGAGCCCTGGCCCTGCTAGTCCAGAGCACCCCCAAGGGAGACTGGGGTTGGGGGTCCCACCAGGGTGCCAGGTGTTGGTCAAGGTGAATGTGAACTAGGAGGAAGGAGATGGAGCCCTCTCCTGGGAACCGGACAGGGACAGGGATGGGGTGGGGGTGCCCAGGAAGCCATGGCTCTGGGCTGGGGCCGCCAACCTGCCCAGGCAACTGGGGCTGACTCCTTGAAGTTGCATTTCTGACTCCCCCTCCCACGTGCAGGCTCTTGGCCCACTGGAGGCCCACTGGAGGCCACAGTGGCAGGTTCACTGTGGGCGGGGGTGGGGGGGATGGGGTGCCCTGGGGAGCTGGGGGTTCCTGTGGAGCAGGGGTATGGGTCCCACCCTGGCCACCCCGTCTGCCCAGGCTCCACATGTGCCCCCTGGTCCCCCTGGAAAGACCCTTCTCTGTCCCGCTGGTGCACCCCTCCCCCAACTGGGCCTCCACCAAGAAGAAGGGCCCGAGTTCTGCCGAGGCGTCCCTCTGAGTGACCACCCACACCTGAAGCCATCAGTCAGGTCCCTGCACAGGAGCCACCCCTGAGCCTGTGCTCCCCCACCCCTGGCTGGCTGCATCTGGGCTCCAGATACGTGTCCCCCACCCAGACCCCATTGCTGGGTTAGGCCCTTCTTGCCACCCCTCAGCTCTTCTCCCTAGGGAACAGCATCATTGCCAACTTCTCATATCCTGTCATTGTCCACCAGGAGAGCTGGGGCGGGGGACCCCGCTTGTGCATAACTGGCCTCAGGCAGCCGACCTGGGGCTCCACAGCTCTTGCTGCCGCTGGAAGTTGGGCCAAGGCTGGTGGCACACACAGGTGTGTTCCTGCTGTTGGGATCACCAGACAAGGCTGCTTCGCCTTGGGCCGATCTTTTGCCCCGGACCACTCAGCCCTAGGTACTTTAGGCCAATCTGCTGATCAAGGCCATAAGTGCCTCATAACCAATCAGCAGGGTACCTTCCCGGCAGCCTCAAGGGTGACTAGGTTTCTACCACACCCTGATCCCAGGCCTTCCTCTCAGCCAGTCCTACCCAGAACACCCTATTTCACAGTGCACTTCACCCCTAGCCTACCTGGCCATTCCCTATCCCCATAGCTGGCTCTAAGTTTTCTTATCACCTCTAACCTGCTCTAAATGCTAAGGATATGCATCTGTTGTTGATTTGTATTTAGTAGGCTCTGCAAGCAGGGATCTTTGGCTCTTCGGTTCACTCATGTATGTTAAGTGCCCAGAACAAGCCTGACAGATATTAGGTGCTCGGTAAGTGCGTGTTGAGTGAGTAAACAACAGACAGCCAGTTTGGGTATTCCCAGTAGGGCAGGAACAGAGAAGAGACACGTTTTATTGGGAAGCTAACAAATCTTAAGCTTCAAAGTTCCTCTTTCCCCTGCACCAGCACCTTACAAAAAAAAAAAAACCTACTGTGGTTTTACAATTTATATTTTGCAAACAGGCTCTGAAATGTATTTACCTCAGGCTCCAAAAAACCTGGATCTTCCTTGAGGGCAGTGCTGCCTACTGGATGAAATACAGATTTTAGAGTCAGAGTTGGGTTCAAATCCTAGCTCTGCCTCCTGCAGGTGTCTTAACCTCTCTGACCCCCCTCTCCTAATTTGTGCAAGGGAATAATATCCCCACATGTGTAAGACTCAACAGGGTGGGAAGGGCACATTTGTATCTAACCTGAATATTAATATATGCATTCCACAGTTTCTTTTGTATGTATCCATTATAACATAATTTTAAAAACTGATGACACGATCTGGTTTTCAAAACCTTTCTTTATTATTTGTGGAATAAAGTTCATGGTACAAATATCAACAGAGTCGAAGGCTTCTGTGATGGGTCAAGTGAGATGGGGCCTGGGAAGTGACTGATATTGACCACAGGATGCAGCAACATGGGGATGACTGATGACCTTGACAGGAGCAGCGTTGGTTCAGTGGTCCCCAAAGACCTCCTGACAGGGGAAGGTTTCACAGGAGAGGAACTGGAGCTGAGTGCAGAGGACACCATGGAGCAGTTTTGCCACAGAGTGAAACAGGGAGATGCCTGGCAGCTGCAGAGGAGGGTGCAGTCAAAAAGATTTGTTACAGAACTGCCGTTTGACTCAGCAATCCTATTACTAGGTATATATCCAGAGAAATAGAAATCGTTCTACCATAGAGATGCATGTGAATGTTCATTGCAGCAGTATTCACAATAGCAAAGACATGCAGTCAACCTAAATGCCCATTAATGACAGATTGGATAAAGAAAAGGTGGTACATATACACCGTGGAATACTATGCACCCATTAAAAAGAACAAGATCATGTATTTTGCAGGAACATGGATGGAGCTGGAGGCCCTTATCTTTACCAAACTAACACGGGAACAGAAAACCAGGCTGGGTGCGGTGGCTCACGCCTGTAATCCCAGCACTTTGGGAGGCCGAAGTGGGTGGATCACCTGGGGTCGGGAGTTTGCGACCAGCCTGACCAACATGGAGAAACCCCGACTCTACTAAAAATTAAAAAAATTAGCCAGGTTTGGTGGTGAATGCCTGTAATCCCAGCTACTTTGGAGGCTGAGGCAGGAGAATCACTTGAACCCAGGAGGCAGAAGCTGCGGTGAGCTGAGATCACGCCATTGCACTCCAGCCTGGGCAACAAAAGGGAAACTCAGCCTCAAAAAAAGGAAAAAAAAAAATCAAACACCATGTGTTCTCACTCATAAGTGGGAGCTAAATGATGAGAACTTATGAACACAAAGAAGGAAACAACAGACACTGGGGCCTTCCCCAGGGTGGAGAGTGGGAGGAGGGAGAGGAGCAGAAAAATAATTTTGAGTACTAGTCTTAGTACCTGGGTAATGAAATAATCTGTACCATAAACCCCCATGACATGAATTCACCAATATAACAAACCTGCACCTGTACCCCTGAACCTAAAATAAGAGTTAAAGTAAAATAAGGTTTTGCTTCCTGGGATGTAGGTGAAATAATTGTTTGCTGAAGAGATCCAGAGGCAAGCCAAATAGTGACGGTATAGGGGTGGGGATACCTTTGGGACGGTGCTCTTGACTGGTTGGGAGGGGCTGGCCCGTATGAGACAGTCAAGCAAAAGGGGCAGGCAGGAATGTGAACAGGGACTGACAGTGTGTTATGTGCTGGGCTTGGCAGAAGTTCTCTCCATTGCCTCTTCTGTTGTGTCTTGGTTTTTAACAATGAACTAGGAAAGGATATTACCAACTAAGAGTGAGGGTCAGAGAAGAGGCATTGTTCTTTGAGGGGGAGAGAAATGATAAGCCGTTGTCCAGTAGTTGCCTCTTCTGTTCAGTAAGGACAGAATCTGACAGGGTGGAGCTGGGGGAGAAGAAGAAAGCCAATGAGGAGCCAGTTCTGTGATGAAACTTACAGGCTTCCAGGCTCAGTATCACCCTACGGCATCTGAACTCCATCCTTATCTATTACCCAGGATTCTTCTATACCCCATAGAAAGCACCCCTTGCACTCGGACACGCACAGGAAGGCAGTTGCTAATTGGAGGGAAGACTCACTCACACTGTCCCCGGGCCCCACTCCAAAGATGGCCAGTGCAGCTCTCTCACCTCCATTACCTCCGAATGGTGCTCTCACTCACAGCCCAGAAGAGCAGGCTGACCTCCACATGGAGCTACCTCATTTCCACTCCTCACTGCTGGCTGCTGCCTCCACGGACCCTCTAAAACCACCCCTGGTAAGATCATCAGGGGCCTCCTAACTGCCAAGTACCAGGAATGCTTTATAGTCCTCAAACATGCTGAATGCTGAGGGAGTTCCTCCATTCATACAGCTGCTTGCAGTACCTGGGTGCTATGGACTGAATATGTCCCCCCAAAACTCCTATGTTGAAACCTCATCCCCAAGGTGATGGTATTCAGAGGTGGGGTCTTGGGAGGTGATTAGGTCGTGAGGATGAAGTCTTCACATATGGGATCAGTGCCCTTACAGAAAGGCCCAAGGGAGCTTGTTTGCCCCTTCTGCCATGTGAGGATACACAGAAGGTACCATCTATGAGGAACAGGTCCTCACCAGACATAAATCTACTGGCACTTTAATCTTGGATTCCCAGCCTCCAGAGCTGTGAGAAATAAATTTCTGTTTACAAGCTAAATGTAAAGTGTTGACCAGTTTATGGTAATTGTGTTACAGCAGCCCGAATGGACTAAGGCACTGGAGTCAGTCCAAGAGCTTAGATGTAAGGGAAATAAGATCAGAGCAGAGAGGTGCAAGAGACTGGCTCCTACCAGAGCAACTAAGAGTCAGGCAAATAATGTCAACTGAGGAGGTTTCTGGGTCCAGCAGCCACCCAACTGCTGTAACACATGGCTCTTCATTTCATACCCCCTTCTCTCCTGGTCTGTCTTTCCCTCTTTGATGGTTCTTTTTCAAGCTTTCATTTTGAGTGTTCCTCAAATGGAAGCTTTCCTCAAAACAGAAAAGTTCATGTTTCCTTCCTAATAATTAATAGGAAAAAAATGCCAAATGGATAGAATGGACTCTGGATAAGAATGGAGAATTTTTAAAGAAGAAGCAAATATGGTTTATGAATATATTTTAAAAGTGTACAAAAAAGAATATACAAAAACTCACTAGAAATCAAATAAAAATCAAAATACTATCTAGGTTTTACCTATCATTATGGTAAAGAATTAAAAGAATGGTATGAGCTAATGTAGGACAAGCACAAAGAAATGTGCAGACACACACACTTTTGATGGAATACTGAAATGGGAGATCCTTGCTGGAGAATCATTACACAGCATGTCAAAATCCTTTTTTTAAATCAAAATAGAGTCTCACCCCATTGCTCAGGCCAGAGTGCAGTGGCAAGGTCATAACTCACTGTAACCTCAAACTTACAGGTTCAAGTGATCCTCTGCCCTTGTCCTCCCAAGCAGCTGGGACTACAGGCACCCACCACCACAACTGGCTAATTAAAAAAAAGGTTTTTTTTAGAGACGGGGTCTTGCTATATTGACCAGGCTGGTCCCTAATCCTTGGGCTTAAGCAGTCTTCCCACACACTGAGATTACAGGAGTGAGCCACCCTGCTCGACCTCAAAATCCTTTGAAAAGACTTGATCCAAATTCAACTTCTAGGGTTAGAGCTCAAGAAAGTAACTGGTCAAATGTGCAAAGATGTTTGTATAAGGATGTTTATCACTGTAAAGTTTATTGACACAGAAGCAACCTAAAGTGCAACAAGAGGGGACTGGCTGAATAAATCCTGCTCTATTTCTGTAGCACAGTACCTCACAGCCATGACCAATGCTGATGAGGGTTTACTGACATGAAAAACATTGCCCAACTATAGCAACAAGCAAGAAAAGATTATAAAACAATATGTTTGGATTTATTTTTGGAAAAATGGTATTGAAAAATGATATCCACAAACAAGCATGCAGAGAGAAAAGTCTGAGTGGTTCCACCAAATGTTGGTAGCAGTTACCTCTGAAAAGAGGAATTGTGGGGGATTCTCTGCATAAAAGATAAACTCTGAAGGTCTTTGCACATTCTAGGCACTTGGCCCTGCTTTCAGACAGTGAAACTGAATCTTGGAAGTCTAAAGGGACTCAGGGACTCAAGTGTGATTGTGAGCTCCTAAAGGTAAGACCCGCGTCCGGTTTTATTATTTCAATTAATCCAATTAATGTGCACAATTCAGTGGCATTTAGTACATTCACAATGTTGTGCAACGACCACCCCTTTCTGGTTCCGAATCATTTTTATCACTGCAAAAGGAAATTCCTTGTTTATTAAGTGGTTCCCCCTTATTTCCCTCTCTCCCCAATCCCTGGCAACCTAATCTGCTTTCTGTCTCTATGGATTTATTTATCGTGGATGTTTCATATAAATGGAATTGTACAATATCTGACCTTTTATGTGTGGCTTCTTTCAGTTAATGTTTTCAGAATTCATTCGTGTTGCATCATGCATCAGTATTTCATTCCTTTTTAGGGCTCAAAATTCCATGTATGTTTATACCGCACTTTGTTTATCCATTCATTCATTGATGGACATTAAGGTTGTTTCTATCTTTTGGTTATTGTGAATGATGCTGCTGTGAACATTCACATACAAGCAGTTATTTGAATACCTATTATCAATTCTTTCAATGTATACCTAGGAGCGAAATTACTGGTTCATATTTTAATCCTGTTTTTGTTTTTTATTTTTGTTTTTTTTGTTTTTTTTTTTTTTGGTGGAGATGGGGATCTCACTATGTTACCCAGGCTGGTATCAAACTCCTGGGCTCAAGTGATCCTCCAGCCTGGGTCTCCAGAAGTCCTGAGATTACACGTCTGAAAGATGCTGTGCCCAGCCAGTAATATGTTTTAGAATCAGGAAGTGTGAGTCCTCCAACATTGTTGTAGTGTGAGTCCTCCAACATTGTTGTTCTCTTTCAAAATTGTTTTGGCTATCCAGGATATCTTATGATTTTTACAGATTTATTGCCATTTCCAATCTTTTTTTATTACTATGTAATATATGTTTCTTTTTTTCTTTTCTTTTTTTTTTTTTTTTTTTGGAGACTGAGTCTCGCTCTGTCACCCAGGCTGGAGTGCAGTGGCACGATCTTGACTCACTGCAACCTCCACCTCCCAGGTTCAAGCGATTCTCTTGCCTCAGCCTCCTGAGCAGCTGGGATTACAGGTGCCCGCCACCATGCCTGGCTAATTTTTGTATTTTTAGTAGAGATGGGGTTTCACCATGTTGGTCAGGCTGGTCTCGAACTCCTGACCTCATGATCTGCCTGCCTCAGCCTCCCAAAGTGCTGGGATTACAGGTGTGAGCCACCGCGCCCAGCCATAATGTATGCTTCTTTGAGCTGTTTTTCTGATAACTTAGTAGCCATGTAATCTAATTAACTGATATGCTTCAACCACTTTCTCAATCTATCACTCTCAGACACGAAACAGTATCTATTGACTCTATCATATGAAAAATTAACATCCCCATCAGAGTTGTTCCAAGCCCCACGAATACAGCCAGGATTTTTTTGTCTTATCATCTTGCAAGAGCTCAGGTCCTATCCAACTACAACAATTACAGATACATGGCAGCATGTTCACATTGTCTCAGGCTTCCCCCAACTACATCTGAACAGTTTGAATTGGATTAAAAAGGGCTCCTGGAGACTTGTAGGCTTGCTTATCCTGTGGGTAACTGACATTGGTTGCAGTAATGATACCAAGGTTTCTTTTCTTTTTCCAGGTAGGAAAACATGTGATTTGCTCTATTTCATCGTCTACCAGTAGTTTCTTGTGCTCAAAGTCTGCACTTTGCAACAAGCACAAATTAAATAAGAGCATACATGCAAAACAATTACTTAAATTCAAACTTTTCCATTGAAATACAAATGGCTCTTAAATATGTAAGATACGCAACCTCTCTCAAATGAAGATTAAAACTGTATCCAACTGCCTTTTTTCACCAGATTATCAAAAATTCAAATTTGATGGCAAGAGTGTAGGGAAATAGAGTCCCTTATATATTCTTGTGGGAGTAGAAGTTGGTTCATTGTGAAAGGTAATTTAACAGTTCCTATCTAAATTACTTTCGCCCAGAATTTTATTTTTATTTTTGAAACAGGGTCTCACTCTGTCACCAAGGCTGGAGTGCAGTGGCATGATCTTAGCTCACTGCAGCCTCCGTCTCCCAGGCTCAAGTGATCCTCCCACCTCAGCCTCCTGAGTAGCTGGGAGTACAGGCATGTGCCACCACCCGGCTAATTTTTGTATTTTTTGGTAGAGACGAGGTTTCACCATATTGCACAGGCTAGTCTCGAACTCCTGAGCTCAAGTGATCTGCCTGCCTCGGCCTCCCAAAGTGCTGGGATTACAGGTGTGAGCCACTGCACCCAGCTCACCCAGCATTTTTACTTTTGGAATTTATGATATACTGTGCACATGTGGAATTTAAGCTATAGATACTTGCATATGTGCAAAATAGTGTACAAAATTAACGACTGAAGCAGTTTGTTATAGCAGAAAATTAAAACAGTTTATCTGTCCATCAGTAGACAAACTGTTAAATAAATTACTGTATATCCAGATAATGAAGTCCTACATAGAATGAGGAAGGTCTGTCTATACCAGTATGGAAAGATCTCCAAGACACATAATTTAAAAAAAAATCAAAAGTGCAGAGCAGTGTGTATCATACTACAACTTGCGTTTTTTTAACAAATAAAGGAGGGAAGAGAATTGCTTGAATGTAAAACAATTCTCTGAAATCCTGTAGGGTTGTGAACAGAGTGAATGGAGAACAGGAGTGGAAGGGAAGCTTTTCCAATGATGCCTTTCTACACACTTTAAATTTTATCAAACGCAAGTAAACCTCCCTCTTGATTGCCTTCTCCTCTTGGGTCCTGTCTTTACTTCTGTCCACCACTTCCTTACCGGGGTGACTGCCGGCAGGACTTGGGGTTTGTCTTTCCCACTTGGCATCTAAATCGAAATCCTTTACCCTTTGAGCCCATATTAGTTCTTCTTTCCCGCTAATGTCTAAACTGACCTAGAAATAAAAAACTTTTCTTCCTCCCTCTCCCCCTCCTTCCTTCTCTTTCTCTCCTTCTCCTCCCATCCCTCACCCCACACAAAGGCATTCTGTGTGTGAAACATTAAAAAGGGTTCCCTTCCTTACTTGAATAAACCTGCCCACTCAGCCTCAAGGCTGCTCCCAGAGATGTCCTCGGGTAACTTGGAGACTGTGAACAGTGCCAAAAAACACACAATATCATGATAACTTCCCAGACTCCAAGTTCCAGTGAGGCTAAACTAGAAGAGGACAGTGATGTGACTGCTTCTTGGTCAGAAGAAAAACTTGAAGTGAAAGTGCTCTTTGTTTCCTGGGGACAAAAGTTAAAAAGGAACAAGGAGAATTCCCGTGAAGGTCAGTTTCTCCTTCCAGATTTTGTGGCAGAGAAACTAGTGAATTTCAAGTTCCTTGTGTTAAGTAAGTTTAGCCTACTGCTTCCTTACATATTTTAAATTCGTCCTAAAGGGTTCTCTGTACTCCACAAACTGTAACCTAAATGGGCTTGTAAATGGACTATAGCCTACTCTTTGCCACTCACCATGTTTTGACCAATCAAAGGTGGCCCAGTGTTCAAACCATGTTCAAATAAGGCAAACGTCGAGCTGGAACCAATCCGGCTGTTTCTGTGGCTTACTTCCACCTTCCATACACTGCTTATCATTTTGTGTCCATAAATCATCTTCCACCACATGGGTGCACTGGAGTCTCTGAGCCTATTCTGGCTCAGGAGGCCGCCTGATTCACGAATCATTTTTTGCTCAAAGTCTTTTAAATTTAATTTGGCTAAAGTTTTTCTTTTAACACCTACAATGCTAAGATTCTTTGTTTCCAAGTGACACTGTGTGGACTCACCTACCCCCAGCCACCACCTTGTCAGGTTTTCAAAGTATCCAGCACTGCAGTTCCACAGTCATCCCTGCAGTGAAACCAGACTCAAGGGCACCCTGTGGCCACTGACAGCTGAGACCCCTGAGAGCCTGTATTACATGCATGTCCTTGATGAAAGCTGGGTGGGGCTGTAAAAAAGTGAAAAATCTGTTTTCCTTCTAAAAACTATTTCCTGCAGGAATTTCCTGGTTTGTTCCTGTGGAAAATATGGAGTCTAGATCGAAGAAGGAAAACATGCCTCTAGGGAGGCCACATGCCCAAGACTTGTGGCCCTGGCGTCTCCTGGTTTGAACTCCTTGGCGTCCCTGGTTTGAACCACACATTTCTTGGGGAAATCTCTAAGTCTGGGAGACAGAGCTAGGCCTCCCTGCACGCCTTTACGCCAGGCCTGGGGAAGAGAGAGGAAACCATCTGAGTGCCTGCATGGCTTCCAGCCTTGCAGGAACAGGGAGACCTGCTTAAGGGTGTGTCTTTCCGCGTTTGCCCATGAGGAAGCAGGCCTCTGCCACTGGGAGAAGGTAGCATGAGAAAGACCTGCATTGGAATCTGGCTCCATGCCTTTCTAGCTGTGTGACCTTGGGCATGTCACTTAACCTCTCTGAGCCTCCACTTCTTCATCTATAGAACAGGGGAGAAGAAAACCTGCCTTCTAGAGTTGTTTTGAAGATTGAATGAAATAACTTTTATAAAGCCTTGATAGATGAACTACCCACCCCTCCTCCCTCTGTTCCCTTTTCCTGGCTCTCTCAGCTTCTTGGTGCATTGAGGGGGCACCTACCGCAGGCAGGCCACATATCCAACACTTTAGTCCTTCTCCAGGGACCATACATCACAGAAATCCTGTGTCCAAGCACAAGTTTCAGCAAAGACTCCTTCCCCCTTGATAACAAGTGTTTAGGTTGCTGACGGGGCATAAGAGCCAAGCACAAAAAACAGCCCAGCCTCCAGATCCCAAGGAAGGTGCATGCTCAGAGCACTGTCCTTCCACCCAGTCCCCTCACCTGTCACCACAAGAGCCTTGAGCGTCCATGGAGCTTCAGCTCTCAGCCACTCATTGGCATCCAGGAGATAGTGTCCAGGACCCGTCCATCCCTGGAAAGCAGGCTGGCTGCCCCCTCATTGCTTGGCTCCTTAATTTTTGATAATCATAAACCCTAGGGTCAAAGAGCTGGGCTGTAACACAATAGGGAGTGCATTCCCCAGTGTATTCCCCCGTGTGGTCACAGGGAATGAGCCTGGAGCAAGGGAGCCCAGCAGGCTGAGAATCTGCAGTGTGCTGGGCCTGGGCTTGGCATGAAGGCACGAGATGTCGGAGGCGTGGCTGCCACCCAGGAGGACACACCTGATGGGGCTCCAGGAACAGGACAATGGTGGAGACGTCACATCCAGAATAACTTTGTTAGGAGACTGAACTTGACAGTCAGGAGTTTTACATTGCAGGTATCAAAAAGCCACCTAAAATTGCCTTAAGTAATAGAGGTGATCTAATGGCTCAAAAAACCACCAACTCTAGGAAGACAGACAGGGTGACCTGAAAGTGGGTTTCACCTGGTGTTTTTCTGCCATTCTGTGCATGGCGTCAGCTTCCTCCCAAGACTGGCACTGCATAGGACATCGGGTGTTTGCCAACCCAGTTGAAGCTCTCTGCTTCCTTGCTCACCACCAGCAGAAAGGTGAGGGCTATGCCCTGCATTCCAGGTGACAGGGAAGGTTTACATCGGGACTCAGTCACACTTTCTGGGTACTGTACATTTCATAGCAGGAGCCAGGTTATACTAAAGGAGTCCTGGCCTGAGGATACCAGCACCCTATAGAGATGGAGAACCCCAGGCAGCTCAGGGGCTGAGGGGCTGAGTGACAGTGAGCACTGCCCACAGAGGGGGCACTCTGAAGTCAGGAGGGGTGGGAAACAGGTGCAGATCGGCAGCCGGCAGAGGCCCACCCAGGTGAGCACAGGTGGACCTGATGGTGGATGGGGACAAAGAGTGTGCTGGTTGGGAGGAGAAGGCGGGGGCCTGTAGCTGGTCTGGGAATTCCCAAGCTGAGCAAACGGTATGTCAAGGCCTGTGGTTGGGCTTGTTAACATAAACACCACACTCTTAAATGATCTGTAAGAGGTATCTTCTGAGCCAATATGAGTGACCATGGCCTGGGGATCTCAAGAGGTCCTGAAAACGTGTGCCGGGGCCGTCGTTTTCTACATTTGAGGGGACAGGAATTGGAGTAACATCATAAATCAATCCATGGAAGGTGTACATTGACTCGGCCTAACAAGGTGGGATATCTTGAAGTCGGGGGTGTTATAGGTCATAGGTGGATTCAAAGATTTTCCGATTGGCAATTGGTTGAGAGTTCAGCTTTGTCTAAAGACGTGAAGTTGGTACAAAGGAATGCTTCAGTTCAGAGAGAGGGTCTGCCTCTGCCACGTGATGCTGTCCCAGAGTCAGGTAGGAAAGTCAGCCACAGTATCCTCAGTGATTTTACAACCCATTGAAGGAGACTCTGTGGTTTCTAGGTGTGTGTTAATTCTTGCCTTGCATGGCCTCAGGTCTTGTTCATAATCTGTAACTGATTGTCCAGAGTCCAGTCTGAATAATCTAACTATGCCTATTTTATACTCCAAAGGTGCAGGGCTTTCATGAGGTGTCTCTGACCTCCCCTTCCACCATGGCCAGGAATTCATTTTCAAGTTTCCCTGGGGTCCCCTTGACTAAGAGGGGGCCTGTTCCATTGGTTGGGGTCTCAGGATTGCAGGCCTTAGGGCAGCCTCACAGCATGGTGCAGGGCGCTTGGTTGGGTTTTCCTGAACCCTGAACCCCATGGCTCATAGGATAAGGGAACTGTGGGCCACCCGGATTCTGCTGAGATTCCTTTCCCCAGGTGCAGATGCGGGTTTGGCCTTGGCCCTTTCTGTTCCTTTCAGAAGCCCACGGAGTGGAGGACAGAACGGTTTGGGGTCAGGGACAGAGGCTCCTGTCACTGAGACTGCCCTCAGTGGGACAGAGGGAAGAGACTATTGATGCAGTTCGTCTGCCTCTCTGTGACACTGATGTGTAGGCCCAGTAATTAAAGTCCACTCCTGGCAGCCAGCCTTGAACATAGAACTGATCGGCCACACAGAAAACCTGAAACAAAGCCTCTAAAATGCAGCCTCTCAAAAACGCTCACAGGAGTTTTCTTAATCAGACTTAGCGTAGCCAGTGAGCTTCTGTTGCCTGCGGTGACGTGGGTGCTATTGTTCCCACTAAAAGCCCAGACCTCTGCCTCAGGAGACAGGGCTCAGCTGCAGCCTCCTCAACTAAAACATGAAGGGCTGCTTCGTGGGCGCCAAAGCGGCTCCTTAAACTCGCAATGGTGTGCAAATTTATGGGCTCACTTTCTACATCAGATCTTCAAAGGTCTCTGTGATTCCAAAAGCTTGGGAACTATTAAATTTGATCATTTCTGAAATGTCTTCCAGTTTAAAAGTCTTCAGTTCCAGTTCATTTTCAATTCCTGAATAAAGGGATGAGTCTTGGAGCTTCTGGAAGCTGGCCTGGAACTGAGCACTTGCTGCAGACAATGCCTGAAGTGCAAACCCAAAGGTGCGTGGATCTGGGCTGCATGTGAAAGCTTTCATATTCAGGTCTTACTTTGCGACAGTGAGGGGTGACCAGGGAAGCCTATATGAGGGGCAGGGGCAAACCAGCAGCCCAGCCTGGGGAGGTGCCTTAACCACATCTCACCTCACTTCCTCGAGCTAAAGTTTTCTTTAAGGGAAATGCAGGTTTATGCAAAATACTAAGCAAGCTGAGTGGCTGGTTTTTTTTTTTTTTTTTTAAAGCAATAAGGAAAAAACAGAAATTTTCACACCAAAGACCCTGTGTTGGGCTCGGAAGAACTGGTGGCTTAACTGAGGAGTCACGGAACACTGCTCTCGGAAACTGTTAGGGCAATTGAAAAAAAAAAAAAAGAATAAAGACAATGAAGAGGCTTAATTCTCCCTGTTAAAAACAAGGGAAGCGGAGGGCAGCCAAGATGGCCGAATAGGAACAGCTCTGGTCTACAGCTCCCAGCGTGAGTGACGCAGAAGACGGGTGATTTCTGCATTTCCATCTAAGGTACCAGGTTCATCTCACTAGGGAGTGCCAGACAGTGGGCACAGGACAGTGGGTGCAGTGCACTGTGCATGAGCTGAAGCAGGGTGACGCATTGCCTCACTCGGGAAGCGCAAGGGATCAGGGAGTTCCCTTTCCTAGTCAAAGAAAGGGGTGACAGACAGCACCTGGAAAATCGGGTCACTCCCACCCTAATACTGCGCTTTTCCGATGGGCTTAAAAAACGGCGCACCAGGAGATTATATCCCGCACCTGGCTCGGAGGGTCCTACGCCCACAGAGTCTCGCTGATTGCTAGCACAGCAGTCTGAGATCAAACTGCAAGGTGGCAGCGAGGCTGGGGGAGGGGTGCCCACCATTGCCCAGGCTTGCTTAGGTAAACAAAGCAGCCGGGAAGCTCAAACTGGGTGGAGCCCACCACAGCTCAAGGAGGCCTGCCTGCTTCTGTAGGCTCCACCTCTGGGGGCAGGGCACAGACAAACAAAAAGACAGCAGTAACCTCTGCAGACTTAAATGTCCCTGTCTGACAGCTTTGAAGAGAGCAGGGGTTCTCCCAGCACGCAGCTGGAGATCTGAGAACGGGCAGACTGCCTCCTCAAGTGGGTCGGGTCCCTGACCCCTGACCCCCGAGCAGCCTAACTGGGAGGCACCCCCCAGTAGGGGGTACTGACTGACACCTCACATGGCCGGGTACTCCTCTGAGACAAAACTTACAGAGGAACGATCAGACAGCAGCATTTGTGGTTCACGAAAATCCGCTATTCTGCAGCCACTGCTGCTGATACCCAGGGAAACAGGGTCTGGAGTGGACCTCTAGCAAACTCCAACAGACCTGCAGCTGAAGGTCCTGTCTGTTAGAAGGAAAACTAACAAACAGAAAGGACAACCACACCAAAAACCCATCTGTACATCACCATCATCAAAGACCAAAAGTAGATAAAACCACAAAGATGGGGAAAAAACAGAGCAGAAAAACTGGAAACTCTAAAAAGCAGAGTGCCTCTCCTCCTCCAAAGGAACGCAGTTCCTCACCAGCAACGGAACAAAGCTGGAAGGAGAAGGACTTTGACGAGTTGAGAGAAGAAGGCTTCAGACGATCAAACTACTCTGAGCTACAGGAGGAAATTCAAACCAAAGGCAAAGAAGTTAAAAACTTTGAAAAAAATTTAGACGAATGTATAACTAGAATAACCAATACAGAGAAGTGCTTAAAGGAGCTGATGGAGCTGAAAGCCAAGGCTCGAGAACTATGTGTAGAATGCAGAAGCCTCAGGAGCCGATTTGATCAACTGGAAGAAAGGGTATCAGTGATGGAAAATGAAATGAATGAAATGAAGTGAGAAGGGAAGTTTAGAGAAAAAAGAATAAAAAGAAATGAACAAAGCCTCCAAGAAATATGGGACTATGTGAAAAGACCAAATCTACGTCTGATTGGTGTACCTGAAAGTGACGGGGAGAACGGAACCAAGTTGGAAAACACTCTGCAAGATATTATCCAGGAGAACTTCCCCAATCTAGCAAGGCAGGCCAACATTCAGATTCAGGAAATACAAGAACGCCACAAAGATACTCCTCGAGAAGAGGAACTCCAAGACACATAATTGTCAGATTCACCAAAGTTGAAATGAAGGAAAAAATGTTACGGGCAGCCAGACAGAAAGATCGGGTTACCCACAAAGGGAAGCCCATCAGACTAACAGCTGATCTCTCGACAAAAACTCTACAAGCCAGAAGAGAGTGGGGGCCAATATTCAACATTCTTAAAGAAAAGAATTTTCAACCCAGAATTTCATATCCAGCCAAACTAAGCTTCATAAGTGAAGGAGAAATAAAATACTTTACAGACAAGCAAATGCTGAAAGATTTTGTCACCACCAGGCCTGCCCTAAAAGAGCTCCTGAAGGAAGCACTAAACATGGAAAGGAACAACCGGTACCAGCCATTGCAAAATCATGCCAAATTGTAAAGAACATTGAGGCTAGGAAGTAACTGCATCAACTAACGAGCAAAATAACCAGCTAACATCATAATGACAGGATCAAATTCACATATAACAATATTAACTTTAAATGTAAATGGACTAAATGCTCCAATTAAAAGACACAGACTGGCAAATTGGATAAAGAGTCAAGACCCATCAGTGTGCTGTATTCAGGAAACCCATCTCACGAGCAGAGACACACATAGACTCAAAATAAAAGGATGGAGGAAGATCTACCAAGCAAATGGAAAACAAGAAAAGGCAGGGGTTGCAATCCTAGTCTCTGATAAAACAAACTTTAAACCAACAAAGATCAAAAGTGACAAAAAAGGCCATTACATAATGGTAAAGGGATCAATTCAACAAGAAGAGCTAACTGTCTTAAATATATATGCACCCAATACAGGAGCACCCAGATTCATAAAGCAAGTCCTGAGTGACTTAGACTTCCACACAATAATAATGGGAGACTTTAACACCCCACTGTCAACATTAGACAGATCAACGAGACAGAAAGTTAACAAGGATACCCAGGAATTGAACTCAGCTCTGCACCAAGCGGACCTAATAGACATCTACAGAACTCTGCACCCCAAATCAACAGAATATACATTTTTTTCAGCACCACACCACACCTATTCCAAAATTGACCACATAGTTGGAAGTAAAGCTCTCCTCAGCAAATGTAAAAGAACAGAAATTATAACAAACTGTCTCTCAGACCACAGCACAATCAAACTAGAACTCAGGATTAAGAAACTCACTCAAAACTGCTCAACTACATGGAAACTGAACAACCTGCTCCTGAATGACTACTGGGTACATTACGAAAGGAAGGCAGAAATAAAGATGTTCTTTGAAACCAACGAGAACAAAGACACAACATACCAGAATCTCTGGGACACATTCAAAGCAGTATGTAGAGGGAAATTTATAGCACTAAATGCCCACAAGAGAAAGCAGGAAAGATCCAAAATTGACACCCTAACATCACAATTAAAAGAACTAGAGAAGCAAGAGCAAACACATTCAAAAGCTAGCAGAAGGCAAGAAATAACTAAAATCAGAGCAGAACTGAAGGAAATAGAGACACAAAAAACCCTTCAAAAAATTAATGAATCCAGGAGCTGGTTTTTTGAAAGGATCAACAAAATTGATAGACCGCTAGCAAGACTAATAAAGAAGAAAAGAGAGAAGAATCAAATAGACACAATAAAAAATGATAAAGGGGATATCACCACCGATCCCACAGAAATACAAACTACCATCAGAGAATACTACAAACACCTCTACGCAAATAAACTAGAAAATCTAAAAGAAATGGATAAATTCCTCGACACATACACCCTCCCAAGACTAAACCAGGAAGAAGTTGAATCTCTGAATAGACCAATAACAGGCTCTGAAATTGTGGCAATAATCAATAGCTTACCAAACAAAAAGAGTCCAGGACCAGATAGATTCACAGCCGAATTCTACCAGAGGTACAAGGAGGAACTGGTACCATTCCTTCTGAAACTATTCCAATCAATAGAAAAAGAGGGAATCCTCCCTAACTCATTTTATGAGGCCAGCATCATCCTGATACCAAAGCCGGGCAGAGACACAACAAAAAAAGAGAATTTTAGACCAATATCCTTGATGAACATTGATGCAAAAATCCTCAATAAAGTACTGGCAAACCGAATCCAGCAGCACATCAAAAAGCTTATCCACCATGATCAAGTGGGCTTCATCCCTGGGATGCAAGGCTGGTTCAATATACGCAAATCAATAAATGTAATCCAGCATATAAACAGAACCAAAGACAAAAACCACATGATTATCTCAATAGATGCAGAAAAGGCCTTTGACAAAATTCAACAACACTTCATGCTAAAAACTCTCAATAAATTAGGTATTGATGGGATGTATCTCAAAATAATAAGAGCTATCTATGACAAACCCACAGCCAATATCATACTGAATGGGCAAAAACTGGAAGCACTCCCTTTGAAAACTGGCACAAGACAGGGATGCCCTCTCTCACCACTCCTATTCAACATAGTGCTGGAAGTTCTGGCCAGGGCAATTAGGCAGGAGAAGGAAATAAAGGGTATTCAATTAGGAAAAGAGGAAGTCAAATTGTCCCTGTTTGCAGATGACATGATTGTGTATTTAGAAAACCCCATTGTCTCAGCCCAAAATCTCCTTAAGCTGATAAGCAACTTCAGCAAAGTCTCAGGATACAAAATCAACGTGCAAAAATCACAAGCATTCTTATACACCAATAACAGACGGCCAAATCATGAGTGAACTCCCATTCACAATTGCTTCAAAGAGAATAAAATACTTAGGAATCCAACTTACAAGGGATGTGAAGGACCTCTTCAAGGAGAACTACAAACCACTGCTCAAGGAAATAAAAGAGGATACAAACAAATGGAAGAACATTCCATGCTCATGGGTAGGAAGAATCAATATTGTGAAAATGGCCATACTGCCCAAGGTAATTTATAGATTCAATGCCATCCCCATCAAGCTACCAATGACTTTCTTCACAGAATTGGAAAAGCTACTTTAAAGTTCATATGGAACCAAAAAAGAGCCCGCATCGCCAAGTCAATCCTAAGCCAAAAGAACAAAGCTGGAGGCATCACGCTACCTGACTTCAAACTATACTACCAGGCTACAGTAACCAAAACAGCATGGTACTGGTACCAAAACAGAGATATAGATCAATGGAACAGAACAGAGCCCTCAGAAATAATGCCACATATCTACAACTATCTGATCTTTGACAAACCTGAGAAAAACAAGCAATGGGGAAAGGATTCCCTATTTAATAAATGGTGCTGGGAAAACTGGCTACCCATATGTAGAAAGCTGAAACTGGATCCCTTCCTTACACCTTATACAAAAATTAATTCAAGATGGATTAAAGACTTAAACGTTAGACCTAAAACCATAAAAACCCTAGAAGAAAACCTAGGCATTACCATTCAGGACATAGGCATGGGAAGGACTTCATGTCTAAAACACCAAAAGCAATGGCAACAAAAGCCAAAATTGACAAATGGGATCTCATTAAACTAAAGAGCTTCTGCACAGCAAGAGAAACTACCATCAGAGTGAACAGGCAACCTACAAAATGGGAGAAAATTTTCGCAACCTACTCATCTGACAAAGGGCTAATATCCAGAATCTACAATGAACTCAAACAAATTTACAAGAAAAAAACAACCCCATCAAAAAGTGGGCAAAGGACATGAACAGACATTTCTCAAAAGAAGACATTTATGCAGCCAAAAAACATGAAAAAATGCTCACCATCACTGGCCATCAGAGAAATGCTAATCAAAACCACAATGAGATACCATCTCATACCAGTTAGAATGGCAATCATTAAAAAGTCAGGAAACAACAAGTGCTGGAGAGGATGTGGAGAAATAGGAACACTTTTACACTGTTGGTGGGACTGGAAACTAGTTCAACCATTGTGGAAGTCAGTGTGGCGATTCCTCAGGGATCTAGAACTAGAAATACCATTTGACCCAGCCATCCCATTACTGGGTATATACCCAAAGGATTATAAATCATGCTGCTATAAAGACACATGCACACGTATGTTTATCGCGGCTCTATTCACAATAGCAAAGACTTGGAACCAACCCAAATGTCCAACAATGATAGACTGGATTAAGAAAATGTGGCGCATATACACCATGGAATACTATGCAGCCATAAAAAATGATGAGTTCATGTCCTTTGTAGGGACATGGATGAAATTGGAAATGATCATTCTCAGTAAACTATCGCAAGAACAAAAAACCAAACACCGCATATTCTCACTCATAGGTGGGAACTGAACAATGAGAACACGTGGACACAGGAAGGGGAACCTCACACTCTGGGGACTGCTGTGGGGTGGGGGGAGGGGGGACTAATAGCATTAGGAGATATACCTAATGCTAAATGACGAGTTAATGGGTGCAGCACCCCAGCATGGCACATGTATACACATGTAACTAACCTGCACATTGTGCACATGTACCCTGAAACTTAAAGTATAATAATAAAAAACAAAACAAAACAAAACAAGGGAAGTGGTGTCCTCTCTGAGCGTTTTCTTTGGAAAACTTGTCATTGTAAATCTTCCTCTGCCCCTTTGAGGGGCATGCAATGCTTTTTGACAACTAAATAAGCCTCTTGCCAGCTTTGCAACCCAGGACTGTGTTCCTGAAGGACCTGGGAGCCCGTCTTTGAAACGTCATCATCAGAGCAGCCAGGGCCCTATCTGCCAGTCTCTGTGGGATGGTGGGGGCCTAACATCTGCTGTGAGTAGTAAATCTACCTCCTGTCACGAAGGTAAGAGTTTATTTTCCTTTGTAACAAGGTAATTAGCAAACGCAGGTGGTCAGGTAAATTGAGGTTGAATCTCCAATAAATGGGTGTGGCCAAAGGTGCTGGGAAGTCCACTGATCTGAGGACTAGGCATTACTCTTCTTGAGAATGCGTGCAGTGAACAATGGGTTGGACCCACTGGCTAGATAAGCGTGAGATTTCTGTCTTTGCAGCATCTTAGCGGATCATTGTCTGTGATGCACATCTCACTCTGAGTTAATGCCTCTTCAATGATGAAAGTGTT
Organism: Homo sapiens; assembly: GCF_000001405.40. Taxonomy (NCBI): domain Eukaryota; kingdom Metazoa; phylum Chordata; class Mammalia; order Primates; family Hominidae; genus Homo; species Homo sapiens. The sequence continues at coordinate 73,728,097 of NC_000002.12, forward strand.
TTCTTCCTCTTCTACCTCTGCAGAGAGGCTTGCTGGGATAGATTTTGTTTGTAATTCTATTTCCCCACCGCCAGAGGCCGGACTTTGGGGGTCAGGCAGCTGAGAAGGAGTTTAGAACCCATGCCTAGGCCTTCCACACTCTACAGGCACCCAGTTCATCCATCAGTAGCAGAACTTAGAGTCTTCCTGGGACTCCATACTGCCTGGAGAGAGGAATTCGTTCTCTTTCATTGCTGACATTCCTGGGTGAATGCCTGTGGCAGTTATACTTTACCCATCCCATTTTGTACCTCCTTCCACTCCAGGGGACCCCAAGGGGCCTGGCTCCACTTGCCCAGTGCACCTCCGAAGAAGGGAGACTGGGAAATGAGGATCCTGCCAGGGGGCCAGGTGTTGGACAAGGTGCATGTGAATGTGGAGGAGGAAGACGGAGCCCTCCCAAGAACCTGACAGGGTCAGGGATGAGGTGAGAGTGCTCAGAAGAGTGCTGAGGCAGGACCCAGGCTGGGGCCACGGACCTGCCTCAGCAGCTGGGGTCTGACCTCTTGGGGTTGTGTTCTGACTCCCCTTCCCCCATGGCTCTTTGCCCTCTGGAAGCCAAGGGGCAATGGCAGGTTCACAGTGGCACTGCAAGGGTACAGTTGTTGGGGGTTCTTGGGAGCAGGGGCACCAGTTCTGCTGTGGCCCTGGTTGCCTCCCCTTGCCCAGGCTCCATGTGCACCCTCAGAGTCCCCCTGGCACAACCTTTCTTCTTCTCACGAGGAACACCCCCACTTCCACTTGGGCCTCTGCCAGGAAGAAGGGTGGGAGCTCTGCCGAGGTGTCCCTCTGAGTGACCACCCTCAGCTGGAGCCGCCAGGCCTCTGCACAGTAGCTGCCCCTGGGCCTTGTGTGTAAAATGGGGGTAATAACAGTATCTACCTCATAAGGTTGCTGCAAGAACTAAATGAGTTCCTAGAAGTGAAAGACACTTAGAACCAGGATCCAGAGGCTTGCGAAGGGTGAGCTGGAGTAGCCATGGTAAGTATGGAGAGGGAGGTGAACTGAGGATATAAAATCACCAAGGCAAAAAATTTAAAAACAGAAACAATAACCAGCTGGGCTCAGTGGCTCATGCCTGTAATTCCAGCGCTTTGGGAGGCGCAGCAGAAGCATCACTTGAGTCCAGGATTTTGAGACCAATCTGGGCAACATAGTGAGACCACATCTCTACAAAAAAAAAAAAAAAAATCACTAAGGCAAGAACCTAGTACACTGTAGGCATTCCATAAGTGTTTGCAATTTTTATTCTAATTATATAAAAATAAAATATATTTGAATAGAAACAGAACTCTAGAAGGCAATAACAAGTAATAGTAACTGATTATCTTTTAAAATACAACGAGGTAGGACTACAAGTGGTTTTTTTGTTTTTTTTTTTTTTGGTTTTTTTTTTTGAGACGGAGTCTCGCTCAGCTGCCCAGGCTGGAGTGCTATGGCACGATCTCAGCTCACTGCAACCTGTGCCTCCCAGGTTCATGCGATTCTCCTGTCTCAGCCTCCCGAATAGCTGGGATTACAGGCACCTGCCATCATGCCCAGCTAATTTTTGTATTTTAGTAGAGATGGGGTTTCACCATGTTAGCCAGGCTGGTCTTGAACTCCTGACCTCAGGTGATCCACCTGCCTTGGCCTCCCAAATTGCTGGGATTTCAGGCGTGAGCCACCGTGCCTGGCCTTTTTTTTTTTTTTTTAATACCATTCTGTGATTTAAACTTTTCTATAATGCACAATTAGTTTTATAGTCAGGAAAGGAAAATCAATGTTTTCTTTAATGCTGAGAATTTTTGTTAATATTTCTGACATTTCATAAAACATCTTTTGTTGACATTCTACAAATGATAGCATCCAATAATGTCCCAATACTTTCTTCTTGTGAAGAGAGTTTATATATCTGTAAAAATGAAAGACAAATTATGACTTGCTGATATCGTCATTCACTACTAATTGTCATTATACAAACATGTGTAAGTGAAATTATTCCTCATTCAATTATTGGGTTCATGGTATAACAAACAACAAATGTGATTAAAATATTCAAAGTAGAGGGCAATTCATTACTTGTATCCCCTTTAAATTGCTGCTATGGGAGTAACTCTCAAGAACATAAAAACCAAATTTCTATCCATTTTAAAAGCATACTAAATTTATTTTACATTTTAAATATACTATGTAAGTTTGATATTTAAAGGTATTCTCTTTCTTAATGTGGAGAATGGTTATGTCAGCTGAGTTTGTAATTATATTTTACATAAACCATCACACCTCCCAGTTCTTTGTATCTGTAATTTTTAAGTAATTTTTAAAATTAGATTAACTTTCTCAAAAGTTCAAAAAACAAGGAGCTCTGGTGATCAATAGGCAAACGGCATCAGCATTATTGCTCATCTATCACACTCTTTCTAAAAATATGGACTGGCAAACCTTTTTGACTTCTGTAATATTCATTATTTCAGGAAGATTTTTCAGAGAAACCTGATGACCTTCTACTTGAGATATTAGGTATTCTTGATTTATTTGTTTTTCTCCCTCTTCAATGTAAACAATTAGAATTGAAGTGTCATTTGCTGAGATACCAAATTTTTTCAAAGCCTCTGAAATCTAAGAGAAAAAAAATGAAAAAAAAAACACAAGATCATTAACCATTGTTTCCTACGTCTGAAACATTTCCTGATCTGCCTTCTTCCTTGGTCAGGCTCTTATTTTTCATGTCCTAACAGTTCTCACTGCCTACTTTTTCACTTTAATGATTCCTTTCCAACATCCATTGGCACTTCCTCAAAAGCACTCCCTGCTTAAAGGTACGCCTTGTTCCTATGGAATCAAGCCCAGCCTCTTGGCGCTGCACAAAAACACCTCCTCCCTCTGGTGCCAAGTGGCCCTCCAGCCAGGCGCTTCTGCCTTCTGGCCAGTCCAGCCTGCCTGGGGATCCAGTCACATTTCATGCCCTTCTGCCTGTGCTCAAGCTTTGTCCTCTGCTCGCATGTCCCTTCTCCTCATGGCTTGGCTGCTGAACACATGCTTCAGGGTCCACAGTTCTGATGCCACTCCCCACCACACCCTCCTCCCTCCAAAATGAATGGCTTCATTGCTGTACCCCTAGATTTGAATTCATTTTCCCATTATATCATTTATCTTAGGGCATTTTAACTTGTCTTGTTTATCTGCCTCTCCTCAGGAACATATTTGCCTCTTCTGCCCCTAGAACTGTAAATGGAACGGGGAAAAAGTTCAACAGATGTTTACTGAATTCAAGAGTTTTCTGAATTATGTCTAATGATCTCAAGGAAACCATAATTAGTAAATTTTATTCCAGGTACTGGGAATCTCTATTACCATGCTGAGATAACTGCATTTTATAAACTTGTCAATCATCTGTATTTTAACCTATGCTACAGGTTTCCTGTAGATGACATTAGTACCTGGTTGTTATTAACAGCAGCAGTAATACTAAAACTTCATCAGCAAAATTGCAGTCATTTTTTTCATGTGCTACATGTGTGATGTCTTTAGCTTGATAACTTTCATTGAAAAAGCATTACTATAAGTATTTCAAACCACAAACTCTACCTATGTACTGGGTGTGTGAGTGAGGCTGTGTTAAGGACTGTTATAGGTACAAGCAAGTTCCTGGTATATGAAAAAGACATGGATCCCACCCTCAAGGAGTTTACGGGAAGAGAGAATGATATGCAGGCTAGCACACAAAATATCCACGCCTAATGTTTTATCATTTAGATTTCTGTCAGCTTCTCAAGCAAAAATACTTGAGGGGTCTTCCTGACCCTATATGGTAAGAACAGATAAAATTAACCTCGCTTAATTTAGCTAAATTTTTGTTTACTCATATGTAAACTGTCTTAGTAAGAGGCAGGGTTAAACCTCAACTCTCTGTCCAGAGCTCTCTTCACTATTATTTGGGTTTATTACTAACCACTGGCTTGCAGGAATTTAGCCTCCAACCCAACACTGAGGAACACATATGTTATTATGACACGGTCAACAGAAATAGGAAAGTGCACATTACATTGTTATTTGGGGAAAGGTTGAAAATAATTTCAGTAGATAGAGTTCTTGTCTTCATTTTTCCCAGTTTGTAGAGGTGAACTGCTTTGTTTGCTGCCACAAGTATCTGAAATGGATCAACAATCTACCAAAGCAAGGAAAAAGAATTAATTACACATGGAGAATCTGCAGTGCCTGAAAACACATGGTAACTCATGGTTAACTCCAGTGTCAAGCTGTTTTACTTCATCACAATTCTTACGGTCTGTATTTTCAAAACTATTATCCCGGCTGGGCACGGTGGCTCACACCTGTAATCCTAGCACTTTGGGAGGCCAAGGTGGGTAGATCACCTGACGTCAGGGTTCAAGACCAGCCTGGCCAACACGGCGAAACCCTCTCTACTAAAAATACAAAAATTAGTCAGGCGTGGTGGCACGCACCTGTAATCCCAGCAACTCAGGAGGCTGAGGCAGGACAATTGCTTGAACCCGGGAGGCAGAGGTTGCCGTGAGCCAAGATCGCGCCATTGCACTCCAGCCTGGGCAACAAGAGTGAAACTGTCTCAAAAAAAAAAAAAACAAAAAACAACTATTATCCCAAGGGCCTGGGTAGTCAGGAAATCACAGAATTTTAAAGCTGCAAGGAACTTATGCAAATAGTAAAATTTTTTTAAATAACATTAATTGAGGGCTAATATTATGGGCATGATCATATTGCAAACATTTTACTTGTAATATTTTCTTTAATCCTCAAAACTACCCTATGAAATTGACACTATTATTAGTAGTAGTAGCAGTAGTAGTAGTATGTAATTGATGAGGAAATTGAGGCAAAGAATGTCTGGGTTTGAATCCCATCTCTGTCACCTATCACCTAGGAAACTTATGCAAGTTCATTAGCATTTTATTTGTTAGAGACCGATGAAACAGTATTCACTCCATAGGCTGTTGTGAAGATTAAGCAAGTTAGTATACGTAAAGCACTTGGAACAATGCTAGGAATGCAGTAAGCACTATATAAAGGTTGGTTATGTCTTGTTCAAAGGCCTAAGTAGTAGGTCTGGGATTAATTCCCGGTAACATGATCGCACTGCGTGTGCCCTGTTTTTTTGTTTTTTTTTTTTTTTGGAGACAGACAGAGTCTCTCGCTCCATTGCCCAGGCTGGAATGCAGTGGCTCAATCTCAATTCACTGTAACCTCCGCCTCCCAGGTTCAAATGATTCTTGTGCCTCAGCCTCCCGAGTAGCTGGGACTACCAGCACACACCACCACACCCAGCTACTTTTTGTATTTTTAGTAGAGACACGGTTTCACTATGTAGGCCAGGCTGGTCTCAAACTCCGGGCCTCAAGCAATCCACCCACCTTGGCCTCTGTGTGTACTCTTAACCACTACACTATTCCTCCTCTACAGACTGTCTTGTTAGGAACCCCCATTTTAAAGATGAGAAGCTGGAGATCCAGGCATTTCCCATATTAGACCCAGACCACAACCTTTCCTATTTCCTAGGGCAGGACCTGGCACTTCTGCCTCTATTCACTGTTATAGTCAAAGTTGGCTGCATCTGACTTGGACAAGAATTTTTTCCCTAACCGTGACAGATTTTTAGGCTACCCTATAACATCACAAATATTAATGTATACTTAAATGCCCTGTATGGCTCATTCATTCTTTTTTTTTTTTTTTTTTTTTGAGGCGGATTCTTGGTCTGTTGCCCAGGCTGGAGTGCAGTGGCACAATCTCGGCTCACTGCAACCTCTGCCTCCCAGGCTCAAGCGATTCTCCTGCCTCAGTCTCCTGAGTACAGGTGCCCACCACCATGCTCAGCTAATTTTTGTATTTTTAGTAGAGACAGGGTTTCACCATATTGGCCAGGCTGGTCTCAAACTCCTGACCTCATGATCTGCCTGCCTCGGCCTCCCAAAGGGCTGGGATTACAGGCGTGAGCTACCATGCCTGGCCATTTTTTTTTTCCAGACAGAGTTTTGCTCGTCGCCCAGGCTGGAGTGCAATGGCGCAATCTTGGCTCACTGCAACCTCTGCCTCCAGGGTTCAAATGATTTTCCTGCCTCAGCCTCCCGAGTAGCTGGGATTATAGGCGCCCGCCACCACGCCCAGCTAATTTTTGTATTTTTAGTTGAGACAGGGTTTCACCATGTTGGCCAGGCTGGTCTTCAACTCCTGACCTCAGATGATCCACCCGCCTCGGCCTCCTAAAGTGCTGGCATTACAGGCGTGAGCCACCGCACCCAGCAGGCTCATTCATTCTTAAAATTTATATTTACCACTGTAGGATTTATCAGTGATCCATCGATGGTGCCTTCCATGGCCTTTCTTCTCAAGTCTCCCGCATTTTTTACATCTTTAAATAACAGAAGGGTTACCCTGCATTCGGGAAATAGGTCCAGCTGATGTGTTAACTGCATTTCACAGATAAGCAGGATTCTACTGCACACAAAATGAAAAGACCAAAAGATTTCATTTAAAAGTTAACATCAGAACTCATTTCTTAATAAATATTCAAAAACTTTGAAAGTAACTTGATAAAAGTGTTAAACTAGAAAAATCCATCGCCAAAGCCCATTTGGCATCCTCATGAGATGTTGTCTTCCTAACCCTTCTGAGTTGTTCTGTTGTCATCCCCAGGGAAACGCCAAGGGGCCCAGCTGGTTGCTGTTTGTTCAGATGAGGCAGGCTCAGGTGCATGGTTGAAGGGCTGCTTCCCCAGCAGACAAGTAGGAGCAGAATGTCAGGAATTTTTTAAACCAGAGGTTGCTTACGGTATTAATGAAGTCTTACTCTATCTTAGTCTTTTTAACTTCCTGATCTCATCATTTTATTTATATTTTAGGAAGGCCTAGACATAAATATTAAGGAAGAAAATAATTTTAAAGAATAAAGTAGGCTGGGTGCAGTGGCTCATGCCTGTAATCTCAGCACTCTGGGAGGCCGAGGCGAGCAGATCACCTGAGGTTGGGAGTTCGAGACCAGCCTGACCAACATGGAGAAACCCCGTCTCTACTAAAAATGCCAAAAAAATTAGCCAGGCATGGTGGCGCATGCCTGTAATCCCAGCTACTCAGGAGGCTGAGGCAGAAGAATCGCTTGAACCTGGGAGGCAGAGGTTGCAGTGAGCCGAGATCATACCATTGCACCCCAGCCTGGGCAACAAGAGTGAAACTCCGTCTCAAAAAAAAAAAAGAATAGGGGGAAGGGATAGCATTAGGAGATATACCTAATGTAAACGATGAGTTAATGGGTGCAGCATACAAACATGGCACATGTATACAGATGTAACAAACCTGCACGTTGTGCACATGTACCCTAGAACTTAAAGTATAAAAATAAAAAAAAAGGATAAAGTATCCCACTTGACCCAAAGATATTCATTCCACGCATGGAAATTAAGCAGAGAGGGTACAATTATTAAATAATCAATGTCGCTCCTTTCTTGGACATAAGCTTAACAAGAAAAGGATAGGTTATTATATATAAAGACATAAAAGAAACATAAAAGACAACTTGAATAACCAGAAAGACATGACCATATCTTTGAATGGAAAAACTATGTATTGCAAAAATTTCTTTAAAACAATTTCTATCAAATTCTTAATAAAATATTTTGGTGGGGCAATTTGAGACTCATTTTATCCTTTTACCTGGCAGATTATATTTCTAGAACTCTTTCTGATGGAAGTCATTAGGAATCCAATAATTATATAAGATGTTCCTCTCATTATTTTAACAGTAAAAAGTTGCAAATAACCTATCTAGCTAATGATGGGATTAGTTGTTATTTAACAACCATTAAAACATGTGGTCTTGACGGTGTGTAAAAACGGCAATAAATAACATTAAGTAAGTAAAAACATCTGAATGGAAAACAAAACACAAACTGGCCAAAATGTGGGTTTTTTAAAAGGCTTTTAAACAAATATTAAAAAGAAAATACACCAAAAAGTTAATGTTATCTCTTATTTAGAATTAATTTGACTTTTTCTGTTACAAACAGAAAAAAATATATTTGTGAACGATATCCTGGCACACAGTTCAATCATTAGTCATGCTAAGGTGGAAAAAATGGATACAGAAAGACATAATCAGTAGGATCCCAATTATATAAAAAGATACACATATTTTTTTAAAATACATGAAAGAAACACTAAAATATGACCATCTTGGGTAGTGAGGTTATGAGGTGATTTTTATTGTCCTTTATATAAAAGAAAATATTTTGTTATGTATGTTCTGAATTTTCTACAGTAAGCACACAAAACATGAGTACACATAATAAGAAAGGAAAAAAACGTGCTTTTTAACACTGAGTGGGGGGAAGAACCCTTAGAAAACTTCAAAATAGTTTGTTCTTGTTTAGCGTAATTTACTCACTCAGGTCAGAAACTTGGAATCATCGTTGAGACCCAACCTGTCACTCAAATCCTATATCTAATCCGTAAAGTCCTGAATTTTCACCTGCTAAATATACTTTTGATTCGTCCACTTCTCTCCCATACGCTAGGTCACATCGCTCATCTACAGCAGTAGCCTTCTGAGTGGTTTCTCACAATTCCTGCCCTCCTATAATCCAGTCGTCACCAGCAGTTACAGTGATCCTTTCAAAATGTACATCAGATCTTGTCATTCTGCTGCTCTTATGATAAAGCCCCAACTTTGTGTCACGGTGTTCCACACTCTACGATCTGGTCCCTGCCTCTCCTCTTCTGCTACCGCCGCAATGGCCTTCTCTAAGCTCAAGTCACCAACCTTTCTCCCCGATTCTGCCCTATCGGACAGGTAGTTCCCTCTCTCCTTTCATCTCCGCCTGACGCACTCCTCCCTCCCTTCAACTCCATTTGGAGTCCATTTACTACAGCGCCCAGAACCCCGGCACTACGGCTCTTTTTAGTCTGAGGACTAGCTCCTTTTTGGGCCCAATCACAACTCTGAAGAATCCTGCGCCTATCCGCTGCATGTCTCCTCACTAAACTATTTCTTGAGGGGACAGCCTGACTCTATCATTCTCGTGCTGCATTCCCAGGGGCTGGCCTCGTTGCCGCTTGAGAAATACCAACCGCAGCCGTTGTCCCAAAGACACTACTAAAACTGCCCGGACCCTCCCGCTCCCGAGCCTGCCCGTTAGAGCGCAAGGAAAACTCACCATCCGGCCCCCAGTGCGTCTCGGAAGAGCTCCCGCTCCGAAACAAAGCTCACAACTTCCGGAAGCGATGGCCAATCCCCGTCTTCTTCGAGCCAGTTTCCGGATAGGCCGGCTCGGGGTGGCCATCTGTTTCCGGGTCCTGGTAGGAGGGGTGCTTCCGCCCATGGTCCCGCCCATTCTTCCGCCTCCCCAACCTGGGTCCCGTCAACGGACGCGAAGGAGAACAGGGGCTGTATATCACTTCCGGCGAAGGAAATGGAAGAATCTATGGGCTGGGACCGGAAGCTGGGGTCTGGTTTTGAGTCTCGGCTTTGTCTTAACCTGTGTTGGGCGTTGCACCGGGCGACCTCAGTTTCTTCCTGTACAAGGAAAAGTACTGACCAAAATGAGTTCTACATACATTTCCGCTGCTGGAGATTTCTTTGGTTTTTGAGACAGAGTCTTGCTCTGTTACTCAGGCTGGAGTGCTGTGGTGCAATCTCGGCTCACTGCAACCTCCGCGTCCCGGTTCAAGCCATTCTCCTGCCTCAGCCTCCCGAGCAGCTGGGACTACAGGCACCCGCCACCACGCCCCGCTAATTTTTTGTATTTTTAGTAGAGACGGGGTTTCACCGTGTTAGCTAGGATGGTCTGGATCACCTGACCTCGTGATCCACCCGCCTTGGCCTCCCAAGGAGCTGGGATTAGTTCTTTTTCTGGGCCATGTCTCCTGTGACACTTTGGACTTTTGAGTTTAATGCTGGAACAAGTTAAAATTTTGGTAGGTGATTGGGAAGGCATGATTATGTTTTGCAATGTCAGAAGGACATGAGATTTGGGGGTCCAGGGATGGATTGAATATATGTCCCTGCCAAATCTCATGTTGAATTGTCCCCATTTTTGGAGGTGGGACCTGATGGGAGGTGTTTGGGTCATGGAAGTGGATCTCTCATGGCTTGGTGTCTTTGCAATAGTGAGTGAGTGCCAGGAAGATGTGGTTATTTAGAAGTGTGTGGCACCCTCCAACACAGTCTCTTGGTCCAGTTCTCACCATGTGATGTGCCTGCTCTCTCTTCTCCTTCTGCCAATAGTAAAAGCTCCCTGGGGCCTCCTCAGAGGCCAAACAGATGGTGGTACTATGCTTCCTGTACAGCCTGCAGAAACATGAGCCAATTTAACCTCGTTTCTATATAAATTACCCAGTCTCAGGTATTTCTTTGTGGCAATGCAACAGCCTAATTGCAGGGGGCAGGGGCAGGGGGAAGAGGTGGGGAGGCATGACACACTGGGCTAAAACATGAAGAACATTCGGCCAGGTGCGGTGGCTCACGCCTGTAATCCCAACACTTTGGGAGGCCGAGGCAGGCAGATCACCTGAAGTCGGGAGTTCGAGACCAGCTTGACCAACGTGGAGAAACCCCGTCTCTACTAAAAAATAAAAAATTAGCCAGGCATGGTGGCTCATGCCTGTAATGCCAGCTACTCAAGAGACTGAGGCAGGAGAATCACGTGATCTGGGGAGGCAGAGGTTGCCATGAGCTGAGATCGCGCCATTGCACTCCAGCCTGGGCAACAAGAGTGAAACTCCCTCTCAAAAAAAAATAAATAAATAAAAATTAAAATTAAAAAAAATATATATATATATATATACATATATATATGAAGGACATTCTATTTCTGGGAGACACTGGAACAGGGCCCTGGCTGGTCTGGTTAGTCTCTCTCTATCACAGGATGCTACATTCCCAGCACATTCTACAGTTATCCTAGAGAACCACAAGTGAGAAAGGAGAGAGAACTAAATTGGTCCAAGGCCACCTGGAGAACTGTCCTGCAGTCTATGCCCTTAACCCAGATTATACCCTTTAGCAAAGCTAGTCCGTTTCATATGCCCACCAACCTCCTAGTATCTGGAGGCGGAAGTTTGTCTTATCAGATCGATGTAACACCTTCACAGACACAATGTCAGTACAACATTGTTGAGCCATAGCCAGAATACATTTTACTAGGCCCAGGAGGACTACATCACAAACAGGTTGATCAGGTCTGTCTGGAGCATCAACCTAGTCCAGGATCCAGTGATCCAGGTAAGAACATAATAGGTCAAAGGTGCCAGCCCACCAAGATCTTATTAGTTGTCATGATGTTTTGCCACCTTAGGCCAATTAAGTCTACCTCCCTCCCATGTGGCAGATGTTAGATCCTCACTCAGTAAGCCAGGGCTCAGGTTCTGTTGATATTCACTGTGCCACTATAATACTGGTAGAGTTTACTACTGGCAGGACGAGAAGGTTGCTGTAGCCTGTGACATAATGGGGTCTGGGATGACAGATCCAGCACTTTCCTATGGTAGCCACAGCTTGGGAGAGCCTAACAAACGCGTTATGCTTCTAGGCCTCTGCAGTCACGTCCTTGTGGAAAAAGCAGACTGACAGGTTAGTGCCCTGCCCCTTACACTTCCTGCATCCTCGGGTATTCCCTACCTATGTGATAGAGGTTGAGCTGAGTGTAGTGTCCCAGTCTGACTGCTGCAGTCCCGAGAGTACCCATTCCGCTTGTTGCATGACCCAGGCCTTTTGGCTTCAGTCGTCCAGTCCGGGAAGGTTTGTCTTGTACAAACTCGACATGTCTGATAAGGTTACCTACCTGAATGGAAGGATCAGGTGTTCCTGGTGCCACTAAGCCTAGCACCCTGATACTCCTTGGTCCTGTCCTGTATCCCTGTGGATTTCATAGAAGAGAGGCACCCGGGGGACGTATCACCTCTAGATCAGAGTCAGAGGGGCCTGTCGGGTGCTCTGGCAGCTTGAACCACCGGCCACCTACAGGATGTGCACTCTAAATGGAAAAAGAAAAGACAATGGTTGGGAACACTGAGATTGGAATTTCACAGGTGCAGCCTCATCAGGCAGTCACCTGGTCCACCTCTATCCACATCAAGCTCAGCGTTTTTCAAGATGTGTGCAGTGCTGTGTTTCCCTTGATTGGAGAACAGTGCTTAGTGTCCACACTGCCCTAGTCAGGTTGAGGTGCCACCCCACTAACAGGCTGTCCTGATGTCCTTTATTCAGTTGCTTTGTGAGTTGACTGGTCCATCATTCAATGGCTCCATTGGCCTGTGGATGACAGAGTGCATGGAAAACCCACTGTATTGCATGAGTGTGCCCACTGTCATGTTGCTTGGGCAGTGAGGATTTTCCTTGGTCAGAGTGAAGTCCCATGGGGTATCCAAAAACATAAGTCCTCTCAAGGGCAGCTGTGGTAGTCAGAGCATCCACATGAGTGGCATATAGAGTCCCTTCCAACAGCAAGCTGTTGCCATAGCCCTTGTCCCCACACATGGAATCTTTTAATAGTCCAATCACTGCTGCCATTCCCCTGACCAGATGGCTAGGCTGTTGGCAATGGCCCATGAGTCAGTAAAAATGTGGCAAGATATGGTGGTAGGTGGGAGGGGATGTGCCCCACTGTTATGGCTCAAATCCTTAGCTGTTAGGGGTCATAGCCCCTCTGGTGGCAGTGACATTCTGTGCCACAAGCCACCAAAATGTCAATGCCTATAAAGCACTCAGTGGTGGGAACCATGGTCACTGACACCTGAAATGGCCCAAAGGCCTCCACCCACAAGCAGATAAGCACCACAAGCAGATAAACACTATGTGTCACCGAGTTCATCCCCAAACTTCCTGGTGTCACCAGCTTAATTTTTCCCCTAAAGGAACCTGGAAATTCTGTCATGTGGCCTTCAGTATCCAAGAACTCGAAAGAAATCAGAATTTCCATCTTTCCCCATTTTATTTATTTATTTTTTTTTTGAGACAGGATCTCTCTCCATTGTCCATGTTGGAGTGCAGCCTCAACCTCCCAGGTTCAGACAATCCTCCAGCCTCAGCCTCCCACATAGCTGGGATTACAGAAGCACACCACCACACCTAATTATTTTTAAATTTTCTGTAGAGACGAGGTCTCACTTTGTTGCTTTGGCTGGTCTCTAAGTCTTGGGCTCAAGGGATCCTCCTGCCTTGGCCCCACAAAGTACTGGAATTATAGGTATGAGCCACTGCACCTGGCCCCATTTTATCTTAATAGGAGTATAGAGCCATTGGCCTCTGGTGGGGATCCAGAGACCTTGGGCCCCATTCCTACCCGTGCCATACAGCCCAAGACATTTGGGTTTGCAATGTCCCTTTATCAAATATATTCATCAACCAGGATGCATGTGACTTCCTTGGCCTTTCTCCATGTCTAAGACTGTGGTCCTTTAGACTTGAGTCTCCCTTTCTGTGACGGGCCACGTTGTGCATGTGGGTTCCTCTCAGATGCTTCAGGGACCATGTGAGTACCTCATCCCTCTTCTTTCTCTTAAGTGCCTTAGGGTATGTTTGGGTCCCCAATCATCAGCCCTGGAAATGAGCAATCACATAAGTGGCTAACAACCAAGGGATCCTGTGTGGCATTTCAGCTCCACCTTACTTTCTCTCTGCTTCCACCCATTCAGCCAGCTCAGTCACATCCACAGGGTGTGTTTGCACGTGACCTAATGTCTCACGTATCACCCCTCCTTTCCCATAAAATGTCCAGTTGCAAGTCCAGCCTCTGCACCCACAGGTTGACATCACCACCTCCTTTCACCAGGAAAACATGGTTCTGTTAGACTGAACCCTGTTTGTTGTGTCAATTTTGTGAAGCAGGCTCATTGTGCACTGGTTATCAACTTGCCTGAGTCCAATGAGATGGTAAGATGGAATGCCCACACACAAGTTACATGAAGTGGGTTTATTACTTACAGATTGGCCCTGAGGCACAACAGAAGCCCGGAATTCATTGTGAGCCAATCTCCCAAGGCTCAAGAAAGCTACCGAGGGTGGATGGATTCTCACAAGTGGGGCATGTGTCCCACTTGCACTGCAGCTGAGGGACACTAGAAAGCATCCCACACTGGATTTAATACCCTGGGGACCACATGACACGCTGGGCAAAAGTGTTGATGGACATCTTGTTTCTCAGAGGCAGACAGGAACAGAGAGAGCCTGTGAGCTGTTCTTGTCAGTCCCTCTTTATCGCAGGATGTTGCATTCCCAGCACATTCTACAGTTATTGTTGAGAACACACGTGAGAAAGAGGGAAGAACTGGGCGAGTCTAAGGTGACCTGGAGAATTGTCCTGCAGCTTGTTCTTGAATGTTCATATCAACTTTACTCATAATAGCCAAAAACTGGAAATAACCAATGCCCAACAATACATTGATAAACACATTGTGGCAAATTCATACAGTGAGATACCACTCAGTAATGAACAGGAATGAACTGCAGATACTTCCAACAATACTTGCAACATGGATGAGTCTTTAGAATGTGCTCAGCAAAATGACAATCTAAAATTAATTACTAGGCTGGGAACGGTGGCTCAAGCCTGTAATCCCAGCACTTTGGGAGGCTGAGGCAGGAAGATCACCTGAGGTCAGGAGTTCGAGACCAGCCTGTCCAACATGGTGAAACCCTGTCTCTACCAAAAAGTACAAAAATTAGCCGGGTGTGGTAGCAAGCATCGGTAATCCCAGCTACTCGGGAGGCTGAGACAGGAGAATCGCTTCAACCTGGGAGGCAGAGGTTGCAGTGAGCCAAGATTGTGCCACTGCACTCCAGCCTTGGCGACAGAGGAAGATTCTGTCTCAAAAATAAATAAATAAAATAAAATAAATTACCATATGATTTCATTTCTACAAAATGCTAGAGATTACAGATTTATTATGGAGTGACTGAAAGCAAATCAGTGGTTGCTTGGGATAGGGAAGTGGGAGACACTGACTGGAAAGGACCCAAAGGGAATCTTTAGGGTGAAGCCAATGTTCTATATCTTGATGTGGTGTCAGTTACAAGGAAGTATGAATTTGTTACAATTCATCAAATTAGGTATACTTTAGAAGAGTATATTATATATAATATATATTTAATATATTTTAAAAAATATATATATATAATTTTTTTTTTTCTGAAACAGAGTCTTGCTTTATCACCCAGGCTGGAGTGCGGTGGCACGATCTTGGCTCACTGCAACCTCCGCCTCCCAGGTTCAAGCGATTTTCCTGCCTCAGCCTCCCGAGTAGCTGGGATTACAGGTGCGCCACCACGCCAGGCTAATTTTTGTATTTTTAGTAGAGATGGGGCTTCACCATGCTGGCAGGCTGGTCTCGAACTCCTGACCTTGTGATCCGCCCATCTTGGCCTCCCAAAGTGCTGGGATTACAGGCATGAGCCACCATGCCCAGCCTAGAAGAGCATATTTTATAAACTACAAATTATGCCTCAATAAAGTTGATTCGAAAACAGACATAAAAATTGTTGTCTCATATCAAGCAGAGTCCCATGGAATAAAAAAATTGTCTTGGCCGGGCATGGTGGCTCATGCCTGTAATCCCAGCACTTTGGGAGGCCCAGGCAGGTGGATCACCTGAGGTCAGGAGTTCAAGATCAGCCTGGCTAACATGGTGAAACCCCATCTCTACTAAAAATACAAAATTAGCTGGGCATGGTGGCGCACGCCTGTAATCCCAGCTACTCGGGAGGCTAAGGCAGGAGAATCGCTTGAAACCAGCAGGCAGAGGTTGCAGTGAGCCAGAATTGCACCCTGCACCCCAGCCTGGGTGACAGAGTAAGACTCCATCTCCAAAAAAAAAAAAAAAAAAGTTGTCTCAGTTCATAGCAGCTTGTTTCTAACTATTAAAAGCTGGAAACAACCCACAACCCAAATGTTCGAGTGAATGGATAAACAAAGTGTCACACATCCATACAATGACTGCAACTCAGCAATAAAAAGAAGTCAGCTATTGCTATATACAGCAACATGGATGAATCTCAAAATAATTATGCCAAATCAAAGAAGCCAGACATAAAAAGAGTGCATACTATATGATTCCGTTTATGTAAAACTACTCTATGGTGACAGCAGATCAGTGGTCGCTTGAGTAGGGGTTCTAGGATGCAAAGGGAGGATTACAAAGGAGTGTGGGGGAACTGTGGAGTAATAGATGTGTTCTACCTTGATTATGGTAATGGCTTCATGGATGTGTATATGTCATGTGAATCTAATTGTATGCTTATAAAAATATACAGCATATTGCATGTCAATTATCTCTCTAACGCTGTTTAAGAAACATGAGACACTACATCTTTTTGTTGGAACAGCTAAAATTAGAAAAAACTAACAACACTAAGTATTGGTGAGGATGTGAGCAACTGGAGCTCTCATAGCTTATTCACGGGGATGCTGTGTAATACAGACATTTTGCAAAAGTTTGGCAGTTCCTTATAAAATTAAATATACACTTACCCCACAACAGCAATCCCAGTACAAGGGAAATAAAAACAATTCACCCAAAAATCTCTATGCAAATGTTTATGGCAGCTTTGTTCAAAATTCGAATATTGGTAAATAACCCAAATATCCTTCAACTAGTAGATGGAAAACAAATTGTGGTATATCCACAGCATACTCAGCAACAAAAGGGAATGAACTGTTGATCTACTCAGCAACATGGAGGAAGCTCAAAAGCATTATGCTAAATGAAAGAAGCCACATTTGAAAGGCTACATACTCTGTTATTCCATTTATACAACATTCTAGAAAAAGCAAAACTATAGGGACAGAAAATAGGTCAGCATTTGCCAAAGTCTGGGGTTGGTGAGAATGGATTGCTACAAAATGCCATGAGGGAATTTTAGGGGATGATGGAATGGTTGTATATTTTGATTGTGGTGGTGGTGGTGATGGTTATAAAACTACGCATTTGTCAAAATTTGTAGAACTGTACACTAAAAGAGGTGAATTTTACTATTTGACTATTTTTTAAGTCATCTCAGAGGTAAAAATGATCCCTTATGACTTGCAAGGGTTATGTACCATAAAATTAGTTCAAAAGATCTAATTTGATAAGGTGTTAGATGAGAGCTTTCAAAACAATATCAACTTTATTCTTCTCTGCAATATATAGACTTGTATAAATATGCATAACTGTTACCATGTGTTAAAATGAATCTAACCTTGGAAATGTTATCTGAACAAATGGGTCAGGTAAGATACCCAGACTCCAAACACAATCCCCATGTCTTGTGAAAATAACTTCGAAAATGAAACTTGTAATTCTTGATCAATTGTTATGTTGGATGTAACTGACATTTCTATATTCTTAAAAGGTATAAATATTTGTAGGACTTCAATGTCAAATCAGTGAGAGATGTGGTACTTCCAGCTGTCATACACATGTCTGAATGATTAAACACTTATGACTGTCAGATTTTTAAACAAATATCTGGGTGTCTTAACCTAGGCCCTCTAGAAAGCAGAGCCCAAGGCAAGGATTAAAGCACTGGTATTTTATTTATTATTTATTTTTATTATACTTTAAGTTCTAGGGTACACGTGCACAATGTGCAGGTTTGTTACATATGTAACAACCCAAATGTCCATCAATGATAGACTGGATTAAGAAAATGTGGCACATATACACCACGGAATACTATGCAGCCATAAAAATTGATGAGTTCATGTCCTTTGTAGGGACATGGATGAAGCTGGAAACCATCATTCTAAGCAAACTATCACAAGGACAGAAAACCAAACACTGCATGTTCTCACTCATAGGTGGGAATTGAACAATGAGAACACTTGGACACACGGCGGGGAACATCATTCACCGGGGCCTGTCATGAGGTGGGGGGATGGGGGAGGGATAGCATTAGGAGAAATACCTAATGTAAATGACGAGTTAATGGGTGCAGCACACCAACACGGCACATGTAAGCACTGGTATTTTATTTGGGATATGTAAGAACAGAGAGGTGAGGGCGAGGAAAAAGGTAAATGAAGCAAGGAACGATGCATAGCAATGTGATGTAATGCATTACCTCACCGCAGGCTTCACAGTGAGCCAGGAGGACACACGGAGTGTTTGCCAAGTGCATTTACTTAGCCGAACACATTTGCCAGACAACCTGTGTGTCTTCTCTGGAAGGCATGCAAGGCAAAACCATGGCTGAGAGGAGTTCACAGGAGGGAGACAGGAGGGGGCGCTTGCCTGCCAGGCTCCCTCCTGTCCTCTGCATTTCACTAATCAAGGCCCTCCAGAGGGAGCTGACTCCTCCATACTTCTGGATCATTGCCTTAAACCTGTCAGCAGAAGCTCAAGGGGTTGATGGGGTTGATGGAATCTGAGACAGTGCTCTAGAATCTGTGTTTCATACAGGATGAGATATAAATGAAACAAATGCTAAATAATGACACAAGGTACCTTGCCGAGAGAGGAATCATCCACCTGGAAGGGTAGGCTGTTTGTGAATAATGTAGGGTGGGAGAGAAGGCTTTACTAAGGAGATGGGCTTAAAGAATGTGAACGATGTGCTCACAGAGGCCACAGAAGAGAAATTATAGCCAGGAGAACAACCTGAAAGACAAAGGACACGGTGGCATAAGCACATGTAACACAATGTACTCAGGAAATGGCTGGCATCCTGAGATATGGAGTGGAATACAGTACAGGGCTTTGTAAACTCAGCTTGGAGTCAGATCACAGAAAGCCTTGACAAGGAACTGAAAATGGGTTCTGAAGGCCAGAAGCCATTCAAGATTCCCAAAGGGAAAAACACAAATCAGCTTGTTTTCAGGACGTAATTCTGGGGCAGTTGCTAGAATTACATCAGAAAGGAGGTTCACACAGGATACTAGAAGGGTCCTCCCTTCCATAGTAGAAGTGTTTGTGGTGAACAAAAATTAAAATTTCAAAGATGGTAACTGTCAGAATGGAGAAAAATAAAACTTAAATGTGTGCGGCAGGAGGAAAGTAAACAAAAACCAAGCTGACTAACCACCTTATTACAAGGCCACCATGACAAGACTAGAGCGTCCATCATCAGCTTTTAGTGCCTCAATGTTAAGTATGGACAAATGAGCAGTAAACATGGTCATGAGGTATTTCAAGAACACTTCTAAGAGCAGAGACAGAGGTATAAACAAGTAGCGGACGGGAAAGAAAGAAAAAAAAAGTTGATTCAGGGAACAGAAGAAATGTAGAAATAATTGACATTAGAGAGATAATGAATTCATTTTCTAATAGCATTTTTTTCCAGAAAAAAAATGAGCTAGCTCTTGGAAATTAAAATCATAGAGCAGAAAAAATATATATAGCAGAAAATGTAGATAGCCAACAGAAAGGTAGAAAATAAAGCTGAGAAAATCATCCTAAATTTTAAAAAAAGGCAAAAGGTTAAAAATGGAAAACAAGAGAAAAAAAAACTTAGAGGTACATTTCAGAAAATCCCACATTCAACTAATAAAACTCCCCCCTCCCGCAAAAAAAATGTGATTAAAATTGAAATATCCCAGAACTGAAGCACATAACTTGCCAGATTGAAAAAGCTCACTAAGTATTTAGCATTATGAATTAAAAAGCACCCACACTGGCTGGGCTCGGTGACTCACACCTGTGATTTCAGCACTTTAGGAGGCTGAGGCGGATGGATCACTTGAGGTCAGGAGTTTGAGACCAGCCTGGCCAATGTGGTGAAACCCCGTCTCTACCAAAAATACAAAAATTAGTCAGGCATTGTGGCATGTGCCTGTAGTCCCAGCTACTTGGGAGGTTGAGGCAAGAGAATCGCTTGAACCTGGGAGACGGAAGTTGCAGTGAGCCAAGATCATGCTACTACACTCCAGCCTGGGCGACAGAGTGAGACTGTATCAAAAAAAAAAAAAAAAAAAAAAAAAAAAAAAAAAAAAAAAAAAAAAAAAAGCACCCACTAAGTCATAACATGAAATTTCAGAACACCTGAGATAAAGATCCTAAAGCTGCCAGAGAGGAAAATTACAGGTCACAAATAAAAGCTCTGCAGTCAGGATAGCACAGGATTTCAACAGCAGAGATGAAATCTAGAACAACAATGAATTAATGCATTTAAAACTGCTTACCTACAATTCCACGATCAAACTATCAAAGGAGTGAAAGAGTAAAATAAACCCATTTCACTCAGGCAAAGGTCTTGAAAAGTTTATATCCCAATGACCTTCCCTGGGATGCTGAAAGATATACTCCACCCAACAGGAAAGTAAACCAAAAAGCAGCAGCTATGGGATCCAGGAGACAGGAGAGGAAGAAATGACCAGGGTGAAGGTAAAGAGAAATCCCAGGGCAGAAGCTATGCCTGAGGTCTAGAGAATAACCAACGTGCAGTGGCTCACGCCTGTAATCCCAGCACTTTGGGAGGCCAAGGCGGGCAGATCACTTGAGGTCAGGATTTCGAGATCAGCCTGGCCAACATGGTGAAACCCACTCTCTACCAAAAATTTAAAAATTAGCTGGGTGTGGTGGTGCATGCCTGTAATCCTAGCTACTCAGGAGGCTGAGGTGGGAGGATCGCTTGAACTCAGGAGGCGGAGGCTGCAGTGAGCCAAGATCACACCACTGCACTCAAGCCTGGGCAACAGAGTGAGACCTTGTCTTCAAAAAAAAAAAAAAAAAAAAAAAAAAAGAATAACCAAAGTGCCTGTTCTGGGCTGAGTTGTGTCACTCCAAAAGTCATGTTAAAGTTCTAACCACAGTATCTCAGTATGTGACTGTATTTGGAAATGGGCCTTTAAACAGGTAAATAAGTAAAAGTGAAGTCACTAGAGTGGGCCCCAATCCAATATGACCAGCGTCCTTTTTCTTTTTCTTTTCTTTTAAATTGAGGTCCCATTCCAATTAGCATCTTTTTAAGGTAAGGAAATTTAGACACAGAGAGACACAAAGGGAAGACCATGTGAAGACACAGGAAGACGGCCATTTACAAGACAAGAAGAGAGGCCTCTGAAGAAACCAACCCTGCTGACACCTTGCTCTTTCCATCTCCAGAATTGTGAGAAAATTAATTTCTCTTATTTAAGCCACCCAGTCTGTGGTACTTTGCTATGGCAGCCCTAGTAAACGAATATAGCACTGAACCCAGAACAAGGGAACCAGGAAAGATTAAGAAAAAAAAAAAGAATTTGATGTATATACAAGATTACATAATGCTATCAGAGATTTGGGGGATGAATTCATCATCAATCCATAGGAAAAGAGGCAAACAAATGAAGTAAAAGTGAGGGGGGAAAAGTGGTCTGAGAAACACAATCATGGTACACTATGGCTCATGATGAATATTTAGCTAGTAAATAACATGAACTTAGATCGCTGACTTAACCAAAGGTTGAGAAACAACTGTGGTGTGGTGTGGGTGGATATTATGAAAGAGCTAAATTCTTATCTACCATAGGAGGAAATCAACAGGTAATAACACTAATGGAAAAATCAAGAAGTGGCGATATAAGCACATTATTTAAATATGGAGGCAAATGCCAATAAATAATGCAAAAATACTTAAAGTGGCTGCCTTTGGGAAATGATATCCAGGAGTAAGGTGGAAGACCGCCCCTTTTCATGATAATCTCAGTGGAGCTATTTGAATTGTAAACAACTCATAGGTGTTTATGAATAATGAAAGAATTTTAAAACCTAA
Organism: Homo sapiens; assembly: GCF_000001405.40. Lineage (NCBI taxonomy): Eukaryota > Metazoa > Chordata > Mammalia > Primates > Hominidae > Homo > Homo sapiens. The sequence goes on from NC_000002.12 coordinate 73,749,808, forward strand.
GCAGACCACTAAAGACCTTTTTATTAAATTGTATATATATATATATATATATATATATATATATATATATATATATATATATAATTTTGAGACAGAGTCTCACTCCGTGGCCCAGGCTGGAGTGTGGTGGGGTGATCTTGGCTCACTGCAACATCCGCCTCCCAGGTTCAAGCAATTCTCCTGCCTCAGCCTCCCAAGTAGCTGGGATTATAGGTGAGCGCCATCACACCCAGCTAATTTTTGTATTTTTAGTACAGATGGGGTTTTGCCATGTTGGGCAGGCTGGTCTCGAACTCCTGAGCTCAGGTGATCTTGGCCTCCCAAAGTGTTGGGATTACAGGCGTAAGCCACTGCATCCGGCCTAAAGACATTTTTAAACAAAAGACTTGCTAGTCCTCTTAGCCAGACACAGAACAAGTGTGTTAAATAAATAAGACATGAAACATCTAATGGTGACAAGATTTTTTAACAGGCCATGTTAACTGAAATGAGGAGGACACAGAGGGGACAATAGGGTCAGGAAACTTTTTTGAAGGTGTAGTGTTTATATGATGGCACTTCTGCTGACAGCGTCCTCCTCAGAAGTTGCCTGCCCAGGGGCTCTTTAAAACAGACTAGGTGGATTTCCATGTCTGCCCCTGCTTGTTCTTTTTGCCTCGCCAGTTGTCTTGCTCCGATTTCTTCCCAAGTGGGCTTTCATGATGTATTCATGATGAGCCTTCATGACGTACTCTACAAGACTAGCCTTTTAGCAAGAACTTTTATATCTCTGTTAAATGTGACAAGCAGAGAAAAACTGTATAGCCATCACTTAGATGAAATATAGCAATGTGACCAAGCCTATGTTACAAAAATCATGTAGGTTTTACTTATTTTCCTTTCTCTTTGTCCTTAACTTCCTCCAGGCAGGACTGCTTGCATGTAGTCATTTTGGTAGAGGGTAGTCACTAATAAGTGATTAACTTCATATCCTAACCCCCAGGGGCGGCTTGCAAGATTGATGAACTTGTTTTTCTTGTAAAGAACAATGATCCCTGGGTCATGCTGACCTCCTTGATGGCACCCAGAAGTTTGATTGGCCAAGGGATGCAAGCAGCTTTGATAATCAGGGGATCTCACTTCCCATATACCTACCTTACTCATAAAAGCCACTGGTTACGTGCAAAGGGAGGCTGAATTTGAGAATTTGCCTCTCCCACCCTCATGCTTTGGTCAAATTGAATAAACCTTTCTCTGCTCTGAAGCACCGATGTGTCAGTGTTTGGCTTACTGCGCATCAGGTACTTGAACCTAACTTTTGGGGTTCTGCAACAGATTTTGGCAACCATGCCAGGTCTAGCATGGCAATAGGCCCTGGCCAGGTTAGGCGAACGAGTGTCCCAGCAGCTGCCCAAGTGTGTTGGTCAGGGGGCCCTAAAGTCGCTCTTCTAGGTCAGTGTAGGCTGCTGTTGGTACTCTAGAAGCTTAGAGCAGAGAAACATCTCAGACTGCTATCTGGACTTCTGGTTTTGGTTTGAAGGGTAAGTCACTGCGGTGCACACAGCCATATCTCACTCTCTCTGCTTGCATTGTGAAGAGGGCCCTTTTGGGGGAGTAATAGAATGGTGGACTATGCCCATTTTCTTGTTTGCTTTCCTGTAGGGAGTTTGGTTTTCTGTTTGTGATTTTGTTTTGTTGTTGTTGTTGTTTGGTTTGGGGGGTGTGTGTGTGTGTATCTGTGTGTGTGTGTGTGTGTGGTGTGTGTGTTATGTGAAAAGACTGAACAGGGCAAATTTGGAATTGATCCCAGAGAGTAGCATCATTGGCTGCATTCTCCAGAATTGGGCCACTTTCAGCTATGAGCCCATGAAGAAAAATAAAATTTTTTTAACTGTAACGCTGCTTGGCCTCAATATGCCTTAGAATTTGGGAAAAAATGGCTGACAAACAGTTCTTTAAGTTATGCTACTATAATACAACTGCAACTATTCTGTAAGAGCAGAGAAAATAGGATGCAATCCTGTATGTCCAGGCTTTTATACTCTTTTATCAGAATGAACCTACTCAAAAGAGGTATAATTTGATGCTGCAAAAGGAAAAACAGCCCAAACCTAAGGTTTTAGACTCCCACCATTAGGTGGGGAAGACAGGGCACTGCTTGGTGCTTTGAATCCCCTGAATAATCATCCTGATCCTCTGCCCCCCAGTCAGCTATGGCTCCAGCACCTCCACCTCCTTATGGGATTGTCTGGAGCAGGAGGGGAACACTCCCAAACCTGTCCTCCCCATGGAATTAGGACAGGTTGTGGTCTCGCCTTCCTGCAACTGACAGGAAACCCAATTTGGCCTGGGACCCACTGGTCCCTTAGTAGGGCAGTTTCCTCTGTGTCAATTCCCCACTGTGGGACTTGAATGGACAACAGTTTGGCATGATGTGGTTACATTTCCTTTTCCCACTTTGGAGCTGTTCAGTGGGAAAACAATATCTTTGGAAAAACAATAATCCCCCCTATCCCAACCCAAGCAAATGGCTGGGCTATTCTTGTCTATATTTCTGACCTACCACCCGACAAGGGCAGATACTCACTTTGTTAAAGTGCTGCTCACAGCAGAAGAAAGGCATGTAGTCACAGAAAAGGCTAGGGAAGAAGCAAATCGGCTCCATCTGGAGGCAGGAAACAATCACCCCTGGCCAATAGACTCAGTCCCTAACACAGAGACCAGGTGCGATGTAAATGGTGGGGCCTTTCCCACTTAGGACACTATGAGAACCACATCCTTGAAGGTTTGAGGAAAGGGGTTACTCAGGTTAAGAGCCTCAATAAGGTACAGGAAGTACAGCGGCAAGCATATGAGGACCCTTTGTAATTCCCAGAAAGACTCCATCAGACATGTGGAAAGTAGGTTGACGCTAACTAACCCTGAGGCACCGGACAATCAGAGAATGGTCAATGTGACCTTTATCAGCCACAGTGCCCTGATATTCAAAGAAAACTGCAAAAGGTAAATGGGATCCTTGGGTTGCCAATCTCACATTTAGTGGACTTAGCTTTTAAAGTGTACTATGCTCAGGATGAGGCTCAGGAAAGTGCAAATTGAAGCAACAAGTAACTCACTGGCAGCTGTGCTTGACTACCAACCTAGGGGAAAAGGAAGAAATCAAAGAGCGGCTCACGCCCCCTTCAGAAAAAAAACCAATATGCCTATTGTAAGAAGGAGGGACACTGGAAAAAGGGCTGTCCCAAATTGACCAAAGCAGCTAGCAAGTGCAGTGTCCCTCAAAATCAGATGAGGAGAGAGAATAATATTTAGATGAAGACTGATGTGTCCCAGGGACTCCCTTAGACTTGGAGCAACCAGTGGCTATATCCCCACAGGATTCCTAGATACAACTGACAGTGGGGAACAGAATGATTGACTTTTTACTTGACACAGTGCCACATATTAATTAATTAACAATTGTCTCTCTCCAGCTTTGGGAAAAACCATTACTGTTACACGGATATTGGGAGACACCATTATCCCTTTCTACAATCTTCAGGTTACCATTTACGAGAGACCGGCCTAGGGCATAGTTTCTTGTACATGCTTAATGCCCAGTGCCCCTCCTGGGCTGGGATTTGCTTGCCAAATTGTATGCTCAACTTGTCTTTCCCCCCAGATGCCTAGATATAATGATTCCTTCTGAACAAGTTTGCAGGTTTCAAATACTCCTGCTGCAACCAGAAAACGAAGAGGTTCAGGACATTCCAGAAGAAATTCTCACACAGGTAAGGAGAGATGTTTGGGCCCAAGGGAAGCCAGGGAGAGTGGTCACAGCCAAACCCATAAAAATTAAAAGAGAGACACAGAATACCCATTAAAGGAAGTGGCATGAAAGGGTATTCAACCACTCTTGGAAGGCTTTTTTGGCACAAGGACTGATTTGGTCCTGTAATTCTCCCTTTAACATTCCTGTTCTACGGTGGGCAGCAAGCCACCCAGGTGCTGAGGCAAGAGACCGAGGGCACAAGTTGTTCCAGTATAATAAAATATATAAAACAACAAGAGTTATACTAGATCTAAATCATAGACATGATTATATATGAATATCATTAATCATTAGTTTGTAGCAATTACTCTTTATTCCAATACTGTAATAATCCTCGCTCTATAATCATAACCTAGGAAAAACCAGGCCATACAGAGATAGGAACCGAAGGGACATAGTGAGTGAGAAGTGATCAGAAGACAAGAGTGCAAGCCTTCTGTTATGCCCGGACAGGGCCACCAGAGGGCTCCTTGGTCTAGTGGTAATGCCAGCGTCTGGGAAGACGCCCATTGCCAAGCAGACCGTGGTCTAGCAGTAGCATCAGTGTCAAGGAAAAACACCCGCTACTTAGCAGACCGGGAAAGGGAGTCTCCCTTTCCCTGGGGGAGTTTAGAGGAGATTCTACTCCTCCACCTCTTATGGAGGGCCTGACATCAGTCAGGCCCGCCCGCAGTTATCCGGAGGCCTGACCCTGTCTCCCTGTGATGCTGTGCTTCAGTGGTCACGCTCCTAGTCTGCTTTCAAGTTCCATCCTGTACACCTGGCTCTGCCTTTTAGATAACAGTAGCAAAATTAATGAAAGTACTAAAAGTCTCTGATATGCAGAAATAATGGCGTAAGCTGTCTCTCTCTCGCTCTCCCTCTCTCTGCCTCGGCTGCCAGGCAGGGAAGGGCCCCCTGTCCAGTGGACACGTGACTCACGTGACCTTATCAATCACTAGAGATGACTCACACTCTTTACCCTGCCCCTTTTGCCTTGTATCCAATAAATAACAGTGCAGCCAGGCATTCGGGGCTACTACTGGTCTCTGCATCTTGGTGGTAGTGGTCCCCCAGGCCCAGCTGTCTTTTATCTCTTTGTCTTGTGTCTTTATTTCTACAATCTCTCGTCTCCACACATGGGGAGAAAAACCCACTGACCCTGTGGGGCTGGTCCCTACATCTTACCATCATGCAAGTCCCATTAAGACAACTACAGTTTCGGCTGGGCGTGGTGGCTCACGCCTGTAATCCCAGCACTTTGGGAGGCCGAGGCGGGCGGATCACGAGGTCAGGAGATCAAGACCATCCTGGCTAACATGGTAAACCCCATCTCTACTAAAAATACAAAAAAGTTAGCCAGGCGTGGTGGCAGGCACCTGTAGTCCCAGCTACTCAGGAGGCTGAGGCAGGAGAATGGCTTGAACCTGGGAGGCGGAGCTTGCAGTGAGCCGAAATCGTGCCACTGCACTCCAGGCTGGGTGACAGAGCGAGATTCGTCTCAAAAAAAAAAAAGACAACTACAGTTTGTACAAGACTTAGGGCCAGTAATGAAACAGTCTAGGACATACACCCTATGGTAACTAACCCCTATAGCTTGCTGATCACTTTGTCAGGAGAACTAGGTTGGTTTACAGATTTGGACTGTAAAGATGCCTTATTTTGCATTAGACAAGGAGACACAAGAGATCTTTGAATTTGAATCTCTGAGGCTGGGACACAGGTCAATCAGCAGTACTGTTATCTCAAGGATTTAAAAATTCCCCCACAATCTTTGGGAAATTTTTGGCATGGAACTTAACGGACATCTGGCTGACAGAAGGAACGCTTTTACAATATGTGGATGAAATCTGTGTTGCAAGACCTTCAGAGCTTTCCTTGAAAATACCATTCAAATACTGAATTTCCTAGTGGTAACAGGCTACTGGGTTTCCAAAAAGAAAGCCCAGATCTGCCAAAAGATAGTAAAATACTTAGGGTTTGAACTGAATAAGGGGCATAGAAACCTTCCCCCAGGCCACCTGGAGGCAATCGTCTGGGTAGCTGTCCCCATCTCCTGTAAACAACTGCAACGGTTTCTAGGAATGATGGGATTCTGTTGAATTTGGATTTTGAATTTTGGACTTACGGTAAAACTCCTTTATGAGGCCCTAAAAGGAAAAAATTCTGAGCCCCTGATCTGGACTTCAGAATGCCAAAATTAAAAGTCAAAGAGGCTGAGCACGGTGGCTCATGCTTGTAATCCCAGCACTTTGGGAGGCCGAGGCAGTCAGATCACTTGAGGTCAGGAGTTCGAGACCTGCCTGGCCTACACGGCAAAACCCTGTCTCTACTAAAAAATACAAAAATTAGCTGGGCATCGTGGTGGGTGCCTGTAATCCCAGCTGCTCAGGAGGTTGAGGCTGGAGAATCCAGGAGGCAAAGGTTGCAGTGAGCTGAGATCGTGTCACTGCACTCCAGCCTAAGTGACAAGAACAAAACTCCATGTCAAAAAAAATAAATAAGTAAATAAAATAAAGTCAAAGAAAAGTTAAAGACTGCCTCTTTGCTGGGCCTTCCAGATTTAAGAAAGCCCTCTAATTTAGTTGTGCACAAAAAACAAGCCATGGGCTTGGGTGTCCTAACTCAAAGCTTGGGAACTGACTGAAGACTGATTGCCTATTTCTCTGAACAGTTTGACCAGGTGGTGAGGGTTGGTCCCCCTGCCTCCGAGCAGTGGCTGCAACTTGCAACCTCTTCTAGGAGGCTGAAAAGCTAACTCTAGCTCAGCTCATCACTGTCCACACACTGCATCACATCTCCTGTCTCTTAGATCAAAAAGGTGGATACTGGCTGACCTCTGAGAGGTTGGGAAAATACCAAGCCATCCACCCTCCTTGACAATCCAGAGGTGAAGTTAAAGGTGTTCTCGGTTCTTAACTCTGCTACCTTAATACCTCCAGAGAAGGAGCCAGGGCCCATACAAAATTGCCTTCCAATTAATGAGCAGGTCTTTCCAAGGCAACCAGACCTGGCAGATCAGCCCCTGCTGTGCTCCAAACTAGGACTGTTCACAGATGCAAGCAGCTTCATGGACCATGGACATCATCATGCTGAATTTGAGGTCATTACCTTACAAGGAATTAAGGAAGCCAAAGCCTTATTGCTAGGCACCTCAGCTCAGTGGGCCAAGGTGCCCTTATGCATGCCCTCCAATTGGGTAAGAAAAAAAATTATGAATATTTACATAGACTCCCAATATGATTTCTTGGTGGCACATGCCCACAGAGCTATGTAGAGAGAGGTCTTTTGACTAGCAAAAATAAAGAAATCAAATATACTTCTGATATTTTGGCCTTATTAGAATCTGTAAAAGGCCAGGCATGGTGGCTCATGCCTATAATCCCAGCACTTTGGGAGGCTGAGGCGGGTGAATCACCTAAGGTCAGGAGTTCAAGACCAGCCTGGCCAACATGGTGAAACCTCGTCTCTACTAAAAAATATAAAAATTAGCCAGGCACGGTGACACATGCCTGTAGTCCCAGCTACTTGGGAGGCTGAGGCAGGAGAATCACTTGAACCCGGGAGGCAGAAGTTGCAGTGAGCCGAGATTGTGCCACTGCACCCTAGCCTGAGCAACAGAGTGAGACTCTATCTAAAAAAAAAAAAAAAAAAAAAAAAAAAAAAAAAAAAATCAGTAAATGCCCCCTCTAATAGTGGCTATCATCCACTGTCCCAGCCATCAAAAAGGAGACTCCCGAATAGTCAAAGGAAATTAGCTTGCCGACCTGGCAGCCAAGCAAGCCACAAAAACATTGGACTCTGAGGCTTTCTTAGCCCCACTAATACCTCACAATGATCTGACCAAGTTCCAACCTTGCTATACCAAAGGAGATTTAAAGTGAGCCAAGGAATGGGGATTCACATCCCAGCCCTGGCCCATCCAGGCTGGAAATGTAATCTGGAAGGTATCGTATTGGTTCCCAGTGCCCTCCTTAAAGATATAGTGAGCTAGTTTCATCAAAGCATCCATTACAGAAAAGATGCAACCCTTCAATGGCATGTGAGTTCTTGATTGACCCCGACATGCAATGGGGTCATTCAAAATGTGATCTATCAATGCATGCTTTGTGCCCAAACTGCCCTAAAACTGACCCCACCCCTGTTCAAGGGTACAACATTGAGGAGACTCTCCATGCAAGGACTGGCAAGTTAATTTCACCACAATGCCACGGGTGCCTGGAGGCTACAGGGCATCTTTTTGTACAAAAAACATCTTTTTGTTTTTTGTAGACACATTTACAGGATGGGTAGAGGCATACCCTATCCGAACAGAAAGGGAGCTGAAGTGGCCCACACTATACTAAAGAGATAATTCCCCAGTATGAACTCCCTTTGACGATTCAGAGTGACCATGGTGCGGTGTTCATCTCTCAGGTAGTACAGGAAGTGTCTCAAGTCCTAGACATTGAATGGAAACTTCATGCAGCACAGCCACAGCCCACCGGAAAGACTAAAAAACTGAATCAAACTATTTAAAGAACAATTAGGCCAGGTGTGGTGGCTTATACCTGTAATCCCAGCACTTTGGGAGGCCAAGGCAGGTGGATTATTTGAGCCCAGGAGTTTGAGACCAGCCTGGCCAACATGGCAAACCCCATCTCTACTAAAAATACAAAAAAATTAGCTGGACGTGGAGGCGCATGCCCTTAGTCCCAGCTGCTTGGGAGGCTGAGGCACACGAATTGCTTGAAGCCGGGAGGTAGAGATTGCAGTGAGCCGTGATCATGCCACTCCACTCCAGCCTGGGCGACAGAGTGAGACTGTCTCAAAAACAAAAAAAACAAAAAAACAAAAAAAAAAAACTGCTGCTAAAGTGTGCCAGGAAACTAATCTAACTTGGGACAAAGTACTACCTTCTCTCCTGCTGAGGATTTGGGTCATTCCCTGAAACAGGCTCTAGTTGAGCCCTTTAGAAATTATGTATGAGAGACCCTTCCTAGCCACATTGGGGCTAGATCAGGCTATAAAATCTTAGAAAGGGAAGGAGCTATTAGACATTATTTAAAATTGCTAAATGAAATACCGACTTCTGTTCATGAGTTTGCTTCTTCCCCATGGACAGGCCACCTCACCCTTTCTAGGCTAGAGACCAAGTTCTACTTAAAACCTGGAGGGAGACTGGACTGAATCACCAACTAGCCCCTCAAAGGGTAAGACCCTATGAGGTCCTTCTGACCACGCATTCATCAATTGGGCAGGAGTTAAACCGTGGGTACATTATACCTGGATAAAAATTGCCCCCGCCTCAGCCCGACCTATCAGGTTAATAGACCTGAAAGGACATGTGAACCAACTAAAAACCTGAAGCTGCTTTTGAAGAAAACATCCACAGATAAGTAAAGCCTTCTTGCTAAGCACCACAGTACTATATGGCTTACGGTGTCTGCTGAAACCAATCTTTTCCTACAATGGGCACATTATGCAGATAGCCTACAGAAGCTCGTAGGGTTTGAGGGCTGTTACCTATCTCTAGCATGTTGGTATTACCTTGGTCGGTCTTGCTCTTACAAGGAAACAACTGAGTACAGTAACAAACTTTTATGAAAAACTATTCCAAAGAAAATCAGGTCTCTGGTGTGCTAACACGAGGAAATGTAAGGCTATGGCCTGGCATTAATATAACCCTTCACAACCCAGGTCACAGAAAATCTTTTACTATATATCAGACTGTTCAACGAACTTTTGAATACACTGCTCCTCCTCTCCTGAAGGAATTTCCCTTGGCAGCCCCCCAAATTTTGGCTATTAATAGCCACTATACTGAGGAAGGTTTTTATCAAGCTTGGGATGATTATCTTTGAATGACTGTGTTCCCCTACCCTTATCCTGCCACCGGCCACATAAATCAAATTGCCCCTTTATGTTGGGAACAACAACAAAAAAAAAAACAGCATTCTTATGATAACTGGCCAAATATCACTAAGAATATGGGCTGGATGCTCCCCCCACCAGTGTGAACATACTCCAGGGCTGCAACAAACTGACTGGTTTGCTACCAATTGGACACAGGCCAGGAATTCAATTGGCTAGCTTCATACGGAGTGCAATGGCTATGTGGGACTAATCTTTGGCCCTGATTACCCATTGGCTAGATAGGACAATATGCTCTGGGATTCTCACAGGTCCAGGGCCATTTGGCAAAAACCAACGGACAACCTGGAAATTTCCCAAATGTGTTGCATCAACGGACCAAGTCAGTTTTCCACTGGTATGACCATCCCCTCTCCATTTTTGTTCCCCAAGTTAGTTTAAAAAATGTTATCTGACATGTTGAGATCCTAACAAATTATACCCAGCATGTGCTGAAGGATGCATTCAAAGGCATCTCTTTAGTCACCTCTCAGATGACTATGATGAAAAAAGCAGTTTTGTAGAACCACATGGCCCTTGATGTCTTCACAGCTACACAAGGAGAACTTGTGCCATAATGAAAACTGAATGCTATGTGTACATTCCAGACAATTCAGGAAACATCACCCTGGCCCTTCAAGATATGTACAAACTGATGCTGTGTCCAACCTCATGATGTCACTAAACCAATGATTATCTTAATACTTCCGGTCAGTACCCTCTTGGTGGAAAAAATTACTGGTAATTCTAGCTATGACTATAGGAACAGGAATACTCCTTGGCTGTGGATTATACTGCTGTGGCACTATATATGTGGGATTGCAAGATCGCCCTTCTCAAGCTCCTGACACCCTGTTCAACAATGTTACAACAAAATTGCCTAAGTCCCGGGACATGTGAATATTTTCAACTGCAGGTAAGTAAGTTCCATTCCTCAGCCCCCTAGGAATGCCCCTTGCCAGCGGGAAGTAGTTAGACTGAGTCAACACCCCAACTGAAGATTGAGGAAAGGAACAGTGTCAGTGGGGATACTGTAACCCAGCCTATATTAGAAAAATCATCAGGTGTTTATTTTACTTATTTTTCTTTCTCTGTCCTTAGCTTCCTCCAGGCAGGATCGCTCGCACGTAGTCATTTTGGTAGAGAGCAGTCACTAACAAGTGATTAACTTTATATCCTAACCCCCAGGGGCTGCTTGCAAGATTAACGTACTTGTTTTTCTTTTAAAGAACAATGATCCTTAGGTCATACTGACCTCCCTGATGGCATCCAGAAATTTGACTGGCCAAGGGACACGAGCAGCTTTGATCATCAGGGAAAGCCCCCAATTACATGCAAAGGAAGGTCATATTTGAGAATCTGCTTCTCCCACCCTCATACTTTGGCCAAATTGAATAAACCTTTCTAAGCATTAATGTGTCAGTGTTTGGCTTACTGTGCACCGGGTACATGAACCTAACTTTTGGGGTTCTACAACAGCAACCTGACTGAGCTAATCACGTACAGCCAAGAACAGCTGAGCTACAGTAGCTCCTTAAAATCAGGGTCCAGATGTTGTTCATAGATGAGAGAAGAGAAAATAACTATCACATGCAGCATCAGACATTCAATGACACAAATCCTCAAAATCAGATGCTTTAAAAAATGAAGCCAATGGCTGGGCATGGTGGCTCATGCCTGTAATCCCAGCACTTTGGGAGGCCAAGGCAGGAGGATCGCTTGAGCTCAGGAGTTCAAGACCAACCTGGGCAACAAAGTGAGACCTTATCTCTATCAAAAATTTAAAAATAAATTAATTAAAATAATTTAAAAATGAAGCCAGGTTGCTCAAGTATTCATCAAGTATTTACTGAGGCTTACTATGTGTTATGATGATGAGACACTTCTTTGAGCCATCAAAGGTTTCTGGCTTCCTCTGCAACTAAAAATAATTACCCTCCCCAATGAAGGGTCTGTGTGTTCCACAGGTATAGCAGCAGAAGAGACAACTTGGAAAAAGTGAAGGTAGGCCAGGCACAGTGGCTCATGGCTATAATCCTAACACTTTGGGAGGCTGAGGTGAGTGGATTCGCTTGAGCTAAGGAGTTTGAGACCAGCCTGGGCAACATGGCAAAACCTGGTCTCTATTAAAAAAAATACAAAAAATTGGCCAGGCATTGTAGTCCACACCTGTAGTCTCAGCTACTAGGGAGGCTGAGGTGGGAGGATCACTTCAGCCAGGAGGCAGAGGCTGCAGTGAGCCTAGATGGCACCACTGCACTCCAGCCTGGGTGACAGAGCAAGACCCTGTCTCAAAAAAAAAAAAAAAAAAAAAGGTAAGCCACAACTCCACTTAAGAGGAGAGGCAACTGGAGAAAGATCCCAGGAGGTTATATTCAACAACGGAGCAATAACACAGTAGTCTTGCTAGACATCCACAGCCTTTAAATGGACATATTCTACTCTGTTTATCACCTTTATAAAAGTTTTCAAGTTTTCTGGATAGTTCTACTCAGTTGATGGCAATTACCCTGCCAGGTAACTTACTCACTATAATTGAATAAACCAGCAATCTGGTTTATCAGTCAGTCTCTCTTGCTCAATTGACAATCCCTAAAAGTTCATCCATTCCTGTGTGAGACCGTATATCTGACAATTCAGTCAAAGGAAGTTGGTCAAATCCCACAACTGACTGCCAAAGAAAGTAATATCTAATCACAAAAATACCACAATTAATTACAGGTAGTAACTAGGTTCTAAAGAAATTATCTCCTAAGTAGATTTTAATATAAATTTTGAACAGTTATAGAAAATAAAGATGGCCTTTGGGTCAATAACAGAACATAACAAAAACACTAAAAATTTCTGTACATAAACACACGCATATCACAAGTCTAGTCAGAAAGAAATACATAGAAAAACAAGATAGAATTTTAAAAATAATTTGCAAGGGAAGTTCTCAATGCTTCAGTTCTAAAATATTGTCTTCTTTTAGAAAAATTTAAGACTGGAATAACAGATTGTTTTTCCTGCAATGCTGTAATTACTGCAAATTTATCAGCAAAGAGGTAAACAGCAATGCAATTTTTCCTTAAGCTTGAATACATAAGGGAACAATAAAGAAACCTGATTAGACCTGAACTAATTAAAAGTCACACCAGTAATTTTCAGGCCAGCTCTGGTCTCCAGGTAGAATTCCAGGACAGGTTTGTATCACTGGGTCCATTCCCAACAGGCTGGATAGGAGAGTCTGGAGTAATTATAAGGATACCACCTTCTTCTATCCTGGGCTGCCCGACTGGCATTGGGCTTCACATTCCAAGAATACCTCCTGTGTGAATAGTCCTCTCCAGGGGGACCAGGAGGAGGGAGATGGTGTCTCTGGTAAACATGTGGATTCTCTGAAAATTTTCTTAAAGCAAAACAAAAAGTAATAAGCCATTACTAGGATTAATACAATAATTTTTATTTATTTTAAATTTATATTTTCATAAAATATTTTAAATTTATAAATTTACAAAATAATATATATTCTACTGTTTCCTACCTGTGTGACCTAAGCAGATAAAATACTTAATTGTTATTTCCCTAAGTTCTTTATAAAATGGGGCTAATAATACTTTTCACCTTCACGAGCTGTTATGAAGCTAAATTAAAAAAATACATTTCAATTACCTACAATGCCCTGGCACACCGTGGATTCCCAGAAGCCTTTCCACCTTTCCCTACAGAGATAAATGCATGCCCATACTATTCTAATCAAATACTTTCTCTCCCAAAGTCTGGCAGGGTTGACATAAGACAGAATAAGCTAGTTAGTACTGAGAACAGATATCTGCTTCCACTTTATAAACGAACATACATAAATTAATTATGAAGTGTGAAAAACTTTAAGCATGGTATATGCAACAAATTTGAAAAATTAGGATTTAAATTAACTTGTTTCAAAAGCAAGACCAGAAAATCTCATATAATTATACAAAAGAAAATTTGGGGCTGGGCGTGGTGGCTCGCACTTGTAATCCCAGCACTTTGGGAGGCCAAGGCGGGCGGATCACCTGAAGTCGGGAGTTCAAGACCAGCCTGACTAACATGGAGAAACCCCATCTCTATTAAAAATACAAAGTTAGCCAGGTGTGGTGGTGGGAGCCTGTAATCCCAGCTACTGGGGAGGCTGAGGCAGGAGAATCATTTGAAACCGGGAGGTGGAGGTTGCGGTGAGCTGAGATCACACCATTACACTCCAGCCCGGGCAACAAGAGCAAAACTCCATCTTACAAAAAAAAATAAAGAAACTTTGGAAATATGAGAAAAGAAAAACCCCCCACTGCAGAGCCCTCAATCCCACTTACTATAATTCAATTAGTTAGTATTTCCTTTTGTTCTTTTCCCCAGCATCTTTTTCTGACTGTTGAATCACAGCCTATTAGTTTCACTTATCATAAATGAGCTAACACTTCCAATGGCTTTATAAAATGTTATAGTATGGATATAATTATTTAGCTACATTCTCCACTGTTAGAAATATAGCAGCTACAAGTTTTTCCACAACCACAAATAATGCTGGGATTAACACTGCAAAACATATACTACTGTATCCTGAGCTAGCCCAGCATCTGACACATGGAAGGGAGTTTGAGAAATGTGCTGAATGATTAAGTAAATATAGCTTTTTCTGTACTTTGAAGTATTTCCTTAAGTCTCAGAATGAAATTACTAGGTAAAGTATTTTTATGGCTCTTGAAATTGTGCTTCAAAAGGCTTATACCAATTTTCAATGCCGCAAGTGACATGTTTTTTGAAATGTTTGTTTACATCTTTTAAAAATGTCAATTTTTTTAAAGTTTCTTTTTTCTTTTTTTAATAAAAACAGGATTCCAGCATGTTGCCCAGGGTGGTCTCAAATTCCTGGGCCCAAGCAGTCCTCCCACCTTGGCCTCCCTAAGTGCTGGGATTACAGGTGTGAGCCAATGCACCTGGCCTAAAAATGGCAATGTATTTTTGAAAGTGTTTACAACGTGCTAAACTGTTTAAATTCATGTTAACTGTCAATAACAACCACTATGGGGTATGTATTATTAAAATATCTATCTGACTAATGGGAAAAATGAAATGTAGATAGGCTAAGTATCTTATCCAAGATCACAAAGCAGGTGAGTAACAAAGCCAACATGCAAATCCAGGTCCAGCCTGACAACCACTACAATGGAGTGCTTATCAAAAACTGTTGCTAAACTGGCTGGGCGAGGTGGTTCATGCCTGTAATCCCAGCACTTTGGGAGGCCGAGGCAGGCAGATCACCTGAGGTCAGGAGTTCAAGACCAGCCTGGCCAACATGGTGAAACCCCCATCTCTACTAAAATACAAAAGTTAGCTGGGCGTGGTGGCAGTGCCTGTAATCCCAGCTACTCGGGAGGCTGAAGCAGGAGAACTGCTTGAACCTGGGAGGTGGAGGTTGCAGTGAGCCAAGACTGCACCACTGCACTCCAGTCTGGGCGACAGGGTGAGACTCTGTCACCAAAAAAAAAGCAAACAAAACTGTTGCTAAATTAATAGGCAAGAATAATAGCTTGCTATTTGTGATAGTTAATTTTAGGTGTCAAGTTGACTGGGTTAAGAGATATCTAGATAGCTGGTAAAGTATTATTTCTGGGAGTGTCTGTGAGGGTGTGTCCAAAGGATACTGGTGTGTGAGTGGGTGGACTGAGTGGGAGGATCCACCCTCAGTTTGCGTAGGTACCATCCAATAGGCTGGGGGCCTGGATACAACAAAAAGGCAGAGGAAAGGCAAATTGTGTTCTCTCCTGGAGCTGGAATACCTTACCTTCTTCTCCTACTCTTGGACATTAGAACTCCAGGCTTCATGGCCTCTGGACTTGAGGACTCATACCAGTGTCCTCCAACCCTTACCAGATTCCCAGGCCTTCAGCCTTGGATTGAGAGTTACTCCACTGGCTTCCGTGGTTCTGAGGCTTTCTGAGTTGGACTGAATGCTACCAGCTTCCCTGGTTCTCCAGTTTGCAGACAGCCTACTATGAAACTTCTCAGCTTTCACAAGTGCATAAGCTGATACCCCGAATAAAAAAGCTCCTCCTCCCATCCACCCACCCATCCACCCATCCATCTATCCATCCATCCATCCATCCATCCATCCATCCATCCTACTGGTTCTATCATTCTGGAGAACTCATACTAATGTACCACTTTAACCATACTGAGGTCTTCCCCATTTTCCAAGTGAAAATACTTTTGTCGTTTTATCTGTTCAGATCCTTTGCTATTTCTCTATTAGGATTTTATTATTTTTCTTATAATTCATATCAACTCCTTAAATAACAATCTTCCTTATTCTAAAAACTATACTACATTAATGTAGCCTAAGAATATAAGATCCTTTTTGATAGCCACATCAAACTCTTGGCTTAAGTTTAAAATCAATCAAAATTTCTAAGTCCCTTTCCGAATTGCCTCTGAAAAGTCACATATTCCCTGTCCTGTAACTGATTTTCCAGTGCTAAATGCAAAATACAGAGCAGAATAATATCTCCTGGTTCAAACTGAACAGCAAGAATTCCTTATCGGCCAGGCGCGGTGGCTCACGCCTATAATCCCAGCACTTTGGGAGGCTGAGGCGGGTAGATCACAGGGTCAGGAGATCAAGACCATCCTGTCTAACATGGTGAAACCCCATCTCTACTAAAAATACAAAAAATTAGCTGGGCATGGTGGCGGGTGCCTGTAGTCCCAGCTACTCAGGAGGCTGAGGCAGGAGAATTGCTTGAACCTGGGAGGTGGAGGTTGCAGTGAGCCGAGATCGCGCCATTGTACTCCAGCCTGGATGACAGAGCGAGACTCTGTCTCCAAAAAAAAAAAAAACGAAGAATTCCTCATCAGTATCATAATGTGTTTTCATTAACTATAGTATTAATTTCTATCTCAATTCTAGAAAAGGGAAAACAGAGAGAGGTACCTGACTGATTGTTGCAAACTTTGGGTCTGGGTGTGGAAATGTCGAGGAGCTGAGTGACCCTGGATCTGATGTAGATTATACCTAGGTCCTTGTTTAACAGGCTTATTGTGGACTGGTTGCATGAGATGTGCTGAGTCTTCAAAATCACTTGACCTGGGTACACTGGAATTCCAATTCCTTAAAGAGAATATTTTCCACACAATATTACTGGTTTCCAAATTTAGTAGTCAATTTAGTGACTATATTTTGGCATATGAAAATAACAATTTCTTCCTTCTCCCATTCCTATTTGTTTACATCTCCCCCCAACAAACAAACAAGCTACCAGAAGAATGAACATATGCAACTTAAATTACATAAACAGAGATCTCCCTGACCCACAAATCTCACATATATAACATAAGACTTACTTTCTGATAGGACCATTCTGAAGGTCTTCAATGTAGTTTTGTCTTTCTAAGCAATGTCCCCGGCACCTATTGAATACTGAGGAGAGGATAAACTGTTAGAAATAACTGTACAAAAAGCAGATCTTTCCAGAAAAAGCAAATTAAGCTGAAATTCACTATTCAAGCTGTTATATCTCACTACTTCCACATACATCTATAGACTTTTGGCAAGACTATCTTATATTGGAACAAACGAATTACAAACTTCTTTTTTTCCAAAATTTGATAAATTCTTCTACATTTCCACCTTTAACTTTAATAAAAGGGAAAAATAGTGTCAACCCTCATACTTACATTCAATTGCATCATCTGGCCTCACGCCTTCTACATCAATCAAATATCTAACAAAACAACATAATTTGGGTCATTTATATACGAAAAGAAAAAAATCAAGTTTTTTCAAAAAAGGTCCAATTTCAACTTATAGACATAGATATAAAAATCCTAAGAAAATATCAGCACATCAAATCCAGCAGTTATTAAAGAATGACATACCATGACCACAAAAAGACGTTTTTCAAGAATGCAAGGATGACCCAACTCCAGAAAATCTATTTATATATTTATTTACATTAATGTAATTTAATAAACAAAAGGAAAGAAAATGCAGAATCATTTTTTATCAAAATGCTTTATACACTAAAAATAGAGACTTCCTTAATATGACAGAGTATTTATCAGAAACCAACAATGAACAAAAGACAAATTGGGAAAAATATTAACATTATATCTAAAAAATACTGTATAACCAACAGAATGGGCCAGAAACTTGGGAGTCACCATCACTGTCAGCCATTTCTTCCAAACTCTCATATTCAATTCACCACCAACTCCTGACAACAATATTACCTAAATATCTCTATAGAGTATATCTGTATCTTTCTACCAAAATGACCACCATGCCCTGGTCCAATCCACCATTATGCCTCAGTTCCTACAAACACCTCCCAACTTGTCTCCTTGCTTCTACCTCTTTCCCTCTGCAGTGTATTCTCCACTCAGCAGCAAAATGATAGGTTGAAAATACAAATTTGAATGTGTTCCCCACACTCATCCCCAACAAAAAAAATTCAATGGTTTTCTATTGCTCTTAAGGTAGTGACTAAAACCTTAAACATAGCTCTGCATGGTTTCAGCTCCTATTCATATTTCCAGCTCCATTTTAACGCCATACTACCCCCATGGCCCAGTCTCCCTAGCCAGTTCCTCCAACACAGTATATATTTTCCTGTTAATATGGTCTCTGCTGATCCTTACGTTCAGAATTCTCTCCACAACATCCCTACCTGGTTAACACCTACTTATACTTCAGATATTTGCTCAGACCTCCCCACAGAAACCTCTAGTCCTCTTGTTGAAGTCAAATCCTCCCTATTCTATGCTCTCATTGTACCATGTCACTCCCCTTCTCAGCACTTGTTGGAATTGTAATTGTATAGGCATTTGTGTGATTCTTTAATATCTACTCCCTCCCTAGACTGTTAGGACGCACAAAGGGCAGCTAAAGTCTCTTTGCTAACACGCAGCACACTGCTTACACATAATAGATGCTCAGGAGATATTTTCTGAATGAACAAACATAACTCAGTACAGTGTGGCAACATCCATAAAAAGCATAACGACACATACTATTTGATTAAGAAATTCTATTTTGAGTGAAATTACCTCCGGGGCTATGAGATATGCATTCAAAAATATTTACATAGAAATGTTCACTACTTCAATGTTTTATAATATCAAAAACTTCTGACTTTTGTGTTCATCGGTGTGCAAAGAACAACGCAGGCCTTAAAAAGAATAAGGAGTCTGGCCAGGCGCGGTGGCTCACTCCTGTAATACCAGCACTTTGGGAGGCCGAGGCGGGTGGATCACAAGGTCAGGAGATCAAGACCATCCTGGCTAACACGGTGAAACCACATCTCTACTAAAAATACAAAAAATTAGC
Organism: Homo sapiens; assembly: GCF_000001405.40. Taxonomy (NCBI): domain Eukaryota; kingdom Metazoa; phylum Chordata; class Mammalia; order Primates; family Hominidae; genus Homo; species Homo sapiens. The sequence continues at coordinate 73,768,812 of NC_000002.12, forward strand.
CGGGCGTGGTGGCGGGCACCTGTAGTCCCAGCTACTTGGGAGGCTGAGGCAGGAGAACGGCGTGAACCTGGGAAGCAGAACTTGGAGTGAGTCGAGATGGTGCCACTGCACTCCAGCCTGGGTGACAGAGCAAGACTCCGTCTCAATAAAAAAAAAAAAAAAAAGAATAAGGAGTCCAAGTATTTTCAAAGAAAGATGTCTATCACATATTAAATTAAAAAACAGAATGTCTAACTATTATACCATTCAATAACATGTATGCTTGTATCTGCATTTTTAGAGTCTGAAAAGATGTGTACTAAATTATTAATGGTGGTAATCTCTGGGTGGGGAGCAAGACTGCCTTCTACTTCATGTATTTCTATACCAGTTCCATTTTTTACAACCTTACATTACCATTGTAAACAGACAAAAACAATTTAAAATGGTCTGCCTCTGGGGTTGGCAACTTACCTGCAAATGAGGTAGCCAGTCCTGTTTAAACCATGGGTACAGTGGACACCAATAAGTTTATCTATAAAAAGAAAATACAGGGTTAAGTAACTGAAGTAGATACACAAGTATATAACATTATCACTGCCCTGAAAATGAATAACTCTTAAGAGGAATTGTTTTTTCTAGGAACATACTATAAAGAATCATCTAACAGAAAGCCAAAACTCACTGCTTCTGGGAAACTTTGCATAGTCCCAATTAGACTCAGTGATGTAAACTGCAAGCCTGGTCAGACACTAACAGCTAAAACTGCAATGAGACAAACCCGTCTATCTTAAAACAGAATGCCCATCAGCAACTGATTTAATTATACAAAAAGGGAGTGAAAGCAACAACAGGCTAAGAGAAGAATGAAATTTGTTTCTGAATCAAACAAATAAAAGGCCTTCACTCTTGATACTGAATATTAAGGACAGTTTCCATAGTACTCTTGAGTTCCCGAAGAGCTTCTATTCCTTCTCTTGTTCGGTGCTCCACACATACCACAGGTCTACCTGCCCTGTGAAGTACTCAGGTAAATAGCACTATTCACATTTTACAATGAAAAGGCAAGGCTTGGAGATGTAAGTCAAAGCAGGCAAATAGTACAAGACTAGAATCAAGTCTAAGATTTTTCCCATTACACCACAGTATTTCTTAGTCCATCTTTTTAAAAAATTACATGAGGAATTAAATAAAAAAAAGTGTAGTTTATCTTTGCAAAATCTGTGTCCATGACTAGGTAGTGTCTGGTAAAGAAGGCACTCATCAGCCAGGTGTGGTGGCTCACGCCTGTAATCCCAGCACTTTCCAACCTGGCCAACATGGCGAAACCACGTCTCTACTAAAAGTACAAAAAATTAGCTGGGTATTGTGGCGGGAGCCTATAATCCCAGCTACTCAAAAAAAAAAAAAAGAAAGAAAGAAAAGAAAAAAAGAAGGCACTCTGCCGGGCATGGTGGCTCACGCCTGTAATCCCAGCCCTTTGGGAGGCGGAGGTGGGTGGATCATCTGAGGTCAGGAGTTCGAGACCAGCCTGGCCAATATGGTGAAACCCCATCTCTACTAAAAATACAAAAACTAGCCAGGTGTGGTGGTGGGTGCCTGTAATCCCAGCTACTCGGGAGGCTGAGGCAGCAGAATTGCTTGAACCCAGGAGACGGAGGTTGCAGTGTGCCAAAATGGTGCCACTGCGCTCCAGCTTTGGCGACAGAGTGAGACTCCATCTCAAAAAAAAAAAAAAGAAAGAAAAAAGAAGGCACTCATCATCGCCAGCCTGGATTACTACAACAAACTAATCTCCCTACTTCTATCTCAACTGATCCTCCATATGGCAGATGTTATCTTTCTAAAACATAAGCCTGGCTGGGTTGTTTTTGCTTAAAAATCTCAATTTAGCATAGCATGAAGCCCAAATTTAGCATGGCATTTAGAATCCTTCATAAACTGGTATCAATCTGTCTTTCCAACCGATCTAAGTCCACAATGATCCTAACTATGATTTACAAGGGCTGATATGATCCACCTCCCTTCTGCCCAGCCCCAACCTCTCTGATCCCGTTTCTCCTGCTCTTACCCTCACTCACTCCACTCCAGCCACACTCGGCTCTGTAACATTCCTCAAACATGCCTAGCATAGTCATGCCTCAGGGACTTTGCACCTGCTGTTCCCTCTGCCTTAGGACATTCCTCCCCAGACACCCAATGGCTTGGTTCATTACTTCCTTTAAGGTTCTGCTCAAATGACATCTTCATAAAGAGGCCTTCCTGATCACTCACCTCTTCCCTCATCCCTTTATCATGTTTTGTTATTCTCCAAAGCACTTATCACCATATATATTCCATGTATTTATTTGCTTATTTCTCTCCCCGACTAGAATGTAAAGTATATAAGGGCAAGGACTTTGTTCTATTTCCACTTTCTAGAAAAGTGACTTCAACATAGGTTATATAATTATTTGTTGCAAATGAACATATGAATTCCATGCCTTTTCACATTATCTTCTAGTCACACAAGAGGCTGCCTCTCCATGGCTTTAGGCCCTGTGCCTTTTGTGCCTAATCCCCAAAACTGGGCTGCCCTTTTCTCATACTGGCAAAATTCTCATCCCTGCAGCTCGAATGTTGTCTCCTGTCAGGCCTTCCTCAATCTCTCCTCTATATTCTCACTGCACTTAATTTATTCTTTTATTATGATGAACTGTCTTTTTTGTTCTTTTTTTTTTTGAGATGGAGTCTCGCTCTGTCGCCCAGGCTGGAGTGCAGTGGCGCAATCTCGGCTCACTGCAAGTTCCGCCTCCCAGGTTCACGCCATTCCCCTGCCTCAGCCTCCCGAGTAGCTGGGACTACAGGCGCCCGCCACCATGCCTGGGTTATTTTTTTTTTTTTTTGTATTTTTAGTAGAGATGGGGTTTCACCATGTTAGTCAGGATGGTCTCGATCTCCTGACCTCATGATCTGCCCACCTCGGCCTCCTAAAGTGCCGGGATTACAGGCATGAGCCATCGCGCCCGGCTTTTTTGTTCTATAATTAACCCACATCTTTTTTTTTTTGAGACAGGGTCTTGCTCTGTCCCCCAGGCTGGAGTGCAGTGGCGCCATCTCCGCTCACTGAAAGCTCCGCCTCCCGGGTTCACGCCATTCTCCTGCCTCAGCCCCCCGAGTAGCTTGGACTACAGATGCCTGCCACCACGCCTGGCTAATTTTTTGTATTTTTAGTAGAGATGGGGTTTCACCGTGTTAGCCAGGATGGTCTCGATCTCCTGACCTCGTGATCCGCCCACCTCGGCCTCCCAAAGTGCTGGGATTACAGGCATGAGCCACCGCGCCCAGCCTAACCCACATCTTAAACCACATGCACTACATATTTATTTTCCTAGATAACTGTGAACTGCTATAACAAAAAACAAAGACTGCTATCATCTCTGTGTCTTCATGCTCTAACAACAAATCTAAAAGGATCTCAGTGTTTACTGAATCAATTTATTTTCTCAGTCCCTACTAGTTCTAGAAGCGAGTGGAGAGTGTAGTGTCCTCTTTTTATCAGTGAGCCTGTTATCTGTGGGAAGGGATTATAGCAGAGGTAGCCAAAACTGATTATAAACAAGGTCCCAAGCCTGCTATGGCAGTGAGTACTGCAAGACTTAGACAGTCAGCACCACTCAGGCAGAAGACCAACATGGAGTTCAGTCTATCCAACTGACTACAATCAGTATAACGTGAACAACTAAGATTTAAAAATGTGTTCTCATGTATTCATAAGGACCTCCTAGCCCTCACAGAACAGATGAAGTGCTATATAAAAATTTCACAGAAAAGAGCCTGGAAGCAGTGAATAGGCCATCAGCTGTACCCTCATATCTTAAAAGGTAGTATTTCTGTGACAACAGCTTATACAAATGGGAAAGCCAAACCTCTCAAGTTTTAAAGTTAAAGTACAGGGGAAGATCTGTGAACAAGGTTTAACATAATTAAAAGCTAGTGTCCACATTAAGTGAGCGACTAGGTTACAATTTGAAATTTTATCTTCAAACCCACTGATCCAGTCTCTATCTCTCACCTTCCATTCCCTATCTTCCCACCTCTGTCTCTATTCTTTCTCCACTACTCCATCACATTTTTTAAAAAGGAGTATTTACTGTCAGATTTATGTAACAAAGTGTACACTCCTCAAGCTAAATTTGGAAAGAAGGCAAATGAAGCCTCTGTCCTGTGGGTGTCAGTGGCTTTCCAAAGATAAAAGCTTCTTCAGTCTTAAAATATGACAAATATCATGTTCTTTCTGGCAGAGAGATGCCAGAAAAAGGCAACTGGATCCTTAAGATAAAGAAGCTGTTAAGTTCTATTTTCAAAAGAGTAAGGTAAATCTTAAAGCAGGAACAAGAAAGCACCAGCCTTTGGCTTAAGTTCTCCCATGTGAAGAATAAGAGGTGGTGGTATCCTTCCCCATCTGTACTCAAAGCGGAAAAACAGCAGAAATATCTTTTTTTTAATTATACTTTAAGTTTTAGGGTACATGTGCACAACGTGCAGGTTTGTTACATATGTATACATGTGTCTTAAATACATATGACAAAGGGGCAATTCCACTGGTGCACTCTTTCTTGTTTTGCTTCTAGGGGTCCGTCCCATTCTTAATCTTTGCCCTTTCTTGTCTCTTTCACATAACTCTAAGACTCAGAGTTTTTTAATCTTTTCTTCTACTTCTCACTTCTTAACCAATATAGAAGACAAAAATAACATTTTAATTTTATATATTTCTCATTCAAATTAAAAAAGAAAGATGAGCCAGTTCAGTTCATATTTTGCACTAAAACTAATTTAACATTCCAAAGTTAAATTATTTGTGATCAACAAAAGGAAAAACATCTTACCCTATTAGCACCATCTGACATTTTCATCACCTTAGCATCATTAAATACAACAGGTCTGAGGTTGGAACTATAAAAAAATACCAAAAATCCCCAACCCCATTCATAATGCACACCACAGTTCAGGTAAGAACAAAAACTCACCATTATCTTTATTTTCTTTCAAAAACCCATTAACAGCGTGTTTGAATTTAAAAATAGTCTCATCATCAGGCACTTGATGTCCAACTGTAAAAATTTTTAAGTAAGGAACAGTTTCTGGCAAATCCTATAAAGCAAAACCATAAAAGATGTGTATTATTTCACTTGTAGAGAAATAATTAAAGAGTAATTAGGGGACCCAGAATATAAGCCAAGAGATTATAACAAACTTAATATGCCAATATCAGTATACACAATTCTGATAAAAGAGCCATTTTTTCCAACACTGCTTCAACCAGGAAGTATCACTTGATTTTCAATAAAACTACATAATAGATAGTCACTAGGTATACAAAACTGAAAGCAAATTCCATGTGAATGAATGCATATTTAACTATAAATTATATAAACAGTTCCATTTAATATTTTATAATTCAAGGGCCAGTGCCTTCATAAAGCAGCTATGATTTAAGTAGAAGAGTAGAGAATAGAGTCAGAAGAACTTGGATTTGAATTGTGAGATAGAGGGAATTCCAGGCACTATTGAGAACCGATATTCTTGGGGTGGGAGAAAAGTAGATACAGATAAAAGACAGAAGAGGCTAAGTCAAAATCATTTTAACCATCCACAAGTGTATAGTTCAGTGGCATTACATTCACAGTATTGTGTAACCATCACCACTGTCTATACCCAAAACTTTTTCATCATCCCCGACAAAAAGACTCTGACCACTAAACCATAATTCCCTTTTCTCCCCACCTCATAGATCCTTTAGTCTGCTTTCTGTCTCTGTGAATTTGTCTATTCTAGGTACTTCATACAAGTGGAATCATATATTTGTCCTTCTGTGTCTGGTTTATTTCACTAAGCATGTTTTTAAGGTTCATCCATATTGTAGCACGTATTAAATCTATTCTTTTTTATGGCTGAATAATATTCCATTTAAGACAGCAATTAAAAACATGTAATTAGAGAAATCACTTGGTTCTCTTTTAAACTTACTACCCATCAAAGAAGGCCAAGCTTCACATTAGCACAAGATGATTACTGAATTACTATAAATTATTTTAGGATCAGAAGGAAGAAAGTTCTTTTCATTGAAGGGTTCCACTTACCTCTGGTTTATAATAGCGTTGAGTATATGTTAAATCAATAATCAGTCCAAGTTCTTCATTTTGTTCTCGGATTTTGTTAAAAAGATCCAAAGGGGAAAAGCATTCTTCTGGAGCAAGTTTCTTTTCAAAACTCTGTCACAGAGAATGAAATAAGAGCAAATATGTGCTTAAAATCCTGTACTACATTAGGCATTTATTCAAGTCCTGTGATGCTAACATACAACGAGATTCAAAGGAAAGTTTCCATTCTCCTGGAACATAGAAGGTATATTACAACAATCCTTTCTTCCAGAGTGGTCAGAAAGAAAAAAATAAGCCCACTTCTATATATGTATTTCTGTATTTGTTTCATGTTGGTCTCCTAATCAGACTGTAATCTCCCAGATTTTATTCACCACTGTATCTCCAGCTCCAGGTGGAGTGCTTATCATATTTAGTGCTTATAAATATTTCTTTTCTTTTTTTTTTTTTTTTTTTGAAACAGGGTGTTGCTCTGTCATCCGTCATCCAGGCTGGAGTGCAGTGACACAAACATGGCTCACTGCAGCCTCCACCTCCTGGGCTCAAGCAATACTCCCACCTCAACCTCACAAGTAGCTGGGACTACAGGCATGAACCACCACACCTGGCCTTTTTTTTTTTTTTTTAAAGAGATAGGGTCAGCTGGGCGCAGTGGTTCACACCTGTAATCCCAGCACTTTGGGAGGCCAAGGCGGGAGGATCACAAGGTCAGGAGATCGAGACCATCCTGGCTAACACTGTGAAACCCCGTCTCTACTAAAAATACAAAAAATTAGCCAGGGGTGGTGGCAGGCGCCTGTAGTCCCAGCTACCGGGAGGCTGAGGCAGGAGAATGGCGTGAACCCGGGAGGCAGAGCTTGCAGTGAGCCGAGATCACACCACTGCACTCCAGCCTGGGTGACAGAGTGACTCCATCTCAAAAAAAAAATTTAAAAAAAAAAAAAAAAAAAAAAAAGAGATAGGGTCTTGCCGTCTTGCCATGTAGCCCAGGCTGATCTCAAACTCCTGAGCTCAAGCAACCCTCCTGTCTCGGCCTCACAAATAAATATTTCTCACATGTCTACATATATGAAGGATGGCTTTCATTGCTGAATATTCTTTTATGTATGTGGCTTATTTTTGAACTTTATGCTCTGTTCCTTCAATCTGTCTGGCTACTCAGGTGCCAGCAATGTACTTTTTAAAAAATAGACTAGTTTGGCTGGGTGCGGTGGCTCAAGCCTGTAATCCCAGCACTTTGGGAGGCCGAGGCAGGAGGATCACGAGGTCAGGAGATCGAGACCATCCTGGCTAACACGGTGAAACCCCATCTCTACTAAAAACACAAAAAAATTAGCCAGGCGTGGTGGCAGGCGCCGGTAGTTCCAGCTACTCAGGAGGCAGAGGCAGGAGAATGGCGTGAACCCAGGAGGCAGAGCTTGCAGTGAACCAAGATCACACCACTGCACTCCAGCCTGGGCGACAAGCGAGACACCATCTCAAAAAAAAAAAAAAAAAAATAGACTAGTTTTCAGAGCAGTTTTAGGTTCACAGCAAAACTGAGCCAAAAGGACAGATAGTTCCCACATGTACTTTGCCTTCCCCAACCCACCCAGACTCCCCCACTATCCACATTCCATACCAGTGTGGTCCATTTGTTACAAATGAAGAACCAACTCTGACACATCGTTATCACCAAAGTCTAGAGGTTAGGTATGCGTGATTCATTCTATGTTATGCATTGTATGTACATATTATGTTATATATATTTTGCCACAAAAAAAATGAGAGAAAGAACTAAGTTCAAGTTTTGATTCTTCCTTTTCTGAGCCTGTTTGATTATCTACAAAATTATTTATTAGATGTAACCATCTATTCTCTGAGCTTAGTGCAGAATAAGCACTCAGTAAGAGATATTAGTACTACTGCTACTTCATCAGCACAGGATTGTTGTGAAATGTGTTAATATACGTGAAGCCCTTTTATAGGTTTTGATCAATATATAACATGTATCCACCCTTAGAGTATCACACAGAATAGTTTCACTTCCCTAAAAATTCCCTGTGTCTCCAACACCTTCTTTTTGGAGACAGGGTCTTGCTCTGTTGCCCAGGCTGGAGTACAGTGGCATGATCATGGCTCACTGCAGCCTTGACCTCCTGGGTTCAATCGATCCTCCCACTTCAGCCTCCTGAGCAGCTGAGACTACAAGCACACGCCACCGCGCCTGGTTAATTTTTGTATTTTTTGTAGAGACACGGTTTCAGTGTTGCCCAGGCTGGTCTAAAACTCCTGGACTCAAGCGATACACCCACCTTGCCTCCCAAAGTACTGGATTACAAACATGATCCAACAGGCCTGGCCTGAAATGACTCATTTTTAAGCCCAGACATGCAGAGAAGCTGACACAGCAGTTGAAAAAGGAAATCTGATCTATAAGTCACAAATTAAGTAAATTCCCAAAACGTTTCAAGTAGGCTTCTCCTGATACTAATCTGAGCTATGCTGGGGAAGTCTAATAAGAAAGACATGGAATCTAGAAAACAATTATTTGTCTTCACCTTCTCATCTTTTTTATGGCTGTCAAAAGCTTTCCCCTCCTATCCCTCCTATTCCTTTCCTAGTTTAAACAAAAATACAATCTTCAGATTTTCCCCACTGAAATCCTGACCTTGATGATCCGGGGGATATTTCTGATTGTGACCATGGAAGGAAAGGAGTCCCACTGGCATTCAGTGGGTAAGGGTTACAAATTCTAAACAACTTGCCAAATTCAGGACAGTCCTACAAATGTGTCCCACATCCTGAATGGCTTTTGGATGTCCTATTCAAGATTAATATAGATAAAAAGCTGTTCATATTTAGCTTGGCCTCAGAACCTAACTCCATTTCACAAATAAACACAAAGTATTTTTTGTACAATACTAATATATATTGAATTTTCCAGGATAATAATCACCTTATCAACCAAATGAAGATTATACTTTGTTATATTTGGAAATCTATTACAGAAACTCCTACCACTAAAGCAATACAACCCACCTAGATCAGTCTACATTTGTAATTCTTGAATTCATGGCGCAGGCAACTATTACTCTATGTCTTTTAATGTAGTCATGTCCAAACATTTATATATTGAAATAAATATTATTTTATTATAAATTACTTTTATTTTATTTTTTATATTATAGTTAGGGTGTTAATTGGTATTTTTGTTTAAAATATGAAGTAGGTTGTATGTACCTATGAACTTCATTTCAGGATAGTAAAGGGGTCATTACAAAGTATTTGCTATAAAAAGAGAAAATGGAATGTGATAGAGTGGAGAGCAGTGTTCTGCATGGTGAACTCAGATGCCTGAAAGAATACTGAATTAACTTTTGCTTACCTTTTGCAAAGGAACTTTGAAAGCAATGAAACGAGTCCCAGGCATCCGCTGTCCAACTGGGAGATAGTCTTTCCACCTATTAGATATATTTTTTGTTAGCCAAATTGTATGTTAGCCTTGTTTCCTTGCACAAAATAAGACTTTTTGAAAATGGGAATCATAGCCCGCACAACATGTCCTCTCTCCTCTCTGCTTTGCATTTCGCCACTCCACTTATTAAACCCCACCAAGTAACGACCTATACCGTCCTTCTCTCCTGTTTCCCCATCATAAAAACGAACACAAGCCAACACAACAGTACAACTCAAATAAGGCCTATATAAAACCGGAGATACCCAGAACTTCTGTATCCCTGTTAAACTTGGCCCAGTACCAGATACTAAAGTGCCATTAATACAAACATATTCACTGAAATAATTTAAATTCAATTATTTCACTTCACGCTTTTAGTTTTCATACGACTGATGCCATAAAGTTCAATTAGTAGGAAACTTCAAGTTCATATTTTAAGAGAAAACCTGCTAGAAGAGGGACTGTGAACTTCACTTAATAATGCTAGGAACTGGCCGGGCGCGGTGGCTCACGTCTGTTAATCCCGGCAATTTGGGAGGCTGAGGCAGGTGGATCACCTGAGGTCAGGAGTTCGAGACCAGCCTGACCCACATGGTGAAACCCCATCTCTACTAAAAATACAAAAAAAATTAGCCGGGTGTGGTGGCGGGCGCCTGTAATCCCAGCAACTTGGGCGGCTGAGGGAGGAGAATCGCTTGAATCCGGGAGGCGGAGGTTGCAGTGAGCCGAGATTGGACCATTGCACTCCAGCCTGGCGGAGAAGAGCAAAAATCCATCCCAAAAACAAAAACAAAAAAACGGATTGGAAGAAAACAAACAGGAGATTCACTAATTAGAACCCCACTGCAATAAGTCAGGCAAGACCTGTATTAGGGTACTGACAGAAAGTGACAGTCAAAAGATAGTAGATAAAATGAAGAGGATTTATTGAGGTATGAGATGGTGGAGGATGGTCTCAAGGAGTAAAAACAGTTCAATGCACCTACGTGCAAAGTCTCAAAATTAATCATTTGTACGTATAAAGGAGTTATCTTTCAAATGAGGCCTGTTAGGAAGTAACAAAGTATGCTCTTTGTGATTTCTGGAAACAATACAAACCAACTTTCCATGTGAGATCTCAGGGCGCTACTACTGCTGGGTTCCTAACTCAAACCATTACACTTTCCGTGCCAACGTAACAAGGAATTGAGGAGGTTCCATTTTGGGAATTAAGGAGTGTCCCCAACAGTAACAGTCCCACCTTAAAGCAATCCTTCCGTATTTTACCTAAGAGCAATGGCCAGAACCTCCCTTTTACAAGAATATGGAGAAATCACAGGACATCACAGACATCGCCCCTTTCAGCTACAGCGGGTGGCGCAGAGGGTCAAAGCCTCAAAGCAAGCGGCGGACAAGTCAAGCTTGCGATGGCAACGGCGAGAGGCAGAGACCACAAACGATGAAGCCCAGACCCAGAAGCCACGAGCTGGAAAGGCCACGCCAAGGGACCAAGACATACTACCTTTCGGGGATGTGGTTTCCGCCCTTCTTCTTGGCTGAGGAGCGTCCTGAAAAGTCGCGTCTCCGGCCCCAGCCACTGCGGGGATGATGCCACTGGCTCATGTGGGTCCCAAGAAGCCGCCCACCCAATGCCAAGTCGGCCAAAAGCGCCAGTCCGGCGCCCTCAATGCCAGGATAAGACCCTAAACAGGAAAAGACTCGGCAGCCACCTACGCCGCGCTCCAGCGTCTCGCTATTGCGCATGTGCCACCGCCGGTCGTGATGGCGTAGCCACGCTGGCTTACTGAGACTCCTGATCTGTAAACAGGACTTTGGTGGCTACAGCGCCCTCTTTAGCCAGAGGCCAGTAGCACAGGTCAATAAGGGCGTGTATGCACCCTTCAGAATTCAAACAGTGAGGCACAGGGAAGTCCCTCTGCCCGATCCGCCCCACGCCCCGGTTCCTTGTGTGTTCTTCTAGATATTTACCAGCGCTTACATTCACATTTTGCATATTTTGTATACATATTTACTTTCACATATATGTATATCCTCTATTTTTATACAAAAGGAGTAACTGTACATATTCTACAGTATACCTTAAACACTGATTATCCCAGTCAATTTATGCATACATAGATTCTATTTTTAATGGCTATAGGCAATTTACTTGCTTATGAGTAACATAATTAAAAGTACCATAACGTATTTAGCCAGTTCAATATTAATGGACCTTTAGTTGTTTTCAGGTTCTTTTCAAATCTTGTTACAGACAATGCTGCAATGTGAACATCCTTATACATATATACAACTATATCTAAATTCCTAGAAGTAGAATGTCTGGAATGAAACACATACAAACTTAAAATTTGGAAAGATACTACCTAATTACCCTCCAAAAATAATGTAGAAACATACACTCCCATCAAAGCCAAACTTTTATTGGGTTCCTATCACATACCAGGTATCATGCTAGAGGTGGACAGAATGTATTTAAGTTTTAGCAAATACAAAAAATAACTGAGAGTGGAGCTCAAGTCCAAGGTTTCCACACAGTCTCAAGCATAAAGATCTGTACCCGTTAGAAAAACGTTCAATTCTGCTAAAAGTGGAACTACAAAGGACAGCATACCCTATAGCAGCTTTGAAAATAGAATAGAGTACTAAATTCCAGATTAAACTGTAAGTAATTATGATTGCAGACTTTTTTTTTTTTTTTTTGAGACCCAGTCTCACTCTGCCACCAGGCTGGAGTGCAGTGGTGCCATCTCAGCTCACTGCAACCTCCGCCTCCCGGGTTCAAGCAATTCTCCCTGCCTCAACCTCCTGAGTAGCTGGGACTACAGGTGCATGCCACGACTCCCAGCCAATTTTTTGTATTTTAGTAGAGACAGGGTTTCTCCATGTTGGCCAGGATGGTCTCGATGTCTTGACCTCATGATCAGCACTCCTCGACCTCCGAAAGTGCTGGGATTACAGGCTTGAGCCACCGCACCTGGCCAATGGCAGATTTTTGAAAGTAATTTTTACTTCTTAGTTTCTAATTTATGAAAGTAACTTACATATATTTTTAGTAATCTTTGCAACCATTTCAGAGCTGGGTAAACCAAGGATAAGAAAGGTCAGAGCTATTGAATAAATGAATATTAATAAAGCTAGACTGCTAGCTTTATTAACATTTTTGAGACAGTACTTTTCCAACCAGTTTTAAATACATAAACATTTACAATTCTGAAAATTTCCACATCATTAAAAATGTGTCAATATTCATAAATTGTTCATTGGAAAAAGAAAAAGACAGGATAGCAGAACATAACAAACCTACAATTAGGAACATTTAATTATTTGTTGTTGTTGTTGTTGAGATGGAGTCTCTCTCTGTCACCCAGGCTAGAGTGCAGTGGCGCGATCTCAGCTCACTGCAACCTCTGCCTCCTGGGTTCAAGCAATTCTCCTGCCTCAGCCTCTTGAGTAGCTGCGACTACAGGCGTGTGCCACCATGCCCGGCTAATTTTTGTATTTTTAGTAAAGACAAGGTTTCACCAAGTTGGCCAGGCTGGTCTTGAACTCCTGACCTCAAGTCATCTGCTCTCTTCGGCCTCCCAAAGTGCTGGGATGACAGGCGTGAGCCCCTGCGCCCAGCCCACATTCAAATTTGACATTAAATTGTAAAATATTGTGGCCGGGCATGGTGGCTCATGCCTGTAATTCCAGCACTTTGGGAGGCCGAGGCGGGCAGGTCACTTGAGGTCAGGAGTTAGAGATCAACCTGGCCAACATGGTAAAATCCTATCTCTACTAAAAATACAGAAATTAGCTGGGCGTGGTGGCTCATACCTGTAGTCCAGGGTACTTGGGAGGCTGAGGCAGGAGAATGGCTTGAACATGGGAGGCGGAGGTTGCAGTGAGCCAAGATTGTGCCATTGCACTCCAGCCTGGGCAACAGAGCGAGACTCTGTATCACGAAATAAATAAATAAATAATACAATGTTTTTCTGAAATGCATGAAAAATTCCAATAGGTGTATAGTAGCCCAAAACTACAAATGTTACAAATGTCTATAGACATGACAAGATACAAAACGTGACATAAATCTTTCAGAAGCTAGAAAAGCTGTATTGGGCTTACACTTTCAATTTGCTAAAAGACACAACATTGGGGTGAGAACAAACTCAGTTATAGTTGACACAAGAAAATCCAGACCTAGGCGGAATAGGGTTCCTAGAAAGTAACCAGACATACTAATGAATAACATAAATGAGGTAATATGACATAAAACATAATGGAAAAAGAATATTATGATTATTTTCTTCAGTGTACAGAAGTAATGGAAGTTCTGGACTAGCTACATAAAAAATATTAAATTCTATGTTCTATTAATACAAAATAAGTGTGTCGAATTGTTTGTCACATAAACCAAAAAATCCACACAAATCTCTTTTTCCCTGTACCCTCAACTTGCCTGTTTCCTATTCTCCACTAAATGCTTAAATTCTTCATTTTGCCTAGCCCTTGCACCCAAGCATGGCTGACAGGATATCCCAAAGGCCCAAGATTCTATAGTGGCTGTTTGCAAGAGAGAGGAGGCTAAAAGTAACTGCCATACTGGATCCCCTTATGTGAGAAGAAAGAAAGTATCCTGAATGCTTCTCACGTATAAAAGAGCAGGATGGCAGGGTGTCTGTGTGGCCCAAGGAGCCAGAGGTAGCAAACCATGGGCAAAAGAAATGTGACCAAAGGCTAGAAGAGGGAAGGTCTGCAGTCAGCCTTGTCTTCTACCTCTCTGGTGTTTGCTTCTCATAAGCAGAGTCCGTATTCCAAACATCCGGACACTGAAAAGAAGACTCCTGCTCTGGAAGTTGACAAGAAGGAATATCCACAAATGTAAAAATGCAAGATCAAGGCTTGGCCCAGAAACGATGCCTAAAATCAAGGGGTTAAAAAAAGGAGAGCAGAAGAGAGATCCAAGTCCAACCTGGCCCAGCCCAAAGAAGGTAGGATTCAAGGAGAAGAAACTAAAAGAGAAGAGCCTTGGACCACATCCTTTCCTACAATGGGCAGTCAACGAACTTTGCCGTTCAACCAAGTTACAAAAGAAGGCTCTTTAATCCCTTCTTTGGCCCTTAAAAGCGGCAGCAGGGCCGGGCGCCGTGGCTCCCGCCTGTAATCCCAGCACTTTGGGAGGCAGGGGAAGACCGATCACGAGGTCAGGTGATCGAGATCATCCTGGCTAACAGGGTGAAACCCCGTCTCTACCAAAAATACAAAAAATTAGCCAGGCGAAGTGGCAGGACTCAGGAGGCTGAGTCAGGAGAATGGCATGAACCTGGGAGGTGGAGCTTGCAGTGAGCCGAGGTCACGCCACTGCACTCCAGCCTGGGCGACAGAGCCAGACTCCATCTCACAAAAAATACAATAAAATTAAAAAGCAGCAGTAAATTCATTAATCAGATTCACTGAAATAGTTTTAGAACAACTGTAATTGCTCAACTTAAACATCCCTTTCCTTTCTCCCCAAGGATATTGTGTATGTACTATATAATTATAAATGCATACTATTACATATTATGAAATGTAACATATAAAATATAAATGTTAGTTAATTATATTAGTGAACATTTATGAGAAACATTGAGATGATCTCCCTAACATGAGAGCCTGGGGGAAAGTGGGACTATCATGTCTGTCTTGCAGATTTCACCTCCCCAGAGCTCAGCCACTTAGTGCTGTTACACCTTTCCTACCACCTCTGCCAGCCAATCCTGTCTTGTGGGGAATCTGACCTCCCTATTGGCTATCGCAGACCTTTAAACTGCCTGCTTTGTGACATCATTCTCCCACCAAACCGACCACCACCTGGTAGCATCTTGGGGTTTCCTGGGCGTGGCCTGTAAATTTGTATCATCACAAGGGGCCAGTGACCAGTAACCAGTGACCAGTGGCCTTCATACTGGACACATGCACTGGTTGGCTTCAGCCACCCAGACATCCGCTAGTATCGTCTCTTCTTCCCTTCTATCTGCAGTTGATGTTTCTTCTTCTCTGACCATGTCAGGTAAAGAGAGAAACTTTTTAAAAAGGTTTTCATGAGATTTCTTTGCCACTAAATTTAGATTTCTTTCCCCCTATATTCCCAAACAGCTTGGAATAACAGGGAAAGTATTGAAGTAGAAATCCAGAGACCTCATTTCAGTTTTGGCTTTGACATTTACTAGCTGTGTGACTTTAGATAACTTTTATTCTCTCACAAAATCTGTTTCCTCATCTATTACACTAGGATAATAGACTGGTTATTCCCCCTGGCCCTTTTCTTTTCTAATACTGAGTCTTAAAGGGTATACGTATAGAAAATGAAATCAGAGACTTTCTGAGAGTGTTCATTTCAACAGAAACAGAGAAAAAACCAAAGTGGTCTAGAAAACTAGCAATATATTCTGAGATGTTTCATGTGTAATAGCCTCCCTCCACTAATATTTCAACTTTCGTATTTTAAATTTAGTGATGTTTAGTGATGTTTTAAATAATATTCAGCCAGGCACGGTGGCTCACACCTGTAATCTCAGCACTTTGGGAGGCCATCTCCCTCACTAATATTTCAACTTTCCTATTTTAAATTTAGTGATGTTTACTGATGTGTAGTGATGTTTTTAATATTCAGTTGGGCGTGGTAGCTCATGCCTGCAATGTCAATGCTTTGGGAGCCTGAGGTGGGAGGATCGCTTTGGGCCTAGGAGTTCCCGGCCAGTCTGGGCAACATGGCAAGACCCCATCTCTACAAAAACTTTTTAAGACTCAGCCAGGGTTGGGTGTATGCCAGCTACGCAGGAGGCTGAGGTGGGAGGATCAGAGGACTGCTTGAGCCCAGGAGGCTGAGACTGCAGTGAGCCATGTTCATACCACTGGACTTCAGCCTGGGTGACAAAGTGAGACCCTGTCACAAACAAACAAACAAACAAACAAACAAAAAAGAAAAGTAGTATTCACGTTTTGGACATTCCTATCTAAACTAGGTGGAAAGAGAAAATGGAGAGTACTGGGTTCTAAGGAGGCAGGTATTCTAGGGTAAGTAATTTGGTATTTTAATTTAAGCAGAAAGACATGGTCCCCTACTTTTCCCCTTGGGATATGCCCTGGAGAATGACAAAATGATTTTAAAAGAAAAAAATATATTTTAAATTTGAAAAAAAAAAGCAGAAGGACAACAGAGTGAAATGTATTCAGAGTAGGGCAAAATGAAGTTGATTTTAGCAAATGCTTAGATCAATGGACGAGGAAGGAAACAGGCTACATTACATATCCCTAGGAAAAGCAGCTTATCAGAAGTCATATTCAGTCACTTTTTTCTGTTGCCTTTTTGAACATAGATGACACTTGACAGTTTGTAATATAAACATTTTGGAAATATGTTTTAGAGGCCAGGCTCGGTGGCTTACACCTGTAATCCCAGCACTTTGGGAGGCCGAGGTGGGCTGATCACCTGAGGTCAGGAGTGTGAGACAAGCCTGACCAACAAGGAGAAACCCCACCTCTACTAAAAATACCAAATTAGCCGGGCATGGTGGCACATGCGTGTAATCCCAGCTACTTGGGAGGCTGAGGCAGGACAATCACTTGAACCCGAGAGGCAAAGGTTGTGGTGAGCCAAGATCGCGCCATTGCACTCCAGCCTGGGCAATAAGAGGGAAACTCCGCTTCAAAAAGAAAAAAAAAGAAAGAGAGAAATATGTTTTAGAAATGAGGCTTCCAGGCAGGGTGCGGTGGCTCACACCTGTAATCACAGCACTTTGCAAGGCTGACGCAGGCGGATTGCCTGAGGTCAGAAGTTGGAGACCAGCCTAGGCAACATGGTGAAACCCCATTTCTCCTGAAAATATAAGAATTAGCTGGGTGTGGTGGCGTGCACCTGTAATCCTCCTACTTGGGAGGCTCAGGCATCAGAATTGCTTGAACCAGGGAGGCGCATGATGCAGTGAGCCGAGATCGTGCCACTGCCCTCCAGCCTAGGCGACAGAGCGAGACTCCATCTAAAAACAAACAAACAAATAAACAAACAAATGATCAATGCAGGTATCTCTAAAAGCTTACCACCAAGGAAAATGATTATATCCATAGATTTCCTCCCCCAAACCAGCTTAGTCCACACGTAAATCATTAGCAACTCAGCCCTAACTCATTTTATCACAGTTACAAGAGAAGTTAGTGAGAAAAGCACTAACTAGGAAAATGAAAACCAAGGCAATCCAAGTCAACTTGGGCTCACTGCAGACATCTGTTCCTTATGCTTGGGCACACAGCACAACTCACAACAGTGCCTTTTTCACAGACCCCTCTTTAATTTCCTCCACAAAACCCATCAGGTCACCATAGTTCATGATGTTTCAAAATAAACAACCATCATGAGAAAAACATGCAGTATGTCTTACAATCTTGTATTCCTTAAAAATATGACAAGGAAAAAACATGTAGAAAAACCAGAGGATTTAAAAGCAATCTACAGGCCACGCACGGTGGCTCACACCTGTAATCCCAGCACTTTGCGAGGCTGAGGCAGGAAGATCAACCGAGGTCAGGAGTTTGAGACCAGCCTGGACAACATGGTGAAACCTTGTCCTTAATAAAAATACAAAAATTAGCCAGGGATAGTGGCGGCACCCGTTATCCCAGCCACTTGGGAGGCTGAGGCAGGAGAATCACTTGGACCAAGGAGGCAGAGGTTGCAGTGAGCCAAGACCGTGCCACTGCACTCCAGCCTGGGCAAAAGAGTGAAATTCTGTCTCACTCTTATAAATAAAATAAAGTTAATAAAACAAAAGCAATTTACATTCTACAGACATACTAATGAATGACATAAATGAGGTAATACGGTATAAAACAAAATGGAAAAAATACATTATGATTATTTTCTTCAGTGTACAGAAGTCATGGAAGTTCTGGACTATCTAGCTACATAAAAAATATTGGGCCAGGCGCAGTGGCACACGCCTGTAATCCCAGCACTTTGGGAGGCTGAGGTGGGCAGATCCCAAGGTCAGGAGACCATCCTGGCTGACACGGTGAAACCCCGTCTCTACAAAAAAATACAAAAAATTAGCCGGGCATGGTGGCGAGTACCTGTAATCCCAGCTACTCGGGAGGCTGAGGCACGAGAATGGTGTGAACCTGGGAGGCAGAGCTTGAAGCTAGCAGAGATCGGCCACTGCCCTCCAGCCTGGGTGACAGAGAGAGACTCTGTCTCAAAAAAAAAAAAAAAAAGAATTGTCTATTTTGTTAATACAAAATAGGTATGTTGAATTGTTTGTCACAGAAACCAAAAAATCCACATAAATCTCTTTTTTCCTGTACCCTCACCTTGCCTGTTTCCTATTCTCCACTAAATGCTTCAACTCTTCATTTTGCCTGGCCCTTGCACCCAAGCATGGCTGACAGAAAATCCTAAAGGCCCAAGATTCTATAGTGGCTGTTTGCAAGGGAGACGAGGCTATAAGTAACTGCCACACTGGATCCTCTTATGTGAGAAGAAAGAAAGTATCCAGAATGCCTCTCACATATAAAAGAGCAGGATGGCAGGGTGTCTGTGTGGCCCAAGGAGCCAGAGGTAGCAAACTGTGGGCAAAAGAATTGTGACCAAAGGCTAGAAGAGAGAAGGTCTGCAGTCAGCCTTGTCTTCTACCTCTCTGCTGTTTGCTTCTCATGAGGAGAGTCCGTTTTCCACACATCGGGACACTGAAAAGAAGACTCCTGCTCTGGAAGTTGACAAGAAGGAATATTCACGAATGTAAAAATGCAAGATCAAGGCTTGGCCCAGAAACAATGCCTAAAATCAAGGGGTTAAAAAAGGGAGAGCAGAAGAGAGATCCAAGTCCAACCTGGCCCAGCCCAAAGAAGGTGGAATTCAAGGAGAAGAAACTAAAAGAGAAGAGCCTTGGACCACATCATTTCCTACAAGGGGCAGTCAACGAACTTTGCTGTTCAAGTTACGAAAGGGGGTTCTTTAATCCCTTCCTCTGGCCATTAAAAGCGGCAGTGGGGCCAGGCGCGGTGGCTCCCGCCTGTAATCCCAGCACTCTGGGAGGCAGATGCGGGCGGATCACGAGGTCAGGTGATCGAGACCATCCTGGCTAACAGGGTGAAACCCTGTCCCTACTAAAAATACAAAAAATTAGCCGGCTGAAGTGGCAGGCGCCTGTAGTCCCAGCTACTCAGGAGGCTGAGGCAGTAGAATAGCGTGAACCTGGGAGGTGGTGCTTGCAGTGAGCCAAGATCACGCCACTGCACTCCAGCCTGGGTGACAGAGCCAGACTCCATCTCACAAAAAATACAATAAAATTAAAAAGCAGCAGTAAATTCATTAATCAGATTCACTGAAATAGTTTTAGAACAACTGTAATTGCTCAACTTAGACATCCCCTTCCTTTCTCCCCAAGGATATTGTGTATGTACTGTATAATTATAAATGCATACTATTACATATTATGAAATGTAACATATAAAATATAAATGTTAATTATATTAGTGAACATTTATGAGAAACATTGAGATGATCTCCCTAACATGAGAGCCTGGGGGAAAGTGGGACTATCATGTCTGTCTTGCAGATTTCACCTCCCCAGAGCTCAGCCACTTAGTGCTGTTACACCTTTCCTACCACCTCTGCCAGCCAATCCTGTCTTGTGGGGAATCTGACCTCCCTATTGGCTATCGCAGACCTTTAAACTGCCTGCTTTGTGACATCATTCTCCCACCAAACCGACCGCCACCTGGTAGCATCTTGGGGTTTCCTGGGCGTGGCCTGTAAATTTGTATCATCACAAGGGGCCAGTGACCAGTAACCAGTGACCAGTGGCCTTCATACTGGACACATGCACTGGTTGGCTTCAGCCACCCAGACATCCGCTAGTATCGTCTCTTCTTCCCTTCTATCTGCAGTTGATGTTTCTTCTTCTCTGACCATGTCAGGTAAAGAAAGAAACTTCTTAAAAAGGTTTTCATGAGATTTCTTTGCCACTAAATTTAGGTTTCTTCCCCCCTATATTCCCAAACAGCTTGGAATAACAGGGAAATTATTGAAGTAGAAATCCAGAGACCTCATTTCAGTTTTGGCTTTGACATTTACTAGCTGTGTGACTTTAGATAACGTTTATTCTCTCATAAAATCTGTTTCCTCATCTATTACACTAGGATAATAGACTGGTTATTCCCCCTGGCCCTTTTCTTTTCTAATACTGAGTCTTAAAGGGTATATGTATAGAAAATGAAATCAGAGACTTTCTGAGAGTGTTCATTTCAACAGAAACAGAGAAAAAACCAAAGTGGTCTAGAAAACTAGCAATATATTCTGAGATGTTTCATGTGTAATAGTCTCCCTCTACTAATATTTCAACTTTCGTATTTTAAATTTAGTGATGCTTAGTGATGTTTTAAATAATATTCAGCCAGGCACGGTGGCTCATACCTGTAATCTCAGCACTTTGGGAGGCCATCTCCCTCACTAATATTTCAACTTTCCTATTTTAAATTTAGTGATGTTTACTGATGTGTAGTGATGTTTTTAATATTCAGTTGGGCGTGGTAGCTCATGCCTGCAATATCAATGCTTTGGGAGCCTGAGGTGGGAGGATCGCTTTGGGCCTAGGAGTTCCCGGCCAGTCTGGGCAACATGGCAAGACCCCATCTCTACAAAAACTTTTTAAGACTCAGCCAGGGTTGGGTGTATGCCAGCTACGCAGGAGGCTGAGGTGGGAGGATCAGAGGACTGCTTGAGCCCAGGAGGCTGAGACTGCAGTGAGCCATGTTCATACCACTGGACTTCAGCCTGGGTGACAAAGTGAGACCCTGTCACAAACAAACAAACAAACAAACAAACAAAAAAGAAAAGTAGTATTCACGTTTTGGACATTCCTATCTAAACTAGGTGGAAAGAGAAAATGGAGAGTACTGGGTTCTAAGGAGGCAGGTATTCTAGGGTAAGTAATTTGGTATTTTAATTTAAGCAGAAAGACATGGTCCCCTACTTTTCCCCTTGGGATATGCCCTGGAGAATGACAAAATGATTTTAAAAGAAAAAAATATATTTTAAATTTGAAAAAAAAAAGCAGAAGGACAACAGAGTGAAATGTATTCAGAGTAGGGCAAAATGAAGTTGATTTTAGCAAATGCTTAGATCAATGGACGAGAAAGGAAACAGGCTACATTACATATCCCTAGGAAAAGCAGCTTATCAGAAGTCATATTCAGTCACTTTTTTCTGTTGCCTTTTTGAACATAGATGACACTTGACAGTTTGTAATATAAACATTTTGGAAATATGTTTTAGAGGCCGGGCACGGTGGCTTACGCCTGTAAACCAAGCACTTTGGGAGGCCGAGGTGGGCTGATCACCTGAGGTCAGGAGTGTGAGACAAGCCTGACCAACAAGGAGAAACCCCATCTCTACTAAAAATACCAAATTAGCCGGGCATGGTGGCACATGCGTGTAATCCCAGCTATTTGGGAGGCTGAGGCAGGAGAATCGCTTGAACCCGAGAGGCAAAGGTTGTGGTGAGCCAAGATCGCGCCATTGCACTCCAGTCTGGGCAATAAGAGCGAAACTCCGCTTCAAAAGAAAAAAAAAAGAAACCAACATGTTTTAGAAATGAGGCTTCCAGGCGGGGTGCGGTGGCTCACGCCTGTAATCACAGCACTTTGCGAGGCTGAGGTGGGAAGATCACCGGAGGTCAGGAGTTGGAGACCAGCCTGGCCAACGTGGTCAAACCCCATCTCTACTAAGAATACAAAAATTAGCTGGGTGTGGTGGTGTGCACCTTTAATCCTACGTACTTGGGAGGCTCAGGCATCAGAATTGCTTGAACCAGGGAGGCGCATGATGCAGTGAGCCGAGATCGTGCCACTGCCCTCCAGCCTAGGCGACAGAGCGAGACTCCATCTAAAAACAAACAAACAAATAAACAAACAAATGATCAATGCAGGTATCTCTAAAAGCTTACCACCAAGGAAAATGATTATATCCATAGATTTCCTCCCCCAAACCAGCTTAGTCCACACGTAAATCATTAGCAACTCAGCCCTAACTCATTTTATCACAGTTACAAGAGAAGTTAGTGAGAAAAGCACTAACTAGGAAAATGAAAACCAAGGCAATCCAAGTCAACTTGGGCTCACTGCAGACATCTGTTCCTTATGCTTGGGCACACAGCACAACTCACAACAGTGCCTTTTTCACAGACCCCTCTTTAATTTCCTCCACAAAACCCATCAGGTCACCATAGTTCATGATGTTTCAAAATAAACAACCATCATGAGAAAAACATGCAGTACGTCTTACAATCTTGTATTCCTTAAAAATATGACAAGGAAAAAACATGTAGAAAAACCAGAGGATTTAAAAGCAATCTACAGGCCACGCACGGTGGCTCACACCTGTAATCCCAGCACTTTGCGAGGCTGAGGCAGGAAGATCAACCGAGGTCAGGAGTTTGAGACCAGCCTGGACAACATGGTGAAACCTTGTCCTTAATAAAAATACAAAAATTAGCCAGGGATAGTGGCGGCACCCGTTATCCCAGCCACTTGGGAGGCTGAGGCAGGAGAATCACTTGGACCAAGGAGGCAGAGGTTGCAGTGAGCCAAGACCGTGCCACTGCACTCCAGCCTGGGCAAAAGAGTGAAATTCTGTCTCACTCTTATAAATAAAATAAAGTTAATAAAACAAAAGCAATTTACATTCTACAGACATACTAATGAATGACATAAATGAGGTAATACGGTATAAAACAAAATGGAAAAAATACATTATGATTATTTTCTTCAGTGTACAGAAGTCATGGAAGTTCTGGACTATCTAGCTACATAAAAAATATTGGGCCAGGCGCAGTGGCACACGCCTGTAATCCCAGCACTTTGGGAGGCTGAGGTGGGCAGATCCCAAGGTCAGGAGACCATCCTGGCTGACACGGTGAAACCCCGTCTCTACAAAAAAATACAAAAAATTAGCCGGGCATGGTGGCGAGTACCTGTAATCCCAGCTACTCGGGAGGCTGAGGCACGAGAATGGTGTGAACCTGGGAGGCAGAGCTTGAAGCTAGCAGAGATCGGCCACTGCCCTCCAGCCTGGGTGACAGAGAGAGACTCTGTCTCAAAAAAAAAAAAAAAAGAATTGTCTATTTTGTTAATACAAAATAGGTATGTTGAATTGTTTGTCACAGAAACCAAAAAATCCACATAAATCTCTTTTTTCCTGTACCCTCACCTTGCCTGTTTCCTATTCTCCACTAAATGCTTTAACTCTTCATTTTGCCTGGCCCTTGCACCCAAGCATGGCTGACAGAAAATCCTAAAGGCCCAAGATTCTATAGTGGCTGTTTGCAAGGGAGACGAGGCTATAAGTAACTGCCACACTGGATCCTCTTATGTGAGAAGAAAGAAAGTATCCAGAATGCCTCTCACATATAAAAGAGCAGGATGGCAGGGTGTCTGTGTGGCCCAAGGAGCCAGAGGTAGCAAACTGTGGGCAAAAGAATTGTGACCAAAGGCTAGAAGAGAGAAGGTCTGCAGTCAGCCTTGTCTTCTACCTCTCTGCTGTTTGCTTCTCATGAGGAGAGTCCGTTTTCCACACATCGGGACACTGAAAAGAAGACTCCTGCTCTGGAAGTTGACAAGAAGGAATATTCACGAATGTAAAAATGCAAGATCAAGGCTTGGCCCAGAAACAATGCCTAAAATCAAGGGGTTAAAAAAGGGAGAGCAGAAGAGAGATCCAAGTCCAACCTGGCCCAGCCCAAAGAAGGTGGAATTCAAGGAGAAGAAACTAAAAGAGAAGAGCCTTGGACCACATCATTTCCTACAAGGGGCAGTCAACGAACTTTGCTGTTCAAGTTACGAAAGGGGGTTCTTTAATCCCTTCCTCTGGCCATTAAAAGCGGCAGTGGGGCCAGGCGCGGTGGCTCCCGCCTGTAATCCCAGCACTCTGGGAGGCAGATGCGGGCGGATCACGAGGTCAGGTGATCGAGACCATCCTGGCTAACAGGGTGAAACCCTGTCCCTACTAAAAATACAAAAAATTAGCCGGCTGAAGTGGCAGGCGCCTGTAGTCCCAGCTACTCAGGAGGCTGAGGCAGTAGAATAGCGTGAACCTGGGAGGTGGTGCTTGCAGTGAGCCAAGATCACGCCACTGCACTCCAGCCTGGGTGACAGAGCCAGACTCCATCTCACAAAAAATACAATAAAATTAAAAAGCAGCAGTAAATTCATTAATCAGATTCACTGAAATAGTTTTAGAACAACTGTAATTGCTCAACTTAGACATCCCCTTCCTTTCTCCCCAAGGATATTGTGTATGTACTGTATAATTATAAATGCATACTATTACATATTATGAAATGTAACATATAAAATATAAATGTTAATTATATTAGTGAACATTTATGAGAAACATTGAGATGATCTCCCTAACATGAGAGCCTGGGGGAAAGTGGGACTATCATGTCTGTCTTGCAGATTTCACCTCCCCAGAGCTCAGCCACTTAGTGCTGTTACACCTTTCCTACCACCTCTGCCAGCCAATCCTGTCTTGTGGGGAATCTGACCTCCCTATTGGCTATCGCAGACCTTTAAACTGCCTGCTTTGTGACATCATTCTCCCACCAAACCGACCGCCACCTGGTAGCATCTTGGGGTTTCCTGGGCGTGGCCTGTAAATTTGTATCATCACAAGGGGCCAGTGACCAGTAACCAGTGACCAGTGGCCTTCATACTGGACACATGCACTGGTTGGCTTCAGCCACCCAGACATCCGCTAGTATCGTCTCTTCTTCCCTTCTATCTGCAGTTGATGTTTCTTCTTCTCTGACCATGTCAGGTAAAGAAAGAAACTTCTTAAAAAGGTTTTCATGAGATTTCTTTGCCACTAAATTTAGGTTTCTTCCCCCCTATATTCCCAAACAGCTTGGAATAACAGGGAAATTATTGAAGTAGAAATCCAGAGACCTCATTTCAGTTTTGGCTTTGACATTTACTAGCTGTGTGACTTTAGATAACGTTTATTCTCTCATAAAATCTGTTTCCTCATCTATTACACTAGGATAATAGACTGGTTATTCCCCCTGGCCCTTTTCTTTTCTAATACTGAGTCTTAAAGGGTATATGTATAGAAAATGAAATCAGAGACTTTCTGAGAGTGTTCATTTCAACAGAAACAGAGAAAAAACCAAAGTGGTCTAGAAAACTAGCAATATATTCTGAGATGTTTCATGTGTAATAGTCTCCCTCTACTAATATTTCAACTTTCGTATTTTAAATTTAGTGATGCTTAGTGATGTTTTAAATAATATTCAGCCAGGCACGGTGGCTCATACCTGTAATCTCAGCACTTTGGGAGGCCATCTCCCTCACTAATATTTCAACTTTCCTATTTTAAATTTAGTGATGTTTACTGATGTGTAGTGATGTTTTTAATATTCAGTTGGGCGTGGTAGCTCATGCCTGCAATATCAATGCTTTGGGAGCCTGAGGTGGGAGGATCGCTTTGGGCCTAGGAGTTCCCGGCCAGTCTGGGCAACATGGCAAGACCCCATCTCTACAAAAACTTTTTAAGACTCAGCCAGGGTTGGGTGTATGCCAGCTACGCAGGAGGCTGAGGTGGGAGGATCAGAGGACTGCTTGAGCCCAGGAGGCTGAGACTGCAGTGAGCCATGTTCATACCACTGGACTTCAGCCTGGGTGACAAAGTGAGACCCTGTCACAAACAAACAAACAAACAAACAAACAAAAAAGAAAAGTAGTATTCACGTTTTGGACATTCCTATCTAAACTAGGTGGAAAGAGAAAATGGAGAGTACTGGGTTCTAAGGAGGCAGGTATTCTAGGGTAAGTAATTTGGTATTTTAATTTAAGCAGAAAGACATGGTCCCCTACTTTTCCCCTTGGGATATGCCCTGGAGAATGACAAAATGATTTTAAAAGAAAAAAATATATTTTAAATTTGAAAAAAAAAAGCAGAAGGACAACAGAGTGAAATGTATTCAGAGTAGGGCAAAATGAAGTTGATTTTAGCAAATGCTTAGATCAATGGACGAGAAAGGAAACAGGCTACATTACATATCCCTAGGAAAAGCAGCTTATCAGAAGTCATATTCAGTCACTTTTTTCTGTTGCCTTTTTGAACATAGATGACACTTGACAGTTTGTAATATAAACATTTTGGAAATATGTTTTAGAGGCCGGGCACGGTGGCTTACGCCTGTAAACCAAGCACTTTGGGAGGCCGAGGTGGGCTGATCACCTGAGGTCAGGAGTGTGAGACAAGCCTGACCAACAAGGAGAAACCCCATCTCTACTAAAAATACCAAATTAGCCGGGCATGGTGGCACATGCGTGTAATCCCAGCTATTTGGGAGGCTGAGGCAGGAGAATCGCTTGAACCCGAGAGGCAAAGGTTGTGGTGAGCCAAGATCGCGCCATTGCACTCCAGTCTGGGCAATAAGAGCGAAACTCCGCTTCAAAAGAAAAAAAAAAGAAACCAACATGTTTTAGAAATGAGGCTTCCAGGCGGGGTGCGGTGGCTCACGCCTGTAATCACAGCACTTTGCGAGGCTGAGGTGGGAAGATCACCGGAGGTCAGGAGTTGGAGACCAGCCTGGCCAACGTGGTCAAACCCCATCTCTACTAAGAATACAAAAATTAGCTGGGTGTGGTGGTGTGCACCTTTAATCCTACGTACTTGGGAGGCTCAGGCATCAGAATTGCTTGAACCAGGGAGGCGCATGATGCAGTGAGCCGAGATCGTGCCACTGCCCTCCAGCCTAGGCGACAGAGCGAGACTCCATCTAAAAACAAACAAACAAATAAACAAACAAATGATCAATGCAGGTATCTCTAAAAGCTTACCACCAAGGAAAATGATTATATCCATAGATTTCCTCCCCCAAACCAGCTTAGTCCACACGTAAATCATTAGCAACTCAGCCCTAACTCATTTTATCACAGTTACAAGAGAAGTTAGTGAGAAAAGCACTAACTAGGAAAATGAAAACCAAGGCAATCCAAGTCAACTTGGGCTCACTGCAGACATCTGTTCCTTATGCTTGGGCACACAGCACAACTCACAACAGTGCCTTTTTCACAGACCCCTCTTTAATTTCCTCCACAAAACCCATCAGGTCACCATAGTTCATGATGTTTCAAAATAAACAACCATCATGAGAAAAACATGCAGTACGTCTTACAATCTTGTATTCCTTAAAAATATGACAAGGAAAAAACATGTAGAAAAACCAGAGGATTTAAAAGCAATCTACAGGCCACGCACGGTGGCTCACACCTGTAATCCCAGCACTTTGCGAGGCTGAGGCAGGAAGATCAACCGAGGTCAGGAGTTTGAGACCAGCCTGGACAACATGGTGAAACCTTGTCCTTAATAAAAATACAAAAATTAGCCAGGGATAGTGGCGGCACCCGTTATCCCAGCCACTTGGGAGGCTGAGGCAGGAGAATCACTTGGACCAAGGAGGCAGAGGTTGCAGTGAGCCAAGACCGTGCCACTGCACTCCAGCCTGGGCAAAAGAGTGAAATTCTGTCTCACTCTTATAAATAAAATAAAGTTAATAAAACAAAAGCAATTTACATTCTACAGACATACTAATGAATGACATAAATGAGGTAATACGGTATAAAACAAAATGGAAAAAATACATTATGATTATTTTCTTCAGTGTACAGAAGTCATGGAAGTTCTGGACTATCTAGCTACATAAAAAATATTGGGCCAGGCGCAGTGGCACACGCCTGTAATCCCAGCACTTTGGGAGGCTGAGGTGGGCAGATCCCAAGGTCAGGAGACCATCCTGGCTGACACGGTGAAACCCCGTCTCTACAAAAAAATACAAAAAATTAGCCGGGCATGGTGGCGAGTACCTGTAATCCCAGCTACTCGGGAGGCTGAGGCACGAGAATGGTGTGAACCTGGGAGGCAGAGCTTGAAGCTAGCAGAGATCGGCCACTGCCCTCCAGCCTGGGTGACAGAGAGAGACTCTGTCTCAAAAAAAAAAAAAAAAAGAATTGTCTATTTTGTTAATACAAAATAGGTATGTTGAATTGTTTGTCACAGAAACCAAAAAATCCACATAAATCTCTTTTTTCCTGTACCCTCACCTTGCCTGTTTCCTATTCTCCACTAAATGCTTTAACTCTTCATTTTGCCTGGCCCTTGCACCCAAGCATGGCTGACAGAAAATCCTAAAGGCCCAAGATTCTATAGTGGCTGTTTGCAAGGGAGACGAGGCTATAAGTAACTGCCACACTGGATCCTCTTATGTGAGAAGAAAGAAAGTATCCAGAATGCCTCTCACATATAAAAGAGCAGGATGGCAGGGTGTCTGTGTGGCCCAAGGAGCCAGAGGTAGCAAACTGTGGGCAAAAGAATTGTGACCAAAGGCTAGAAGAGAGAAGGTCTGCAGTCAGCCTTGTCTTCTACCTCTCTGCTGTTTGCTTCTCATGAGGAGAGTCCGTTTTCCACACATCGGGACACTGAAAAGAAGACTCCTGCTCTGGAAGTTGACAAGAAGGAATATTCACGAATGTAAAAATGCAAGATCAAGGCTTGGCCCAGAAACAATGCCTAAAATCAAGGGGTTAAAAAAGGGAGAGCAGAAGAGAGATCCAAGTCCAACCTGGCCCAGCCCAAAGAAGGTGGAATTCAAGGAGAAGAAACTAAAAGAGAAGAGCCTTGGACCACATCATTTCCTACAAGGGGCAGTCAAGGAACTTTGCTGTTCAAGTTACAAAAGGGGGTTCTTTAATCCCTTCCTCTGGCCATTAAAAGCGGCAGTGGGGCCAGGCGCGGTGGCTCCCGCCTGTAATCCCAGCACTCTGGGAGGCAGATGCGGGCGGATCACGAGGTCAGGTGATCGAGACCATCCTGGCTAACAGGGTGAAACCCTGTCCCTACTAAAAATACAAAAAATTAGCCGGCTGAAGTGGCAGGCGCCTGTAGTCCCAGCTACTCAGGAGGCTGAGGCAGTAGAATAGCGTGAACCTGGGAGGTGGTGCTTGCAGTGAGCCAAGATCACGCCACTGCACTCCAGCCTGGGTGACAGAGCCAGACTCCATCTCACAAAAAATACAATAAAATTAAAAAGCAGCAGTAAATTCATTAATCAGATTCACTGAAATAGTTTTAGAACAACTGTAATTGCTCAACTTAGACATCCCCTTCCTTTCTCCCCAAGGATATTGTGTATGTACTGTATAATTATAAATGCATACTATTACATATTATGAAATGTAACATATAAAATATAAATGTTAATTATATTAGTGAACATTTATGAGAAACATTGAGATGATCTCCCTAACATGAGAGCCTGGGGGAAAGTGGGACTATCATGTCTGTCTTGCAGATTTCACCTCCCCAGAGCTCAGCCACTTAGTGCTGTTACACCTTTCCTACCACCTCTGCCAGCCAATCCTGTCTTGTGGGGAATCTGACCTCCCTATTGGCTATCGCAGACCTTTAAACTGCCTGCTTTGTGACATCATTCTCCCACCAAACCGACCGCCACCTGGTAGCATCTTGGGGTTTCCTGGGCGTGGCCTGTAAATTTGTATCATCACAAGGGGCCAGTGACCAGTAACCAGTGACCAGTGGCCTTCATACTGGACACATGCACTGGTTGGCTTCAGCCACCCAGACATCCGCTAGTATCGTCTCTTCTTCCCTTCTATCTGCAGTTGATGTTTCTTCTTCTCTGACCATGTCAGGTAAAGAAAGAAACTTCTTAAAAAGGTTTTCATGAGATTTCTTTGCCACTAAATTTAGGTTTCTTCCCCCCTATATTCCCAAACAGCTTGGAATAACAGGGAAATTATTGAAGTAGAAATCCAGAGACCTCATTTCAGTTTTGGCTTTGACATTTACTAGCTGTGTGACTTTAGATAACGTTTATTCTCTCATAAAATCTGTTTCCTCATCTATTACACTAGGATAATAGACTGGTTATTCCCCCTGGCCCTTTTCTTTTCTAATACTGAGTCTTAAAGGGTATATGTATAGAAAATGAAATCAGAGACTTTCTGAGAGTGTTCATTTCAACAGAAACAGAGAAAAAACCAAAGTGGTCTAGAAAACTAGCAATATATTCTGAGATGTTTCATGTGTAATAGTCTCCCTCTACTAATATTTCAACTTTCGTATTTTAAATTTAGTGATGCTTAGTGATGTTTTAAATAATATTCAGCCAGGCACGGTGGCTCATACCTGTAATCTCAGCACTTTGGGAGGCCATCTCCCTCACTAATATTTCAACTTTCCTATTTTAAATTTAGTGATGTTTACTGATGTGTAGTGATGTTTTTAATATTCAGTTGGGCGTGGTAGCTCATGCCTGCAATATCAATGCTTTGGGAGCCTGAGGTGGGAGGATCGCTTTGGGCCTAGGAGTTCCCGGCCAGTCTGGGCAACATGGCAAGACCCCATCTCTACAAAAACTTTTTAAGACTCAGCCAGGGTTGGGTGTATGCCAGCTACGCAGGAGGCTGAGGTGGGAGGATCAGAGGACTGCTTGAGCCCAGGAGGCTGAGACTGCAGTGAGCCATGTTCATACCACTGGACTTCAGCCTGGGTGACAAAGTGAGACCCTGTCACAAACAAACAAACAAACAAACAAACAAAAAAGAAAAGTAGTATTCACGTTTTGGACATTCCTATCTAAACTAGGTGGAAAGAGAAAATGGAGAGTACTGGGTTCTAAGGAGGCAGGTATTCTAGGGTAAGTAATTTGGTATTTTAATTTAAGCAGAAAGACATGGTCCCCTACTTTTCCCCTTGGGATATGCCCTGGAGAATGACAAAATGATTTTAAAAGAAAAAAATATATTTTAAATTTGAAAAAAAAAAGCAGAAGGACAACAGAGTGAAATGTATTCAGAGTAGGGCAAAATGAAGTTGATTTTAGCAAATGCTTAGATCAATGGACGAGAAAGGAAACAGGCTACATTACATATCCCTAGGAAAAGCAGCTTATCAGAAGTCATATTCAGTCACTTTTTTCTGTTGCCTTTTTGAACATAGATGACACTTGACAGTTTGTAATATAAACATTTTGGAAATATGTTTTAGAGGCCGGGCACGGTGGCTTACGCCTGTAAACCAAGCACTTTGGGAGGCCGAGGTGGGCTGATCACCTGAGGTCAGGAGTGTGAGACAAGCCTGACCAACAAGGAGAAACCCCATCTCTACTAAAAATACCAAATTAGCCGGGCATGGTGGCACATGCGTGTAATCCCAGCTATTTGGGAGGCTGAGGCAGGAGAATCGCTTGAACCCGAGAGGCAAAGGTTGTGGTGAGCCAAGATCGCGCCATTGCACTCCAGTCTGGGCAATAAGAGCGAAACTCCGCTTCAAAAGAAAAAAAAAAGAAACCAACATGTTTTAGAAATGAGGCTTCCAGGCGGGGTGCGGTGGCTCACGCCTGTAATCACAGCACTTTGCGAGGCTGAGGTGGGAAGATCACCGGAGGTCAGGAGTTGGAGACCAGCCTGGCCAACGTGGTCAAACCCCATCTCTACTAAGAATACAAAAATTAGCTGGGTGTGGTGGTGTGCACCTTTAATCCTACGTACTTGGGAGGCTCAGGCATCAGAATTGCTTGAACCAGGGAGGCGCATGATGCAGTGAGCCGAGATCGTGCCACTGCCCTCCAGCCTAGGCGACAGAGCGAGACTCCATCTAAAAACAAACAAACAAATAAACAAACAAATGATCAATGCAGGTATCTCTAAAAGCTTACCACCAAGGAAAATGATTATATCCATAGATTTCCTCCCCCAAACCAGCTTAGTCCACACGTAAATCATTAGCAACTCAGCCCTAACTCATTTTATCACAGTTACAAGAGAAGTTAGTGAGAAAAGCACTAACTAGGAAAATGAAAACCAAGGCAATCCAAGTCAACTTGGGCTCACTGCAGACATCTGTTCCTTATGCTTGGGCACACAGCACAACTCACAACAGTGCCTTTTTCACAGACCCCTCTTTAATTTCCTCCACAAAACCCATCAGGTCACCATAGTTCATGATGTTTCAAAATAAACAACCATCATGAGAAAAACATGCAGTACGTCTTACAATCTTGTATTCCTTAAAAATATGACAAGGAAAAAACATGTAGAAAAACCAGAGGATTTAAAAGCAATCTACAGGCCACGCACGGTGGCTCACACCTGTAATCCCAGCACTTTGCGAGGCTGAGGCAGGAAGATCAACCGAGGTCAGGAGTTTGAGACCAGCCTGGACAACATGGTGAAACCTTGTCCTTAATAAAAATACAAAAATTAGCCAGGGATAGTGGCGGCACCCGTTATCCCAGCCACTTGGGAGGCTGAGGCAGGAGAATCACTTGGACCAAGGAGGCAGAGGTTGCAGTGAGCCAAGACCGTGCCACTGCACTCCAGCCTGGGCAAAAGAGTGAAATTCTGTCTCACTCTTATAAATAAAATAAAGTTAATAAAACAAAAGCAATTTACATTCTACAGACATACTAATGAATGACATAAATGAGGTAATACGGTATAAAACAAAATGGAAAAAATACATTATGATTATTTTCTTCAGTGTACAGAAGTCATGGAAGTTCTGGACTATCTAGCTACATAAAAAATATTGGGCCAGGCGCAGTGGCACACGCCTGTAATCCCAGCACTTTGGGAGGCTGAGGTGGGCAGATCCCAAGGTCAGGAGACCATCCTGGCTGACACGGTGAAACCCCGTCTCTACAAAAAAATACAAAAAATTAGCCGGGCATGGTGGCGAGTACCTGTAATCCCAGCTACTCGGGAGGCTGAGGCACGAGAATGGTGTGAACCTGGGAGGCAGAGCTTGAAGCTAGCAGAGATCGGCCACTGCCCTCCAGCCTGGGTGACAGAGAGAGACTCTGTCTCAAAAAAAAAAAAAAAGAATTGTCTATTTTGTTAATACAAAATAGGTATGTTGAATTGTTTGTCACAGAAACCAAAAAATCCACATAAATCTCTTTTTTCCTGTACCCTCACCTTGCCTGTTTCCTATTCTCCACTAAATGCTTCAACTCTTCATTTTGCCTGGCCCTTGCACCCAAGCATGGCTGACAGAAAATCCTAAAGGCCCAAGATTCTATAGTGGCTGTTTGCAAGGGAGACGAGGCTATAAGTAACTGCCACACTGGATCCTCTTATGTGAGAAGAAAGAAAGAAAGTATCCTGAATGCCTCTCACATATAAAAGAGCAGGATGGCAGGGTGTCTGTGTGGCCCAAGGAGCCAGAGGTAGCAAACTGTGGGCAAAAGAATTGTGACCAAAGGCTAGAAGAGGGAAGGTCTGCAGTCAGCCTTGTCTTCTACCTCTCTGCTGTTTGCTTCTCATGAGCAGAGTCCGTTTTCCAAACATCAGGACACTGAAAAGAAGACTCCTGCTCTGGAAGTTGACAAGAAGGAATATCCACGAATGTAAAAATGCAAGATCAAGGCTTGGCCCAGAAACAATGCCTAAAATCAAGGGGTTAAAAATGGGAGAGCAGAAGAGAGATCCAAGTCCAACCTGGCCCAGCCCAAAGAAGGTGGAATTCAAGGAGAAGAAACTAAAAGAGAAGAGCCTTGGACCACATCATTTCCTACAAGGGGCAGTCAACGAACTTTGCTGTTCAAGTTACGAAAGGGGGTTCTTTAATCCCTTCCTCTGGCCATTAAAAGCGGCAGTGGGGCCAGGCGCGGTGGCTCCCGCCTGTAATCCCAGCACTCTGGGAGGCAGATGCGGGCGGATCACGAGGTCAGGTGATCGAGACCATCCTGGCTAACAGGGTGAAACCCTGTCCCTACTAAAAATACAAAAAATTAGCCGGCTGAAGTGGCAGGCGCCTGTAGTCCCAGCTACTCAGGAGGCTGAGGCAGTAGAATAGCGTGAACCTGGGAGGTGGTGCTTGCAGTGAGCCAAGATCACGCCACTGCACTCCAGCCTGGGTGACAGAGCCAGACTCCATCTCACAAAAAATACAATAAAATTAAAAAGCAGCAGTAAATTCATTAATCAGATTCACTGAAATAGTTTTAGAACAACTGTAATTGCTCAACTTAGACATCCCCTTCCTTTCTCCCCAAGGATATTGTGTATGTACTGTATAATTATAAATGCATACTATTACATATTATGAAATGTAACATATAAAATATAAATGTTAATTATATTAGTGAACATTTATGAGAAACATTGAGATGATCTCCCTAACATGAGAGCCTGGGGGAAAGTGGGACTATCATGTCTGTCTTGCAGATTTCACCTCCCCAGAGCTCAGCCACTTAGTGCTGTTACACCTTTCCTACCACCTCTGCCAGCCAATCCTGTCTTGTGGGGAATCTGACCTCCCTATTGGCTATCGCAGACCTTTAAACTGCCTGCTTTGTGACATCATTCTCCCACCAAACCGACCGCCACCTGGTAGCATCTTGGGGTTTCCTGGGCGTGGCCTGTAAATTTGTATCATCACAAGGGGCCAGTGACCAGTAACCAGTGACCAGTGGCCTTCATACTGGACACATGCACTGGTTGGCTTCAGCCACCCAGACATCCGCTAGTATCGTCTCTTCTTCCCTTCTATCTGCAGTTGATGTTTCTTCTTCTCTGACCATGTCAGGTAAAGAAAGAAACTTCTTAAAAAGGTTTTCATGAGATTTCTTTGCCACTAAATTTAGGTTTCTTCCCCCCTATATTCCCAAACAGCTTGGAATAACAGGGAAATTATTGAAGTAGAAATCCAGAGACCTCATTTCAGTTTTGGCTTTGACATTTACTAGCTGTGTGACTTTAGATAACGTTTATTCTCTCATAAAATCTGTTTCCTCATCTATTACACTAGGATAATAGACTGGTTATTCCCCCTGGCCCTTTTCTTTTCTAATACTGAGTCTTAAAGGGTATATGTATAGAAAATGAAATCAGAGACTTTCTGAGAGTGTTCATTTCAACAGAAACAGAGAAAAAACCAAAGTGGTCTAGAAAACTAGCAATATATTCTGAGATGTTTCATGTGTAATAGTCTCCCTCTACTAATATTTCAACTTTCGTATTTTAAATTTAGTGATGCTTAGTGATGTTTTAAATAATATTCAGCCAGGCACGGTGGCTCATACCTGTAATCTCAGCACTTTGGGAGGCCATCTCCCTCACTAATATTTCAACTTTCCTATTTTAAATTTAGTGATGTTTACTGATGTGTAGTGATGTTTTTAATATTCAGTTGGGCGTGGTAGCTCATGCCTGCAATATCAATGCTTTGGGAGCCTGAGGTGGGAGGATCGCTTTGGGCCTAGGAGTTCCCGGCCAGTCTGGGCAACATGGCAAGACCCCATCTCTACAAAAACTTTTTAAGACTCAGCCAGGGTTGGGTGTATGCCAGCTACGCAGGAGGCTGAGGTGGGAGGATCAGAGGACTGCTTGAGCCCAGGAGGCTGAGACTGCAGTGAGCCATGTTCATACCACTGGACTTCAGCCTGGGTGACAAAGTGAGACCCTGTCACAAACAAACAAACAAACAAACAAACAAAAAAGAAAAGTAGTATTCACGTTTTGGACATTCCTATCTAAACTAGGTGGAAAGAGAAAATGGAGAGTACTGGGTTCTAAGGAGGCAGGTATTCTAGGGTAAGTAATT
Source organism: Homo sapiens (assembly GCF_000001405.40). Taxonomy (NCBI): domain Eukaryota; kingdom Metazoa; phylum Chordata; class Mammalia; order Primates; family Hominidae; genus Homo; species Homo sapiens. The sequence goes on from NC_000002.12 coordinate 73,805,020, forward strand.
TGGTATTTTAATTTAAGCAGAAAGACATGGTCCCCTACTTTTCCCCTTGGGATATGCCCTGGAGAATGACAAAATGATTTTAAAAGAAAAAAATATATTTTAAATTTGAAAAAAAAAAGCAGAAGGACAACAGAGTGAAATGTATTCAGAGTAGGGCAAAATGAAGTTGATTTTAGCAAATGCTTAGATCAATGGACGAGAAAGGAAACAGGCTACATTACATATCCCTAGGAAAAGCAGCTTATCAGAAGTCATATTCAGTCACTTTTTTCTGTTGCCTTTTTGAACATAGATGACACTTGACAGTTTGTAATATAAACATTTTGGAAATATGTTTTAGAGGCCGGGCACGGTGGCTTACGCCTGTAAACCAAGCACTTTGGGAGGCCGAGGTGGGCTGATCACCTGAGGTCAGGAGTGTGAGACAAGCCTGACCAACAAGGAGAAACCCCATCTCTACTAAAAATACCAAATTAGCCGGGCATGGTGGCACATGCGTGTAATCCCAGCTATTTGGGAGGCTGAGGCAGGAGAATCGCTTGAACCCGAGAGGCAAAGGTTGTGGTGAGCCAAGATCGCGCCATTGCACTCCAGTCTGGGCAATAAGAGCGAAACTCCGCTTCAAAAGAAAAAAAAAAGAAACCAACATGTTTTAGAAATGAGGCTTCCAGGCGGGGTGCGGTGGCTCACGCCTGTAATCACAGCACTTTGCGAGGCTGAGGTGGGAAGATCACCGGAGGTCAGGAGTTGGAGACCAGCCTGGCCAACGTGGTCAAACCCCATCTCTACTAAGAATACAAAAATTAGCTGGGTGTGGTGGTGTGCACCTTTAATCCTACGTACTTGGGAGGCTCAGGCATCAGAATTGCTTGAACCAGGGAGGCGCATGATGCAGTGAGCCGAGATCGTGCCACTGCCCTCCAGCCTAGGCGACAGAGCGAGACTCCATCTAAAAACAAACAAACAAATAAACAAACAAATGATCAATGCAGGTATCTCTAAAAGCTTACCACCAAGGAAAATGATTATATCCATAGATTTCCTCCCCCAAACCAGCTTAGTCCACACGTAAATCATTAGCAACTCAGCCCTAACTCATTTTATCACAGTTACAAGAGAAGTTAGTGAGAAAAGCACTAACTAGGAAAATGAAAACCAAGGCAATCCAAGTCAACTTGGGCTCACTGCAGACATCTGTTCCTTATGCTTGGGCACACAGCACAACTCACAACAGTGCCTTTTTCACAGACCCCTCTTTAATTTCCTCCACAAAACCCATCAGGTCACCATAGTTCATGATGTTTCAAAATAAACAACCATCATGAGAAAAACATGCAGTATGTCTTACAATCTTGTATTCCTTAAAAATATGACAAGGAAAAAACATGTAGAAAAACCAGAGGATTTAAAAGCAATCTACAGGCCACGCACGGTGGCTCACACCTGTAATCCCAGCACTTTGCGAGGCTGAGGCAGGAAGATCAACCGAGGTCAGGAGTTTGAGACCAGCCTGGACAACATGGTGAAACCTTGTCCTTAATAAAAATACAAAAATTAGCCAGGGATAGTGGCGGCACCCGTTATCCCAGCCACTTGGGAGGCTGAGGCAGGAGAATCACTTGGACCAAGGAGGCAGAGGTTGCAGTGAGCCAAGACCGTGCCACTGCACTCCAGCCTGGGCAAAAGAGTGAAATTCTGTCTCACTCTTATAAATAAAATAAAGTTAATAAAACAAAAGCAATTTACATTCTACAGACATACTAATGAATGACATAAATGAGGTAATACGGTATAAAACAAAATGGAAAAAATACATTATGATTATTTTCTTCAGTGTACAGAAGTCATGGAAGTTCTGGACTATCTAGCTACATAAAAAATATTGGGCCAGGCGCAGTGGCACACGCCTGTAATCCCAGCACTTTGGGAGGCTGAGGTGGGCAGATCCCAAGGTCAGGAGACCATCCTCGCTGACACGGTGAAACCCCGTCTCTACAAAAAAATACAAAAAATTAGCCGGGCATGGTGGCGAGTACCTGTAATCCCAGCTACTCGGGAGACTAAGGCACGAGAATGGTGTGAACCTGGGAGGCAGAGCTTGAAGCTAGCAGAGATCGGCCACTGCCCTCCAGCCTGGGTGACAGAGAGAGACTCTGTCTCAAAAAAAAAAAAAAAGAATTGTCTATTTTGTTAATACAAAATAGGTATGTTGAATTGTTTGTCACAGAAACCAAAAAATCCACATAAATCTCTTTTTTCCTGTACCCTCACCTTGCCTGTTTCCTATTCTCCACTAAATGCTTCAACTCTTCATTTTGCCTGGCCCTTGCACCCAAGCATGGCTGACAGAAAATCCTAAAGGCCCAAGATTCTATAGTGGCTGTTTGCAAGGGAGACGAGGCTATAAGTAACTGCCACACTGGATCCTCTTATGTGAGAAGAAAGAAAGAAAGTATCCTGAATGCCTCTCACATATAAAAGAGCAGGATGGCAGGGTGTCTGTGTGGCCCAAGGAGCCAGAGGTAGCAAACTGTGGGCAAAAGAATTGTGACCAAAGGCTAGAAGAGGGAAGGTCTGCAGTCAGCCTTGTCTTCTACCTCTCTGCTGTTTGCTTCTCATGAGCAGAGTCCGTTTTCCAAACATCAGGACACTGAAAAGAAGACTCCTGCTCTGGAAGTTGACAAGAAGGAATATCCACGAATGTAAAAATGCAAGATCAAGGCTTGGCCCAGAAACAATGCCTAAAATCAAGGGGTTAAAAATGGGAGAGCAGAAGAGAGATCCAAGTCCAACCTGGCCCAGCCCAAAGAAGGTGGAATTCAAGGAGAAGAAACTAAAAGAGAAGAGCCTTGGACCACATCATTTCCTACAAGGGGCAATCAACAAACTTTGCTGTTCAAGTTACAAAAGAGGGTTCTTTAATCTCTTCCTTTGGCCCTTAAAATCGGCAGTAGGGCCGGGTGCGGTGGCTCCCGCCTGTAATCCCAGCACTTTGGGAGGCTGAGGCGAGCAGATCACAAGGTCAGGTGATCGAACCATCCTGGCTAACAGGGTGAAACCCTGTCCCTACTAAAAATACAAAAAATTAGCCGGCTGAAGTGGCAGGCGCCTGTAGTCCCAGCTACTAAGGAGTCTGAGGCAGGAGAATGGCGTGAACCTGGGAGGTGGTGCTTGCAGTGAGCCAAGATCACGCCACTGCACTCCAGCCTGGGTGACAGAGCCAGACTCCATCTCACAAAAAATTCAATAAAATAAAAAAGCAGCAGTAAATTCATTAATCAGATTCACTGAAATAGTTTTAGAACAACTGTAATTGCTCAACTTAGACATCCCCTTCCTTTCTCCCCAAGGATATTGTGTATGTACTGTATAATTATAAATGCATAGTATTATATAATATGAAATGTAACACATTAAATATAAATGTTAATTATATTAGTGAACATTTATGAGAAACATTGAGATGATCTCCCTAACATGAGAGCCTGGGGGAAAGTGGGACTATCATGTCTGTCTTGCAGATTTCACCTCCCCAGAGCTCAGCCACTTAGTGCTGTTACACCTTTCCTACCACCTCTGCCAGCCAATCCTGTCTTGTGGGGAATCTGACCTCCCTATTGGCTATCGCAGACCTTTAAACTGCCTGCTTTGTGACATCATTCTCCCACCAAACCAACTGCCACCTGGTAGAATCTTGGGGTTTCCTGGGCGTGGCCTGTAAATTTGTATCATCACAAGGGGCCAGTGACCAGTAACCAGTGACCAGTGGCCTTCATACTGGACACATGCACTGGTTGGCTTCAGCCACCCAGACATCCGCTAGTATCGTCTCTTCTTCCCTTCTATCTGCAGTTGATGTTTCTTCTTCTCTGACCATGTCAGGTAAAGAGAGAAACTTTTTAAAAAGGTTTTCATGAGATTTCTTTGCCACTAAATTTAGATTTCTTTCCCCCTATATTCCCAAACAGCTTGGAATAACAGGGAAAGTATTGAAGTAGAAATCCAGAGACCTCATTTCAGTTTTGGCTTTGACATTAACTAGCTGTGTGACTTTAGATAACTTTTATTCTCTCACAAAATCTGTTTCCTCATCTATTACACTAGGATAATAGACTGGTTATTCCCCCTGGCCTTTTTCTTTTCTAATACTGAGTCTTAAAGGGTATACGTATAGAAAATGAAATCAGAGACTTTCTGAGAGTGTTCATTTCAACAGAAACAGAGAAAAAACCAAAGTGGTCTAGAAAACTAGCAATATATTCTGAGATGTTTCATGTGTAATAGTCTCCCTCCACTAATATTTCAACTTTCGTATTTTAAATTTAGTGATGTTTAGTGATGTTTTAAATAATATTCAGCCAGGCACGGTGGCTCACACCTGTAATCTCAGCACTTTGGGAGGCCATCTCCCTCACTAATATTTCAACTTTCCTATTTTAAATTTAGTGATGTTTACTGATGTGTAGTGATGTTTTTAATATTCAGTTGGGCGTGGTAGCTCATGCCTGCAATGTCAATGCTTTGGGAGCCTGAGGTGGGAGGATCGCTTTGGGCCTAGGAGTTCCCGGCCAGTCTGGGCAACATGGCAAGACCCCATCTCTACAAAAACTTTTTAAAACTCAGCCAGGGTTGGGGGTGTGCCAGCTACTCAGGAAGCTGAGGTGGGAGGATCAGACGCTGCTTGAGCCCAGGAGGTTGAGGCTGCAGTGAGTCAGGTTCACACCACTGGACTTCAGCCTGAGTGACAAAGTGAGACCCTGTCACAAAGAAACAAATAAACAAACAAAAGTAATATTCATGTTTTGGACATTCCTATCTAAACTAGGTGGAAAGAGAAAATGGAGAGTACTGGGTTATAAGGAGGCAGGTATTCTAGAGTAAGGAATTTGGTATTTTAATTAAAGCAGAAAGACAGGGTCCCCTACTTTTCCCCTTGGGATATGCCCTGGAGAATGACGAAATGATTTTAAAATAAAAAAATATATTTTAAATTTGAAAAAAAAAGCAAAAGGACAACAGAGTGAAATCTATTCAAAATAGAGCAAAATGAAGTTGGTTTTAGCAAATGCTTAGATCAAAGGACTAGGAAGGAAACAGGCTAGAATAGAGTATCCCTAGAAAAAGCACCTTATCAGAAGTCATATTCAGTTGTTTTTTTTCTGTTGCCTTTTTGAACATAGATGACACTTGACAGTTTTTAATATAAACATTTTAGAAATATGCTTTAGAGGCCGGGCAGGATGGCTCACACCTGTAATCCCAGCACTTTGGGAGGCCGAGGTGGGCTGATGACCTGAGGTCAGTTCAAGACCAGCCTGACCAACATGGAGAAACCCTGTCTCTACTAAAAATACAAAATTAGCCGGGCATGGTGGCACATGCCTGTAATCCCAGCTACTTGGGAGGCTGAGGCAGGAGAATCGTTTGAACCCAGGAGGTGTAGGTTGCAGTGAGCCTAGATCATGCCATTGCACTCCAGCATGGGCAACAAGAGCGAAACTCTGTCTCAAAAAGAAAATATATATATATATATACATAAAATATATATGTATATTTTATGTATATTATATATATACATAAAATATATATATTTTATATATATACATAATATATATATGTATATTTTATGTATATATCTATAATATATATAATATAATAAAATATACATATATATTTTATATATATATAATATACATATAAAATATACATACATAAAATATACATGTATATTTTATGTATATATAATATATATATAAAATATACATGTATATTTTATATATATAATATACATGTATAATTAATATACATGTATGTTATATATATTACATGTATATTATATATAATATACATATAAATTTTAAATTTAGTGTATATTACATGTATATTATATATAATATATGTATATTATATAATATAAATGTATGTTATATATAATATACATGTATATTTCATATATATATATATATATGTTTTAGAAATGATGCCTCCAGGCCGAGCTCGGTGGCTCACACCTATAATCCCAGCACTTTGGGAGGCTGAGGCGGGTGGATCACCTGAGGTCAGGAGTTCGAGATCAGCCTGGCCAACATGGTGAAATCCCATCTCTACTAAAAATACAAAAATTAGCTGGGTGTGGTGACAGGCGCCTGTAAACCCAGCTACTTGGGAGGCTTAGGCAGGAGAATCTCTGGAACCTGGGAGGCAGAGGTTGCAGTGAGCCGAGATCTTGCCACTGCACTCCAGTCTGTAGGATAGAGCAGGACCCCATCTCAAAAGAAAAGAAAAGAAATGTTGCTTCCTACAAACAAGAAACTAATAAGTGGTTACCTAGAGAGCTGGAGGACATGTAATTTGCAGTGTGCTGTTTCTAATTTTTAAATTATATGGATGTTTCTCCTATTAACAATAAAATTAAGTTTTCTGAAAAAAGAATGTATCGTTATTTGCATCAGAAGAACAATACCTTTGCATGAAAAGTAGATTCCAAGTAAAAGCTGCTTTTTTATCTTAATACTTTCTTCCAAAAACAGAGTACCTACTGATTCATAATGGACTGCTTTTAGACCTAAGAATAAAAAGTCAAGCCACATATCAGCCACATATCTCTAATTCCATATCAATCTAAGCCAAATTTTCTGGAGTCCTTTGAACTTTCCTACATTCAAAACATTTTTTAATTGGATTCTAGCAGTTGTTTTTTTTTAAGCTATGGGAATGTCATTTTCCTGGACGTTGGAGATGATTATAATCTAGGTTTTGAGGATAGATATTAAAGTTCTCATGATACTTTTTAAGAGTTCTTTTCTGCTTGTTATGTGGCTACAATAATTTAAATATTACACTAGGATTAATACCTGTCATTTGCTGGGTAATATTCATAGAAATATGAATGAGCATAATAATTCCTTTACACTTATTTTTTGCATTCTACCTTGTACCAGTTTTTATTGAAATATCTATCCACATATATTATGGCTATTTTACATTCACATTTACTGCATTTTTCTGTTTCTTACATACTTTTTGCTTCTTACACACTTTTTGCTGATACAGTTTGTCTATACATTTTCTGCTTCTTACACACTTTTTGCTGATACAATTTCTCTGTCTATATATGCTTGTTAGAAATTCATTCATTCTATTATGGGCTGTTTCTTGGTTAATAGTATTCACTAAGAAAGAGTAGATACTATTCAGTTTCCTAATGTTGCATGTATGGTAACAGCTTTAGTTAGTACTTTACTATGTTTTGATGCTAGCTACATACCCCAATTTTCATTAATATCTATATATTGTTTTAGTTCCATGATTTTATGTTTTTAATTATTTTGTCTGTTTTTTCAGAACTTACTATATCTTCCTCATTATAAGTCATATGTAATCTATCACTTTTATTCATGTATGAATTATCACTGTTATTATTTTACAACTTCTTTATAGACAGGCAGCCTGAAGCTCACAGAGTTTAACTAGCTTTTTTCTTTCAAAAAGCATTTCTTGGCCAGGCATTGTGGCTCACACCTGTAATCCCAGCACTTTGGGACACCGAGGCAGGCAGATAATCTGATGTCAGGAGTTTGAGACCAGCCTGGTAAACATGGCAAAACCCCGTCTCTATTAAAAATGCAAAAAATTAGCCAGGCAGAGTGGCTGCCTGGGTGTCAAGCCACTGCACTCCAGCCTGGGTGACAGAGTAAGACTCTGTCTCAGTAAAAAGAAAAAAGAAAACATTTCTATCAGGTAGTTATTTTGACTAATGATAAAAAGCCAGGCTTGAAGAGGGCAAAGAATGACCTTTTAGATTTACCAATGGCCTGGGTTAAATATAAACTCTAGGACATATCATATGACCTGCAGAAGCAAAATGTGACACTAAGGATTATAAAGGTAATAGCTGTACTATATTCTAGTAGACCAAAAAAATGCCATATTAAAAGTTCTAATTTCCTGGTTTCTGGTCTATGCTCAGAGAAAAGACTCCTGGCAAGGAAGTCAGGTTCTGTAACCTGGTAATGATATTAACATAATGGTAAAACTTAAAACAGGTCAATCTGACCTCTCAGACTCATAAAATGAAATGTTAGAACTTCTCTAAGGACCTCCTAGTTCTAAAATGCTCCAATTCTAGGAAATAGTTATGAGTCTATACTAGCCCAGATTCAAGGGAAAGATAGGGAAGGGAGAAGGTTGCTTCTAGCCTAGGAAATAATGTACGAAACCAGACCATTTGGGTCTTCATATCTGTGTCCAAGTTGGACACAAAGACAGTTCATCAGAAGAGGACCAAACTGCTTCAGCACTCAAGGCCATCATAAACTGTTTGGCTTTTGGTATCTCAGTGAGTATTGGTATTAGAGGCTTCCTGATTGCAACAACCTTAAGATAATGCTAGTCTTCCAATAAGGTGAGAATTTTTCACTCTCATCGGTTTTTTCATCTCTCTCTTGTTTCCTACAGAATATTTCCAAAATACGTCTTTACCTGGAACTGCAAATTCTCGGCAGTTCTCTCTTCCTGTGGTGAGCAATGCAGCTTTCTTAACAGGAAGCATCTCCAACTTCTCCAGAGCCTCTGCTCCAGCCATCAGCTCAGCATGGCTACAGCCATCAGCCTCTGGCACCTCCTTCCAGCCACTCATGGGCAGTGCCTACCTTTACCAACATTCTAGCACAACTATGTTGTCTGGGGTTACTGGCCAGAGCCATATCTGTACTTCAGCTGCCTCTTATCCAGGCGTTTTTGAGTGGGATAGTACAGCAAGCACAGTAAAGAAGTCATCCTCACTCAGGGACTTCACTGTGACTGTCATTGATCAGAACACAGCTGTCTCTTCCATGTCTATGACAGCCCAGTATTATAAAACTTCAGATACCAATACTATGGTCCCTCTGTATCCATCACTATCTGCCAGCCTTGTTCAGGGGACACTAACTCAAATTCCAAATCAGCAGGGCCATAACCTGTCACTTCCCTGCCAGATAGGAAGCCAGGTCTATTACTATAATCAAGGCACACTGGGGCCTCAACTATCCTGCCTGCAATCTTATGGCTCTGTGTCATACACAGGATATAGGGCTTCTGCCCATCAACCAGAAATGGTGATGGTGCTGAAGGAGGTTCAGCCCACAAATGTCCTACCACCAGTCTCTACTTCTGGGATGTATTACTCTGTGTCTTCTCAACCCATCACAGAAACCAGTGTTCAAGGTGAGTACAAACATCAAGAAAGGAGAGGAATAATGTCAGCGTTGAAAAGGAGGGTCAAATCTGTAGCGAGTGGTGAGTCCGTGGATAGGTAGAATTTAAGTCCTGAGACTTCAACCACTATTCTTTGGCAGTGCTCTCCATTTTCAGACTCTATATAAGAACACCTTATAAGTGGGAAAGTGGAACACTGTAATGGCCATCTATGCTACATGTAAGAGAATCGCAAGAGCATACTGAGGGATACACTTTTTAGTGCCCTGACTGATCACTTCCCCCACACTACCACGCTGTAATGTCCTTCCTTAATCTATTACTTTAGTCTCTTTGGAAGGCACTTCAGAACTCTTATTTTGGCGGTGACATTTTGATTTTCCTTAACTTACAATAGGATTTAAGACCTTGTGTTCAGAGATCCTCTCCAAAACAAACAGGCTCAGAATCTGTGCTTGCTTATATATTTCATGAGGAAGGGCTCCACTCTCTACCTTACCCTAGTCCATGGTGTAAACTGTTCTTATTCTCTCAGGAGAGTGGAGAGAATTGAAAGGACCCTGTAAGAATGTGAGGCTGTATAAAACATCTCCTATTTTAAAAATCACTTTCACTTTTTGATCTACAACAACCCTATGAAATACAAAGAAAACCAAGAAACAATCACATCAAATGATAACCAGTAAGAGAACAGTCACTGCCAATCTCCTAATACAGGGTCTTGCCCATGGTCCTTAAGAAGAGCTAGTAGAAATGCCTTGCCCATGTTGGAAAGGTATCCGATTGCTGCACTGGTGTGTAGGGGGAGCATCTCACTTACCAGGGACTGACTTCTTCCTTGATTCCTTTGTAGTGATGGAAACTTCCCTGGGGATGGATACTTCCCTGGGATTGCAATCTCCAAGCCAGACATTTTGTCTGCCACAAACTCCAGAATTCTCCAAGTCCTTCAGTAGCAGAAATACCCAGACACTTGAGAGTAACCCATCACCTGAGCTTGGGGACATTTCAATAACTCCAGTCCAGAGTCCTACTAATCTCTTGACACTGTCTCCAGCTCCAAGCCAGGAAAAAAATGAGAATGAGAATTTGGATGAGATTAAAACCAACCTTTCAAAGCCTCTAGATGTCCACCAGATCCTAATAGGAAATCAAGATCCTCCACTACTTCCTGTAGAAATCCCCGATATTCACCCGCTTCTGGCCTGCATTGATCCTCTTGGCCAAGAGGAGCAGCCTGGTTCTGAAAATGCCAATCTAAGAAATAAGAGCCTGAGTCTTGAGGACCAAGGGATATTTGAAAATGGGATTGAGTCTAGCAGTGATTTGGCAGACATCACTACATGGGTGGAGGATACTTACCTCCCCCCGATCTTCAGTTCCTTACAAGATCTTGACCAACCTGAAAGTCCCTCAGCAAAGAAAGCCAAAGATACCAGTGCCATCAAGGTAAATCAGGTGCAGGAAAAGTCATGTGTCATAAAGGGTCACTCTGATCAAGTCAGGAAGAACAAGCATAAAGCTTCCGAGCCTATCCAGGGTGCTCCCAAGGCCAAAATCCAGCCAAAGAACCCAGAGTGCCTATTAGAGAGAGAAGTGGTTGTTGGCAGTGCTACAGTCAGTAACAGCGCTTCTGTGAACAAGGCCAAGCATTCTAGCAACAAACCTCACAAGGCTGCATCCAGCAGGATCAGCAAAACTAAGAGCCATGGGCAGGAAAAGACCAAAGGGAACAGAAAGAACAGCTCCAAGAAATCTGAAGAGAGTAAGCAGTCAGGGAAAAAAGTCAAGGTAGAAGAGAAGCAAACCATTCCCAATATGAAACGGAAGAAAAATCAACCTGAGCTTAGCCAAAAGACCCTTAAAAAGCCCCGAAGCTCCCTAGGCATGCACATGCTAGAGTCCGTGCAAGTTTTCCATGCACTCGGGAAAAAGATCGATATGAAAACTGGATTCTCTTCCTCCAGGACCCTGGGAAGCTCAAGCAACACCCAAAACCGCCAGCCATTCCCAGCTCTCAAACCATGGCTGGATATCCAACATGAGGGTAAAGGCCCGGAGAAAATTCAAGTCAAGGCCCAGAAACTAGATGGTAGTGCTGAAAAAGAGTGTACATCTCCATCCCACTCTGAGTTGCCACCACCTGGGAAGGTCAAGTTGATACCTTTGCCCTTTCTGACCCTGGACCAACCTCAAGCTCGACATGTTTCTCGGCGGCCAAACCCTCTAGCCTCACGTAGGCCTGCTGTGGCTTACCCTGCTCGACCTGATTCTACTAACTCAGCTCAATCGAATGCAGTCAATCCATCCCGACCAGCTCCTACCAACACATCTTTGACAGGTCCTGCCACACCAGCTCAGCCAATTTCAGCCAAAGCAACCCAACCCAGTTCAGCCAACCCTACCCAGCCTACTGTCCCTCAATCTGCTGCTTCTAGGCCATCAGCCTACAAAACATCATCTTGTTCTTCTCTGCAGCGGGAGCCTGTTTCCACTGCTGTGACCAGTCTCCGGTCACTGCCCAAGCCTCAAAATCAATTTCTAATCCAAGACTTCAGCCTCCAACCCCGTCCATGGAGGAAACCCACTGTTCCTGAGCCAGTAATGTCAACGCCCATCACAGAAGAGCAGAGGCCAGAGCGTGAGGCCATGAAGAGAAAGGCTCAACAAGAGCGTGAGAATGCTGCCAAATACACCTCTTTGGGGAAAGTGCAGTTTTTCATTGAAAGGGAAAGAGATATGGAAATTGCTGAATACTATGGCTACACAATCTAAGAGCTGAGATTGTTGGTTTTACTTTGGATACCGCTGGTTTTCCACATATATAGATAGATACTAATTTATTTATTCTGATATATTTTTAAAACATAATAAAGAAATGTAATAGAATTGATTAATAGATAAGTAATAAAGAGGCCTTTTGAGTTTTGAGATGCTGTTGACTGTGGGTTTTCTTTGGTGGGGGTGGGGATGAAAGGCTGCATTAGAAAGAAGGAATTATGGCCGGGCATGGTGGCTCATGCCTATAATCCCAGCACTTTGGGAGGCCGAGGTGGGTGGATCACCTGAGGTCAGTAGTTCAAGACCAGCCTGGCCAACATGGTGAAACTAAAAATACAAACTAAAAACTAAAAATACAAAAAATTAGCTGGGTGTGGTGGCGGGTGCCTGTAATCCCAGCGTCTCAGGAGGCTGAGGCAGGAGAATCGCTTGAACCCGGGAGGTGGAGGTCAAAGTGAGCCAAGATCGTGCCACTGCACTCCAGCCTGGACAACAGAGTGAGACTGCGTCTCAAAAAAAAAAAAAAAAAAAAAAAAAAAGAAGGAACTAAAAGTTGGATGGGAGAATAGAGAGAAAGAAAGGGATAAGAATTGAGGAAACAGGAAGGAACATGTTCCAGGACTAAGAAGGTCAAATGGGGAGAGATTTTATGGGCTTATACAAAGAATCAGAAATGGGGAAAATGGCAGAAGTAAGATGCAGAATCTGAGGTTAGGACTAAAAGAATAAAATTTGGATATAAATTGAAGATGGCAGAAGATGAGGCTGGGTGGACCAAAAGAAACGTACAAAATCCCCCATGGATGATAGCCTTATGTCTCATGGCCTATCAGATAGGTATTTTAGAAAATAAGATTCAGGTCTCATCAACAGGTTTGGGTTACCTTATACGTATATGATCACAGTTGGGAAAGTGAGTACAAAACATAGGGGAAATCTACCAGGGGAATGGCAAGGGCTCACAGTTCTCCTAGATACAGCTGATAACCTGGGGCCCAGCCAAATGAACTGCAGCAGCATGAAGCTGGCTCAGAACAGACCCCAGAGTATAGATCTCCATTTACTCAACCAACACCTATGCAAGGGGCAGTGAGACGCACTACTTCAGTTCACCTTCACAACAACACACAAGACCAGTAACACTGTGCCACTTTACTAGTGAGGTTCAGCAGTGGGCTTGGGTCACACTGTGTGCAAAGGGGTAAGGCCTGTGGGTCTCCGAAGTCCTCAGCGTTTGCAAGCGCCTGCAGGCAGCCAGCCTGGCTTTCAGACCGCGGAATCCGGAGGTTACAGGCATAATAAATCAAGCTTCTGGAGGGACTTAAATATTAAGAGGCCGCCAGGTCCTCCTCCACCCATTCCAGCACGTGCAACCTTCTCCGCCATCACCATTAACTGAAGTACACGAGACAAAACGGCTTGGAGCGTCCATTTTCACAGGATGAGTGGTGGGCGCGCGCGCGCCCTGGGTCCCCCTCCAAAAGCCGCAAGACGCAGGCGCCCAACTGTCCACAGACGCTCCTTAGGGGGAGGCCCCCCCCCCCCACGCCCCTCGAGGCACAGTGGGAGGTAGAAAGGGTTGGGGGCGGTGGGGGGAGGGCAGGAGAGGAATGGGTGGGGGAAGGGAAGATGGGGGCAGTGGATGGTCACCATGGGTAAATCAGTAATTTACTTTTTAAAAAATTAGTTTCTGATATATAATTCACCTAACATAAAATTCACTGTTCAAAATCCGTACGATTCGGCCGGGAGCGGCCTGTAATCTTAGCACTTTGGGAGGCTGAGGCAGGCGGATCACTTGAGCTCAGGAGTTCGAGACTAGGCTGGCCAACATGGTGAAACCTCGTCTCTAATAAAAATACAAAAATTAGCCGGGCGTGGTGGCGCATGCCTACAATCCCAGCTGCTCAGGAGGCTGAGGCACAAGAATCGCTTGAACCCGGGAGGGGGAGGTTGCAGTGAGCCGAGATCGTGCCACTGCACTCCAGCCTGGGTAACAGAGCGAGTCTCAGTCTCAAAACAAAAAACAAACAAACAAAAATCGTACAGTTCAGTGACATTTAGTATGTTCACAAGGTTGTACAATCATTACAACTATCTGAGCCATTACCTTTTCATCATCCCCTGCAAAAAAACCCTCTACCCATTAGCGGTCACTCCTCATTCCCTCCTCCCTCTGACACCAGGCAACCACCAATCTCTGGATTTACCTTTTCTGGACATTTCATATAAATGGAATCATACAACATGTGACCTTTAGTATCTGGCTTCTTTCATTTAATACTATGTTTTAAAGGTTTATCTATGTTGTAGTGTGTGTCTGAACTTTATTCCTTTTCATACTGCATAGTATTCTTATTGTATGACTACACCACATTGGCTTATCCATTCATCCATTACTAGACATTTGGGTTGTTTCCACCAGCAATTTATATTTATTGAGAGTTTATTCTGTGCCAGGCAGCACCTGGCTAAGTTATTCATCCCATTTCACAGATAAGGAGGTAGAGAATCTGAAGAATTTGCCCAAGATTAAGAGCTAGCTAGCAACTGCTAGCAATAGCTGGGATTTGAACACAGGCATTTTAGACTTAAAAGATAATAGATTCACATGATAGAACATTGGAAAGATACAAAATGGTGACAATGGAAATTCACACTTTCCCCAAGTTTCCCAGCCACCACCACCCCCTCCCTTAGAAGCATCTACTTTTGCCATTTTAAGGATTCTTCCAGATAAATTATTTATTTTTACCCCAACATGTACATATTACAATTTACTGAATAATCTGTCCCATTGATTTGAAATGTCACTTTTATGGTATACTACGTTTCTATGTGTTTGCATTACTCTTTTCAGAACTGTCCTGACTTTTTTGCCTATCTTTTGTTATTTGCCATTTCTCTAGAATTCTTTTTATTATCTTCTTTTTGATTTTTAAAAATTTCCTTTTTTTAAAAGGCATTATCCATTATGCTAATTCATTCTTTTTTCTTCTTTTTCTTTTTCTTTTTTTTTTTTCGAGACGGACTCTCGCTCTGTCACTAGGCTAGAGTGCACTGGTGCCACCTGGCTCACAGCAAACTTCACCTCCTGGGTTCAAGCGATTATCATGCCTCAGCCTCCTGAGTAGCTGAGATTACAGGTGCACGTCACCATGCCTGTCTAATTTTTTTTTTTTTTTTCCTGAGACAGAGTTTCCTTCTTGTTGCCCAGGCTGGAGAGCAATGGCGCGATCTCGGCTCACCACAACCTCTGCCTCCCAGGTTCAAGCGATCCTCCTGGCTCAGCCTCCCGAGTAGCTGGGATTACAGGCATGCGCCACCATGCCTGGCTAATTTTGTATTTTTAGTAGAGTCGGGGTTTTGTTGGTCAGGCTGGGCTCAATCTCCTAACCTCGGGTGATCCACCCATCTCGGCCTCCCAAAGTGCTTGGATTACAGGTGTGAGCCATCGCCCTGGCCTAATTTTTGTATTTTTAGTAGAGACAGGGTTTCACCATGTTGGCCAAGCTGGTCTTGAACTCCTGGCCTCAACTGATCCACCCGCCTTGGCCTCCCAAAGTGTGGGGATTACAGGTGTTTTTTAAAATGTAGCCACCATGCCCAGCCTGTTCATTCTTGTGTTCTTTTTACTTTAGTCTTCATTTCTGAAGTTTTTCTTTTGTTTTTAATCCTGTTCTGAGTTCTACCATCTCACCTAATTTTGATTTATATTGTTTTCTCACCCTTTTTATTGCAGTAAAATACACATAATGTAAAATTTACCATTTTAACCATTTTAAGTGTACAATTCAGTGGCATTAAGTAGATTCATACTGTTGTTCCACCATTACCACTATCCATCTCCAGAACTTTTTCATCATCCCAAACAAAAACTCTGTACAGTACTCATTCAGTAACTTCCCATCCTGCCCCCCATGGTCCTTTCATCTTTTGCATCGTTTTTTCCTAATGTCTTTTAGCTAGTTTTGAAATAGCAGATTACTCTTTGGATCAGCTGGCGGGGCTGTCTTTTCTGACTTGCTTTTGTTGTCTGACAGGATGCTATTCTGCTGCTTATTCTCTTTTTTCTTATAATACCTTTGTATGGGATTTGACTACGATCCTTTTCTGTTATTCATTTTTAGGTGAAATTGGTTTTTCTGCACTTTGAAAAGGAGGTGTTAAGGATAACTTTTCTAAAACTTCCCCAAACTTCTCTTTTTTAAAAATGTAGTGTCAAATGACATGGTGGTTTGCTTTTTGACATTTCCTAGCTCTGTTTCCCTCCCTGATTTTTATCTTTGTATCCGTTGTTCCTCCCAGTAGTTTTTCCTCTGTGTTTCCAGGGCCACATCCTGGAAAGGAGCTCTGGCTGCTCGGGCTCAAGAGTGGGAAGGGACTAGACTGCTTCAGTGCTTCAGAGTCTATCACAGGTCCCTTGTACTTACTCACTTTGTGACTGGGCAAAACCCCTCAGTTTCAGCTGCTGTTCTCACATTGGCCCATGGTACTTTCCAGTGAACTTCTCTGCTGGCAGTTTGAAGGCATACTGTCTACCACTCCCTCTTGTGTGGGTGCCATACCAGGCAAGTCTGGTGCCCATTGGTGATGGTTTGCCCCACCCTCTTGTTTTGGGGTTCATAGGGAAAACCGTCCTCTAGTTTTGTGATAAAGGCTACTTATGGGTTTTTTGTTTGGTTTGATCTATTTCCATGAGAGGATTTGAGGAGATTCAAAACTACACTGCTGCCTCCATCTTTCTAAAATCCTGCTCAATCTTTTGACATAATTATTTTAAACATGGGAACCCTGTAGTTCTCTGTTCCCTTAAACAGAGCTCCATTTGCCCCAAACTAGTTAAGACTCTGAGTCAGACAAGGCTTGCTGAGTCTCCTCTCTCTAACATGGCAACTCTGTACTTGCTCAGTCCATGTTTTGAGTGAGAAGTCAAAACACAACAGCCTAAAGGGCTCATGGGTGGACAATCTGGAGAAAGGCCCTGGTCAGAATGTGCATCGTTTCCTTCTCTTTGTATCTTCTTTCCTAAACGTGTATAAAATTGAATCTCTCATCTGCCCTCCTACCCCCACAAAAAAAAAAACCTGGTTCATACACAGTTTTCTTTATCTCAGTTCATGGTAATGCCATTTTTCAGTTGCTTGGGGCAGAAACCTTTGAAGTCATTTGTAGTGATTTGTTAGAGCAGCGACTAGAAACTAATACAATGCTCATTAGAGTATTGTAACAAGTAAGGTGCCATCTGAAAAATAATATAATTAAGTTAGAAGAAAACCTTACTCTTAGCCACAATCACTTGCTAATGGGATATGTATGCCAGTTGGGTACTGTACATCTCAAACCTTAGAATCAAGTTGGATATTACCAGCATCACTTCCTGTTCCACACTGATTTGCATAGGGCACTTGCCAAAAACCCAGCTTCACAAAGATACAGTATCATTGAAAGTAATGTGGCATGACCTGATGTTGAAACTGTGAACTATACCTACTAGCTAGAAGCTCATGCAATATCTAACAGATGTTGGGTATTGCTATGAATCCTTCACGAATTTAAAATACCCAGCTGCACCCAGATGAATCTGCTGTAGTGTCTTGGGAGCACATTGGTGCACTTTTTTTTTTTTTAAGACAGGGTCTCACTCTGTCACCCAGGCTAGAGTGTAGTGGTGTGATCATAGCTCACTGCTGCAATCTCAGACTCTGGCCTCTAGAGATCCTTCCACCTCAGCCTCCCAAAGCACTGGGATTGTAGGCATGAGCCACTGTGCCTGGCTGGTACACCTTTTGAACCACAGTCCTAATTGGTTTTCCTGTTCCCAGCCTTTTCCCTAAAATTTGTCAACATGGCAGCCATAATGATCCTTTCAAAACACAAATCACAAAACACAAATCAGATCACTCTTTTGTTCAGTCCTTCCCATAGCTTCTCATTTCTCTCAGAGTCAAAGTCAACATTGTTACAGTGGCCTGTGAAATCTTACCTACAGCAGGGGTCAGAAAATATTTTCTATAAAGACTCAGACAGTTAAATATGTTAGTCTTTGTGGGATAGATCATCTCCGTCTCAACAACTCCACTTTCTGGTTGTAGCATGAAAGCAGCCACAGAAAATACATAAACAAATGAGCATGGCCATGTTCCAATAAAACTTTATTTACAAAAACAGGCTGCACTGGTTTGCTGACTCTTGCCCTATATGATTTACAGCTACACTCCCCTTCACTCCACTCCAGGCACGCTGAGCCCCTTTACTGTGCCTTGAATGCACCAGCAAGCTCCTGATTGAAGGCCTCTGTACTTGCTATTCCCTGCCTGGAAAGCTCTTCTTACCTCCAAGTCTTTTCTCAAATCTTTTCAATGGGAGTTTCCTTGACCACACTATTTGGAATTGCAGTTGCCTCACTGCTTCTCCCTTCCTTCAATCTGATTTCCTGTGCCAGGGCCCATTGCTTTCACAGTACTTTGAACCTTTTAATACACTATGTAATTGACTTCTTTATCATGATAATTTTTATAATCCACTACTCCTCCATCCATCACTAAACTACAAGATCCCCAAGGGCAGGGAAATTTTTGTCTGCTTTGTTCATTGATATGTGCCTAATGCCTTAAACAGTGTCGGGCACATAGATGATAATCAGTATTTGTCAAATGACTAACTAAATGAGTATTTTTCAGAGTACACACATAGTGGCATGCAATTCTTTATCCCTCATTAAAAGTTATAGTGCTTGGTCATAATTCAGGCCCTATATTTGAAAAGAAATACGTAAACAAAATATAAAATGATAAAATCTCTCATTCAAAATGTCCAATTCTCAAATAGCCATAAAGTTTCACGTGTCATTTAACTCTTGTTGAAATTCGCAACCTTGAAAATGGCACTCTGACCTAAAACAAAGACTTTGACTTATTGGAAAATAAATTATACAGTCCACAGCTAGCAAGCAGGTAACAAACGAAAAAAATATGTCTAACATAAAACGGATTCCTCATGTACACATTTAAACATAAATTTAAACAATATATACACATTAAAAATATTTCCAAGCATGCGTAAGAACTCATTTTCCAAAGTGGTCATTTTTCTTGGAGATGAGAGAGACCAGTCTTCAAACAAACTGTAGGGGGAGCTCCAAACCACAGATTCACCTTCATGTTACTGGTTTTACAGTAGCCTTCTTAAGAACAACTTCACTGGGTAATTCCAACTCCAGCTGAAAAGGAACATATATGCATGCATTCATAATGCACAAACTTAAAAGATCCCAGTGCATTTGCTACATTTCCCTTTATTTGAATCAGCTCATTCTATATCTTTTTCTTCCCAAGTACTTTTCAAACCTATTTGTCATTTTATATTCCCAATGGACTCATAGCAAAAATTTTAACAATGTGAACAATTTGTTTTTAGTACACACTCCATTTCTGCTTTCATAGCCCCTCCATTCCCAAGCAATGTTCAAGATAGGCTGTTTTAGTGTCTCAATGCATGGAGCTCACCTAGCCTCCCCTTGAGAATATTGCTCATCTTTTAAAGAATTTTTTCCTTCTAATGGCTCTAAACCTTCATCCACGGAAGACTTAAAACAACTGGAACTCAGTTTTTCTTTTTTCTTTTCTTTTCTTTTCTTTTTTTTTTGAGATGGAGTCTCACTTTGTCGCCCAGGCTGGAATGCAATGGCACGATCTCAGCTCACTGCAACCTCTGCCTCCTGGGTTCAAGTGATTCTCCTGCCTCAGCCTCCTGAGCAGCTGGGACTAGAGGTACCCACTACCACGCCCAGCTAATTTTGTATTTTTAGTAGAGACAGGTTTTCACTATGTTAGCCAGGGTGGTCTTGATCTCCTGACCTTGTGATCTGCCCACCTCAGCCTCCCAAAGTGCTGGGATTATAGGCATGAGCCACCATGCCCCGCCCAGTTTTTCTTTTTCACTGTGGTAGACCCATGCCAGACACAGACCCATGAGCTTGAAAGATATTCAATAAACACTTGCTCAATTAATAAAGGCATCTAGCCTTTAGGCTTTCTGCTTCTAGCTCTAAGTGCCTTGCAGAGAAGAGTGGGTCCCAAAAGCATAACGGTCATTGTTTTTCATTGTTCATCTCAGTAATCAGCATAATTGGCTAATTACATTCCTGTAAATCATTTTGGGGACAGTGAGACAATATTTATCTCAACAACATTTGAACATTCAACAATGTTCATTGAGTGTCACATCTGGTTTCGCAAGCCATTCTAGGCAGTGGGGATAGAGCTGTGAGCAAGGCAGAAAAGGATCTTAACTTTCTGGAAATTATATTCTAGTGGGGAATGAAAGACAATAAGCAACCCAAATCATATCAGACAGTGGTAAGGATTATCAAGACAATTAAAATAAGACCAACTAATGAAGGATGACTGGGTGGCTCCTTAGAATGGGTGGTCAGAGAAGTTCTCCTTGAGGAGGTAACATGTAAACTGAGAAATGAATGATGAGGCAGAGCCAGCCAAGTGAAGATGAGGGTAAAAGCATCCCAGGAAAAGGAGTCAGCTATGCAAAGGTCTTGAGTGGAAAAGCAGATGTTTGGATGGTGTCGGTGGAGAGTATTAAGCAAGGAGATTGGGAGATGAAGTCAGAAAGGCAACAGGGGCCGAGTCACTCTGTAATCCCCAGTAAGGAGTGTGGATGTTTATTCCAAGTGCCATGGGAATTCACTGAAGAGTTTTAAGCCGAGGAGTGATGGAATCTGATTTTTGCTTTAAAAAGATCATTAGTGGCCAGGCGTGATGGCTCACACCTGTAATCCCAGCACTTTGGGAGGCTGAGGTGGGTGGATCACTTGAGGTCAGGAGTTCAAGACCAGCGTGGCCAACATGGCAAAACCCTGTCTCTACTAAAAAATACAAAAATTAGCCAAGTTTGGTGGCGAGCACCTATAATCCCAGCTACTCAGGAGGTTGAGGCAGGGAGAATTGCTTGAACCTGGGAGGTGGAGGTTGCAGCCGAGATTGTGCCACTGCACTCCAGCCTGGGTGACAGAGCAAGACTTCATCTCAAAAAAAAAAAAAATTAGCTGCTGTTGTAAGAATGCATTGTAGTAGGTAAGAATGAACGCCCTTCCTGTACTAATGCAATTGTCCCTCTAGGTATGTCACTTAACACAAGAGTACCAACCTTGCAAGTGAAATACACCTAGAGTCTTCCTTGTTTTTACCCTCCCTGACCCCCGAACTCCGCTGGGTCTGTATTTTTCCTTTTCTTCTTTTTGCTTTTTAGCAATAGGAGTCTCACTATGTTGCCCAGGCTGGAATGCAGTGGCTATTCACAGGTGAGATCATAGCACACCACAGCCTTAAACTCCTGGGCTCAAGTGATCCTCCTGGGTTTTTTGTTTGTTTTGTTTTGTTTTGTTTTTTTAGAGGTCTCACTCTGTTGCCCAGGCTGGAGAGCAGTGGTGTAATCATAGCTCACTATATCCTCGAACTCCTGGGCTCAAGCGATCCTCCTGTCTCAGCCTTCCAAAGTGCTGGGATTACAGGCGTGAGCCAGCGCACCTGGTCCAGGCCTGTGTTTTCTAAACCCCGATGTTACATTTCAGATTAAGAACTTCACCTTCTAGGCATCTTTTGCTGCTGCCCAAAAATGAGCAAGTAGGAATGAGCATGCAGGAGTGCAGGAGACCTGACGTTGGCATATGCAAGCGGCCAGATGGAGGCTGCTATATTCAGGAAAAGTGTTCATGGCTGGGAGTGAGCACCGGAAGGAAAGAGCATCTCAATTCCTAACCTGGTCTAGTCTGCCAGGTGAACTGCTGAAGCCTATTTGCTGAAGGAATACCTTCCACGCTTAGCCTCCAATCTTTAGGGCAGGGGTAGGTAGGATATTCTCATCAGTTATGCCAAGAATCTTTTATAGCTTTGATTTCCTGATTGTGTATACAAAATTGTTTAGTTTTTAAACTTTTCCAGTTAAACAAGAAATGAGGAATGTAAAATTTTTACCTTGGCCAAGATTTTCTTATTTCAGGTCCCTAGAAAGCTGAGTATTGAACTTTGCCCCAGATATCAAAAACTCTGGTCAACATTTACAAATTCTCTCCCTAAAAAGACTAGATCCTGCTTCCTATATTCACTTAGCTATTACCTTAAGAACTGCTAGCAACTGGGCATATTAACTTTCTAATATCAGGAACAGCCTCTATGTGGCGCTAGCTATGTTTACGACTATGCACACCCCTTATATGTGTGTCTCAGTTATAGCTTCTTAAAGTCTTCTCATCATAATCTTAAAATCTAGGATGTTTGTAAATTTTCTTTACTTGTTAAGCTAAACATTATAAAAAAAAGAACTACTTTAGAGATTGTGCTGAATGGGAGCAGATGCCCCTCCCTACCCCACCAGCTGTACTTCTACCTGTGCTTCCACCATTAGAGTATCCACCTGCTGGGTTTGTTTGCTGATGTATCCCTAACACCTAGAACAGAACCTGGCACATAGTAGACACTCAGTAAACATTTACTGAGTGAGAGGTTGAATGGATCAGATTTTGACCTGTGTTGCCTCCTGCCAGGACCCCATCTGCACTATAATGCCCACCCAATGACCAGCATCTCCAGTGCATCAATTTCTTTAGGCCCAACCCATCATGTTTACATTCTGAAGAGAGTCAGTAGAGAGAGTTTTGAAGACACAGTAGAGTGCCCTATACAATTATCTTCCCAGATTTATCTGCAGTAGATCCATGAGAGTTGATAGTAGACCCATGCACATTAATGCTTGCTGGGGGCAGAAGGGGAGGTGATATGATGCAAGCAAGTACTTTCAACCCTAAGTCTGAAAAGTTGATGACTACACAAAATCACTTCAGGTAACTCCAACAGAAATATACACAACGGAGGTTGGGAGAAATGAGAGATCTGGAGGCTGGCTAGGTGGAGGAGGCAACACCTGAATTAGGGATTTAAGCTAGACCTTGAAGAATAGGTCATGCCATCACACTAACAAACTCACAGGGAGGCTCCCAAATTTTGGGAAAGTGTCCCCCAGAGACTTAGACTTTTAAACCAAAGCCTAATGTTTCACAAAGTCTTCTGAGACAGAATGATTAGCAAGCTTGTAGGACCTTTTTGTAAAGAGGATGTATATGGATTCGTACAGACACACATCTACATGCAGAACGTGCCATTCTGTATTTGATGCATAAAACCACCTTGTCCCGGTCTCAGGGCAGGAACAGTGTCATACAGATTTTTGTGTCTCCACTGCTTTTGCATAGCGGCTCTTAGAGATTAAACGCTTTTTTTCCAAATATTTTATAGGTTTTTTGACATTAAAACGTTAGTCTCATCTGGGTGCGGTGGCACACGCCAGTAATCCCAGTACTTTGGGAGGCAGAGGCAAGAAGATCGCTTGAGCCCTGAAGTTGGAGACCACAGTGAGCTATGATCACACCACTGCACTCCTGTGACAGCCTGGGTGACACCGCAAGACCCTGTCTTAAAAAAAAAAAAAGTTAGACTTATGTTCTTTTCTAAGCAATAAAATTAGTCTTAGATATTGCCTAATATCTAAGACTACCAATTTTTGTGTAGAATGTAATACAAGCTAAAAAATACATTCGAAAGACTTTCTGTCCCCCAATTTATAAATCCTGGTTAGTTTAGCTAAGTCTGCAGTTGTGCTGGGATCAGCAATCCCTCCTTAAATGCAGGAGTATTGTGAGTGTGATGAGGGACTACCCCAAATCAAAATAATTTTAAAAGCAAACCTTAGCTTGCTAATTGGTTCCACTTTCTTCCTTGTTCCTTTTCCTTTACCAAGATGGCCGCTGTGTCGTTCGCTCCTCATTGGTCGGATTTTCCGCAGGTGCCGATTCTAGCCCCACCTACTAGCTCTCCGTTCCAAGTCCTAAATCACTGGGAATGTAATAGACAGACGAACGGGAGTGGGCGGAGCGGGCGCCGGATGTGACGTTTCCGGAACCTCCGGGTGTCATCCGCGGGGAAAGGTGGGGAAGGGTCCCGGGAACGTGGTGGGGCAGGGCCTCCGAGCGTGGTTGGACTTTGAAGGGGATCGGCCGCCGTGAGTGTGGGGCCTGCAGCCTACTCTCCCCGAGTCCCCTGCCCGGCCTGCCTCGCTCGAGGCACCCGACGGCTTCTGTCTCCGCGGGCTGGCGCCTGACCAGCCAGGCCCAGCGGTTCCCCGCCTACTGCATTTGAAAGATCCCGAAAACCCTGGATGATTGTGCCTGGGGTTGGCAAGTTCGTCTTGAGTGCCTTCAAGAAGGGTTCCTCAAGCAGTTGTCGATAGAGCCCTCCCTACTGTATACGCCCCCTCCGCTCATTCCTGCTACTTCCTTTCTCCTCCTCGTATTTCCCCCTCGGTCCTTTACGCCGCCTTTCCCCCTCATTTGCAGATGCTGCATCCCCTTTTTGGAATTGCTCAACCAGGTGGTAACCGGCGCCGCTTCCTGGCCTTGGGAGGTGGTTCCTTTCTTAACCCACAAGAACCTCTCCCAAGAGGTACTGAGATGCAACAAGCATCCTCTGTTTCAGTTAACTTTCATGGGCCGTGGACTAGGTTTACTAATTACTTGGGGAGGTTTTAGATATGCTTGCGGCTTTCTGAGTCCCTAAGGAGGCCTCGTGAGAGATGGACTATCTCTGCATCCCTAGTAGTCCTCACGGCTTTTGTGCTATTAGTGAGGGTGTTTTAGAGGGGAAGGTTTGTGGAGGAATTGTGACCCGAATATTGAAGAGACCTAAAGATGGAATTGGCTGAGAGAAGACTACCCCTGAGGGAAGAGTTGTAGTAGAAAAGAAAAACTGGATAGATAAATGAAACTGAAATGTGAGGATGCCTGGGCGGATTGGAATCCTGACTGAAGCAAAAGATCTCTGTTGGGGAGGGCCAGTTGCCACAGGGCCTTGAATTCCAAGATTTATTCTACTGTAGTTTGTGTATTCTAGAGCATACTGATTAGGGTTTGCTGTAATGCAATGTGTGTCAAATGCCCAGTTTTATTTTGGAGATGATAGTGGTGATATCTGGTTGGAATTTGGAATCTGATTCTAACAGCAACTATATCTAGAAAGACTAGAATTACTGGAGTTTTGGGACACCAGGGGTTTTTGCAATGCAAGTTACCATCGTGCCTTTTTGTTATTCAGTGTTTAGTCTATGAAGATGAGTAAATGGTTGTTTTCAAGATTTAAGTCTCTTGCCATGATAATGATGAATGAATGATTTTATAGATTGACTATAGTGGTTTAGTGAGCAGAGTTACAATTATGAGCATTAATTCCCAGACCAGTTCCCCTAACTCACCTTGTGCTCAAATATGAAAAAGGATACCACAGAAAATGTCAGTTACTCTCAGATTAAGTAAAAATGGTCAACCTTGAAGTTAGTTAACAATCCTCAAGAAAGTTCACTGAGTGCACTCTGCCAGGTACTGGGGTGGAGGTATGTGGGTATCTGGAAGGAGAAATAATAGAAAATAAAAGATGCTGTTCCCACTTTTACAGTGCTGTGGGCGGAGCCCCCTAATGGCAAAGGATTTGATTAACTTGAACTGAACCTTTGGTTGGTCCACTGTGGTTCTACTCCTTATACCACCTAATTATGGTACAGGGGTTGTATGTTTTCTAGTCTGCCAGTACTCTCATCGTTGTGATTTGGGCTTCCTTGAGGGTCTCAGCCTTCTTGTAGGAAAGTCCTTATTTAATAGGAGCCACAGCATTTGGTATGTTTCTCTTATATTTTCTTCTTAAGGTAGAGGTCTGTGAGATAAACTGTAAAACTGCTGGGATGATGAGGGCAACGGTATTGATGCCATCTGTTTTTTCTGTCTCAGAACTTGGTCCTGATGTCTGACCATGGAGATGTGAGCCTCCCGCCCGAAGACCGGGTGAGGGCTCTCTCCCAGCTGGGTAGTGCGGTAGAGGTGAATGAAGACATTCCACCCCGTCGGTACTTCCGCTCTGGAGTTGAGATTATCCGAATGGCATCCATTTACTCTGAGGAAGGCAACATTGAACATGCCTTCATCCTCTATAACAAGTATATCACGTAAGACACCTACAGTTTCCTTTTTCCTTTCTGGTGACTGGTGCCTCGCCTATTTGGCTCAGAATTGCTAAAACCACAGAACTTCACAATATCATCAACATTAATCATTTTTGCTGGCAACTCCTACATATTGGCTGTCCTTGCCGTTCAAAGACATGAGTGCTGAAGGTGTTATTTTCATGACTCAGTAATTTATGAGTAAGAGATTTAGTTCTTTGGCCTATGCCCACATAGCCCAGCTGTTAGACAAAAGAGTTGGTGGTTAAACTAGACATATTATGTTCTGATGAATGCTTTTACTGTTCTCTTTCTACTAAAGCAGCCAATCATAGGATTATTGTTGGGGTCTAGCAGAGCCAAAATTCCTCACTTGTACTTATTTTGTAGCAAATTTAGTGATACAGGAAAAAATTTTTTCCTCTTAACCTTTATCATAATCATGCAAATCATCAAATAATTAGTAACTGCCTACAGTTTGTGTGGCTCATCATAATAAGACCTTTCCCTTAAGTTATTTATCATCTTAGGGTAGGCAGCATAAGTAGAAGATTTCAGTACTATTAACAGCAAACAACTTCTAAAACTCCATTGACAATGATACATAATTTAGAAAGGAAATAATGTTAAAGGTCTTATTTATCATTTCTAATCTTGTTCTTTCACAATATCAGGACTTTTTAAAAAATAATTATAATGTATTTGGTTCTGAGTAGCTCATAGTGTGTTTCACCTGCATAATTTCATTTGATCTTCACAGTTCTGTGTGCATGGAATAGGGTACACTACCCTACATTCTACATATGAGGAAACAAACTCAGTGTTTGGTGGATGCTCATGTTTGAAGTGACAAAACCTTGGTTTTCTGACTCCTAATTCAGGATTTGTTCTACAACATAGGTCCTGTTCTTCTTGTTTTCCATTTAGTAATGTTCTAGAGTCAGAGGTAGTCTTTTGAGATCATAGTCATGAGCCACACTGGCTATTTTTTTGTTATTTATTTTACTACTGATTTTTGAGTAGGTAACATATATATATATATATATATATATACACATATATATGGTGCACAATTCAGAGGCACAAAAGAATAACTATAGTTAAAAAGTAAGTCTTGGCCAGGCGCAGTGGCTCTCGCCTGTAATCCCAGCACTTTGGGAGGCCAGGGCAGGCGGATCACCTGAGGTCAAGAGTTCAAGACCAGCTTGGCCAACATGGCAAAACCCCATCTCTACTAAAAATACAAAAATTAGTCGGGCATGGTGGCGTGTGCCTGTAATCCCAGCTACTTGGGAGGCTAAGGCAGGAGAATCGCTTGAAACCAGGAGGCAGAGGTTGTAGTGAGCCGAGATCGTGCCACTGCACTCCAGGAC
Organism: Homo sapiens; assembly: GCF_000001405.40. Classification (NCBI taxonomy): domain Eukaryota; kingdom Metazoa; phylum Chordata; class Mammalia; order Primates; family Hominidae; genus Homo; species Homo sapiens. The sequence goes on from NC_000002.12 coordinate 73,832,430, forward strand.
TCCAGACTAGGTGGCAAAGCGAGACTGTTTCAAAAAAAAAAAAAAAAGTCTCCCCACCCACTCCTCTTTTCCCCCCAAACCCTCAGTGCTTCTCCCCAGAGACAACCACTCTTAGTAGTTTCTTAGATATCTTCCAAGAGATGATATACACATACCAGTTTTATCACATTAAGTTTTTGATCACATACTCCTCTAAAGCAGGGCTTTTCAACTTTGGCCCTATTGACCTTTTGGACTGAATCATTATTTGTGGTGGGAGCTGTCCTGTGTGTCACAGAATGTTTAGCAGCATCCCTGGTTTCTGCTCACCAGATGCCAGTATCCCCCCTCCCCGCAGTGTGACAACCAAAAATGTCACCAGACATTATCTGATGTTCTCCCAGGGGCAGAATCACCTCTGAGAACCAGTGCTCCAAAGGAAAGTATGCGGAAGAATGGACTGTCTAGGATTCATATTGTAATTGTAGAGTGGAGAAATGGGACTGCTATTGTCTTTTTTATTTAGAAGTGTTGCCTGTGTTAAGAGGAGAAAACCTTAGACAAGTTAAATTTAACAGAGTTTAATCCAGTAGAAAAAGGTTCAGGGAACACTCAGGACCAAAAGTGGTGCAGAATGTTCCACCCCATAGTGGAGGTTGTGCAGGCTATATTTATAGTCAGAGAAAAGGAAATGAGATACAGAAATAGCCTGATTGGCTACAGTTATGTGTTTGCCTTATTTGGTCATGTTTTGGCAGGCTTTAGCCTCCAATTGGCTGGAGGTTTCAGCTGCTATGATTGGCTGAGACTCAGCTATTTGTTACACTTGTAACCTAACTCTTATGTTAAGTTACAGTTTGTTTATACATTAAATTAGGTTACAGTTCACTATCTTTGGAGGCAGCTTTAACTTAACACCTGTTTCCTTAAAGATCTGTAGTTCTTTAATGCCATTATGTCATGTCATGTGGCCTCAATGTTGTTAAGGTTTCATAAAATTATAATTATATTTCTGCTTCTGTTTGCTGTTATGAGTTTTTCATTCCTAGGCACACTATTTATTTTCCTGCACAGTTTTTTTGACCCTGTCTTCTTTATATATTCTTGGTAGAAAGAATATTCTTATGTATTTCCTATAAGCTTGTAGATTGTTCTCTCAGAATGAAACCCAGGGGCACAATTCCTTTGGAGAAACACTAATTCAGAAAGTTCAGTAGAATCATGGAATCACTGCACCAGGTATTTCCTGAAGGGCCTTCAGAATCCTATTGCCCCACAATAGAAAGGGCTTTCAGGGCAAAGACCATATTCATTCAACACATGTATATTGAGTATACCTGCTGTCTACATGGCACTGCACTAGGTCCTGAACAGCAGTGAGTAAAATGGCCCCTGTCCTTATTGGTGTTCCTTTATAGGTATGGGAGAAGACAATAAACAGATAAGCAAATAAATACAGCTGACCCCTGAACAACACAGAGGTTAGCACCAATCCCCCATGCAATCAAAAATATACATATGGTCAGGCACAGTGGCTCACACCTGTAATCCCAGCACTTTGGGAGGCCGAAGTGGATGGATCACTTGAGGTCAGGAGTTCAAGACAAGCCTCGTCAACATGGTGAAACCCCGTCTCTACTAAAAATACAAAAATTAGCCTGGTGTGGTGGCGGGTGCCTGTAACCCCAGCCACTTGGGAGACTGAGGCAGGAGAATTGCTTGAACTCAGGAAGTGGAGGTTGCAGTGAGCCGAGATCACGCCACTGCACTCCAGCCTGGGGACAGAGCAAGATCATGTCTTAAAAAAAAAAAAAAAAAAAAAAAAAAAATATATATATATATATATATATATATATATATATATATATATATATATATAAAGTTTTTGACTCCCCAGAAACTTAACTACTAATAGCTTACTCTTGACTGGAAGCCTTATTGATAACATGGTCAGTTATCACATACTTTATATATTGTATGTATTATGTACTATATTCTTACAGAAAAGTAAGCTTGAGAATAGAGAATGTTATTAAGAAAATCATAAAGAATAGAAAATATAGATACTATTTGTTAAGTGGAAGTGGATCATTATGAAGGTCTTCATCCTCGTCATCTTCATGTTGAGTAGGCTGAGGAAGAGGAGGGGTTGGTCTTGCTGTCTCAGGGGCGGCAGTGGCAGAAGTAAATCCGTGTATAAATGGACCCACACCATTGAAACCCATGTTGTCCAAAAGTCAGCTGTAGTCGAAATAAGGAAAATACTTAAGAGTACTGTGATAGAGAATAAGCAGGGGTTTATGACTAGAGTAGTCAGGGTAAGGTCTGTCTGAGAAGACAAGATTTGAGCTGAGACTTGAGGGATGCAATACAGTTGGTCATTCCAAGAGCATAGGGCAGAGCATTAAAACACAGGTAACTATGTGTTTAGAAGTGCTTAGATGGGAAAGACCTTAGCATGTTCTGGGGATTGAAAGATCATTGTGTTTGGAGTATAGCCAGAGAAAAGCAAGATGACTCCAGGTAAGGCTGGAGAGGCAAGTGGGGCTGGATCATGCAGGACTTTATGGGCCATGGTAAGGAGTCTGTTTTTTATCTTGAGGGTAACAGCAAGCCATTGAAAAGTTTTAAGTGGGATTCAGACCTAAATTTACTTACTGTTTTTTAAAAGAGATGAGGTCTCGGCCGGGCACAGTGGCTCACGCCTGTGATCTCAGCACTTTGGGAGGCCACCCTGGAGTTCAAGGCCAGCCTGGCCAACATGGTGATACCCCATCTCTACTAAAAATACAAAACTTAGCCGGGCGTGGTGGCCCACGTCTACAATCCCAGCTACCCGAGAGGCTGAGGCAGGAGACTTGCATGAACCCGGGAGGCAGAGGTTTCAGTGAGCCAAGATCGCGGCACTGCACTCCAGCCTGGGTGATAGAGCGAGACTCGGTCTCAAAAAAAAAAAAAAAAAAGAGATGTCACTAATGTTGCCCAGGCTGGTCTCGAACTCCTGGATGCAAGCGATCCTCCCATCTCAGCCTCCCAAAGTGCTAGGATTACAGGTGTGAGCCTCCATGCCCAATCAATATTTAAAGTATAAATTTTGGCAGTTGTGTGGTAAATGGTGGAGCAAGCGTTAAGAGAAGGCAGGGAGAGTAGTTAGGAAATTCTTGCAGGCTGGTGGCTTGAAGTAGTGTGGCAACATGGAAAGAGACAGATGGATTTGGTATTTTGGAGGTCAGGTCCATAGGACTTACTAATCACTTAGGAAAAAAGATACTGCGGAGGTTGATGTCGTGTTTCTGCCTTGAACAACTTAAACGATAGGGTAGTCCATGTATTGAGATGGGAAAAGCCCTCTAAAGAGGGCTGGGTAGCGGGGGAATTTAACCGTTCACGTTTGGGGTTTTTTTGACATGTTAAAATTTGAGATGCCTGTGAGATATCCAAGTAGAGATGTCAAGTGGGAGGTTGAATGTACCAGTCTGAACTCAGAAGACTGAGGTCTGGGCTGGAAATACAGACAAGGGAGTCCTCAGCATACAGATGGTTCTGAAGTCATGAGAATGGCTGAGATTTTCTTTTTCTTTTTTTTTTTCTGCTGTAGAAATTAATTTTATTCTTATTCAGACTATTTTCAAAAGAAGCAGTGGTGCGCTGTTTTTCTAAAAATACGCCTTTAGAGATTTTTATATATGTATATAATAAAATCCATACATGTATTTACATGATTGCTACATACAAAATTACAGCACTGTGGTATGTACACATCTACAGGTACATTCTTTCCACACATCCCTGCTGTGCTTTCCCCGTGTGAAGGAGGGAGACTGAATCAGTTGTGAGCAGCCAAGGGCTGGCCCGTCGTCGGAACCTCCGAATGGGGGCTGGGGTGGAGGAGGTGAGGCGATTGCCGAGGCAGGAGCAGCAGCTGTTGCAGGGCTCTCCTGCAGGCCAGCAGGCAGCATCTGGAGGCTCCCGGCAGCCTCCCCCTCCCCTCCACCCCGTGGTGCCCGCGCTGCCCTCAAGGTGGGGTGGCTGACCACAGACCCCTCTGGTGCCATTCTGTGGCCTAGACTTGCTTGGCTGGGCCAAGAAGTTGTGTATGTGAGGGGTGGAGGAGGGAGCTGTGGGAGGAATAGACCCTGTCCAGCCCCAGCCCTGAGCAGGGGAAAGGGCTGGATGGCTAAAGCCTGCAGATGACTGGTGAGAACACTCCGCTTGGCCCGGCACTGCTAAGGGTCAGAGACTAGAGGCTGGGAGGGAGAGCAGTGGCCGCCGGCTGGGGAACAGGGCCTTCTTCCTCCCTGGGGCTCAGAGGGTGGCCTCAGCTGAGCTTGAGTAAGCCCAGCTCTTAGGCCCTGCGGCCAGAGGCTTGGCCTCCTGCCAGCAGAGGTGCATGCACACTGGGGAGGGGCTGCCATCTCCACTTCAACCCCTGGGCCAGGGGCTGGGGAAGAAATGGAGGCTTAGGCCTGGCCTGCTGCCCTGTAGGACTAGGTCCCCGGGGCTCAGGATTCCTGAGGCATGCAGAGAAGGGCCTGAGAATGCCTGAGATTTTCTAGTGAAGGGGCTCTTAATCTGGGGTCCAGGAACCTCACAGAGATTCATTGATAGAATTCAGGGGATCTGTGAACCGGAATAGGAAAAACTTTTCTTGTTTTTTCTAACCAGTGACTGAAATTTAGCATTTCCTTCCATTTTGAATGTAGGCCTCAAAGTACAGTAGTAGTAATATTTGTAATTTTGTCACCAGTAGAAATCAAGATATTTTCATATTGCATTACAGTTGTTGCTGACATCTCAAAATAGCATCTAAACATCACTACTTCAGAATTACAGTACAGAATTATTAGACCTACAGCTAGATCCCATTATCAAATGCATTGATAAAGAACACATTAGGCCGGGCACAGTGGCTCACGCCTGTAATCCCAGCACTTTGGGAGGCCAAGGCTGGCGGATCACGAGGTCAGGAGATCGAGACCATCCTGGCTAACATGGTGAAACCCCATCTCTACTAAAAATACAAAAAATAAGCCTGGCATGGTGGCAGGTGCCTGTAGTCCCAGCTACTCAGAAGGCTGAGGCAGGAGAATGGCGTGAACCCGGGAGGCGGAGCTTGCAGTGAGCCGAGATCGCGCCACTGCACTCCAGCCTGGGCAACAGAGCGAGACTCCATCTCAAAAAAAAAAAAAAAAAAAAAAAAAAAAGAACACATTAATACAGAAGAATATATCACAATTTTTAAAATTTTTGAAAACTGTTTTTCCATAAAATTGGGGTATTCTTGGTAATCCTTTGTACTTTAAGTTATACCTTAAAAAAATTGTTCTGAAAAGGGTCCATAGGCTTCACCAGATGCCAGAAGGATCCATGGAACATAAAAGATCAAGTATCTTTGTTAATAAGGCTAGGGAATGAGAAGAGAAGGAGCCTAGGACTGAGCCCTGAGGTTAGTTAATGGAGGGAGAGTCAATAGGGGAGACTTTCTTTGAAGGGAGGTTCAAGAGGCAGGAGGAAATCCAAGAGAGAATGGTGTTGTGTCATGGGAGCCAAAATAAATTAGTGTTTGAAAAAGGAGAGTAGCCACCTATGTCAGATGGGTGAAGACAGAAGATTGGCCTTTGGGTTTGGTAAGATGATGTCATGGGTGATCTTCATAAGCAATTTCGCTAGAAGGATTACAGAGACCCTAATTAGAACGGGTAGAAAGGTGAATGGACAGTAAGAAAGTGGAGGCAAAGGGTATAGACCTGAAAGTGGCAAATTTTTTTCTATAGGGGACCAGAGAGTAAAAATTTTTGGTTTTGTAGGCTACTTGCTGTGTCTGTGACTACCTCTGCTTTATAGTGTGAAAGTAGCCATAGACAACACATAAATGAATGGATGTGACTGGTTCCAATGACACTTTATTTACAAGAACAGATGGCTAGCTGGATTTGGCACACCAGCTGTAGTTTGCCAACCCCGGTATAGACAACTCTTTGGAGAAGTTTAGATGGGAAGGGAAGTAGAAAAATGGGGAAGTAGTTGATGGGGGACAAGGAGCGTGTGAACATGTGTATGTATTTTAAGTTAGGAGATTTTAGAGCATGTTTTTGCTGATGGAAAAGGATCTTATGGAGGAGGAGAGGCTAACAGTCCAGAAGAGAGCTTAGCTGTACTAATAAACTCCTCAGAAGTCAAGAGGGGATAGGATTAAGAGTACATGGATGCCTAAGGAATTGTTTTTTATGACACTTAGTGTTATTTTGAGTGACATATTAGTGTTAACAGCAAGACTGATATGGGGAGTTTGTCCCTGTCACTTATAGGACCACTTAAAATGATGAACTACTAGGAGAGTTGGTGCGGATGAGATTTAGCAGCTCATTTACTTGATTTGTGGGATTTAGAGTTTAATTTGGAATTTTGTTGTATTGGCCTTACCTGAAGTAATTAATGTAGCTACCTTCACTTTTCTTGGAGATACCTTTAAAATCTTGATTCTGATTCTGATTCTGTGAACAGAAAATCACAGCAATTGCAAACAAATTCTAGCTCACTGATTCTCAGTCTGTTTTCTGTTGTATTTTACTTAGTACATTCCTATCAATAACAGTGGCTCAGCTTTGGCAGTTACTACAACCGAGGAGAAAAGAGAGGGGAGTATACATCTGCCTCACCACTCCTCTGCCTCCCCTACTACTGAGAATCATTGTTCTAGACCTTTTGTGGATACTTTCTTTACTTCAGGGTTTTAAAAGGCATGTTTGTTCCTTTTCCTGGAGCAGTTCAGGCATCTTAATGATCTCAGGCATATTTCCCCCCTCAGTAGCTTCCCTAATGTAGGAATGCTTTGCCTTTTGCAGACCCCAGTATAGAAGAAAGAGTTCAGCATATTAAATCAGTACATATTTTCATGATGAGCGCAGACAATAAACCAGGCAGTGGATTCTTTCACAGCTTTTTATGGTCATCAACTAGGCTGCCCAGAAGGGAGTGAGAGTATTCAGGCAATTCCTGTGTGCTATGTGAGCCTCCTGGAACACCAACCCTTTTTCTGAAAATGAACTGTCACCTGTGTTGAAAATGTTTGCTGGGATTGGGGTTTATAGACTGAAGAAGGTTCCATCTGTGATCATGCTTACCATGCTGAGTAACTTTTAAGACTGGAAGAATCGAGATGAGGATCCTTAATGCATCCATGTTAAAGAACCTTTGCTTGACTTTTTGAATTAGTTGTTTTCATACAAAATTAACACTTATTCACGATTTAAAAAATTTTTCAAACACTACAAGGGAGATATTAAAGTGAAAAGAGAAGTCTCATCTATCAGAGGTGGCCACTATTGTATTTCTGGCATGGATGAGGTGTGATTAAGCTCATAGGTGCCCCCATGTGTCCTTTTCCTTAAAGCATCAATGGGATCTTACCACGTATTCTGTTCTGCGACTTGCTTTCTTCACAGTAGTGTCTTTCCATATCAGGACATACTGAGCCATCTCATTCTGCCTCAGAGCTATTCCATCTGCCTGGAACATGAATCTGGAACAGTCCCAGATTCATGGCTCACTCTTGTCTAGTCCTTACTCAAATGCCTCCTTCTTAATGATGACTTCCTTAGCTGCTGTATCTAAAATTTCAACCATTCCCCTATCCCTTTCTATCCCCCTTCCCTATTAATGACTTTCCTAGCATACTTCTGTTTATTGTCTGTTCCCCCATTGTAATGTATACTCTATGGTGGGGAGGAATATTTGACTGTGTTGTTCACTGCCATATCCCCAACCTTTAGAATAATTCTGGACCCTGTAGTAGATGCTCAGTAAATATTCACTGAATGAATGGGTGAATGATTACATTGTCTTCACATTTGAATGCACATTATTTTTTAAACAATCCCCTATTGATGGACATTTAGGGGTTTGTTTTTTTTTTTTTTTTCAGTTTTTTCTACTTTTTAAAACAATGCTGTATTGAATATTTTTATACATATATCTTTGTACTGTTTTATAATGATCTCTAGGATAAATTCCTAGAGATAGAATTGTGAGTTTAAAGGATATACACATTTTAAGTTGGATGCGGTGGCTCACGCCTGTAATCCCAGCATTTCGGGAGGCTGACGCGGGCAGATCACCTGAGGTCAGGAGTTGGAGACCAGCCTGGTCAACATGGCGAAACCCCATCTCTACTAAAAATACGCAAATTAGCTGGGCGTGGTAGCAGGTGCCTCTAATCGCAGCTACTCGGGAGGCTGAGGCAGGAGAATCACTTGAACCTGGGAGGTAGAGGTTGCAGTGAGCCGAGACTGCCCCACTGCACTCCAACCAGGGCGGCAGAGCAAGACTCTGTCTCAAAAAAAAAAAAATAAATAAATCAAAAAAAAAATAAATAGTACAAATTAAAAATAAAGGATATACACGTTTTAAATTTTGAATAATTAGCTTCCATTTTCCCTCCCTTAAGATGAAAGGTTATATTAATTTACAATCTTGCTAACACTGTATGGGTATCCCATTTCTCTATACCAGGTATGATCAACCTTTAAGTCCCATTTCTCTACCAGGTATAATTAACCTTTACGCCTTTGCCAATCCGATGGATGAAAATGGTATCTCATCCTAATTTGAATTTCTTTAATTATGAGTGGATTCAGCATTATTGCATATATTCATCTTTTGTATTTACTTTTCTGCTTATGTCTTCTTTTTTCATTGTTTATTGGGTCATTTTGCTTGTGTTTTTGCAATCATATCTTTGTTTGCTTTGGTACCTTTCCTCTCTCCAGGCTTCAACCAGATATAACCCCAGAGAACAGTATACATCTGGGCCACCGCTTTCTATCCTTAGAAAGTTTCTAGGGATAGAACTTTGAACCATGTAATGGAGTCTAGTTTATAAGTAAAGAAAAAACTCCCAAACCTGTATATGATGCTGGTGTTAGCATCTTCATCTCTTATTCTTGCTCACATTTTTTGTTTATTAGTTAAAAAAAATCATAGAAACCCATAGCAAATATTGACTATGTTCTAGATACCGTGTTTAGCATTTTATTATCTCTTTAAGTGTCACAGCAAGCCTGTCAGGGAGTACTAGTTTGTCTCCATCTCTACAATTTTATGGACAGGATATCAGCCATGTCCAACCCTTTGAATGCAAGGACTTTTTTGCTTATCTATGGTAGCAGATATCACCTTTTTAAAAGTTCATTAGCTAGTTAGTGTTAGTGTATTTTATGTATGGCCCAAGACAGTTCTTCTTCCAGTGTGGCCCAGGGAAGCTAAAAGGTTGGACACCCCTGCAAAAAACTGAGGGATGGTGAGATTAAGTGACTTGCCCAAGGTCACATAGCTAGTAAATGGCAAAACCAGGATTTGAGCCCAGGCACAGTGGCTCCAGAGCCAGCCCTACTAACCACTAAGTTCTTTTACCTCCAGTATGAGTAATGGGGTATGTTGCCCATTGTCTGTTTCAGGAGACCTTTTTGCCCATCTATCCCCATTCAGAAAACTGGCTACAGTTGTTGAAGCAAGGGAAAGCTATTCATGTACAGGTCTGGGAGGTTTTTTTTGTTTGTTTTTTGTTTTTGTTTTTTTACTTATAAACTAGATTTCCATTACATGGCTCAAAGTCAAAGTAATATAAAGAGGTACTTGGTGAAAAGTTTCACACCTACTCTTATCTGTTCTATTACCCCTGCCCTCATTTCTGTGTATACTTCCTGTTTCTTTGTATACTTACAAAGCAAAGTAAATAAATACGGCAGGCTAAATACGGCAGGTTGTCAAATAATGTCGTTTTGTCCAATGTCGTTTTGTTTTAATGTTGATGAGAAAAGAAAAATCCATTCCTGCCTGGGGCCACTGTCTGTGTGGAGTCTGCACATTCTCCCCATGTCTGTGTGGGTTTTCTCCGGGTATTCAAGTTTCTTCCCACACCCCAAAGGTCTGCACATTAGGTGAACTGGCATGTCTGAATTGTCCCCAGTCTGAGTGAGTGCAAGTGTATGTGTGATGCCAATGGGATGGCATCCTCTCCAGGGCTGGTTCCCACCTTGGCCTTGAGCTGCTGGGATGGACTCTGGCCACCTGGGACTGAATAGGCAGGTAAATCATTTACTTACTTGTTTTTATAAGTCTTTCTTAAATGTATGTATAGCTCATATTTATTTCAGTGTTTAATATTAGAAGTGTTTTGGTCTGTATTTAGAAGTCTGGTGTTTTTGTGACCAGGATAGATCAAAGGAACTTAACTCTTGTTTATGTCAATTAGTGCATGGTAAAGTTGGTTTTGTTATATGTCATTGTGCTTAAAGTCACAATTTCCAAGAACCTATCAACATTAAGGACTTACTGTGTATATGTACATACTTGTACATATATGTAATGTTTACTCATCAAATATTTATTGAGTGCCTCTTTATACAAGGCACTGTGCTGGCTTCCAAGGAGTATACAAAGAAGCATGAAACACAGAAATCTCTGGCCTCAGGAAGCTCGCAGTGTAGTTCTATAATAAGAGCATAAGTAAAAATAAAACATAGTGTTTATATGACATAGTACTTTCTTAGCTGATTCAGGCCTCAATACAAAGCACATTCAGCCTGCTAAAGGTAGTAAATATTAATATGTATCTTGGCTTTTGGGGCTAAGATGAGAGTTCTACTGAATCATCTATCAGTCTCTAAAATATAAGAAATATGTCTTATTTATCTTAATAGATTCTTCAGGACTTTATGGTTTGAACAAATGAATCTGTATTTCTTTTAAATATAGACTTCAAGGAAACTGTTTTATATCTTTCTTTTTTTTTTTTTTTTTCCAAATAGAGATAGGATCTCCCTCTGTCACCCAGGCTGGAGTGCAGTGGTGTGATCAAAGCTCACTGTAACCTCAGACTTCTGGGATCGAGAGATCCTCCTGCCTCAGCCTCCCAAGCAGCTGGGACTACAGATGCATACCACCACACCCAGCTAATTTTTGTGTTTTTTTATGTTTTGTTATATATGTTTGTGTATGTATATATATATATGTATATATATATATAAATTAAAAAATATAAATAGAGACAAGGTCTCACCCTGTTACCCAGGCTGGTCTTGAACTCCTGGGCTCAAGCAGTCTTCCTGCCTCGGTCTCCCAAAGTGCTGGGATTACAGGCATGAGCCACCGCACCCAGCCTCTTTTATATCTTCTTCATGAACCCAAAAGGAAGCTTTTTAAAGAACCATTTTTATTTTAGAGTCCATCCCTGCCTTGAGGAGCCTTATCAAGTTGGATCAAAATGAAACTTGTGTGCCTAATATAGAACTGAAGGATGAGGACTTATCTTTAGAAAGTTTGTTTTGGTGGGGATCATCTTTTTTCTTTATTGAGGATTCTTCTTCCAATTACTTCTGCCCCATGGGCAGTAAGTAGAAAAGAGTTTATCCCAATTACAATATAATATTTTAGAGCTATCAGCAAGCTACCTTCAATTTATTTTTTTATCTCAGTTTCTGTGTATTACAACTTAATTCTGTTAAAAGACATCTTTGTTCAGAATCCCTCCAGTAGTTCTAGACATTCCAGAATCCGTATGGAAGAAGTATGGTGTAGTGGTTAAAAGAATAGGCTCTGGAGCCAGCCTGCTCATACTGAAATTCTGAATCTGCCACTTTCTTTCTGTGACAGGTTACTGGACTTTTATTTATTTTCACTGCCCCTAAGTAGATGTCTTAAATGTTAGAGATTTGTGAATTAATTAAGTTTATTCTCCCCACTGAGCTTTAGAGCCATGGACAAGAACCAAAAGATGAAATCTAGCATCTTATATTTACCTAAGCACTTTTCATCAAAGACAGTGCATGCTAACATGTAATATGCACATACTACATGCATAGAACACATGCACTAAGTATTTCCATGCATTTTTGTATGATGCAAAGTAGTATTCTTCTTTGAAGGAACACGAATCCCAAAGGAAAAAAGCCAAAGTTAAAGGTTACATAAGAGCTAGAAGGAGTAAGGAAACATGGTTTTCTCTTGCTTCCTGCCCATGGCTGCCAAACGGTTCTCTGAAGACTGCTATGTGACAGAAGCCCTTTCCTTTGAAAACCTGTCACGTCACAACAAGAAAAAGATCTCTTTCTTTGGAGGTACATTTTTGGGCACAAGAAAGGCTTTTTAAAATTTTTTTGGCCATCTTTTTCATTGTAGGAGTCTGGTGCTTGCTGCCTAGTTTGGGAGTAGAGGAAAAGACTCTGGCTCTTTAGGGGGATAGAGATGGGAAAGGAGCATGGCCCAGCTGGGTGTATTAGCTCTCCCTCCGCTGCACTTCTGGAACCTTTCATATAAGGGCTTCAGGATAAGGGGGTTGCATAGCTTTAGGGTCTTATGGACATTTGGACCATTTGCTTCATAATCATTTTGAACTGTTTCCTTAGGCTCTTTATTGAGAAACTACCAAAACATCGAGATTACAAATCTGCTGTCATTCCTGAAAAGAAAGACACAGTAAAGGTGGGTCTTCACTTTCATTGTTGCCCATCTAAAAGCTTCAGAGCAGCACAGACTGACTTCAAGATAAAAGTAGTAGTCTCTGCATCTGAGTACCAGATCCTGCAATAGGAGATAAGGCCATTTCACCACAACAGTTCTGAAGTAGCAGGTATGGTACAGTAGGGGGTATTTTAAATCATTTTGGGAAATGTTGCAGTCACCAACTTGACTTAAGTCTTCTTTTGGATTCTGTAATTTTCTGGCATTGTTCTAATTCTATTTTCTGTTTTGTGTCTCAGAAATTAAAGGAGATTGCATTTCCCAAAGCAGAAGAGCTGAAGGCAGAGCTGTTAAAACGATATACCAAAGAATATACAGAATATAATGAAGAAAAGGTCAGTATATAACAGCTAAGAAGAAAATTATTTTGCTTTTTTAGGCTGTGCCCTGGGATTGTAATATGACATTTCAATATATCCTGTGCTTTTAATGTGCTGTTTCACCTTTTTTGGGCAAAGACCAGAAACTCAAAAAAGTAGAACACCAGTGGTTAGGCTCAGGGTTGTAACACAGATATAGCCTATTTGTCGAAGAGAGTGACTTGAGGGACAGAAAATCTGTCGCCTACCTGCTATGTCTAGAGTGAGAATCATAAGAACAATGAACATTCTCTCCAAAACATAGGTTTTTAGATCAGAGAATTTGAGGGTTGGATTCACATTTGGTTATACCTGAAGCTATTTATAAGAATTGACTTTTCAAGCTATTTTTTTTTTTTTTTTTTGAGACAGTCTCACTCTGTCGCCTAGGCTGGAGTGCAGTGGCACGATCTCAGCTCACTGCAACCTCTGCCTCCCCGACTCAAGTGATTCTCCTACCTCAGCCTCCCGAGTGACTGGGACTACAGGCATCCGCCACCATACCCGGCTAATTTTTGTATTTTTAGTAGAGATGGGGTTTCACCATGTTGGCCAAGATGGTCTCAAACTCCTGACCTCAAGTGATCCGCCTGCCTCGGCCTTCCAAAGTGCTGGGATTACAGGCGTGAGCCGCTGCACCCAGCCATTTCAAGCTATTTTCAAATGATTCTTTTTAGGAAGTCAGTTAAAACATGTGGAGAAACTGCCAGGGCGCTGTCAGTGGCCAGCTGTGAATACATACTGCAGCCACTCACAGGCTGTTGTGTAGCTGTCTGCTGGTCTCTATTCTGGACTCTGATGTTGAAAATCAGCAGAGGGATGAACAGCTATGAGGTATATACTTCTAAAGCACCAAGTGAGTGTAAGCTTTAAGGAGGAGGTTATTACTTAGCATTTCTTTCTTTCTTTTTTTTTTTAATCCAAATGCCTCTCAAGTATTTCTTATTAGCTTAAAATGTCACTCTGTGTTGAACAAATGCACAAAAACCATAAAAATTTCAGAGGCCTCATTTTGGGTTAAAATTCAGTAGAAGGCAAGACGTGGTGGCTCATGCCTGTAATCCTAGCACTTTGGGAGCCTGAAGTGGGTGATCGCTTGAGCCCAGGAGTTCGAGACCAGCCTGGGCAACATGGTGAAACCCCATCTCTACAAAAAATACAAAAATTAGCTGGGTCTCTACAAAAAATACAAAAATTAGTGTGGTGGCACGCACCTCTGGTTTCAGCTACTCGGGAGGCTGAGATGGGAGGATCACCTGCGCCCAGGGAGATTGAGGCTGCAGTGAGCCATGATTGACCACTACAGTCCAGCCTAGGTGACAGAGTGAGACTCTCTAAGAAAAAAAAAAAAAATTCAGTAGAGACCCCCAAGATAGCAGGTATAAGTTTGGATCTGGTTCTATTTTATAGCCTTACTTGAAATATAGAATATGTACATGACACAGAGAGAAGAATAAAACTGTCTGTGATACAGGTTAGGAGAACACAGATAGTAAGTTGCATCAAGATTTCAGGCCAGACATTGTGGCTCACACCTGGAATCCCAGCGCTTCGGGAGGCCGAGGTGGGCAGATTGTTTGAGCCCAGGAGTTCAAGACTAGCCTGGGCAACATGGCGAAACCCTGTCTCTACAAAAAATACAAAAATTAGCCAGGTGTGGTGGTGCACACCTGTGGTCCCACCTACTCAGGAGGCTAAGGTGGGAGGATTGCTTGAGCCTGGGAGGTCAAGGCTGCAGTGAGCTGTGATCATGCCATTGCACTTCAGCCTGGGAAACAGAATGAGACCCTGTCTCAAAAAAAAAAAAAAAAAGATTTCAGTGAAGAGGAAAGTGCATTAGGTAGAGTCATTGTCGGGAGGGTATTGAGAGGATTGGGATTTTAATTGTCCTTGGAGATAGGTATACTGTGGCCAGATAGAAAGGGGTGGTGACTACACTCCGTGGGTATAAAGATACTGAGGAAAGCATGAATTCTGTGTTAGGTAATCAGGCCACAGCAGAAGTACATTTTGGAAATCTCCATGCTAAAAAGCCTTGTTCTCCTGAAGTGTGAAGTCACTGAGGTGTGAAGTGTTAGCCTAAATTTTCTCTCTTTGTAGAAGAAGGAAGCAGAGGAATTGGCCCGGAACATGGCCATCCAGCAAGAGCTGGAAAAGGAAAAACAGAGGGTAGCACAACAGAAGCAGCAGCAATTGGAACAGGAACAGTTCCATGCCTTCGAGGAGATGATCCGGAACCAGGAGCTAGAAAAAGAGCGACTGAAAATTGTACAGGAGTTTGGGAAGGTAGACCCTGGCCTAGGTGGCCCGCTAGTGCCTGACTTGGAGAAGCCCTCCTTAGATGTGTTCCCCACCTTAACAGTCTCATCCATACAGCCTTCAGACTGTCACACAACTGTAAGGCCAGCTAAGCCACCTGTGGTGGACAGGTCCTTGAAACCTGGAGCACTGAGCAACTCAGAAAGTAGTAAGTGCATTTGCTGATGTCCTCTTCCTTCTCAGTTGCAGCCAAACAGTATCATTCTGACGGGGTCAACCTAAGATTACCTCCCTGATCCCACTCATTAAGCTTTGGTCACAGAAACCCATCTGATAAGTATTGCTGTACTGTGTCCTAATACACTGGCTATGTTATAAAAGTGGCCTTTGCTGAAACCTAGTCTGGTCGATTTTCTGAAGAGCTAATATTATTCTTGAAAGTCAGACTGTCAACTTTTTAGTGAAAGGAAAAGAATGTGCCAAACCGAATTCATAATCCTCAGATAACATCATCAGACTGCTGTGTGACTCTGTGTCCCCTGCTCTGACTTTGTTACCTCTCTAGCAATTCAGATCTTGCTGTTGAATACGCAAAAGCAGAACATCTTTCCCCTCCCACTTTTTTTTTTTAAATATGAAAATATAGCTGTGAGAGACACTTCCTAACTTTAGCTTGCTGGCTGTCTCACAGAGTTTCTCCATGGTGTTCAGAAACTGGGTCCATTCTTGGCATTTTTTATGAGCTGCTTTGTTCATGCCTTTTTTGGGGGACTACACTGTATTTTTTATTTTGTTGTGGTTTGGCATTTAACTTCTTCCAGAAGAGTAAGTTCAGAAGTAAATAACTGCCCAGATTGTTTTCCATTCTCAAGAATATACACCAGTGTATTTCTTTTAAAGTCATACTCTGATATTCTTATCTGAGATAAAAGAGATTTAAAATTAAAAGTTCAGATGAATGGGCAGTGTCTTAGTCCATTTTGTGCTGCTATAACAGAATACCTGAGGCTGGATAATTTATAATGAACATAAATTTATTTGGTTCATAGTTCTGGAGAGTGGAAAGTCCAAGACCCAGGGGCCTGGCAAAGGCCTTCTTGCTGCGTCATCCCACGACAGAAGGGTGGAAGGGCAAACAAAGATCCCTCATAGCCTCATCACCTCTTAAAGATCCTACCTCTCAATAATTTTGCATTAGGAATTAAGTTTCCAAAACATGAACTTTGGGAGACACAGTCAAACCACAGCAGGGAGGTTATTTTTTTAATTCTTTGTATTAGATTCTGACAGAAAATTCCCAAATGTTTCAAGAACTTGTGTCTTTTTCCCCCCTAAATTTTATTTTTTACTTTTATTTTTTAAGTTTTTGTGGGTACATAGTAGGTGTATGTATTTATGGGGTACATGAGATGTTTTGATACAGGCATGCAATATGAAATAAGCACATCATGGAGAATAGGGTATCCATCCCCTCAAGTATTTATCCTTTGAGTTACAAACAATCCAATTACATTCTTAAGGTTATTTTTAAGAAAACTTTTCTTAAGGTAGTAGTTTGCCCTTTTCTTAACTTGAATAATTAAAGCCTACTATTTTCTCTTCTTGAAGTAATGTGCTCCTTACAGCTGTGGCCCAAGATTGGAGAAGACACTTTACAGCCCTTTTTTTGGTGCCATTAGAATGAGATCCCTACTCACTGCCTGAAGTTGGGGGAATCCCAGTGGCTTAATGTTGCTCCTCCAGGGCTGCTGGCTGTGAGGTCTGCTTGAGGAGGCAGGGCTCAGTGGTCGCAGACTATTCTCCTTTCTCCTTTACAGTTCCCACAATCGATGGATTGCGCCATGTGGTGGTGCCTGGGCGGCTGTGCCCACAGTTTCTCCAGTTAGCCAGTGCCAACACTGCCCGGGGAGTGGAGACATGTGGAATTCTCTGTGGAAAACTGGTAAAAAGAAAAAAAAAACCAAACTCTTCTCTGAACCGAAACTGTTTCTTCCCCTCTTGGCATCCTGTGACTCTCAGAGAAAATATCCAGGGTCAGTTACTCTTTGTACCAAGGAACCGTGGACTGCATAATTTCATGTCACTTTGAATTTGGTGACCCTGTATTGATTGATTGAATTGAAGTGGTTATTTTAATGCTAGTAGTAAGAAATACCTAATTTTAAACTTGGTAGGAAGATCCAGTCATTATCTACATATCAATTTTTTTGGTACCTACTTTATGGTAGGACCTGGGAATATAAAATATGTAAAGCACATAGTATGTGTCCACGAAAAGTGCCCAGTCACTTTGGAGAGAAGGCAGACATGCACTAAAGTCTAACCAGCATGCTGAAAAATATGTACAGTATAAGTATTGGGAATTTTGAGGAAGGAAAGGTCACTGAATGGAGGCACTTAAAGAACCCATTACTGCTGAATGAATAAATAAATGAAGTAGAGTAAATGTAAGCCGAGGCTTACAGGATGAGAAGGGCTTAAGGAAACAGTGACAGGACAACAACTTTAGACCTGAGCAAGGGAAGAGAAATGGTACTCTACCCAGAGCTTCTCAGCAGAGCAGTTTGGCACAGCAGGAAATTCCCTCAGGGCTGTGGTGTTTGCCCAGGCTGCAGAGTTCTGGGGTTGGTCTCTGCATCTGTCGCTGTACAGAGTACCCCAGGCAATGTGCATCAGCAGCCAAGGTTGTGAACCACTGAGTGGCAGGACTCCTGCTGTGTGGGAAGGGCTTTCACTTGTATAGATGCTTACCTTTCCACTGTCGGGATGGAGTGGAGCAGGGTTGCATGAGCACCAGGGAATTGTGACCAGCTGTTTTCTCCTTTGGCAGATGAGGAATGAATTTACCATTACCCATGTTCTCATCCCCAAGCAAAGTGCTGGGTCTGATTACTGCAACACAGAGAACGAAGAAGAACTTTTCCTCATACAGGATCAGCAGGGCCTCATCACACTGGGCTGGATTCATGTAAGCAATTCTGAGCTGTCCGAGAGTTAGTCTCTGCCTCTCCCATGGTGGTATAAATACATGAGTGTTTCTTTGAACAAAGTCAATTATATCCAGATTATTTATTGTTTTTCTCTCTTTTGGATGCAGTCCTTAGCATACTTGACTATTGCACTTTGGTATTGTTTTCTGGGAACACTTAGGGCTTTTAAATTTTTTTAACTTTTTATTTATTTTTTAGTAAAAATAAACTGTTTTCCCTAAAGTTCCAGTTTCCCTCTGAGTGTAACTGGTGATGGGATGCTGGCCTAGAATATAAGTGGACATTGACCTTAGAGACTATGCCTACTGTGTACAGATGATGTTCCTTAAAGGTATATAATTCAAAATATTTTAAATGAGCCAAGGAGGTTAATTCAGATGCTTGCATTTGGTCTTTCTTAAAGCACCTTTATATAAACAAGAAGGGCTATAAATACACATGATTTTCAAGTGTCTGCATATCTTGTGCAGCCTTCTGGTAATGTTCAGGTAAAATATAATGCCTTCCCTAAAGATTATTTTTAAATTTTTCTTTCTATTCCTTTTCAACCCCTCACTCTCATAGCCCAAGCTGCATTTTATGCTGTATGACAGAGTTACAAATAAATTGGCTTATTCTTGGATTACACATACTTGTATGCCAGAATTTGGGAAAGACTGACCTGTGAGGCAGTCCCATGTGCCTTCTGTCCTTTCTTCTATTCAATTACATTCATGTTGATGATTTGCCTATTATTGTGTATCCCCATCCCACCCCCATTGTAGTAGATGGGGGAGAGAAAACTTGTTCCTTATCTGCCAGGGCATACAAATTTGAGTAAGGTATGATTTTAGCCTCATGAAGGAGATTAAATAAATAGACAATTAATAACTTCACCTGGGGCAGAACGTGCTAAAGGCCACAAGAGGTGCCAGCGAGGCACTGTGGAATTCAGAGGAAGGAGGGACCATGCCTGATAGGGTTTAGTAGAATGTTGGCAAGCTGGGCCAAGGGCAAGTTCCTTAAGGAGCAGACAGGTGGAGAAGAGGCGGACTCTGTCCCTGGAGCACTGGGGGGACCAGTTCACTGAGATTTATGGTTCATATCAGGAAACAGTGGTAGATTTTTTTTTTTTTTTTTTTGAGACAGAGTTTCACTCTTTTCACCCAGACTGGAGTGCAATGGCAAGATCTTGGCTCACTGCAACCTCCACCTCCCGGATTCAAGCGATTCTCCTACCTCAGCCTCCCAAGTAGCTGGGACTACAAGCGCCCGCCACCATGCCCAGCTAATTTTTGTATTTTTGGTAGAGATGGGATTTCACCATGTTGGCCAGACTGGTCTCGAACTACTGATCTCAGGTGATCCACCCGCCTCAGCCTCCCAAAGTGCTGGGATTACAGGCATGAGCCACCACGCCCGGCTAGATATGTTTTAATGTAGTACATTGGAGCCGAGTTCTGGAGGGTCTGGGGTGGACAGGCAGAATTGTTCCACTTTTTAGTAAGTGGAAAATTCCTAAAGGTTTTTGAGTAGAGCAATGATATGATTAAAGCCATACTTTAGAAAATTTAACATAAATACAGTTTTAAGGTAGGTTGTGGCAAGGAGATGATTTAAGAGGTTAGTGTGCTGATAAAGCCTAATAATGATAAGAGCTAGGGTGATGCTAGTGTGTTTGGGAAGGAGGAGATGAATGTAGGATTTCAGAGGATTTGGGAAATGAGTAATAGAGGATGATGACTCAGAGTCAATGGTGACTCAGAGATTTGGGGCCTTGCAGTGATCATCTCATAAGCAAAAGTAGGGGATCCAGGAGAAGGATTTGGTTTGAAAGTGGGGTTCAGTTCTGAGCATGTTAAATTTCAGGTATTGATGAGATATTAAATCACTGGAGGTAGTTATCAGCCAGTTGGCAATGTAGGGCTAGAACTTGGGAGCAAAGTCAAAGCAGGAGAGAGGGCTCTGGGAATCCACTATTTAGTGCTGATCTTGGAAGCCCTGGAAGTAGGAGAAGAGTCTAGAGCAAGAAAAGGTTCACTGGCAACTTGGGGGACAGGCTACCTAATGTAACATAGAATGTAGTTAGCAATGGAGCAAAGAGATGTATGAAAAAGGTGAGGGTAGTGGTAAGGCACAGAAGCCATAGGAGGAGGAAGGCTCTTTTGTTTTGTTTTGTTTTTGAGACGGAGTCTCACACTGTCGCCCAGGTTGGGGTGCAGTGGCGCAATCTTGGCTCTGCAACCTCCGCCTCCCAGGTTCAAGTGATTCTCCTGCCTCAGTGTCCTGAGTAGCTGTGATTACAGGTACCCGCCACTATGCCTGGCTAATTGTGTGTGTGTGTGTGTGTGTGTGTGTGTGTGTGTGTATTTTTAGTAGACTGGGTTTCACTATGTTGGCCAGGTGTGTGTGTGTGTGTGTGTGTGTGTGTGTGTGTGTGTATTTTTAGTAGAGACTGGGTTTCACTATGTTGGCCAGGCTGGTCTCGAAATCCTGACCTTGTGATCCTCGTGATTATAGGCATGAGCCACCGCACCCGGCCAAGGAAGGCTTTAAGAAAAAATTTCCAGATGTTAACCATGTCACATCCTATGGAGAGCTCCAGAATGGTGAAGACTCGGATCGGCCTGGATTTGATGAAATTATTGAGGATCTCGATTTAGTGTGTTTTAGGCATTAATGGGAGTAGACTGTAAGAGTTTAAGAACTCATAGGGATTAAGTTTGTGGAGACAATGAAGTATACACTACCATTTTGAGCAACTTAGCTCTAGAGGAAAGGAGAAACATGGAATGGTGGTTTAAGGAGAAGTTGGGTTGAGAGAATGTTTGGTTGATTGTTCAAAGTGAAAGGCTTGAACATGTTTTGTTTTGATGAAATATAACACATGTAATAAGAAAGCACACAGAAACTAAATATATACTTTAGGCCGGGTGCGGTGGCTCAAGCCTGTAATCCCAGCAGTTTGGGAGACCAAGGCGGGCAGATCACGAGGTCAGGAGTGCGAGACCAGCCTGGCCAACATAGTGAAACCCTGTCTCTACTAAAAACACAAAAATTAGCTGGACATGGTGGCGCATGCCTGTAGTCCCAGCTACTCGAGAGGCTGAGGCAGGAGAATTGCTTGAACCCCAGAGGCGGAGGTTGTGGTGAGCCAAGATTACGCCACTGCACTCCAGCCTGGGCAACAGAGCGAGACTTGGTCTTGGGAAAAAAAGAAACTAAATGTACACTTTAACAAATCATTAAGCAAATATCTATGTACATACACTACCTAGGTCAGGAAACAGAACACTGTCAGGAGCATGCATGCCCTAAGGGAGGGAAGTCCTCCCTTCCTTGCTTCGTTTATAATTTCACCACTTCAATGTGTATCTCTAAACACTATAGTTTACTTTTGCCTGGCTTTTACCTTTTTGTAAATGGAGTTATACCATATGTATATTTGTGTCTTGCTTCTTTTGCTCAACATTTTGAAGGTTTATCCACATTCTTGTGTGTAGTTTTCTGAACATGTTCTTATGCCCAATGAGCCAACAATGGAGATGTAAAAGGGCAGGAGAGACAAGGTAATGTGGTGATAAGGAAGGATCGAATGAGAAGTACATAGAGGGATTCATCTTCACAGGGGGAAAAACATCCATTCCTCCAAGACAAGATTGAATGAACGGAAATGAAGATCCAGAGAGATTTTTGAAATGATGTCTGGAGGAGTTGAGGAAACACGTTTTAGACAATCTTGACCTCAATAAGGTTGGAGTCTAGGTCTGCTGTTGAGCAAGAGGGAGACCAAGGAGGAATTAGAAACTGGAGGAGATGGGGGAAAGTTTAGAATCATTACTGTACAGACTTCAGGTAGAACTTAGCTACAAATGAATAAAAGAGTTTTAAGTATCAGTGAGGGTCCAGTTGGGAACAGATTTGAAGCCTAAATTGATAGTAGTTCAGCTTTTTTATTTTTATTTTTTGAGATGAGGTCTCACTACATTGTTTATGTTGGAATACAGTGGCTATTCACAGGCACAATCATACTGCACTACAGCCTTGAGCTCCTGGGCCCAAGTGATCCTCCTGCCTCAGCCTCCTGAGTAGCTAAGACTACAAGCACACACCACTGTGCCCAGCTAGTTCAGCTTTTTTTCCTCCATATTTCTGCACCATTCCTTCCTAATTCGGGATTAAAAACAAACAGGCTGAGTATGGTGGCTCACACCTGTAATCCCAGAACTTTGGGAGGCCAAGGTGGGAGGATCACTTGAGGCCAGGAGTTCAAGACCAGCCTGGGCAACATAGCAAGACCTCATCTCTATAAATTAAAAAAAAAATTATGCATTTGTGGTGGCACACGCCTGTGGTCCCAGCTACTTGGGAGGCTGAGGCAGGAAGATCGCTTGAGACTGGGAGGTCAAAGCTGCAGTGAGCCGTGATCACACCACTGCACTCCAGCCTGGGCACCTGGGCAACAGAGCGAAAACCCTATCTCAAAAACAAACGAAAAGCAGACCGAAAGATTTATTCAGATCTTAAAATTGGCCAGAGGAAAATGCAAAAGATCAGTTCTTCCTTCTTAACCTTGTCAACTATGAATCAGCTGCCCAGGTCAAAAGTATGGTTATGGATTGATCACCAACTGTTGTCAAACCTCCAGCCCAGAACTCAAGGCACTCCTCATCATGTTTCAGCGCTATCTGAGCCATTTCCCTTTAGGGAAAATTTCCCTCTTAGGTACCCAGGCTGCCTTCAGCATTCACCCTCCTTGCTCATTTCTGCTCCTTCGGTATATTGTTTTCTCTTTGTCAAAGTGCCTTCCTCTATCCCCAGCAGCATGGGCACAGTGAACATAATGAACTATTCATTCAAGAAACTTGACTGTGAAAGGAAGGAGGGAGAGAAGGTACAGTAGTTAGAGAGGAGCAGGGGATCATGGCAAAGTTTTTTGATTCTGTTTAAGAGTTGTTTACTGAGTCCCTGCTTATGTCTCTTTATTATCTTTCTGGCTACCCACGTTTGCTCCCAGTTAGAATCCTGGACTCTAACCATGGGATGGAAGGTGGTGTTGGCACAGGCCACTGCTCTTTAGCAGCCTAAAGGATTATATTCTCATCAGGTAGAAACTTTGTGGTCACTGAAGTCCTTACATGCCCCATGAAGACTTGTGTGTGGATTTGCTGCCTGCACTGAGCTAACACGTTCCTGTCCTGAAGGCTTCTTCCACAGTGAGCTCATCACAGCACCCTGTGGAATGGTGCTTCTCAGATGAGGCTGCACATAAGAATCACTTAGTGAGCTTTCAAGAAAAATGTTCCTTCATGATGGTTCTTTCTAGGAGTGGGGTGCAGGAGTCTGGGCTTTTGTCAAGCTCCTCAGGAGATTTGTTTTTTTGGACAGCAGGTTTGAAAACGCTAGTCAATTGCATGTCTTTATTGTCTGTGCTTTTCTGTCAGTGAAGGTTGGTTGTCTTTTTGAATCATGCTAGATCTTTTTCCATTTTTGTTACCTAAGATCACACCTCCTCTAAGATGAACATAAGTCATTATATAGTTGTCTGTTTTGTATATAAAATATGTGCTTAATAAAACAAACAATGGAAACAAATAATCGGGATGCACATTTAGGTGATATTTTAACTGATTAACCTCAAATTTTAGCATCGTGTTCTCCTTCCAAACAGAATGGTCTCCTTTGTATGGTTTAACTATCAACTGAAATTCAAGTATTCCCCTACCTCCCATATCTTCCTTGGATGATGCTTTAGCTACAGGACAGCCTTTGCCTATAGAACCTGATTCATGTTTGACCTTTTAACACCTCTGTGGGAGAGAAGAATCATTCATCTAATTGTGGTTTACTAAGTCCTTGACTTCCACCATGTTGAAATATTGGGTATGTACCATCTGTTCCAGAATGGGTGACTCAGTGGTATGAAGAGACCTTGTAAGGAACCAAATAAGTCTTGATGGTCAGTTAGAAATTATGAGTCTCTTGAAAAACCAAAGCCTGAATCATCCAGAGAGAAACACTTCTTAGAGGAGATAGAAGAAATTCCCTAGCAAAAGTTCCAAGGGCCACTGAGTGCCATTCACAATTGTTGAGGACACCCACCTACCTTGTCCATGGATGCCCATCATGACAACCCCATTAACACCTTTGATTCCATGGATCCCTGGGTGAATCCAACATCATAGTCCTTGAGTTCTTCCAATTTGGTTCAAGAACAGGAGAGCTAGAGCAGGAAATATCAACAAACAACCCCCTCTTCTGTCTCCAACCCTGAGATGCAAATGTCTTTTCCTGTCTCCACTCCTACTGTCTGGTGATCTTTGTGCAGCAGGTATGTGCCTGAAGGAGGTCTCCAAGCCAGTTTCTGTGTGCTGTCATCTGAGATGGGGTTCCCCTTGCCAGTTCTCACACCCCACAAGACCCACCATACTGATCTCCTGGCTAGCACACACCAACCCCAGGGAAGCCTTTTCTTCACACTTGGAACCTAGATCTTGATTTCCTTTTGTGAGGTCAGAATTTGTTTAACTGGAATGTGGCACAGCATTGAATTCTTCTGCCTTGTCTATTCCAGCCTCAGAATTCTGTTTTTCTCCCACTTTGCAGTGGTCTTTGAGTTTTAACACTGTGGAACAGTATCTTTCCCCGATGATGCCCCAGATGGAAGGTTTGAGTTCTGTCCCTGGGTCCTCTCCATACCCTACCTGTTTAATGGCCCGATGTCTTGATGCCTTCTCGCATCAAGGCTCTGCGCCTACAGTCCTTCATCCAACCAGGAATTCCAGAACCCATCAGGTACCCTAGATCTTCTGAACCAGTGGGATCAGAGTCCCCGTTTTGAGTAGTACAGAGAAGAAAGTTCCCCCTTTGTGTTTACCTCCCTTTTTGTCTGCCTACTCCAGTTCCCCCTTCCCCCTGAGTGCTCAAGCTGCCTAACATCTTCCACTGCCTTCAAACAAGGGAAGCCAGAAAGTTCCAAGCCTCTTCGTCCACAGTTTACTTTTGTCCAGTACAGCCTTGGTGACCTCTGGGAGCTCTCTCCCTGAGAAGGTTGTCTGAGTGAATTAGATGAAATGTGGTGGGTGGGTTATTTGGTATGTCATCTATAACCATGAGCTAGGACGGCATGCGCTTGCCTGGGCTTAATGCTGTTACTTTCCATTAGAAAAAGATCACCTTATCATTCATCAGACACTCTACAGAATCTCAGAATTATGGTTCTGCACAATGTAAGTGAGGGCATACATCCACCTACCCAGGAACTGAAGTGGAATCTCCCCCACCCCACTTGTGGCATCTCCCCACGATTGCTCTTCAGACAAATCCTCATCTGTTTAGTTGTCATTCTGCTGGGGACAATGCAATCTAAGTTATTTCATTTAGTTATTTTCATCCCCTTCCCCTCTCTCATTGTATCCTTCACCACAGACAGCTCTTCCAGTTTCCAATAATTGTTTATACTCCTTATTTCTTTTTCTTTTTTTTTGAGATGGAGTCTCGCTCTGTCACCCAGGCTGGAGTGCAGTGGCGCGATCTCGGCTCACTGCAAGCTCCACCTCCCGGGTTCATGCTCTTCTCCTGCCTCAACCTCCTAAGTAGCTGGGACTACAGGCGCGTGCCACCACGCCTGGCTAATTGTTTTGTATTTTTTTTTTTTTTTTTTTTTTTTTTAGTAGAGACAGGGTTTCACCATGTTAGCCAGGATGGTCTTGATCTCCTGACCTCATGATCTGCCTGCCTCAGCCTCCCGAATAGCTGAGATTACAGGTGCCCGCCACCACGCCCAGCCAACTTTTGTATTTTTAAGAGAGATGTGGTTTCACCATGTTGGCCAGGCTGGTCTCAAACTCCTGACCTCAAATGATCTGCCCTCCTCAGCCTCCCAAAGTGCTGGGGGTTACGGACATAAGCCTCCATGCCCAGCCTGTTTTTGTTTTTTCTTTTTTTAATTGACAAATAACAATAGTCTATATGTTTTGAAATATGTATGCATATATTGTGGAATGGGAAAATCAAGCTAATTAGCATATGCATTATGTCACATACTTTTTTGTGGTGAGAACACTTGAAATCTACTCTCTTAAGCAGTTTTCAAGTGTATAATACATTGTGATGAACAGTAGTCACCATGTTGTATAGTAAGTCTCTTGAACTTAAAAAAGGAAAGAAATTATGAGTCTCTTCACATACTGGTATTAAGCAATATTTGTTTACAGTGCTGGAAAGGAGCTTCCTTACTTATTAGGAACCTCAGGTGGACCTCTCATGGTTGCAGATGGCTTCTCACTTACAAAGGAGATTGTGACCAGCTGTTGAGAACTGTTTGGCTTTACTTCCTTCAGAGACCAGACTTGGTTGTATGTCAGAGTAGTCCCCCCCTTATCCTCAGGGGATATGAGCCCAGACCCCCCAATGGATGCCTGAAATCACAGATAGTACCAAACCCTATATATGCTATGTTTTTTTCCTATACATGCATACTTGCGATAAAGTTTAATTTATAAATTAGGCACAGGAAGAGATTAACAACAACTATAATAAAACAGAACAGTTATAAAAATACAGTGTAATAAAAGTTATGTGAAGATGATCTCTCTTTCTCAAAGTATGTTATCGTATGTAATATTTTCAGATTGCAGTTGATATGGATAGCTTTAAACCTCAGAAAGGGAATCGCAAATAAGGAGGGATTACCATATATCCTCGCTAAGAGTCCTCTGACTCTTTTTCTCTCCTCAGACTCACCCCACACAGACCGCGTTTCTCTCCAGTGTCGACCTACACACTCACTGCTCTTACCAGATGATGTTGCCAGAGTCAGTAGCCATTGTTTGCTCCCCCAAGTTCCAGGAGTGAGTATAGAGGGCATGGTTCTGGGTGTTTCAAGGGGGTAGTAGGGAAGAAAGCCTCAGGGGAAAAGGTCTCTATTCTTGTGGACTTGTCCTTTGTAAAATACATAGATTATAATGTAAGTTGGTTATTCTAAAGGGCTTCCTTTTAAGCCCCATATCATGATTTATCTATCATGCTTGTTCAAAAAGATATCCAAGTAACAACTTAGTTGCTTTTCTAAGAAAAGTCTACAAGAAATTTGAAGTGTTTGACTTGAAGCGATAGGAATGTCAAGAGTTTTATGTTGGATTAGAAAGTTTCAAAATCATAAAATATAAAAAAATAAAAAATAAAAAATAAAAAAATATAATAAAAAAATAAAAATAAAAAATAAGAAAGTTTCAAAATCAAACACATTATCTCAGAATGCACTTCTTTTTCATACCAAATCCTGTCTCTACTCCCACTTTGATTATTTACTATGAATTCTCCAGCAAAACTAGTGTGATGGCAGTAATGAGTCATTCTCTAACTGTGATTCATTCACCAGAGAAGAGACCTGTGAGGCAGCATCCTACAGAAGCTGTCTCACAATGACCTCTGCCCTGCTGTGTGAGTGTGCATGCTGGTGTGTGTGTGCGTGCATATGTTTGGGATGGAGGGACACCTTTGCTTGACTCTTAGCCTGCCTTTTTTAAATTTCAGAACTGGATTCTTTAAACTAACTGACCATGGACTAGAGGAGATTTCTTCCTGTCGCCAGAAAGGATTTCATCCACACAGCAAGGATCCACCTCTGTTCTGTGTACGTATCTATGTAAAAGAAAATGGGGCTATGCTTCAAGCAGGGAGGACAGTCAGAGCTGATGAAATGCATCATCCTTTCTGATCCACACAGAAGACCAGCTTTGTCACTTACCTTGCCAGATCTCCATAATAAGGACGTACATGAGAAGCAGTGTGGGACAGGAATAGATTTGAATCTTAGCTTTGCCACTGTGTGCCTTTGATTGGGCTACTTACCGTTCCTGGGCCTCAGTTTTCCCATCTATAAAATAGGCATAATAATAACACCTACTTTATAGGGTTCTTGAGATGATTAAATGAAGTAATGTGCAGGAAGTACGTAATGCAGTTGCTGGCTTATTAAATGTTACTTTTTCCTTTCATCAATGTCTCTTTCTAAGCCTGTACTTCAATAAGAGATTTGAAGGCAAAGGAAAAGAGAAGCCACTTCAGATAGGTAAATTAAGTATATTTGTAGAATTTTGCTTAAATCATAGGGGCTTTACGACCTTCCTACAAAGTTCTTTTTTCCCTATGTTGTGGTCTGTGAATAAAAAGTTTAGTTGATGATAAGATCAGTATGTTTCCATTTGCCCCTGCAAGCTGATTTGATGGTGTTGCATTACTCCATGCTGGCCATGGAGTATTATTTCTTTTGGGTTCAGAGAAAAGTGAGCAATATGGAAAAGGGACTAAGAACCTTGACACTTAAAAGGACCTGGAGATGCTTAGAAGAGAAACCCCAGGAAGGATCTGAGAGCTGATTTCAAGTGTTAGAAGAGTTGAAGTATAAAAAAAGGGATTGGGTATATTTCACGTCACTCCTAGCACTAAAACAAAGACTTCATGGAATGATGGTTTTCTGCTGAGCGTGAGGAAGAACTTTCTGACAAATCTGTTCAAAAATAGATCAGTCTGCCTTGGAATGTCTAAGTACTAGGATGTTGAAACAAAGACTACACAATCAGAAAAAAAGGTCTGGGGCACCAGTGCCCATGTTTTCAGTTATAAAGGCCCCTGTTGCATGCCAAAAGGGAGCATTCTTCTCTCACCATGTGACAGTAGGTATACTTTATTATTTGGGTGACATCATAGCTAAAAAAACTGTGATGAATTCAGTAATTCTTTTAAATTAATATATATTTTAGGGATGACACTATTTGTTCCCAAGTTTAGGAATCAAAGAATGAGTCTAGAATGTATATACATTTTAAAAATAAACAAAGGTAAATGGGCAAACACTGATTCCATCTACAGGTGGGACTGGTGGTAGTAATGAGTCCCAGACTCTTACCACAACTACCACTTAAATAGCAGTCTGGCTTCCAGACTGAGAACCACTAGCCTAGAATGAACATTTTAAATAAGGGTTTTTTTGTTTTTGTTTTTGTTTTTGTTTTTGTTTGAAACAGAGTCTCGCTCTGTTGCCGGGCTGGAGTGCAGTGGTATGATCTCAGCTCACTGCAGCCTCTGCCCCCCAGGTTCAAACAATTCTGCTGCCTCAGCCTCTCGAGTAGCTGGGACTACAGGTGCGCGCCGCCACACCGGGTTAAATTTTTTTTTTTTTTTTTTTTTTAGTAGGGTCAGGGTTTCACCATGTTGGCCAGGATGGTCTTGATCTCCTAACCTCATGATCTGCCCACCTTGGCCTCCCAAAGTGCTGGGATTACAAGCGTGAGCCACCGCACCCAGCCAAAAAGTGGTTTTTTAAAATGACTTTTCAGGCCGGGCACGGTGGCTCACGCCTATAATCCCAATACTTTGGGAGACTGAGGCAGGCAGATTACTTGAGGTCAGGAGTTCAAGTCCAGGCTGACCAACATGGCGAAACCCCACCTCTACTAAAAACACAAAATTAGCCAGGCATGGTGGCTCGTGCCTGTAATCCCAGCTACTGGGAAAGCTAAGGCAGAAGAATCGCTTGAACCCAGGAGGCGGGGGTTGCAGTGAGCCGAGATCGTGCCACTGCACTCCAGCCTGGGCAACAGAGCAAGACCCTATATGAAGAAAAAAAAAAAAAAGACTTTTCAGAATTTTCTAGGACTCCACCTTTCTTTTTTCCTATTGCAGAGCTGCAGCCACGTGACTGTTGTGGACAGAGCAGTGACCATCACAGACCTTCGATGAGCGTTTGAGTCCAACACCTTCCAAGAACAACAAAACCATATCAGTGTACTGTAGCCCCTTAATTTAAGCTTTCTAGAAAGCTTTGGAAGTTTTTGTAGATAGTAGAAAGGGGGGCATCACCTGAGAAAGAGCTGATTTTGTATTTCAGGTTTGAAAAGAAATAACTGAACATATTTTTTAGGCAAGTCAGAAAGAGAACATGGTCACCCAAAAGCAACTGTAACTCAGAAATTAAGTTACTCAGAAATTAAGTAGCTCAGAAATTAAGAAAGAATGGTATAATGAACCCCCATATACCCTTCCTTCTGGATTCACCAATTGTTAACATTTTTTTCCTCTCAGCTATCCTTCTAATTTCTCTCTAATTTCAATTTGTTTATATTTACCTCTGGGCTCAATAAGGGCATCTGTGCAGAAATTTGGAAGCCATTTAGAAAATCTTTTGGATTTTCCTGTGGTTTATGGCAATATGAATGGAGCTTATTACTGGGGTGAGGGACAGCTTACTCCATTTGACCAGATTGTTTGGCTAACACATCCCGAAGAATGATTTTGTCAGGAATTATTGTTATTTAATAAATATTTCAGGATATTTTTCCTCTACAATAAAGTAACAATTAACTTATGTTTTTGTGCTTCAGAGTGATCCATTTGATCAAGCATTGTATAAACAGGTTAAAAAAAAGGTATGGTTGTTTTGGAAAGGTGAAGGAAAAATGGAATTTGAGATATACTGACACTGATGGTGTGTCCCAGTTCACTTTTAATTACTCCTTGTTTTTTATCTGCCTGTTGCCATCTTCCAGAGGTGTTGTGAAGTCATCTCTGTTCTTTTGGTGCTGTCTCAAATGGGTCAACCATTCACTTCCTCCTTATGCCCTCCATGCTTTTGGCTGAGGATAATGAAGCCTTTGTTTGGAGTACCAGGTTACACTCCAATAAATGATTACATTTCCCAGCCACCCCACCCTACCAATTTCATTGTGTTGGCTGTTCTTTTCTGACTAAGGCAATACCTAGGAAAACGCTTGAAGCAGCAATTGTTACTGCAATTTTCTGTGAGCTGAGCCTGGTGTTCTAGGTGGCCTAGAAATAATGGTGTCATTTGTGACACCTCGAGTGAGGGCAGGAGAGTAAATACTTTGGCTAGGAGAAGAGTGATTTATTCTTTATCAGAATTCTAGGTGGGGGAGGGAGAATCTGTGAATGCATAAAGTTTTCTTCATTTTTAAATTTTGTCTCAGTCTTTATTGCTTAGGTTAGTGGTCCTTGAACTTGTCCCCTGAAAGAGCCCAGTTCTCTATATTCTTTTTCTTCTCTTGGGTTCTTAATTCCCCATATAGTGGAAATTCCTTCTTTGCTGTTTTGGTATGGGTGGGTCTGGGGGCCAGCTGGGCTTGGACAAGCCATTTCCTGCTGCAGCCCAGAGCAGCCTGGCTGTTCCACCTTGCTCTAAACAGTCCTGAAATTGCCCAGTCCTCTGCTTTTGGGAAATCCATCCCCTTCTTCCCATTCTTTGTCTACCACTTAGCTTAGGGCTTTCTTACCTTTTATTTCGACTGTAGCCGTTGGCTTTTACCAAGTCTCTTTGTTTTTAGCATTTCTTCATTCCAGTCTGTTCTGCACACTTTGATCAGGAGAAGCTTCTCACATTCCAGCCATGTTCATGTTTTCTCTCTTGCTCAAAAACCTGCAATAGCTTCCCATTGCTGAAAATCTAAATTTAGCTTTTAGTCAGAACTTTCCACTTAAAGTTCTTACCCCTGGCTATATATTCAAATATCTAGGGAGCAATTTAAAAAATACTGATGCCTGTGTTCTACCCCCCACCAATTAAAGCTGAATCTCTAGGGTGGAGCCTCAGATGTTGTTTCTGCATTTGTCTTTCAAGCTGCTAGAATTCTCAAGTACAACCAGGGTTGACAACCACTGCATTGGTCTTTGATACCTAAGAATTGTGAGCTCTCTTATCCGTCTCTGCCCACCAAAGACATTCAGCCAGGTCAACAACATATCATACGTTGCAACCACATTGATCACAGACTGATCACCAAACTGCTATATTTTCTTTTCTCTTCCTCTAGGCACAAGATATCTTAGTGGCTAGATGGGTGCAGGAAATCAGTCTGTAGATCCCTCTTCATATCTGCTGCAGCCTAGCCACTGCAGAGGCACTCTGCATAGGATGGTCTAAGTGTCTCTGTCTTCATCTTACCTCTGTGGAGGAGACGTGGAATCAAGCCAGCCCACAAGCCCTGAGACTGGATAGGCCGGAGAGAAAGAGGAGTAGCCAGAGCGGTCGGGAAAAGAGGAAAGGAATACTGTGGGTAAAAGGGACAAAGACCACGCAACCTGAGGAAAGACATTGTATTGAAAGGGTAATGACTATTTGGCTAAAGGGACTGACTCCTGGGTTCCCGAGGCTCAAAGACCAGGAGACTTTTCCACTCTTGCAAGCTGCACAAGTACCATACTTAGTGTTCTGGGCTGAGAGGGGAGACAAAAGCATCGTCAGGTTGCCAAACAATGTCCCAGTTGCCCTGGGAGGCACAAACCTACCAAAGTGCCATAGGCCAGGTGCAGAGAGAATCAGAGGAGCTGATTTGCTTGGGGTCAGAGCAGAGCTGGGTTTTTTCAGATGATCACTTTCACATACTCCTTGTTAAATGGGACCAAAGGGGAAGAAGAAGAAACCCTTAAGCTTTTGTAATATTGTCTTGGGTACCAGATACCATAAAAGGCAGCATGAGAGAAACATTCCCTTGGGCCAGTGTCATGGTGGATTTTCTTGCTTGAGAGGCAAGGATTTCAGCTTTCATTTGGTACCACAGAATTTAAAATTGTAAGTGCCTATCCCTTTTGACTGTTGATGGCTTCTTTGGGGTTTTAGTTACCCCAGTTGAAAGAGAAATTTTTCATATTGGGGTTGAGAAGAATGGAGGCTATTAGGAGCAAAGCTTTAATGAGTGAAAGTCTGGTGAATCCTGCAATTTTGATATGTTTCCAGTGGATTTTGAGAACACAGTTTTAGGACCAGAGTAGATGTTGTTCCCTAGAAAATAGAGTCAGCTATTGATATTGTGCCTCCCATCCCTCATATCTCAGTGTTTTAACCCCACCTGAGTTTGGAGACCAGTTTGTCCAAGGATCTTTCAAACATGTGAGCCCAGAGTAGAACTTCTGAGTCAAGGATCATGTCTTTTTCTGAGGAGCTTTGCTTGGGGCACTGGAAATCCTGTTTAGATCAGGACTATTGGAATATTATCCTCTCCAGGGGAAGTGCCAGGTTGAACATTTAAGGCTTTGCTTCTAGGCCCAGCTATACATTCACCAGCAAATCACTTAACTTCCTAAATTTCTTTAAAATCTGTAAAATGGGATCAGTCTAATATGCCTACCTCAAATGATGACAGAATGACATCTATATGCATATGAGGCCTACGTTAGTTGAAAGATGCTATAAAGATATAAGGGATTTGTTACTTGTCTTTCTTGAAATGTTACAGTTGGGGTGCGGTTGCTTCTATCTTCTGGACCTCTGCCCATTCAGCATACAGCTAGAGGAATCTTTGGGCAGATCCACATTCTTTAGCACTAGCTAGGCTTTGACTCCAAAGCTATCTGGTCTACCTTGATGTTCTGAGCAGGAAAACTGAGGACCTCAAGAACCATTCCAAATTTCTACTCATTCTCCCTAAGACCCAGAGCAGACCCAGGACCTAAAGAAATTACATCATCTCTATTTTCCCTTGGCTCCAGCCCACTCTTGTTTGAACCTCCCACTTTTGTTGTTCCAACTACTTCTTGAGATGAAGGAAGGGCAGAACATTGGCCCTCTTCACTGAAGTCTTCACCCCTTAATCCAGGGTTCAATTTTTAGTTCACCTTAGCCTGTTTGAGATTAGAAGCTGGGCCTTAACTTACAGGTGTGTCCGGCATCATTCAATCAGCCTGTTAGATCCAGAATCCAGCACTGTGACGCTACATAACCATGGGCTCTGTCCTTCCAGTTCCTTTAGTGCCTTCCCTCACTGGTAGGTTCACTCTGAGGGCTTCCTTCCTTGAACTCCAGTGGCAACTATAGTCTGTTTCCCACAATTTGTTGTGTGTGTTTTTTGTTGTTTTGCAGCGTTTTCATATTGTCTTTTATGTAAGTCATGTTTCTGAACTATCGTATAAATTTCATTAGGGTAAGAATCATGTTTGCTTTATGCACTGTGTAACATGCCTTGCAGTCAGTATAGGCACTTAACCTTATTGATCAGTTGTTCCTTGGTGTTGAATAATGTGTTAGGTAGCCAGGTGGACCTGTGTCCTAGCCTGGAGAAGCTCTATGTCACCTTGTAGGAAGCCATCTGAATTTGACTCAGCATCATATGCTGGGCCTGTGCTGCACTTGAGCTTTCTTTCCAGCCGCCAGGAGGGATGGTTGTCCTGGCCAACAGCGAATTTAATGGGTGGTCAAAAGAAGATGTGCCTGCATAGAAGGCTGAAAGAGGGAGCTGGAAGTAGGAGGAGACAAGGAGATAGTGACACCAGTATCTTGTCACAGAAATCAAGGAAGGCAACAGTTTAAAGGAGGGGAGGGAGATCAGTGGTGCCAACTGGCTCAGAAGAGGTTTGCTGGGTTAAATCTCAAGATGAGCCCATGAGATCTGGTGGTTAGCAGAGGCCTTTCCTGACAACCCCATTTTAAGCACCTCTTCCCCATCACTCTATCTCATCACTGTTACTGTCTGTGTAGCCCTGTCATGAGCTAAAATCATCCTGTTTGTTTATTGCTAGCTTATGTGTCTAAAGTATACTCCTTGAGAACAGCAACTTTGTCTTTTTCACCTTTGTACTGAGTCCCCTGACATGGAATAAGATATGAATAAATGCACAGACTTGTCCAAAATCATCCAATTAATAAATGGTAAGGCTTTGCTTTTTTGGGAGAAGTGCAACAAATGTGAGCACATTTTAAATATTGATGTTTAAAGATTGTGAAAATTAAAAATTAACAATCAGCCGGGCATGGTGGCTCATGCCTGTCATCCCAGCAGGAGGCCAAGGCGGGTGGATCACCTGAGGTCAGGAGTTTGAGACCAGCCTGATCAACATGGAGAAACCCTGTCTCTACTAAAAATACAAAATTAGCCAGATGTGGTGGCACATGCCTGTAATCCCAGCTACTTGGGAGGCTAAGGCATGAGAATCGCTTGAACCTGGGAAGTGGAGGTTGTGGTGAGCCAAGATCACGCCATTGCACTCCAGCCTGGGCAACGAGCGAAACTCCGTCTAAAAAAATAAATAAATAACAATAATAGAAGGTTACCTCTAGAAGAAAGGCAAATGAGAAAAACTACATATATAATCATTCATCTTTTATTTAGAGATGAACGATAATACAATATCACAAATTAAAATTTCTGTAATTTCTACAAATTATACAGAGAAGGAAATTTAGAACTCTAAATGCTTTCATTATTTAAGAAGAAAGAATCAAAAGATATGAATTAAGCATCGGACTCAAATTAGAAAAAGAATAATAAAATATACTAGGAAACCAGGGGGAAAGAAATAAGTACTAAAGCAGAAATTGGCCAGGTGCGGTGGCTTACGCCTGTAATCCCAGCACTTTAGGAGGCCGAGGCGGGTGGATCACCTGAGGTCAGGAGTTCAAGACCAGCGTGACAAACATGGAGAAACCCCATCTTTACTAAAAATACAAAATTAGCCGGCTGTGGTGGCACACGCCTGTAATCCCAGCTACTTGGGAGGCTGAGGCAGGAGAATCGTTTGAGCTCAGGAGGCGGAGGTTGTGGTGAGCCGAGATCACGCCATTGCGCTCCAGCCTGGGCAACAAGAGCAAAACTCTGTCTCAAAAAAAAAAAAAAAACCCAGAAATTAAGTAAATGACATAAGTCATTTTTATGAGCACAATCTCATAAATTGTGTACACACACACACACTTCACATCAAAATCAATAATATAGATGCAAAAATTCTAAATAGAACACTAAAAAAATCATCAATCTAGTAAAGGAATAAAGTATCCTAACTGCCAGCATGTATTATGCATCCTCATGTAGGACTTGCCCATGATTCCACTGCTAGAAAGTGATGAGTCGGATGGCAGCCCAGGTCTACCTGACTCTGAGAGCCCTGAGGCGTTTGGTGATTTTTGTCCCTAGAATGTAATGGTGACCTCATTAAAAGAAATCCACTGATATAATATATCACAGGAGTAGGTCAAAGGAAACAAGCAGAAACAAGAGTCTCTCATAAAAAAAAATTTTTTTAAGATGAAAATCAACATTTATTTTTTATTTTTTAAACTCCCCTAGTAAGGAAAGAAAGGGCCAGGCACAGTGGCATACATCTGTGATCCCAGCGCTTTGGGAGGCTGAGGTGGGCGGATCACTTAAGCCCAGGGATTCGAGACCAGCCTGGGCAACATAGTGAAACCCTGTCTCTACAAAAAACTAGCCAGGCATTGGTGCATGCCTGTGGTCCTAGCTACCCAGTAAGCTGAGGTGGGAGGATCACCTGAGCCCAGGGAGGTCAAGGCTATAGTGAGCTGTGATAGCGCCACTGCACTCCAGCCTGGA
The DNA here is from genome assembly GCF_000001405.40 of Homo sapiens. NCBI lineage: Eukaryota > Metazoa > Chordata > Mammalia > Primates > Hominidae > Homo > Homo sapiens. The sequence goes on from NC_000002.12 coordinate 73,868,853, forward strand.
CGAGGGTGAGAGAGGCCTTGACTCAAAAAAAGAAAAAAAAAGAAAGCAAGAAGCTTCGTTAACATGATAAAATAAATCTTCTAATATATAACACCCAGCGTCATACTTAATAAGCAAACACTGCTGTCAGGGACAAGATAGATCCATTCTAACTACTATTATTGAACAGTGTCCTGAAAGGATAATCTAACCAATGCAGTGAAGCAGGATAAAGAGTATACTACTGGAAAGCAGACAGGTTTGGGCTACAAGCTAAGTATCTACCTAGAAATCTGAAGATAATAAATTCTGAAAAATGGTCAGACCTATTAAGAGAAAGGCACAACGATGTTCACTAAAAGATACATTTTAAAACTTTGAAAATAGCTTTTCAGTACAGGTAATAGCCATTTGTGATTGGGGGAAAAAAAATCTAATTCAGCACATAGCAACTAAAAATATAAAATACTTTGGAACAAAGTTAACAGGAAATGTGCAAGCCTCATATGAAGAAAACCAGTAAGCTTTTCAGAGGAACATGAAGAAAATAAATGGAAAGACAGGCACACTATCGGTATTCTATGAGAGAAAGACAATGTTTTAATTTTAAAGATGCTACGTCTTCTTTAATCCAAAAATTTAAATGCAAGTCTGCTAAAAAGTATCATTTTTTAACTTGAAAGATTATTCTAAAATTAATCTGAGATATGTGAAATAACATTTAAAAATTGAAAGAAAAAAAGAATTTTGGGGGAAATTTATTACCAGATAATGCTTATTATAAACCTATGCTAAATGACGAGTTAATGGGTGCAGCACACCAACATGGCACATGTATACATATGGAACAAACCTGCACATTGTGCACATGTACCCTAAAACTTAAAGTATAATAATAATAAAACTTTAAAAAATAAAAATAAAAAATAAACCTATAAGTTAAAGTAATTTGATACTGACCGAGGACTAGATTAAGAATCAGCAAACTTTATTGTTGAAGGAAGTAAGACTTAGAAGAGTTTAAGTTGACCAAGGCCACAGAACTCCAAATGAATAGTGTCAGACTTTCAAACCCACACTCAACCACACTGTAATGCTGCCTTCCTAAAATATACATTAATACATGTATTCAGAAAAACTATGAATAAGAAGTACCTAAAAATATTAATATTAGTTATCTGTAGGTGATAGAATTATGGGATGACTGTTCATTTTTCCCCCATATCCTTTTTCGAATTTCTTCAAATGTACTACAAAGAACATGTATTGCTTTTATAATTGGACAAAAAGGACAATACCTTCTATTTTCAGAAACCGAAACTTCATTGCCCCTTCAATGTGGGAATCCAGCCAGACCCTATTCTTGGACAGCATCAGTGAAAGGGGCTTGGGAAAGCTCTTGGGCGTAGCAGCAGAGGCATGTCATATATGGAAACCTTCCATGAGGGTGACCTCACCACTGGAACCCGTTCAACATAAACCTTGCTGCAAGAACTAGCAGAGCTCTTTGGACAAAACGTGGTGAGTGGAGAGCTGAGAAAGAACTGACCTAAAGAAGAGAGAAGTGCTGGTCTTACAGCATGAAGAAGTCCTGGGTACCCATCTGGGCTTAGCAGGCCTCCTTTATGATCTATTCCTAGAGAAGGATTACTTTTCCCAACCTCAGCCTCCTTCAAAGAAGAACTCCCACCGTGGCCCAGGGTTATTTCTGTCTTTTTTTCTGGACTTGCGTTAGAATGTAGGATGTTTCTTGTGTTGGACAAATCATAATGGGTTATTGGTGGGTGACAGAAGTGAAAACATTACCTAGACTAAAGGAAGTAACACTATTCTTAGATATCCCTCCATAATTCCCTATGGTTAGCTTCCCTATCCCCAGCAGCCTCCTCTCTTCACCCCATTTTGCCTTCAAAAAAGTGAATGGCATCATATCAAAGCACAATTCCATCAAAATATTTCCATGCCACCTGCAGCACCAGGCCCTGTGCCACGTTGAACAGCTCTTAACACCCTGCTTGCCACACTTAGACACCTGTGTCTAGAACTTTTCTCACACAGCCTAGTATACACCTTTCCCATGTTGTAGGAGGGTTTAAATTTTATTTTATATTATTTTTAGTAGAGACGGGAGTCTCACTTTGTTGTCCAGGCTGGCCTTAAGCTCCTGGCCTCAAGCAATTCTCCCACCCCAGCCTTCCAAAGCGCTGGGATTACAGGTGTGAGCCACTGTGCCTTGGCCAAGAGTTTAAAATTATTTTTAATTGAACCATAGTAAATGCAGGATAAGTTTACACAAATATTTTGGTTCTCAGCCACAGTGTTGTTCTGTAAGCACAGGGCCTATGATTATGGCCTTTGAGACTTCAGCTGGCCTATGAGGAAACCACATAATGAAAATAGAACCCTGTTAGTTAAAATTCTTTTAATTGCGGCCGGGCGTGGTGGCTCATGCTTGTAATCCCAGCACTTTGGGAGGCTGAGGTGGGTGGATCACCAGAGATCAGGAGTTCAAGACCAGCCTGTCCAACATAGTGAAACCCCGTCTCTACGAAAAATACCAAAAAAAATTAGCCAGGCGTGGTGGTGGGTGCCTGCAATCCCAGCTACTCAGGAGGCTGAGACAGGAGAATCACTTGAACCCGGGAGGCAGAGGTTGCAGTGAGCCGAGATCGCATCACTACACTCCAGCCTGGGCAACAGAGTGAGACTCCGTCTCAAAAAAAAAAAAAAAAATTCTTTTAATTGCACTGACAGAAAACTCAATTAAAACTGGTGTTCAGGTACAGCTGGATCCAGTGTCCATTGTCATCAAGGCTAATTTTTTATTCATCTCTAGGCTCTTCTATGCTTAATGTTTGTTCATTTAATTGGGTTTTTCAATGAGGTAGCTTTGACAGCTAGAAGGTTATAGCCTATTGCCTTGGTAAACTCAGCAAGAAAAAAACTTTTTTTTTGAAACAGAGGCTCGCTGTGTCACCCAGGCTGGAGTGCAGTGGCGTGATCTCAGCTCACCGCAACCTCTACCTCCTGGGTTCAAGTGATTCTTCTGCCTCAGCCTCCTGAGCAGCTGGGATTACAGGCGCACACCACCATGCCTGGCTAATTTTTGTATTTTTTTTTTAGTATAGACGGGGTTTCACCATGTTGGCCAAGCTGGTCTCAAACTCCTGACCTCAAGGGATCCACCCGCCTAGACCTCCCAAAGTGCTGGGATTACAGACGTGAGCCACCTCATCTGGCCAAGAAAAAGAACTTTTTAGTTCAACAGTTTCAACACAATATTTGGAATTGAGATATTGGGTCATGGCTTTGGTCATGACTTCATCCTTGAACCAATCACTCTGACCAGGAGGATGGAATATTAGCCAGGCCTGGATCATGTACCCATAACCCATCTACGCCACATGCACTGAGAGTGGGGCAGCATTCATTTCCAAAGAAGAATGGTGGTGGCAGAAGGGGAAGTAGATGCTGGGCAGGCAAAGGCAACAGATGTCCACCATGCATGCCTAGAAGAAAAAAGTGCTGTTAGCTTTAGATAATAGCAGCTGGACGATGGGGTAGTGACCTTCTCACTCCCAAAAAGGTGGGTCGCACATCCAGGCTGTGGGTCATTCATTTAATTTGCATATATTGAGTACCTGCTGTGTGCAGAGCACTGTTCAAAGTACACAAGAAGTAGATGTTACGCTCTCTGTCCTCAAGGAGCAGATAAGTAAGATAAAGGAGCCCTACTCTCACAGTGCAAGAGCAATTCATGATCAATGAGTGTACGCAGAATCATGAGCACCAACTTTATCCCGAAGTGTTGAGGGAACCCAAGTGAGGGAGAAATGAATGTTCTCATTTTAATTTCTGTATCTTCCACTTTTATTCAACAAATATTTACTGTATGCCTACTAAATTCAAGTCCCACAGGACTCTAGAAACCTCGTAGAAAGGATTTCAGACAGATTCCTAGGATGTGTAAAATATGAGAAAGAGAAAATAAATTGAAAGTGGGGGAAGGATCTAGAAATCAAGTATGCAACAAAGTGAATTCAGGAATAAAGTAAAACACGTAAACCGTGATTACTTACATTCCTACCGTGGATGGGCCGTAGGATGTATGATGTAATAAATAATTTGCATAACAAACCCAACATCAGGTAGAGGGGTTCTGTTTTCCCATAGAAATGATGGAATCTCACTAAAGCACAAGATATGGTAAATGTAATTCTACTGGAACTGTGGTGAGTGTGGGGAAGGCAACATAGTCCAGCTGAGACACCGGGTTGTCTGCTAACTGGACCTAGCCTAGGGATGGATTTCATCACATCTGGGAGCTCAGGTGGACTGCATGCATTTTAAACAACTCTGGGTTGTTTTCTGCACTGACATTTTAATAAATATTTAGTGACAGTGAGCTCAGAATCGTATCTTTGGCAAGTGCCTGGGGTGCAGCTGCCATTCTTTATTGATGGCTGAGTAAGATATGAGGCGCTTAACTTTTAACTCATTTTTGTTTTGTTTTAACACAGCTCACCAAGATGGAGGAACAGAGCCCATGGCCCACTTACTACATGGATTCCCACTTTACAGTGGAGAAGGAGCTTGCAGTAACCACAAAAGTTTCTGTATAAGCAAATTTAGGGAATTGAACTTCAGACAGTGTGGTTGTCTCCTTACTTATGAACTTGGGAATACTTACTTAGGTAACAACTAACATCAGAGGTTTTTGATCTGTAGCCTTTCTTTCTGTCCATAATTAGCTAATAGCTTCTGCTGTACAAACACAAACCATTCCCTGTCCAAGAAAATTAAACTATATCATCAGAATAAGAAAGAATATTCCTTTTTCTTTTGTGTGAGTGTGGTTTTTGTTTTTCTGGGTTTTTTTAGCGGGGAGGGTTGTTTGTTTTTGAGGGAGGACTTGCTCTGTCACCCAGGCCGGAGTGCAGTGGCCCTATTATAGCTCACTGTAGCCTCAACCTCTTGGGCTCAAGTGATCCTCCCACCTCAGCCTCCCAAGTAGCTGGGACTAGAGATGTGCACCACCATGCCTGGCTAATCTTTTAAGTTTTTTGTAGAGACAGGGTCTTGCTATGTTACCCAAGCTGGTCTCAAACTCCTGGCCTCAAGCAATCCTCCCGACTTGGCCTCCCCAAAGTGCTTGGATTATAGGCATGAACCATTATGCCCAGCCTCCTTTTTTTTTTTTTTTTTTTTCCTAATAGCAAAGGAGGCTATGCAACCAGCTCATCCAAAGACGGCATCAGATTTTTTTTTTTTTTTTAATGAGTGGAAAAGTACATGGTGTCAGAGCCCAGCCTGGATCAGCCCTCAGGAAAGTTGTTCCCACAGCTCTGACCCATGAAGCAGAAGAGCAGTGCCCAATCAATTCAGCCAGGGCCCACAGCTGAGGATAGGTCAATAAAAGTTGCAAATGATTTGATATTATTCTTGCTACCATAAAGCAAAAATTATGGCAGTAGCAGCCTATCGTGGAATTATTATTTAAAGCTCATCTGTTCCTTATGTCAAATGCTGATCTGAGAATCCCAATTTATACAATTTGTTAAAAAGCTGGCATGGAATTTGGGTAGAATGGCCAATAAACAAATAGACTTTTCATTTGAGTTAGAGGAGATACAGGATGTCCTTATTGAAGGCAAGTTAAACTGGACTCTGTGTCTAGCCAAACAAAGCCACGTCCATAGAGTAAGAAAATAAAAATGAACACAATAAATAAATAAAGCAATCAATAAAACTGAGGATTGGAGCTCACGATTCAGAAGCATTGACAACTCCAGAGGCAGAAAGTTCTATGTGTGTGCTTTAGATTAGGGTCAAGTTTTAAAATTGCCTGGGCAGTGAAGGACCATAACTGAGTTCTAGTCAGAGACTTGCCTCATATTTATAAAACTTGGGGCAGTTGACCCCATTTTGTAAGAGCTGGAGGAAGTGAACTTCCTAGGTGTTACTCAGCATTGGGCCCCACACAAACCCACTTTCCAGAATAACTCAGAAAACTTACAGAGTCCACCCTTGTTGCCAGAGATCTATCAGCCAGATTCAATTCTTACCACAATGTATTGAAGTAAAGTATTTTTAAGACAGTGAAAGGCCGGGCCCAGTGGCTCACGTCTATAATCCCAACACTTTGGGAGGCTGAGGCGGGTGGATCACGAGGTCAGGAGATCGAGACCAGCCTGGCCAACATGGTGAAACCCCGTCTCTACTAAAAATACAAAAATTAACCGGGCATGGTGGTGCGTGCCTGTAATCCCAGCTGCTCAGGAGGCTGAGGCAGGAGAATCGCTTGAACCCGGGAGGTGGAGGTTGCAGTGAGCCAAGATCACACCACTGCACTCCAGTCTGGCGACAGAGGGAGACTCCATCTCAAAAAAAAATAAATAAAGACCGTGAAAAATGTAGGATAAACTGTAACTTTGATGAAGTCCTGAGTGGCCTCTTCCTATCTTGGTTCTTCACAGCTTCTTCATTTGACTTGTTAAAGGTCATTTTTGGTTACCCAAAAATCCTTCTTAAACCAAATGTATGGAAAGGAGGACCCAGATTTGCAGTAACATTTTGAAACTAAAACTGATTCTTAGTTATTTGCGTTATGTTGTTATGTGAGAACTTCACCTTCAGAACACTGCAAGTGATGATTTTAATAGTTCTCAGCTAACACCAAGTTGCAAGTAGAGCTTTCTCCCTCAGTACTAGGGGAGGCATAATGCCAAGCTTACGAGGGCAGGTGCAGGGGCGAGACTGACCGGGGATATTCCTGGCTTCCTCACTTACTGGTTGCATGACTTCAAAAAGTAAACTGACCTCCCTGGTCTCACAGTCTTCAACGTTTCAAAATGTAAATAATACCAGGATTAGGCCAGGCATGGTGGCTCATGCCTGTAATCCCAGCACTTTGGGAGGCCGAGGCGGGCAGATCACTTGAGGTCAGGAGTTCCAGACCAGCCTGACCAATATGGTGAAAGCCTGTCTCTACTGAAAACATACATAAATTAGCTGGGCATGGCTGCTGGCACCTGTAATCCCAGCTACCCGGGAGGATGAGACAGGAAAATCACTTGAGCCTGGGAGGCAGAGGTTGCAGTGAGTCGAGATTGCACCACCGCACTCCATCCTGGGTGACAGAGTGAGACTGTCTCAAAAAAAAAAAAAAAAAAACAAGATTAAATAAGATAATGCATACACATGGCTCAGTACAATTTGCAGCATACACACACGACTCCATACATGGCAACTATGGATAATATAACAATAATAGTAATAAGGCCTAAGTCCAGTAGTTGCCACCGTGCCCAGCCCCTACTTTCATTTAAAAGACACCCTTGGCCAGGCATGGTGGCTCACAGCTGTAATCCTAGCACTTTAGGAGGTTGTGGCAGGAGGATCACTTGAGTCCAGGACTTTGAGACCAGCCTGGGCAATGTGGTGAGACCCAGTCTCTACAAAAAATACAAAAAGCAGCCAGGCATGGTGGTTTGCACCTATAGTGCCAACTACTCAGGAGGCTGAGGTGGGAGGAGCGCTTGAGCCAAGGAGGTCGAGGCTGCAGTGAGCCATGATTGGGCCACTGTCCTCCAACCTGGGTGACAGAGCAAGACTCTTGTCTCCAAAATAAAAAAATAAAAGCTACCCTTCTGGGTAGGCAGGCCTGAGTTGTTGGGTAGAGCTTGACTTTTAAAAGAACCATCCTGTGGGGAGGCTTCTAGCCCCCTTTTTCCCCATCACCACCATCCCCAGCTTCTCCTGTCTCCCAAGATGAGGATAGGGAGGCTGGGAAACACACACCCAAGTGCTTGCCAGGAAGTATGGGAGTGGGAGTGAGAGACTGCCTGATAATAAGAGAAGTGGGGTTACTGGAGCCCAGATCTTGGGGTACCTCCCAAGCCACTCAAGGCTCAGAACACATGGAAAGCAGAGAGCGGTGTTCAGACAAACTGAACATTCAGAGATACTGAATATTTGATTCCAGACCACCACAGTAAAGCAAGTTGCACACATTTTTTTGTTTCCTAGTGCATATAAAAATTATGTTTACACTACACTGTACTCTATTAACTGTGCAATAGCACTGTATCTAAAAAGATGTACATACCTTAATTTTAAAATACTTTATTGCTGAGTCTCAGCAAGCACGCTGGCAGGAGACACATGGGTCCTGCATTCCAGCCTCTGGAGACCAAGATTTGCTTTCTGCTTACTCTGAACTGAGGTGCTCATGATGGAGTCAGCCAAAGAGGAGAAAATCTGTTCTGGTGTGCCCTGGCTCTCTCTACTCCCCAAGTATGCCATGGCTGAGGAGTGGGCACCAGGGAGCAGACTGAGGTTGGGTTTCAAACCAAGAAACTTGATTCTCCTGGTTAAGATAAACAGCTTTGAGTGCTTGACGGTGAAAATGGCACAATCCATGTTAACGTGTCACAACTTGAAGGCATGACAAAGAACACACTGGGACTTGTGGCACATGGAAATGTGTGCACAGAAAAGACAACTCTGTAATTCTTTAAAAGTAGGAAGACATTCTTCCTTGCCAAAATGCATACATTCGGCTCAGTTATCAAGTTTGAAAATCTCCAAGAATTAAAGAAAGGGTCCCATCACAGCCCTTGATGTTACAGCAGTATGTTCTGCAGTGGCCATGATTGACTCTGTATTGTGATATCAGCCCTTACATACAACTGGAGGAAGTGTGAATTTCATCATACATTCACGACTATTATGGTTACCAAAATCATGCTTCGTTCACACTGTTCCTTCTTTTAGCACCTCTGGCTTGTATCCATGCTGCTTTCATTTTTATTTTCACTATGTACATACAGCTTTGTAATCGGTTCTTCTTTGGAGGAAACACAGTAAACACTGATACAAGTGCAGCCTGGAGAGATCCTCTTTCAGTTGTTCCGCCTGGATTCACCGCATTTGCTGCCTTCTTGTTTACGTTGGGATTCATTTTAGGAACAACCATAACTATTGGGAAGTTTTTTCGTTTGTTTGTTTTTACTTTACAAGTTCTGGGATACATGTGCAGATCGTGCAGCTTTGTTACATAGGTATATATGTGCCATAGTGTTTTGCTGCATCTATCAACTTGTTGTCTAGGTTTAAGCCCCACATGCATTAGGTATTTGTCCTAGTGCTCTCCCTCCCCTTGTCCCCCACCCCCCAATAGGCCTTGGTGTGTGATGTTCCCCTCCCTGTGTCCATGTGTTCTCATTGTTCAACTCACACTTACGAGTGAGAACATGCAGTGTTTAGTTTTCTGTTCCTGTGTTAGTTTGCTGAGGATGATGGTTTCCAGCTTCATCCATGTCCCTGCAAAGGATGTGAACTCATCCTTTTTTATGGCTGCATAATATTCCGTAGTGGATATGTGCCACATTTTCTTGATCCAGTCTATCACGGATAGGCATTTGAGTTGGTTCCGTGTCTTTGCTATTGTGAATATTGCTGCAAGAAACATACGTGTGCATGTGTCTTTATAGTAGAATGATTTATAATCCTTTGGGTATATAGCCAGTAATGGGATTGCTGGGTCAAATGGTATTTCTGGTTCTAGATCCTTGAGGAATCACCACACTGACTTCCAAAATGGTTGAACTAATTTACATTCCCACCAACAGTGTAAAAGCGTTCCTATTTCTCCACATCCTTGCCAGCATCTGTTGTTTCCTCCCTTTATAATGATCACCATTCTAACTGGCGTGAGATGGTATCTCATTGTGGTTTTGATTTGCATTTCTCTAATGACCAGGAAGTTGTTTTTTATCCAGATGAAAATCATCCTCAGAAACAAAACTTTTAGTCAGTCATGGATTGAAGAGAAAGCTAAAGATTGAATTCAGTATTATCAACTAGAGGTCTTTGTTTTTCTTTATGATATGGGAAGTAAATGGAGGAATTTAAACAGGTATTTGTGTGGTCAGGGGTCCCTGAAAGAGATGACCTGGAGTGGCCAATGAGAGAAAGCTATCACCAGTACAGCTTAACACTAGAACAGTTGAAATAAAAAGCAGATAAGAGGCCGGGCGCGGTGTCTCACGCCTGTAATCCCAGCAATTTGGGAGGCCAAGGTGGGTGGATCATTTGAGTCCGGAATTTGAAACCAGCCTGGCCAACATGGTGAAACCTCGTCTCTACTAAAAATACAAAATTTAGGTCGGCATGGTGGCAGGCACCTGTAATCCCAGCTACTCAAGAGGCTGAAGCAGGAGAATCACTTGAACCCAGGAGGTGGAGGTTGCAGTGAGCCGAGATTGTGCCACTGCACTTCAGCCTGGGTGACAGAGTGAGACTCCATTTCAACAACAACAACAATAACAACAAAAGGAAGGAAGGAAGAGAGACAGAAAAGAAAGAAAGAGAGAGAAGAAAGAAAGAGAAGAAAATTTGGGGGAATAGAAAACTGTTCACTCAACACTCCATTACACAGATAAGATTTCATCCTGTTGTTCAAATTCTCTATACTGTTCCTGATTTTTTTGGCTCCTTCTTCTGTCCATTACTGAGAAAGTTGTGCTAAAATCTCCTGATATGATTGCAAATTTATCTATTTCTCTTTTGTGTTTAGTCCATTTTTGAGCTCTATTTATTTACATATACACACATATACATATATACACACACACATTTGGCATGTATATATAAGTTATGTTATTAGATGCATACAAATATGGAATTGTTATATCCTCTGATGAACTGACCCTTTTATGTTATAAAATGTCTCTTTTTATCTTTAGGACTGCTTCTTGCCTTAAAATCTACTTTGAGATTGATACAACTTTCTTTTGATTAGTGCTTCTTACTTTCAATATTACTATATCCTTGCATTTAAGGAGTATCTCTTATAAGCAGCATATTGTCAGTTTATCATTAAATAACCAGCCCAACAATCTTTTTGCTTTGTTTTTAAATTTTATTTTAAGTTCAAGGGTACATGTGCAGGTTCATTATATATGTAAACTTGTATCACGAGAGTTTGTTGTACAGATTATTTCGTCACCCAGGTATTAAGCCTAGTACCCAGCAGTTATTTTTCCTGATCCTCCCTCCTCCCACCCTCCACCCTCCACCCTCCACCCTCCACTCTCCACCCTCCACTCTCCACCCTCAGGTATGCCCCAGTGCCTGTTTTTCCCCTCATTGTGTCCATCTATTTTAGCTTTAGCTCCCACTTATAAGTGAGGGCGTGTATTATTTGATTTTCTGTTCCTGTGTTAGTTTGCTAAGGATAATGGCCTCCAGCTCCATCCATGTTTCTGCAAAAGACATGATCTCATTCTTTTTTATGGCTGCGTAGTTTTTAATGGTGTATATGTATGTACCACATTTTCTCTATCCAGTCTATCATAGATGGGCATGTAGATTGATTCTATGCCTTTGCTATTGTGAATAGTGCTGCAATGAACATACGCATACATGTGTCTTTATGATAGAGCAATTTATATTCCTTTGGGTATATACCCAGTAATAGGATTGCTGGGTGGAATGGTATTTCTGTTTTTAGGTCTTTGAGGAACTACCACACTGTTTTCTATAATGGGTGAACTAATTTACATTCCCACCAACAGTGTATAAGCATTCCTTTATCTCTACAACCTCGCCAGCACCTGTTATTTTTTTACTTTTTAATAATAGCCATTCTGACTGGTGTGAGATGGTAACTCATTGTGATTTTGATTTGCATTTTTCTAATGATCAGTGTTGTTGAGTTTATTTTCATATGCTTGTTGGCTGCATGTATGTCTTCTTTTGAAAAGTGTCTGTTCACGTCCTTTGCCCACTTTTTAATGGGGTCGTTTGTTTTTTCTCGTAAATTTGTTTAAGTTCCTTATAAATGCTGGCTATTAGACCTTTGTCAGATGCGTACTTTGCAAAAATTTTCCCCCATTCTGTACATTGTTTGTTCACTGTTGATAGTTTCTTTTGCTGTGCAGAAGCTCTTTAGTTTGTAATCCCAGCACTTTGGGAGGCCGAGGCAGGTGGATCACTTGAGGTCAGGAGTTCGAGACCAGACTGACCAACATGATGAAACTCCATCTCTACTAAAAATACAAAAATTAGCTGGGTATGGTGGTGGGCGCCTGTAATATCAGCTACTCGGGAAGCTGAGGAGGGAGAATCACTTAAACGCCAGAGGCAGAGGTTGCAGTGAGCTGAGATCGCACCATTGCACTCCAGCCTGGGCAATAAGAGTGCAACTCTGTCTCAAAAAAAAAAAAAAAGAAAAGAAAAATGAAAAAGAATCTCTTTAGTTTAGTTAGATCCCATTTGTCAATTTTTGTTTTTGTTGCAATTGTCTTTGGCATCTTCATCATGAAATCTTTGCCTGTTTCTCTGTCCAGAAAGGTATTGCCTAGGTTGTCTTCCAGGGTTTTGTAGTTTTGGATTTTACATTTAAGTCTTTAATCATTCTTGAGTTGATTTTTGTATATGGTGTAAGGAAAGGGGCCAGTTTCAATCTTCTGTATATGGCTAGCACCAGATACGGAAGTTATGGCTAGGTCATAGTACCCAGGTATTTAGTAAAACATTATCCCAGCACCATTTATTGAATAGGGAGTCCTTTCTCCATTTCCCCATCACTTGTTTTGGTCGCTTTTGTTGAAATCAGATTATTGTAGGTGTGTGGACTTATTTCTGGGCTCTCTATTCTGTTCCATTGATCTATGTGTCTGTTTTTGTTTATATATATATTTGTTTGTGTATATATACATATATATATATATATAGAGAGAGAGAGAGAGAGGATTCTAAGGAATTTGTTCATATGGTTGTGGAGGCTTGGCAGATCTAAAATCTGCAGAGTAGGCTGGGAAAGAATTGGGGTCTGCAGTTTGAGTTTAAAGGCAATCTGCTGGCAGAATTCTTTTTGCTTCCAGAAAAGTCAGTCTTTTTCTATTATGGCTTTCAAATGATTGGATGAGGCCCACTCACATCATGAAGGGTAACCTGCTTTACTCAAAGTCTACTGATTTAAATATAGATCTCATCTGAAAAATAACTTCACAGAAACATCTAGATTAATGTTCCACTAAATACCTGGATAGTGTGGCCTAGCCAAATTGACACATAGAATTAACTATCACAGATCCCAACAGAAAGCCTGGAGTGTTTAACAGTGTTTTTCCTCCACAGTGGGCTCTGAACTCCAGTATTTTTCCCCCAACCCCATCAGTCTGCTAAAACTCTAATTAGCTTCTCAGTCTCTTAGTTACTGCTTCTTGCTTAACTTGATCTACGGCCTTGTACTGCTTAACATGGAAAGATGTCTCAAGAGGAAAGTGACATAGAATATCAGATTCATCCAAATGAGTTTTCTTTCTCTCTAGAAACCTCACCTCTAGAAACGTGAACTGAATGCTTCTCTGATGCCTTCAAACAGGTGATTTTAAAATATTTTATCTTAGAGGATCACTGAGAGGCTGAAAAAAATTATTAAATCCAACTCTTTTCATTAATAATTGTTAATAAACTTATAATGGATTAATACTTTCTTAATATGAAAAATAATGTGAGCTGGGTGTGGTGGTGACTCATGCCTGTAATCCTAGCACTTTGGGAGGCTGAGGCAGAAGGATTACTTGAGCCCAGGAGTTTGAGACCAGCCTGGGCAACATCGGGAGACCCCATCGCTCCAAAAAAATTTTTTTTTAATTAGTCGGGCATGGTGGTGTGCACATGTAGTCCCTGCTACTTGGGAGGCTGAGGTGGGAGGAACCCTGGGGCCTGGGAGGTAAAGGTTGCAGTGAGCCATGATTGTGCCACTGCACTTCAGCCTGGGTGACAGAGCCAGACCCTGTCTGAAAAATAAATAAATGAATAAATATAGTTTTTCTTGGAGAATAAATAAGTAATAATAACGAAGAAATGTTTGAAAGAGAGTGAAGATGCAATATTGCTGATATTAAAAGCTATATTTACAATGATGAGATAATGTTGCTGCAATAAACAGAAATAAAGGAAAAGGGCATAGAAAAAGGGAATATTTCAAATCATGGAGATAGTGTTGACTACTTAATACATAAATGGTATTGACTAGTTAATAAACGACATTGGGAAGTAGCCCTTGGGGAACGGAGGAGACAGAGGAATTTGATCATTATCTTACAGTTTAGACTAAATTTTAGCTGGGTTAAAGATTTCAATATAACAATAGAAATAATGAAAGTGACAGAATAAAAGGCAGTGAAATGTTTACACAAGTATGAGCTGGGGAATGCTTTCCTAAACAGGGCACAAAGATAGATGCCATGAAGGAAGAACAGATTTTATTTTATTTTTTGAGGCGGAGTTTCACTCTTGTTGTCCAAGCTGGAGTGCAATGGCGCGATCTCGGCTCACTGCAACCTCTGCCTTCCTGGTTCAAGCGATTCTCCTGCCTCAGCCTCCTGAGTAGCTGGGATTACAGGCGCCCGCCACTACACCCAGCTAGTTTTTGTATTTTTAGTAGAGACGAGGTTTCACCATGTTGATCAGGCTGGTCTCGAACTTCTGACCTTAGGCGATCCACCTGCCTTGGCCTCCCAAAGTGCTGGGATTACAGGCATGAGCCACCGCGCCTGGCCTCAGATTTTATTACATCAAGTTAAAACATTATCAGAGGATTAACTTGGGAGGATTATTGACTGGGAGAGCTTACCTGGAAACCTGATAGAGACAGTGGTTAAAATAGTGGTGGGGCTGGAGTGGGGAGGGGTGAAGAGGGGAAGGAATTGGGATGTAAGTCAAAGGATACAAAGTAGAAGGTAGGTATGTAGGATGAACAAGTCTAGAGATCTAATGTACACCCTGAGGACTATAGGTCATAAAACTGTATTGTATAGGGGATTCTTGTTAAATAAGTAGATTTTAGATGCTCTTGTCACAATGTAACTATGTGAAATGAGAGATACATCAATTTGCTTCACTATTGTAACCACTTTCCTGTCTCTATGTACCCCATAACATCATGTTTACACCTCAAATATGCACATTTCTAAAGAAGAAGACACTGAGCACTTAAAATTGGTGGTTTACTTTACTGTCTGTATGTTATCCCTCAAATAAAAAAAAATTAGTGAAACTTCTGTTTGGCAAAAGCTACCATGAATGTATTTTTCTTTCTTTCTTTTTTTTTTTATAGCAAGATTTATTATGAAGAGCAAAAGAACAAAGCTTCCACAGCGTGGAAGGGGACCCAAGCAGGTGGCCTACCATGAATGTAATTTTAAAAGAAATGACAAACTAGGAATATTTGCAACAGTCATGACATAGAAAAGATTAATTATCTTTTATTTAACAGCTATTGTAAATCAATAAAAAAGGATCAAGCAATTTAATAACAATGCAAAAACACAAATAGGCAATTCCGAAAAGATATATAAAGGAACAGTAAAAAATAAAAGATTTGCAGCTCACTAATAACCAAACTCAAAACCCAGTGCAACACTATTTTTTACCTATTAGACAGCAAAAATTAACAAGTTTTATGCTGTCTAGCTAGGTTGCACAAAATGAAAATAAGCACTCTTGTGCCTGAGTGGGAGAATAAATTGCAATCATTTTCTGGAGGTCTGGCTTAGCAAAAATGGTTTATAATTAAAATATGCATTCCATTTGACAAAGGAACTTCTCTTTTTAAATTGCTGTAAAGAGATAATCTCACAGGTACACAAATATAAGTAAAAGCACATTCACCACAGTATTGTTTGTAATAGTGACCAATCAGAAACCACTTACGTGGTCAGTCAGTAAAGCTCAATAAATACCTTGAAATATACACAGCCAATAAAATAGATGATGATGAAAATTATACTATGGACACAGAAAAAAGAAATTCCAAAACATTTTGTTATGTTGTAAAAGTGGGATTTGTTTATTGCATTATTTAATGAATATTTATTGAGTGCCTACATGTGTCAGACCCTCTTCTAGGTGCTGGGGATACAGCAGTGAGCAAAAAATAAAAGGAATTGCTGCCTTCCTTTTAGAAGAATGGAGCTGACTTTCTAGTGACAAATGAAAGATAATAAAAAGCAAAATAAATCGTGTAGTATATAAAATAGCATGTGCAGGATGCTACCAGTTTTCTTTTTCCTTTTATTTATTTATTTATTTTTTAGAGACAGAGTCTCACTCTGTGGCCCAGGCTGGAGTACAGTGGCACAATCATAGCTCACTGCAGCCTTGAACTCCTGGGCTCAAAGGCTCCTCCTACCTCAGCCTCCCAAGTAACTGGGACTACAGATCCACACCACTACACCCAACTAATTTTTAAATTTTTTTTAGAGACAGGGTCTCACTATTTTGCCCAGGCTGGTCTTGAACTCCTGGCCTCAAGCATTCCTTCCACCTCAGTCTCCCAAAGTACTGGGATTACAGGCATGAGCCACGACACCTGGCCCTGATACCATTTTTCTAAATGTGTTTATATCTTGAAAATGTCTGGAAAGATTTAAGTTCATAATGGTTATCAGGATGGTGGGAATTTTTTCTACTTTGTCTTATTCCTGAAGTTTTTTGAATGAGTGTTCTTTTTAAATCATATGAAAATAATTTTTACTTTGACAAAAATAAAATGACAAACGTTTATTTTTAAAAGTTTCTGAATAAATATTTGCTATTTTCTTCCCTTGAAGAAATTAAAAATCAATGACTGTCAAGTGGGAAAAAATGTTGTTATGTTGAAATGCTCAAATGCAAATCAAAACCATGAGGATGTGGGGCAACAGGAACTCTCATTCATTGCCAGTGGGAATGCCAAATGGTACAGCTACTTTGCAAGACAATTTGGAAGTTTCTTACAAAACTAACTATATTCTTACCAGAAGGTCTTGCAATTGCACTCCTTGGTATTTACCCAAATGAGCTGAGAACTTATGCTCACACAGAAACTTGCAAAAGGATTTTTTTTTGAGACAGAGTCTGTCTTTGTTGCCCAGGCTGGAGTGCAGTGGTGCGATCTGGGCTCATGGCAACCTCTGCCTCCCAGGTTCAAGTAATTCTTCTGCCTCAGCCTCCCAAGTAGCTAGGACTACAGGCATGTGCCACCGTGCCCAGCTAATTTTGTATTTTTAGTAGAGATGCGGTTTCGCCATGTTGGCCAGGGTGGTCTCGAACTCCTGATCTCAGGTGATCTGCCTGCCTCAGCCTCCCAAAGTGCTGGGATTACAGGTGTGAGCCACTGCGCCCAGCCCAAAAGGATGTTTAGAGCAGCTTTATGCATAACTGCCAAAACTTGGAGGCAACTAAGATGCCCTTCAGTAGGTGAGTGGATATGTAAACTGTAGTACATCCAAACAATGAAATATCACTCAGCACTAAAAAGAAATAAGATATCAAACCGTAAAAAAGACATGGAGAAAACTTAAATCTCTATTGCTAAGTAAAAGAAGTCAACCTTAAAAAGGCCACATACTGTACGATTTCAATTATATGGCATTCAAGAAAAGGCAAAACTATGGAGACAGCAAAAAGATCAATGGTTGCCAGGGGTTGTGGAGGGGAAAGGATGAATAGATGGTCAGTGAAATTAGTCCGTATGACACTACAGTATAAGGGTGGATACATGGCATTATACATTTGTCAAAACCCATTGAATGTACAGCACCAAGAGCAAACCCTAATGCAAACTATGAACTTTGGGTGATAATGATGTGTCAATGTAGGTTCATTGGTTATAACAAATGAACCACATTGGTATATGACTTTGATAGTGGAGAAACCTGAGAGTGTGTGGGTGTTGGGCGTAATGGAAACTCTCTATACTTTCTGTTCAATGTTTCTGTGAACCTAAAACTACTCTAAAAAAATAGTCTAGGCTGGGCACGGTGGCTCACCCCTGTAATCCCAGCGTTTTGGGAGGCCAAAGCAGGTGGATCATGAGGTCAAGAGATCAAGATCATCCTGGCCAACATGGTGAAACCCCATCTCTACTAAAAATACAAAGATTAGCTGGGTGTGGTGGTGCATGCCTGTAGTCCCAGCTACTGAGGAGGCTGAGGCAGGAGAATCACTTGAACCCGGGAGATGGAGGTTGCAGTGGGCTGAGATCACGCCATTGCACTCCAGCCTGGTGACAGAGAAAGACTCTATCTCAAAAAAAAAAAAAAAGTCTGTTTAATTAAAACACGACGCTCATATACAATTTTTAAAAAGTAGCCACCCATTAGGATGGCTACTTTAGAAAATAAAATACAACCCCGAAAATAACAAAGTGTTGGCAAGGATGTGGAGAAATTGGAATCATTGTGCACCACTGTTGGTGGAAATGGAAAATGATGTGGTCCCTATGGAAAACCATTTGGCACTTCATCAAAAAAGTAAAAAGAAAATTACCAGATGGTCCAGCAATTCTGTATCTGGGTGTATACCCAAAAGAAGTAAAAGCAGGGTCTCAAAGAGCTATTTGTACATCCATGTTCATAGTGGCATTATTCACAATAGCCAAGAAGTGAAAGGACTTCAAGTGTCACTCAATAAATGAATGGATAAACAGAATGTGTTATAGAGATACAATGAAGTATTATTCAGCTTTAAAAAGCAAGGAGGCCACACATTGGGTCATTCCTGTAATCCCTGAACTTTGGGAGACGCAGGCGGGAGGATCGCTTGAAGCCAGGAGTTCAAGACCAGCCTAGGCAACATATTGAGACCCGCCTCCCGCCTCCTCCACAAAAATTACAATTTTTTAAAAATTAGCTGGGTGTGGTGGAGCATGCCTATAGTCCTAGCTGTTTGGGAGGTTGAGGCAGGAGCATTGCTCAAGCCCAGGAATTTGAGGCTGCAGTGAGCTATGATCACGCCACTGCACACCAGCCTGGGTGACAAAGTAAGACCCTGTCTCCGAAAAATAAAATTACATAAATACAAAGCAAGGAAATTTTGACTCATACTACAGCATGGATGAACCTTGAGGGCAAACACTGTATGACTCCACTCTTACAAGGTATTCAGAGTTGTCAGATTCAGAGACAGCAAGTAGAAGAGCTGTTGCCAGGGGCTGGGGGAGGGCAAAGTGAGGAGTTGTTTAATGGATACTGTTTCAGTTTTGCAAGATAAAAACGTTCTGGAGACTGGTTGTATAACAATGTGAATATACTTAATAGTACAGAACCGCAGGGCACGGTGGCTCACACCTCTAATCCCAGCACTTTGGGAGGCTGAGGCAGATGGATCACCTGAGGTCAGGAGTTTGAGACCAGCCTGGCCAACATGGTGAAACCCCGTATCTACTGAAAATACAAAAGTTAGCTGGGCATGGTGGTGGGTGCCTGTAATCCCAGCTACTCAGGAGGCTGAAGCAGGAGAATCGCTTGAACCCGGGAGGCGGAGGTTGCAGTGAGCCGAGATTGCATCATTGCATTCCAGCCTGGGCAGCAGGAGTGACACACCGTCTCAAAAAAACAAAACAAAACAAAACAAAACAAAAACCATATAGAACCATACATTTTTAAATGGTTAATATTGTAAATTTTATATTATATGTGTTTTCCACAATTACAATTTTTAAAAGTTAAAATGTATAAAAAGAAGTGCTCAGCCTTCCTAAGGATGTTATAAAACAGACACTAAACAGGAAAGACATTTGATTAAACTTTAGTAAGGCAAATGCTACCAGACAAAATCGAAAGGCAAATGTTTAAACTGGGGGGAAAATATTTGCAACACTTGTAGTAGGCAAAAGGCTAATTATATCACTAATATAATATACCAAGATCTCTCATAACTCAAGAAGATAAAGGTGAACAATCCAATAGAAAAAAAAAGTAAACAGGAAGCAGCCATTTTCAGAGAAAGACAAGTTAAAAAAAAAAAAAAGTTAGGTCGGGCACAGTGGCTCATGCCTGTAATTCTAGCACTTTGGGGTGCTGAGGTGGGCAGATCACCTGAGGTCAGGAGTTCCAGACCAGCCTGGCCAATAGGGTGAAACTCCATCTCTACTAAAAAACACAAAAATTAGCTGGGCATGGTGATGCACACCTGTAATCCCAGCTACTCGGGAGGCTGAGGCATGAGAATCGCTTGAACCCAGGAGGCAGAGAGGTTGCAGTGAGCCAAGATCACACCACTGCACTCCAGCCTGGGTGACAGAGAGAGACTCTGTCTCAAAAAGAAAAAGAAGAAAAGAAAAGTTGATATAAGCAAAACATGTGTTCATTCTCATTAGTTACCACATAATTTTACACTTTCATGAGCCGGGTGCGGTGGCTCATGCCTATAATTCCAACACTGTGGGAGGCTGAGGCCGTTGGATCGTTTGAGGCCAGGAGTTCAAGACCAACCTGGGCAACATGGTGAAACTCTGTCTCTACAAAAAATAAAAATAAAAATAAAATTAGCAGGGCAGGGTGGCGCTTGCCCATATTCCCAGCTACTATGGAGGCTGAGGCAGGAGAATCACCTGAGCCCAGGATGTCAAGGCTCCAGTGATTGCACCACTGCACTCCAGCCTGGGCAACAGAGCGAGACCCTGTCTCAATAAAATAATAATAATTTTAAAACAAGAAGATGCTAAGTTTCTCCTTCCCGATTAGGAAACATTTAAAAGATGGGTAATTGCCAATGATCCACATGGTTCATCTGGACACAAGGAGAGAGAGCCAGATGAGCAGAGAGGCTCGTTTGGACAATTGCCCACTCAAGGAAATAACTCAAGATGTGAACACCTAGTTCGTATATTTTCCTCTTTTTTTTTTTAATCATTGCATATATTACTTTTGTAATTAGGGAAAAAACTAAACAGTTCTAAGGTGGCCAATCGTATGAAAATTGACATGTTTCTAATGTAATAAACAAATGTAATGTACTGAAAAAAAACCTTATTAATGCTAACTGAAATAACATGAAGAGGGAGGTGGTCTCATACTCTCCCAGGAGTATAACCTGGTACAAATTTTTGTAAGACAACTTGGCAGGTTCCATCAATATTTCACATGTGCTTACTTAATCAAACAATTCCACTTTAACAAATTTACCATATGAAAATACTCCCACATGTGCACAAAGGCACATATACAAAGTTTTATTAATGTTAGCAATGTTTGCATGAGTAAAAATGCTGGAAATGACCCAAGAGCCCATCAATAGGATATTGGTCAAATAATTTATGGTATATCCCTACTATGGAAAACGATGCTAGAGTTTAAAAAATTATATAAACTGATTTTGAAAGACATCCAAGAGTATTATTAAGAGAACATGACAAGTTTCAGAACAATTGTAAAAACATATGCAATGACATAATCCCATTTTTGTAAAATAATGTTAAAATGTTAGAAAAAAATCTGGAAAAAATATTTTTAAAATAGGTATCCTATTGCCCTTAACAGTGGCCTTCTCTGACTTAGGTCTAAGTGGGATTATAGCGAACATTTGCTTTCTAAAACACACATTTTTGTATTTTTTGAAATTTTTGATTGAATTTTTGAAACCAGAAAAAAATGTTAAATATAAACAAATCGAGTACCTGGTGTAACCTCCCTCACCTTCTGATCTCTCCCTAAACATTTCCTCAGAGCTTCAGTTTATTCAGTTAGTCCCTGCTTTCTCGTCTCTGGGCTGTTTGGAGCCTAGATCACAACCAGTGCCTTTGTTATAGGCTTTTCATTGTTTATCGACTGGCTGTGCCAACTAAGAGGGGAATGTCCATAGGGCAAGGTGCCCCCATCTGCACGCTGACCACGGTGCTGAGTGATTAGAAGAAAGCTCACTCTGTGAAACAACCCTTACTCTGAGAAGGGAAAGGATGACCCCTCTAAACCCATGATCAGGTCAAGGGTGATTGGCACCCTGTCCCTGCCCTGGCCTCATTCCCACACAAGAAGAGAGAATCAGAGGGGGAGCTTATGACCCTGTCACTTAGCGTTGAGCTACCTGCCTCGGCCAGTTGGGACTGCGAGCACTCTGTCCATGCTGGGACAGCTCACACCTCATCCACTGCCACCTTCTATGCAGCACAGCTCCGGAAAGGGAGCCCTCTTCCCTCCAGAATCCCCAGTGAGGGTTTTCTAGGAACTTGAAAAGCTCAGGAAGCTTTCCACAGGCCTGGAATTTAGACTTAGGCACTAAACACGCAGGCCAGTGATCAAATGATGAGTAAGTGAACCTCACAATGACAACAGTGTTCCTTCTCCACAGGGAACAACTGCAGGTCCTCAAGGAAAGTGTTTTTAAATCTTTCCTCTGGGCTGTCTCAGCAGAGGACACTCCTCATTCACACCATCTCCTGCCTCAATTTTCAGTTAATGAGGAAGCCAGACCTGTACCAAGCCATTGCACCAGGTGACCCAAAACCACCTGGAACTCCCTGTGCGTTTAGCAGGGATGCAATGCATGCTTCTTCTATTGAAGCGGGGGTATCCTGGGCACCGGGTGGGGAAAGTTTAAGAAACACAGATGGCTGAGGCCTATTCACTGAGTTTCTGTTTCAATAGGGCTAGGTGACACCTGAGAATCTGCATTGTGAGCACATTCCCATATCATGCTGCTGCTGCACTCTGGTGGTCCCCATGCTTTGGGAACCTCTGTGTTGAAGACGAAGCAGAGTCAGGAAGGCCAGTCAGGAAGCTGCGCCCCACTCCAGGCCAGATAGGACTGGAGCCTGAGGCAGCGCAGGCCAGCAGGGATTGAGGGAGGACACAGAGCTGAGGGGCATTTCTGGTCGGGGGAGCACCAGGCTGTGGTGCCCAGGTGGTTGTGGGAGCATGAGGGAGACACAGGGTTCTAGACTGACTGACTTCTAGCTTGAAGGGCCGAGGGGTGGACTTGGAAGTTGGCAACCCAGGAGGCACAGCAGCTTTGAGGGTAGGGAAGAAGGGTTCAGTTTTAGACAGGATGAGTTTGAAGAGCTGGAGAGTCATCTGGATTGGGATGTCCAATAGGCAATTGATCATTTTAGTCTGGATCAGGGTGAGGGAGGGGGACCATGAGAATGTGGAGTTGAAAGTAATACTGCAGAGCTGGTAGCTGATAATGTGGGAAATGAACCAGCTACCTAGGGATAGTACATGAATTACACAAAGAAGAGCAATCATCAGCCAGCCATGGTGGCTCACACCTGTAATCCCAGCACTTTGGGAGACCAAGGTGGAGGGATTGCTTGAATCCAGGAGTTCAAGATCGAGACCCTGTCTAATTAAAAACAAAACAAACAAACAAAAAGAAGTCCAGGCGTAGTGGCTCACACCTGTAGGCCAAGGCAGGTGGATCACGAGGTCAGGAGCTCGAGACCAGCCTGGCCAACATGGTGAAACCCTGTCTCTACTAAAAATACAAAAATTAGCTGGGCATGGTGGCAGGTGCCTGTAATCTCAGCTACTCAGGAGGCTAAGGCAGGAGAATTGTTTGAACCTGGGAGGCGGAGGTTGCAGTGAGCCGAGATTGCACCAATGCACTCCAGCCTGGGGGATAGGGCGAGACTCTATCTCAAAAAAGAAAAAGAAGCAGCTCAAGAATCACAGGACTGTGGAAAATCCTACAGGCCAAGAGTCTTGTTAGGTGTGCCTCAACCCTGAAGCAGGTCCCTCAGTCTGCAGATATTTAGAGATATTTAAAGGAAAACCAGGAAGGAGCCAAGAGAGAATGAAGCCTAAGGTGTCCTGAGACCCTCAGAGAACTCAGCCCAAGGGTTAGGAGCTTGTGTCAAGGTGCAGCAGGTGAGTAGGGCACGCAGGATTTCTTTCCTGGGTACGGAAGGCATTTCTCTTCAGCTTTCATTGGTCCCAGGCTCGTGCCAGACAAGGCATGATTGCACCCATTTTGGGGACAGTGCCTGGGCGTCCCAGGCAGACCCAGGGGCCGCATGCAGCAGGGCCTGAGGAGGGAGGTGTGGACGGAGGAGGCCCGCTGCCATTCTTGGTATGGTTCTCACTCCAGGAGCACAGCTGCATCTGGTCTCACTCTGGGCAGCTTATAAGGCCTGGTGTGAGTTTTGTTTATGCAAGTGCAGCATAAAAGGAACAAATCTACCAGCACCGGGGCTGTTGCCACTGAGTCCTTTTGCATACATTTTTCAAATGATAACTCACTCTACCCACCCCCCTTCCCTACCCCCAAGGCGATTTATTGAAAAAACCACCTTATATGGTAATATTGCTAACACACCGTCAGCTGGCCTTTTTAGGGACTTTGTTTAAAGAAGATCCGCCTCTGGGGTTTTATATTGCTCTGGTATTCATGCCAAAGACACACCAGCCCTCAGTCACTGGGAGAAGAACCTCTCATACCCTCGGTAAGTACTGTACGGCTTTTGCCACCTCTTCCTTTCCGGGGCTGCCTGGCCTCCTGGGTGCGGGAGGTGCCTCCAGATTGGCCTGGCTTCTGTGACGCTGGCCCAGATCACACACCAGAGCCCTTGGTGGGCAGCGGCACCTGCAAGCATACTGCAGCCTGCTGAGAAAAGGCGTATCTGGCCATGGGACATCCTGGGGCAGGGGCAGCTTGGAACCGTGCTCCCTGCCTCAGAATGGGGACTGGCGGGATATAATGCCTGCAGTCTCTACTAGCCCTGCTCCCCAGGGCCAGTGCAGATCCACACCCTGATGTCCTTTGTCTTGGGTTAGAATGTCTGGGAGGCTGTTTTAGGGGATCATATACTTTGCAGAAAAGCAGCTTTTCAGAATACTTGAGTCAAAGCCAACAGTGGTCCTGGTGTCTGTGAGCTGTTTAGTCCATGAAATGTCTGTGCTGGGAATGGGAGGGTATTTTCTTCAGGTCCCCTGTGGGTCTCTCTGTCCTCTGATCTGTGCTTGGCTGAGGAGAATGGAGGGTTTCTGCAGTCCTTGAAGGCTCTAGGATCATTGGGGGATGGAGAAAATTCCACTTGCCCTGTGGCATCGTGAGGTTTCAGGGTAGAAGGAACTTGGGACCCATCTAGTTCATTCTCCTCTGATGAGGACATTGAGGCCTAGAGACGTACAGCCACTCATCCAAAAGACTCACACCCAACTGTGACCCATTTGCAGATGTCATTACTCCCCCCAACCCACCCAACACACACACAACACATGCACAAAGAATTAAGAGGAAGATGAGATGAAGGGGCCACTTCTATGTTTGGCATCAGAATTCACTAGCATCTCTTCACAGGTGAGGCAGGCTGGGTGTGGCAGTGCAGGCCTTGAAGGCAGACTGTCAGGCTAACCAAGTTACTGAGCGACCTCAGCTTCCTCACCTGTAAAATGGGGGCAAGAATAATAATATCTACTTGGCGATGGTGTGAGGATTAAACGAGAGAATGCGTATATACAGCACTCAGCTCAAGGCTGTCAGGGCCCGGCCCTGAGTTCTCAAACTTTAAGAATCACCTGGAGTGCTTGTTAAAACACAGATTGCCCCATGCCCCACCCCAGATTCTGATTCCAGTAGGCCGAGATATGGCCTGATACTTGGAATTCCTAACAAGCTCCCAGGCGACACTGAAGCTGCTGGTCTGGGACCACACTTTGTACAGGGAGGCTCTAAGTGCTCACTTTGATTACTTGAATGTGGGTTTGGACTCTGATACTAACCCTTGGGCTGAAAAGAGGAAGAGCTTCCTGTGACAGAGAGGGATGGGTGCTGGAGAAACTGCAATGAACAGTAAGATCCTACATGCCAGGCCTGAGAAAAGGGGATGGGCCGTGTGACATCATGACCTTGGGGCGAGATATCTTTCCTCTTTCCCCTTGTTCATTCTGCCAACATTTATTGAGCACTTATTATGGGCCAGGCACTGTCTCTGCTCCTTAGGGACAGTGGAGAGGCTTCTGCAGTTACTGGAAGAGACAGATAAACAGATGAGAACCATGGAGCAAATAAGTACACGAAAGGGGTAAAGGCCAGGAGGAGCCCATCACTCAACCCAGGAGTTATCAGGGAAGACTTCCTGGAGGAAGAGGTGCCTGAGCTTGGTCCTGAAGTAAGGACCAAGCTTGGTCCTTCCTGGTAAAGAGGAAGCATGGTCTTTGGGACTCAAGTGGCTCAATTCCACTGAATTTAGATAGCAAGGCAGGAATCAGGTAAAACTAAATTCAGAGGGGTCCGCAGGGCTGGATTACAAGGGCTTTAGACTCTAAAGGATCAGGCTATGGGGAGCCATGGAAGGGTTTTAATCTGGAGGGTATCTGTTGAAGGGGCTGCTTTGGCAGCTGTGAGGAGAGTGGACTGGAACAGGGCAAGAGCGCTACTGCAGCATGCGGTGGTCCTGAGCTGGTGGCATGGGTGCCGTGCAGGTAGAAGTAAGAAGGGCTGGTGATAGGTTGGGAGGGAAGAGGGCGGCACCAGGGCATTGGGCATGGGCTCAGGGTGGGTGGTGTGAGTCTGTGAGGGCAGCTCCGGGCAGAGGCTGCTGATGAGGAGAGCAGTCCTGGAGGTGTGGAGTTGGGGTGCCAGGGGGGTTTTGGTGGGGGAGATGCACGGCAGGCTCTGCAGGCCTAGAGCTCAAGAGAGGGGTCTGGACAGGAGCAGAGCCAGGGGAGTGAATGGAAGTCCGGGTAAGAGCCAGAAGATAAGGCACCCACGACAGATTGTGGAGGATCCAAAATATTACTCAGCAGAGTTGTTTTTAATTGAACTCATGTATATATAGAACCTAGTGAAGATATCCTGAAGTTAATTAGAGGTGCTGTTAGAATTTTCCATCGTGGCAGTGTTTTTCATAGACAATTTCTCTCTGCCAGGGTTTCTGATGGTTTGTATATACGTGTAGGCAAATAATAAAAGGCAGAGACGCAGCTGCTTACATGTCACTTGAAGCTCTCACCCAAAAACCTGTCGCCAACTATTGTTTGAAATCTCATCATCGCAGAGGCCCTCCGTTTAGGCCTAACACTTTCTGTCAAAATGAAAATGTCTTTGAGAACTGACATAAATTCAACTTTCAATAGTCATTGATGTGTGAAATGGATCATTCAATTCCTTTCAATATGACAGGCTTCATCCTGGGAGCAAGTTTTGATGGAGAAGAGTAAGAGAGATTAATAAGAATCATTATTCTTTACAGCCCTTGACGACAGGGATTGACGAAGCCCGGATAGTAAATATTTTAGGCTTTCGGAGCCTGAAGTTCTCTGTCACAAGTACTCAATTCTACCATTGTAACAAAAGCAGCCATAGATAATATGTAAGTGAATGGATGTGGCTGTGTTTCAGTAAGACTTTATTAGACTCTGAGATTTGAATGTCATATAATTTCCATGGGTCATGAAATATTTTTCTTCTTTTGCTTTTTTCTCAACCGTTTGAAAATGTAGGGCCGGGTGCAGTGCTTGCACCTGTAATCCCAACACTTTGGGATGCCAAGGCAGTAGGACAACTGGAGGCCAGGAGTTTGAGACCAGCCTGGGCAACATAGCAAGACCCTGTTTCAACAAAAAAAATTTTTTTTTGAAATTAGCAGAATGTAGTGGCCATGCCAGCCACATGCCTGCCATCCCAGCTCCTAGGATGAGGAGAAAGGATCCTTGAGCTCAGGAGTTCAAGCCTGCAGTGAGCTTGATGGTGCCACTGGACTCAATGCCTAGGTGACAGAGTGAGGCCCAGTATCTCAAAAAAAAAAAAAAAAAAGAAAAACCATTCTGAGATATAGGCCATACAGAAACAGGCCGGAATTTGCCTTACCCTGATTTACAATGTCTACGGCACCTTCATTTCCGTTCTGTCATCTTGTGAGATAGATACTATCATTTCCATGTTCTAGCGGAGGAAACTAAGGCCCAGGGAAGGAAGGGACTGGGCTGTGGGAAAGGGGAACCAGGAGGGAGAAGAGGGTAAAGGAAGGAGGAGCAGTGGGAGGATTTCTAGAGCCAAACTTGTCTCCTTTGAGGTGCTGGGGAGGGTGGATTTTAACAGCTCTGCCCTCACATTGGGTTTGAGGTGGCCAGGGAGACGGGTGAGTGAGCAAATGACTTGCATTCATTATGTCTTTGGTTTCTGGCCACCTTTGGGGCTAGGGGAATAAAAGCTTCATTCCTGAGTCAGTGAGAGCTTCAATGAAGCCCAGATGTCATTCGTGCTGAAAGAACCAGAACAACTCTCTGCTCCCTGCCAAGCATGAAGCGGTTGTGACCCCAGGAAACCACAGTGACTTTGACTCTGGTTCAGCTGACATGCTCGAGTCTAGCCACAAATTACCAGAAAGCAGCTGAGGAAAGTTTAGAATTTCTCCTGGCAGAGATGGTCCACGAGTCTGGCTCCAGGGTGAACCCCTTCTTCCCAGAGCAGCACGGGGCCCTTTGGAGGCTCGACTCCGCCAGCCCTCCCACTGCCTTCCCCCTGCCTTCCCCACCCTCACTTCGGTTGAGTTTTGCCTTCAAAATAGCAGACTCCAAGCCACCTGAAGGGCTGCAGAACAGCGTTGTTGACAGCTTCAAGTCGCCTTGTGGCTTCTCTGAGCTGCTGCTGTGCTTTGGAAACAAAATTCCAGGCTCTCCCTCTTTCTGTGTGTGGGAAACACCGGAGAGAGTTTGGGGAGGGAGACAAAAGGGCCCATTGAAAACCCAGACAGGCTTGAACTGTAAGTCACACCGGAGAGAGGGTTGCTGAGGGGACCCTAGAGGGAGGCAGTCCCGGAGCACAGCTTTGCTTCTTTGGCTACTTCCTTGCTTTGGAGGTTGCTTTCTTCTCAAGGTGGACCACCTGCTAGAACAGGGCAGCACTGCTGTTCACTGGCCAGCTTGGAGAGAAGACTGCCCATGTGATTCTAAGTCAGGCCCTTGTGACTGAACCACCATGAGGCTGGACTGTGGGGACTCGGGTATCCCAGAGGCAGAGCACACCAGGTCTGGGAGGGGGGCCACTCAGACGGCAACATTGTCATTCAATATCTATTGAACACCTACTGTCTTAATCCATGTTTGTTGCTACCACAGAATATGTGAGACTGGGTTATTTATAAACAATGGAAATGTATTTCTCAAAGTTCTGGAGGCTGGGACATCCAAGATCAAGGCACCAGCAGATTCAGTGTCTGTCTGGTGAGAGCCCAGAGTCTGCTTCCAAGGTGGCACCTTGTTGCTGCACCGTTACATGGCAGAAGAGCAAGAGAGAGTGAGAAGGGACCAAATTCGCCCTTTTATAAAAAAACCCATTCTTGAGAAGGACATTAGTCCATTCAAGAGGGCAGAACCCTGCTGTTAAAATTGGTAACTAAATTTCAACATGAGTTTTGAGGGGGACAAACATTCAAACCATAGCACCGCCTGTGTGTTAAACACCCACTTAGGTGCTGGGGCTGTAAAAAGTAAATCTAGGCGTGGCCCTGGCACAGGAGGGACTCCATTTCATAGAGAGAAAAGAACACAGACCCTTTTGTTTTAGGGTGCTTGCTGCCAACCGCTCTGGAGAGACAGGCTGAAGCAAAAACACCAAACATGGAGAAGTTATGACAGTTCCCCAAAGTAGTGACGAAGGCACATCTCAGGCTTGGGAAGTGTCCTCGGTGGGTGCCAGGCCTGCCTTTCCCAGCCTCTTCTCGGTGAAGAGATCTCTGGCTAAGTTCTTTACCTTCTCTGAGATTTGGAACATACTGCTGTTTCACCTACCAAAGCAACTTGCACCTTTTCTATTGTATTAAATATTTCAGTTTCTCCATTGTATGGAGGCTTCCAGCAATTAGTTTACAAGCCAACTTATTTACTATTCAGTAACTTTTTTTGATATTGAGATTGTTCCTAATTTTGATCATTTTAAACAAAGGTGTGAAAACAGGCCAAATCTTTTCATTCACTCATGACCATTTCACAAAGATAGATTCGTAGAATAAGTATTTTCAAATTCCCTTTCAGAAAAGTAGTACAATTTAACACTCACAAGCAGTGAATGTGAAGCCAATTCTCCATACCTTTGCCAGCAAGGGTGGCCCCAAGAACCACACACAGTACCCCAGCTAAAGGCAAAGGTAGCTTTTATCCTGGCCATAGCACACTGCTGATGGTCAACAAGACACCAAGTCCTGCTCACAGATGCTAAACAGAGCTTTCTTTTTTCTTTTCTTTTTTTTTTCTTTTTTTTTTTTTTTTTTGAGATGGAGTCTTGCTCTGTTGCCCAGGCTGGAGTGCAGTGGCTCGATCTTGGCTCACTGCAAGCTCCGCCTCCCGGGTTCACGCCATTCTCCTGCCTCAGCCTCCCGAGTAGCTGGGACTACAGGCGCCCGCCACCATGCCTGGGTAATTTTCTTTTTTTTTGTATTTTTAGTAGAGACGGGGTTTCACCATGTTAGCCAGGATGGTCTTGATCTCCTGACGTCGTGATCCGCCCACCTTGGCCTCCCAAAGTGCTGGGATTACAGGCGTGAGCCACCGCGCCCGGCCACAAGAACTTTCACAGTTTGGTGATTGAAACCCACATATAGGAATTCATATTCATTTCATTAAATTTAACCTTGGCTGTGTGTGGTGGGTCACTTGTAATCTCAGCACTTTGGGAGGCTGAGGCAGGAGAATCACTTGAACCCAGGAGTTCAGACCAGCCTGGGCAACAGAGGGAGACTCTGTTTCTACAGAAAAAAATTTTTATATCAGCCAGCCATAGGGCATGCCTGTGATCCCAGCTACTTGGGATGCTGAGGTGGGAGGATCGCTTGGGCCTGGGAGGTCGAGTCTGCAGTGAACTGTGTTCTTGCCACTGTACTGCAGCTTGGGTGACAGAGCAAGACCCCATCTCAAAAAATATATATATATATATCTTCTGATTCAGCTCATTTTCTGTGCCTTTTGAGATCTTCTTGGACTTTTATTCTTTCACCCAGTGTATTTAATATTACTCTCTCCCAGCTGTTTTATCTGAAAACTTTATCAACCTGTGCTTTATATTTTCATTCAATTCATTTATAAAAATGTCACATGAGAAAGGGTCAAGAGTAGAGCCCTGGGACATATTGCTGCCTCCTCATTGACATTGACTGAGGCAGCCGCAAATATACCAAATTGTATTATTGCTTAGTACATGGCTTTATCAAGAGGGATATCCTATTCTGGACCTTGTGGGCTGGTTTAGAGAGTGAGGACTCATCTCTGGGGCTATGGGAGACATAAGGATCAGCAGAGACAGAGGCAAAGCTGGATTTAAGAAGTCACAGCAGGCCTCTCCCCTAGTATGAGCCTTGCTTTGAACATATCTGGGAAGGGCTTCCTTTTAGTCTTGAAAATGTTTACAAGCCTCTGCTCAGCATCTACCTAGCCTTCAGACCTCGCGTTCTCAGGCCTGTGGTGCTGTCTCCTCTCTGCTTCAGTATGGTCTTCTCTGTCCAGCTTCTGCATGAGGCCATCTGGGGCCAAGGGTCACAGGTTTTAGAAGTTCCCCTCTCCCCGCTCCATGCCATAGGCACCTGCAATCGCACATCCTGGATAAAACTTCAGCCGGCCTTCTCTTTATGTGCCTGGCGCCTCTCTTTTCTCTGGGTTTTTGGAAGTCTGCCTGCCCAGCCCCTCAGCTGGGGCCTTCCCCACTTCTGCCCCGCCCCACTGGGTCCTCCCAGGGTAGGAGGCAATCTCTGACTGTCTTCCGAGGCTCTGTTGCTTCTCCTTCATCACCAAATGCCAGGAATTTGTCAGATGCTGTTTGTAACTCAAAAGAAAGAAAGAAAAAGAAAAAGATACAGGAAGGAAGGAAGGCAGAAAAAGAGAAAGAAAGAATGCGTGCAGCAGATGTTGGGAAAGTTAATTTCTTCATTATTTTGCATCCATCCCAGTTCGGATCTCAGCATGGGGTAGGGAATCCTCTGTTGTCCCCATCTGTCGAGGCAACAGTGAGTCCCATCATGGAGTCCCTTCTTTTCCTCTCTCCTCCCAGAGTGCCCCTTCCTCATCAAGGTGCTTCTACCCTTAGGAGTGTACATTTCACCTATAACCACTGCCTATTTTTTCCTAGTGATATGTTATGCTATTGATTTTTAATTATATAAACTATATGCAAATGCAGCCTCCTTGTAAAAAAATTAAAATATTATAGATATAACCCAGCACTTCTTCTCCCAGTTCCTTTCCACACTCCCAGAGGTAATCATGATAATCAGTTTGCTAGGTGTCCTTCCAGAACTTTTAGCTTCTTTCTTTGGCTTGTATATGGCCACCTTCTCACTGCATCCTCCCGTGGCCTACCCTCTGCATGCATCTGGATCCTAATTCCCTCTTCTTATAAAGACACCCATTGTACTGGAGTAGTCATACTGGATGACAGCCATATTGCATTAATCTCATTTTAACTTAATTACCTCTTTAAAGACCCTATCTCCAAATACAGTCACCTTCTGTGTACTGGGGGTTAGGACTTCAACATGAATTTTTGGGGGGACACAATTCACATTTCAGGGCAGAGGGAGGAGGCTCAACTGCCAGTGAGTGGGAGGCCAAGCCCATGCCTGTCCCTCCTGGAAGTGTGCCCTGATTGCAGGTAGGGTCAGGCCCCAAAGCCAAGAAACTGTCTCCAAACTGATTTGACAAGTGGCTGACTAGTTCTCTTCTCCCGCAAATCCCAAGGTGCTCCAGTCCCCAGCTCACTCAGCCACACACACCATGTGTGAAGAGGAGACCACCGCGCTCGTGTGTGACAATGGCTCTGGCCTGTGCAAGGCAGGCTTCGCAGGAGATGATGCCCCCCGGGCTGTCTTCCCCTCCATTGTGGGCCGCCCTCGCCACCAGGTGCGTGCTCATCTGGATACCACCAGGCTTTGAGCCACTAGGAGTAAGCGCTGCACTGTGGAGACCCTGCTGAGCTGGGGGTTAGGGGAAGGAAATGTGTGTGTGTGTGTGTGTGTGTGTGTGTGTGTGTGTGTGTGTGTGTGTCTGTGCGTGTGTGTGTGTGTGTGTCTGTGCATGCACATGCGTGTGTGCACGCCAGGTGTAGGGAGTTCTTTTCTGATTAACTGATAGAGCAGGACCCTTTAAATAGAAATATCCAGGGCCAAAACCAACATACATCAGGCACACAATGACACTACTATGTCTGGCTTACATTTGGGGGGTTGCCAGGTTTGGAAAAGTTAATTTATATGGGATTGAACAAGCCTCTTGCCTTTAAGAAATTTACACTTTGTGAAGAAATACACATAACTAACCAGAGATCATGGGCTGTAATAGAGGTAAAATATTTCACAGGAAGGGAAAAGTATCACAGAAAAAGTAATATCTGAGAATAAGAAGGATTTCAGCAGGTGGAGAGAATAGCAAAGATTTGGAGATCTAAGCAGGCACAGGGGACTTGAGGAGGATGCATACAAGTCGTGTGTGTGTGTGTGTGTGTGTCTGTGTGTGTGTGTGTGTGTGTCTGTGTGTAGTAGGATGAGGGGAAGAAGTGTATGGGAGGGGCTTGTTTTATCTCAGAAAACATCGTTGTCTGAAGAGAAAGAAGAAAGGCCACCACACAAGAAATCCTCCACCTTCTCTTCCTGACACCTTCATACTCACTGGCATCTGCTCCATCCTGTCTCCTGCTATCCTGTTTCTGGGGGAAGAAAGGCTGTTTTTCCCATCCTTATCCTTCTTCAGAGACCTTCCAGTGCCTGAATCCCTCTGTGTGGAGCCCTCAGCCATTCATTTCTCTTTTCTTCTTTTTGCATTGCAGGGTGTGATGGTGGGAATGGGCCAGAAAGACAGCTATGTGGGGGATGAGGCTCAGAGCAAGCGAGGGATCCTAACTCTCAAATACCCCATTGAACACGGCATCATCACCAACTGGGATGACATGGAGAAGGTATCTGTAGACTTCCCCTTAATGAGCCTGCTTTAATGATCACCCATCATCATGACCCTCGTATTCATAGGCCACTGTGCTCTGTCAACTCTCCCTCTAAAATGCTTCTCACTTCTGTCTTTCCTTTCTTTTCAGCCCCACGACCATTTCTCCAACCTAGGCTGCCAACATCTCTCCCTGGACTATTGCAATGGCTTCCTGGCTGATTTCTTGGTCTCTTGCCCTCATTCACCGAATTAATTCTCTACACTGCTGCAAAACTGATCTTTCTAAACACAGGTCAGCTCATGTCACTCACCTCCTCAGAAATCTTCAGTAGCTCTTCATTAACCAACAGGGGGTTCCTAACTCCCCGTCTTGGCATTGGAGGACCTTTCCCTGCCTGATCCCCGCGATCATCTTTTCCTGCAATATTTACTCAGGCCAGTGCTCACCCCTTCTTTAAAATGCTGGTGCTGGCTCAAGAGAGGCAAACAGCCATCTCTCTCATTCTTATCTTCCCTGTCAAGACTTCACATAGGTGGACTGATGCTAGACTATGATGATGAGTCTCCAGTGAAAGTTTCTAAGTAGAACTCTCTCAGGGTTTCTAGAAGCATTTTTGTTTAAGAAAATATTGTGGGGGGAGCGGGATTTTTAAATGGTGGAGCTCATGGTAAACAAAATTATGTGTGCAAAATGTTAATAGAGCCTTTCTAATATTCTTGTGATTAACTCTGGTGACAGTTGGCTGAGTGTTCTTGTTTCTGCAACGCCTGTCTTTGGAAATGTGATAGGGGGCTTATTGAGCAGACTGCAACTGGAAATGAGGAATGTTGACTTGAAGTCTGTAATTCACTTATACTTTTCTCTAAATCCTAGACTGAGTCACTCAATGTGAGATAAGTACTGCACATAAAATGCAATGGATTTCACGTTATACAGTGGAGTGGGTAAGAGCACAGACATTAGAGGCAATGGCAGGAAATCCAGGTGCAAATCCCACCCTATAAGTCTTAGTTTTCCCATTTGTAAAGTGAAGATAAAAAACACTTTGTGCATTAGGTTGCTTTGAAGATTGAATTAGCTAAATGCTTAGTATAATCCCAAGGCATGGAACATACTTATGTGCTCAATAAGTGACACATATGATTCATATATATGTAACAGTATCTAATTTAAAAACATAATAGGCCGGGCGTGGTGGCTTATGCCTGTAATCCCAGCACTTTGGGAGACCGAGGCGGGTGGATCACAAAATCAGGAGCTTGAGACCAACCTGGCCAACATGATGAAACCCCGTCTCTACTAAAAATACAAAAATTAGCTGGACATGGTGGCGGGTGCCTGTAATCCCAGCTACTCGGGAGGCTGCGGCAGGAGAATCGCTTGAACCCGGGAGGCAGAGGTTGCAGTGAGCCGAGATTGTGCCACTGCACTCCACTGTGGGTGACAGAGTGAGACTCCGTCTCAAAAAAAAAAAAAAAAAAAACAAAAAAAAAACCACATAATAGAGGCCAGTGGCTCATGCCTGTAATCCCAACACTTTGGGAAGCCAAGGCAGGAGGATAGCTTGAGGCCAGCCTGGGCAACATGGTGATACCCTATCTCTATGAAATAAAAATGTAAAAATTCACTGGGCATGGTAACACATGACTGCGGTCTCAGCTATTCAGGAGGCTGAGGCATGAGAATCACTTGAGCCCAGGTGGTGGAGGCTGCAGTGAGCTGTGTTCACGCCACTGCACTCCAGCCTGGGTGATAGAGTGAGACCATGTCTCAAAAAAAAAAAAAAAAAAAAAAAAGAAAGGAAGGAAGGAAGAAAACATAATAGACAAATAATAGACAAACTATTTTATTCACAGTAGTGACAACATGTGAACTCTTTAAAGAAACCCTTAAAAATAAATTATGTGCCTTAAGGCCGGGCACAGTGGCTCATACCTGTAATCCCAGCACTTTGGGAGGCTGAGGCAGGTGGATCACTTGAGTCCAGCCTGGCCAACCAACATGGTGAAATCCTGTCTCTACTAAACAATAATTAGCTGGATGTGGTGGTTAGCACCTGTCGTCCCAGCTACTCCAGAGGCTGAGGCAGGAGAATCACTTAAACTTGGGAGGTGGAGGTTTCAGTGAGCCAAGATCGCATCACTGCACTCCAGCCTGGGCAACAGAGTGAGACCCTATATATATTTTTTTTTAAAAATGTATATATGTATAAATATAAAATCATTTCATTATATAATCATTTCATTATATATCTATAAATCATTGTGTGTGTGTGTGTGTGTGTGTGTGTGTGTGTGTGTGTATATATATATATATATATATATATATATATATATATAATCTTGTGTGCCTTAAAAGAAAAACCAAATTGGGTAAAAGTGTCAAATGTCCTCAAATTAATTTATAGGCTCATTGCATTCCAATAAAAATTATGTGACATAATTCTAAAGTATGTTTGCAGAAATAAATAAGCAACAATTATGAGAACAAAATGAATTTTTTTAATTATGAAGGAAGACATAATGTAATAAAATACAATATAAATTATAAAGTTAAAACAATTTGATACCAGCAAAAAGGTAAAGAGGAAATATATAATAAATGAAACTTCCAGCATCAGAAAGGAGGAAAGGACTAGTCAATAAATTATTTCTGGGACAACTGATTAGTTATTTTTGGAGCTAGAGAATCTTGGTTTATAGCCCTAAGCTCATACCATTTCACCAAACACATGTCAATTAAATATAAAAGTTAAATGTAAACATTTAAATTACCAAAAATATAATACAGTTAATGTGAGCATTTAATCAAATTTCTGGTAAGAGTGGTCATAGAGAAAAAGAATGACAAATTTGACTTCTTAAAAAATCGTAACTTTTAATATCTCAAAAATAACCAAATTTAAAAGCCAAATAACAAATTGCAAAACAAAAGGGCAATGAGGGATTAATATGAACAGTTAATGCAAATTGACAATTAAAAATATGAAGTGTCCCCCAGACAAATAAAAAACAGTTAATTAGCTGAACAGAAATTATGAAAAGTTGCAAATGTGAAAAAATTTAAACTCATTTGAAACAAAAAAATTGAAGTAAAATAACTAGGTATGATTTTTACCTATCAAATTATTTCATATTTTAAGAGTGAGAGCACTGAATTCAGTTAAGAATGGGGTAAAACAGCCACTTTTTTATTCTGAAGTAAAGATTGGTTTAGCCTATTTGTTAATAACAGAAATCAGAAAGTCTTCCAATTGCTATGTTCTTTAGCCCAGTCATTCCACTTTTAGAATCTTCTTCTTTGGAAAACATCCTGAATACAAAAAATAAATTGCAATATGCACAAAGATAACTATCATAGGATTATTTATAACCAAAAATCAAAGACACCATGAATAGTAATGTGATTAAATATATGATAGTATATGATAAAATGTTATATAAGCATTTTCAAAAGTTTAAGTTTATCAAAAATAAATATTTATTATGAAAAGTAAAATAATTTGTTATAAAAACAAATTTGAACATAGTATAATAATATAATAAATAAAAGAATATGAAATAAATAATGATAGTAATAAATTTAAAAATACATAAAGACAAAGGTTAGGAAAAAGAAAAAAGCCAAAATGTTAACTGTTTGTTGTTAGGTGATGGACATAGGGGAGATTTTTATTCCATTAAAAAAAATTTTGGCCGGGCGCGGTGGCTCACGCCTGTAATCCCAGCACTTTGGGAGGCGGAGGCGGGTGGATCACGAGGTCAGGAGATTGAGACCATCCTGGCTAACACGGTGAAACCACATCTCTACTAAAAATACAAAAAATTAGCCAGGTGTGGTGGTGGGCACCCGTAGTCCCAGCTACTCGGGAGGCTGACGCAGGAGAATGCCGTGAACCCGGGAGGCGGAGCTTGCAGTGAGCCGAGATGGCGCCACTGTACTCCAGCCTGGGCGACAGAGCAAGACTCCATCTCAAAATAAAAAATAAAAAATAAATAAATAAATAAATACATAAAAATTTTGAGCTAGGATCTTCCTCTGTCGCCCAGGCCGGAGTGCAGTGGTGCAGTCATAACTCACTGTGGTCTTGGCCTCCTGGGCTCAAGGAATCCTCTTGCCTCTGTCTCCGGTGTAGCTGGGAACAGAGGTGCACACCACATCCAGTTGATTTTTTAATTTTTTGTAGAGACAGGGTCTCACTTTGTTACCCAGGCTGGTCTCCAACCCCTGGGCTCAAGCAATCTGCCTGTCTCAGCTCCCCAAAGTGCTGGGATTACAGGCATAAGTCACCACACTCGACCTTAAAAATATTTTTCTAACTTTAAAAATTATCAACATCTTTAACTTTTAAGGTATAAAAACTCCAAAAAAGAAACCAAAATCAAGTGCAGATGCTTGAGCCCAACACCCAAGGATTCTGGTTCAGTGGGTCAGATGATCCCAGGTGACTCTGAGACAGGGCCTTGAGGAAGCACATTTTAAGTAGCATGGGGTCCCCTCCTTAAGACCAGTTGCTGTCCTTCAGGCTCCTGTGCAATGCTCACAGTCCAGGGCCTCTGCCTGTGCCATTCCCTCTGCCTCGGATGCCTTTTGCAGCAGCCTCTGGAGACCTTCTTTTGCCCTCAAGGCCCATTTAAATCCCTCAGATAATGAATTACTCCTACCTCTTCTTTCACTTAAAATGTGGCTTGTGTTTTTCTTTTTGTTTGTTTTGGTCTTTTTTAAACGTCTCTCTCCCCTCTGGACTTTGCAACTGAGAATAGGGTGCCATGTCTGATTCATATCTGCCCTCATCACACTTACCACCGTCTTAGCACAAACCTGGCGGTCCATAAATACATGGGTCCAATGGCATCAAATGACCCTGTGCCTCACCTCTGAGGAAACCAAAGCCCCATGTCCCTGCTACACTTTGCCCAATCCCTCTGAAAGACTCCTTTTTGGTCGTACTTGATCACTGAAGAAGGAACTGGACACAGGAAGAAATTAACTTCCTCTAAAACAGTGGTTCTTTTTTATTTTTGAGACAGGGTTTTGCTCTGTTGCCCAGGCTGGAGTGCAGTGCCATGATCACAGCTCACTGCAGCCTTGACCTCCTGGGCTCAAGCGATCCTCCTGCCCCAGCCTCCTGAGTAGCTGAGATTACAGGCAGGCGCTACCATGCCTGGCTAATTTTTTATCTTTTTGTAGAGACAGGCCCACAGTGTGTTGCCCAGGCTAAGCGGTGGTTCTTAACCAGGATGATTTTGCTTCCCAAAGGACATTTGGCAATGTCTGCAGACATTTTTTATTGTCACAACTGGAAAACTGCTGCTAGCATCCAGTGGGTGGAGACCAGGGATACTGGTCGGCCCTCCACAACAAAGAATTATCCAACCTAAAATGTCATAGAGCTGCGATTGAGAAACCCTGCTTTAAAGCACCAGCCTGGCCAATAATAGCCAGTGAAAATTGAGCCCAAGTGCCTCTGTCAGATTCTCAGCAGGAGATAGTGTACACTCAGCTGCGGTTTTGAAATTGTTTGACAGTGTATACTCAGCTGGGGTTTTACAACTGGTTAAATGAATGTCCTACAGAAATGTGCATAGGGTTAAGGCAACTACAAAGGGATGTCGAGGCACCCAAGAGCCAGCAACAGAGGGAGCTCTCACACCCCTAAACATGAAGGGGTCAGGTGACGAGGGCAGTGTCATTGGAGCTTAG
Organism: Homo sapiens; assembly: GCF_000001405.40. Classification (NCBI taxonomy): domain Eukaryota; kingdom Metazoa; phylum Chordata; class Mammalia; order Primates; family Hominidae; genus Homo; species Homo sapiens. The sequence continues at coordinate 73,908,180 of NC_000002.12, forward strand.
TGAGAGCTTGAGCTCTGAAAGAGGGGCTGCCCAACAGGAACTGTGCTCATGGAGGGCCACGCCATTGTCAGGAGATAGACCCTGACTTCTTTTGCCCTCCTACTTTCCAGCCTCTTGCAGGAATCTTCTATCAGCCAAATATAGCCAGAAGCCAGAAAGCAATGAACACTTGAGTGATACAATGTGCCTTGCATCACTCAGTGCACAAAGGCAGGGGAGAGACTGTAGGAGAGTGAAGAGGAGGGAAGGTCAAATGGAAATAATGAACACATAGAAAATACTGGTTCCAGGTCTGAGTCCTACCTGGGGCCCTGTTGAGAAGGAGTATACCCTTTAAATGTCAATCAGAAATTTCCAGGGCTGACCATTCTCCTCTCCAGATCCATCCCATCCTGTGTAACATGGTGCCACACTCTCCCAGCATGGGAATGTCAATGAGAATTTTCCAGCCATTGGGAGTCTGCCAGGCTCATATGGCTTTTGTCTCCACTAGATCTGGCACCACTCCTTCTACAATGAGCTGCGTGTAGCACCTGAAGAGCACCCCACCCTGCTCACAGAGGCTCCCCTAAATCCCAAGGCCAACAGGGAAAAGATGACCCAGGTAAGAAGCCAGGAAGACTTGAACACTGGCATAAGAATGCAACATGGATGCTTGGCCAGATACTTTCTCCCCTTCAAACATCAGTGCAACAGAACTCTCTGAGGACCTGCTATGTCTGTGGTCCATGCCAGGCCCTGGGGGAGTGGGTGTGGAATAATGAACTATCAAACTGGCATAGTTCCTGCCCTTAATGAGATTACAAACCATTCTACAGGCCAAGAAGTGCTGTGATTTTTGCCAAATAATCTTTTATTCTTCATTGTCCTTTAAGATCATGTTTGAAACCTTCAATGTCCCTGCCATGTACGTCGCCATTCAAGCTGTGCTCTCCCTCTATGCCTCTGGCCGCACGACAGGTGAGTAATCCTGTAATCCATTCCTTTTCTGACTTCAGGGGAGGTAGGGAAAAGCTGGGGTCTGGCAGAGGCTCCTGCTCAGAAGAATCAAATGGACAGCTGAAGTCCAGGCAAAATCTTTCTTAGGGATAATAGGTGAGAATGCCCATGTGGAATGCCAGATGTGAGCCTAGCTGGTATAGTTGGAAAAAACATCCAGCAAGAACTGTTTCCCTCACAGTAATAATTCCAGGAGCTTCTACACATACACACATTCCAACAATACTGGAATGTTTCTGCTTCATGAAGCAGAAAGAGTAGAACCTGTGGTGGTGGAAATGTAAGTGCAGTTACACATTGCTTAATGACAGGGATACGTTCCGAGAAATGTGTGTCATTAGGTGACTTTGTCACTGTGGGAACATCAGAGAGTGTACTTGCACAAACCTAGACGCTGTAGCCTACTACATGCCCCGGCTGTATGGCGTGGCCTATTGCTTCCAGGCTACAGACAGTATAGCATTTAACTATAATTAATACTGTAGGGAACTGTAACAGAATGGTTAGGTATTTGTATAGCTAAACATATTGAAACATAGAAAAGTTACAGTGAAAATATAATATCAAAGATAAAAAATGGTACACCTGTGTAGGGCACTTACATGAATGGAGCTTGCAAGACTAGAAGTTGCTCTGGGTGGGTTAGTGAGTGAGTAGTGAGAAAATGTGAAGACCTAAAATGTTACTGTGTACTACTGTAGACTATAAACACTGTACACATCGGCTGTACTACATTTATAAAAATATTATTCTTGGCCAGGCACAGTGGCTCACACCTGAAATCCCAGCACTTTGTGAGGCTGAGGTGGGCGGATCACCTGAGGTCAGGAGTTCCAGACCAGCCTGGCCAACACGGTGAAACCCCGTCTCTACTAAAAATACAAAAATTAGTTGGACGTGGTGTCAGGCACCTGTAATCCCAGCTACTTGGGAGGCTGAGGCAGAAGAGTCACTTGAACCTGGGAGGCAGAGGTTGCAGTGAGCCAAGATCACGCCACTGCCCTCCAGCCTGTGTGACAGAGCGAGACTCCGTCTCAAAAAATATGTATATATATATATTATTCTTTCTTCAATAATAAATTAACCTTAGCTTACTGTAATGTTTTTTACCTTATAAACTTTTTAATTTTTAAAGCCATTTTTACTTTTTTTGTAGTGACAGTAATAGAAAAACATCTTTTTTCGACTTTTTTTTTTTTTTTTTTTTGAGACGGAGCCTTGCTCTGTCACCAGGCTGGAGTGCAGTAGCGTGATCTCGGCTCATTGCAACCTCTGTCTCCCACGTTCAAACGATTCTCCTGCCTCAGCCTCCCATGACTTTTTTTTTTTTTTTTTTTTGAGATGAAGTCTCACTCTGTCACCCAGGCTGGAGTGCAGTAGTGCGATCTCAGCTCACTGCAACCTCCGCCTCCTAGGTTCAAGTGATTCTCATGCCTCAAACTCCCAAGTAGCTGGGACTACAGGAGCGTGCCACCATGCCTGGCTTATTTTTGTCTTTATTTAGTAGAGAAAAAAAAGGAGTACACCCTTTAAATGTCGATCAGAAATTTCCAGGGCTGACCATTCTCCTCTCCAGATCCATCTCATGTTGGCCAGGCTGGTCTCGAACTCCTGATCTCAAGTGATCTGCCCACCTCAGCCTCCCAAAGTACTGGGATTACAGGTGTGATCATCACCCCCAGCCAAAAATAGTTTCATTTATATCCTTTATTCTACAAGCTTTTTTCTATTAAATTTATTTTATTTTATTTTTTACTTTTAGAGCTTTTTTGATAAAAACTAAAATATACACATTAGCCTCGGCCTACACAGGTTCAGGATCATCAATACCACTGTATTTCATCTCCACATCTTGGCCCACTGGAAGGTCTTCAGGGTTAATAACATGCATGGAGCTGTCATCTCCTATGATAACAATACCTCCTTCTGGAATATCTCCGGAAGGACCTGCCTAAGGCTGTTTTACAGTCAACTTTTTATTTAATAAGTAGAAGGAGTACACTTTAAAATAATGATTAAAAACATAGTATAAGAGCTGGGTGCAGTGGCTTATGCCTGTAATCCCAGCACTTTGGGAGGCCGAGGTGGGTGGATCTCTTTGAGCTCAGGAGTTCAAGACCAGCCTGGGCAACATGGCTACAACCTATCTCTACAAAAAATACAAAAAGTTAGCCGGGCATTGGTAGCTCACGCCTGTAGTCCCAGCTACTCGGTAGGCTGAAGCTGGAGAATTGCTGGAGCCCAGGAGGCAGAGGCTGCAGTGAGCTGAGATCTCACCACTGCACTCCAGCCTGGGTGACACTCAAAAAAAAAATAAAAAAATAAAAGACAGTATAAGAAATACATAAGCCAGTACTAGTACCATAGTTGTTTATTATCATTTTCAAGTATGTTGTACATAATGTATGTGCTGTACTTTTATACAGCTGGCAGCACAGTAGGTTTGTTTACACCAGCATCACCACAAACACGTGAATAAAGCGTTGCCCTATGACGTGATGTCAGCTATGATGTCACTAGGCAATAAGAATTTTTCAGCTTCCTTATAATATTATGGCACCACCATTGTGTATGTGGTCCGAAGTTGACCAAAATGTCATTATGTGGACATGACTATATGTGGCCTTGGTATAGAAGTGTGCTCAGCGTAACAGAGGAAATCTCAAAATAAAATGGTCTTTAATAGGAACTTGACAGCTTCCATAAACATTTGTTTAAACGTTCATTAATCATTTATTCACTGATTTATCCATTCATTCATCCATCATATATTTTCCATTACTCCCTACAATGTGCCAAACATGGTACCAGGCCATGGGCACACACTGACAAATAAGACAGACTTTGTCATTATGGAGCTAACAGTTTAGTGGGAGATAGACAAAAGTAAAAGATAATTTCACTGCATGTGATAAGGACAATGATGGAGAAATGCATGGCATATACAGTGTCGTATCCTGTGCTTTGCACTTTGGTTTTTGTTTTTGTTTTCATTTTGAGATGCAGTTTCGCTCTGTTGCCAAGACTGGAATGCAATGATGTGATCTCAGCACACCACAACCTCCACCTCCCGGGTTCAAGCGATTCTCCTGCCTCAGTCTCCCGAATAGCTGGAATTACATGCACCTGCCTCTGCACCCGGCTAATTTTTGTATTTTTAGTAGCAATGGGGTTTCACCATGTTGGCCAGCTGGTCTTGAACTCCTGACCTCAAGTGATCTGCCCCCCTTGGCCTCCCAAAGTGCTGGCATTACAGGCATGAGCCACCGCGCCCAACCTTGCACTTCGTTGCAAACATCATGTTTAATAGCCACGTGGTAGTCGTTGTATGATGGTTTCATTATGTATTTATTTTACCATTTCTCTATTGCTGGAGCTTTAGGTTGCCTCTCATTTTTATTATACAATATGCCATGATTCAGGTCCTTACACAAGAGTAAGTTGCTGCTTTCTGGACATTTATTTTGCATCTGGCCCTTACTGAACCATCTAACTAGGTCTAATGGTTTCTTAATTGATTCTGTTGGGTCTTCTGTATAAAACCACATTATCTGCAAATAATGACAATTTTGGTAGTCACACCTCCTATTTCTATTTTCTGTTTCACTGCAATTGGCTAGAACATCCTGGACAATATTAAAAAATGGTGGTGATATTGTAATGTTTTCTCATCCGTTATGATGTGGCTGTTAGATTAAGAAATATGAGGCTGGACGCAGTGGCACATGCCTGTAATCCCAGCACTTTGGGAGGCCGAGGCAGGTGAATTGCCTGAGGTCAGGAGTTCAAGACCAGCCTGGCCAACATAGTGAAACCCCACATCTACTAAAAATACAAAAAATTAGCCGGGCGTGGTGGCAGGCACCTGTAATCCCAGCTACTCAGGAGGCTGAGGCAGGAGAATCACTTGAACGTAGGAGACAGAGGTTTCAGTGAGCCGAGATCATGCCATTGCACTCCAGCCTGGGCAACAAGAGCAAAACTCTGTCTCCAAAAAAAAAAAAAAAAGAATATGCAATGTAGACTTAATGCAAATTGACAAGTATGCATTACCAGTAATGTGTTTCAAGGAATACAAAAAAAGGACACATTTTACTTGCCCTCCAGAGGCCTACAGTCTCACTGGGGGGAAAAAAGTGACATACATAAAAAATAAAAAATATGATTGATGATTCTTGTGATGGGTGAATATTCTTAACTGGTAAAGGAAAATATGGTAGTCAGAGCTCATTGGTAACAGTCCTAGAAAGAGACTGATGAAAGGCAAGAATGAGAATTTTATAAGCCTGATCCTCTCTGTCCACAGGCATCGTCCTGGATTCAGGTGATGGCGTCACCCACAATGTCCCCATCTATGAAGGCTATGCCCTGCCCCATGCCATCATGCGCCTGGACTTGGCTGGCCGTGACCTCACGGACTACCTCATGAAGATCCTCACAGAGAGAGGCTATTCCTTTGTGACCACAGGTATCCAGCCCCTTTTCTGATTCTGACTGGAGCTCAGAACCAATCTGGTTTAGGACAAGAAGTTCTCAGGACCAATGAGAATTCTGTGACTCTGTGTCTTTAAACTCTCCTGAGATAGACTGAGAGGCCTTAAGCTGGGGCTAGGCCTCTGGATAAGACCAGATAGTCATGGAAGCAGTCCCTCCTTCCCCAGAGACCAGCTGCCTCTGTCCACGTCCACACCAGGACTAGGGCTAGTTTCCACAGGCTGAATGGTAGTGAAGATCTGCTGATGCATTTCATTACCTAGGGGCACCTTTGGTTTGAGGACAAATTGAATAAGTGAGGCCCGAATTTCTAAGGGGAAGGTGTCATGTGGCCCACCTGGGCAATCGGCATTTTTTAGGTGGGAGCCTCTCTAGGTTCTGTAAGATCAAACATCTGAGTCTAGACCAGAAATATGTCCTGCAAAGCCCCCAGGAAGGCCTAAGGCTTTGTCAGAAATCTCATGCAAAGTCCTGCATGGGAATCAAGACTTGAGACTCCCTCTTTAGAAAGAGGAGTGGAAGAATTAAGATTGAATGGAGTGACGCTTGACCCTCTTCGCGGCAAGTCTATCATCATCCTATGACTGAACCTAAAGTAGACGTGAGGCCAGGCGTGGTGGCTCACGCCTGTAATCCCAGTACTTTGGGAGGCCAAGCAGGCAGATCACTTGAGGTCAGGAGTTCTAGACCAGCCTGGCCAACATGGTGAAATCCTGTCTCTACTGAAAACACAAAAATTAGCCGAGCTTAGTGGCGCACGCCTGTAATTCCAGCTACTTGGGAGGCTGAGGCAGGAGAATTGCTTGAACTCAGGAGGTAGAGGTTGCAGTGAGCCAAGATAGCACCACTGCACTTCAGTCTGGGTGACAGAGTGAGACTCTGTCTCAAAAAAAAAAAAAAAAAAAGAATAAAGTAGATGTGAGAAGGAGGTTTTCATGGAGATCAAAATGGGACAACCAAACTATCAGAGCTCAGTATTCACCTTCTGTCATTTCTGCTCCTTCCAGCTGAGAGAGAAATTGTGCGAGACATCAAGGAGAAGCTGTGCTATGTGGCCCTGGATTTTGAGAATGAGATGGCCACAGCAGCTTCCTCTTCCTCCCTGGAGAAGAGCTATGAGCTGCCAGATGGGCAGGTTATCACCATTGGCAATGAGCGCTTCCGCTGCCCTGAGACCCTCTTCCAGCCTTCCTTTATTGGTGAGGTGCTGCCCACAGTCCCTGCCAATCTCAGGAGGGGAGGGTGGAGGAGTGGGTGAGGTATGGAGAGAGAAACACCAGGAGTCATGGCCACTTTGTTAATTACATACACGTACCTCACATTTTCCTAGGAAGGGCCAAAAATGTATTTTAAAAAAAATTAGGGAAAAATCTCATTTTAAATAAAAGGGAAAGGAAATCAAGATACAGGAAAAGCAGAACAGGAAATATAACATGAAACTTAAGAATGAGGTTAAAACACAGAAAGTTTGTAGGCAGCAATGTAGCAAGGTCAGGTTGTAGTTTAGCAAGATTCTTCTATCTACAGTGTGGAATCATATTGCATGGATAAAAGACCGGAGGCTTGGCCAGGCGCGGTGGCTCACGCCTGTAATCCCAGCACTTTGGGAGGCTGAGGCAGGCAGATCACTTGAGCCTGTGAGTTTGAGACCAGACTGGGCAACATAGCGAAACCCCATCTCTATGAAAAATACAAAATTTAGCAGGGCATGGTGGTGCATGCCCATGGTCCCAGATACTCAGGAGGCTGAGGTGGGAGAATCGCTTGAGCCGCAGAGATCAAGGCTGCAGTGAGCCGTGATTGTGTCACTGCACTCCAGCCTGGGCAACAGGGTGAGATTCTGTCTCAAAAAAAAAAAAAAAAAAGAGTAGAGGTAAGTAGACCAGGCAGATGGCAAGAGCCAGTTTGGCGTGCAGGACCTTTTGCTCTAGAAGACTGTGATGCCAGGCTACAGTAGCTGGATGTCAACCTGCAGGCAATGGGTGACTGTCAGATGACATGACGAGTATATCCATACAATGGAATCTTATTTGGCAATAAAAGGGAATGAAGTATTGATCCATGCTGTGACCTTGAAAACATTATACTAAGTGAAAGGAGCCACACACAGAAGACCATATGGTGTATGATTCCATTGACAAGAAACATCCAGAATAGGCAAACCTCTAAAGACAGAAAGTGGATTCACTGTTACCTAGGGCTGGGGCAGGGATGGAGGGGAAAATGGGGAGTGACCGCTATTAGGTATGGGGGTCTCTTTTGAAGGTATTTAAAATGTTCTAAAATTAGATTTTGGTGATGTTTGCTTCTGTGGATATACTGAAAATGACTGAATTATATCTCAAAAAGTTATGAAAAAAGAAAGATGATATAACAAAAGTGTTCCTTTAGAAATATGCTTCAGGCAACAGTATAAAAGATCAGGCCGGGTGTAATACCTCGCGCCTGTAATCCCAGCACTTTGGGAGGCCGAGATGAGTGGATCACAAGGTCAGGAGATGGAGACCATCCTGGTCAACATGGTGAAACCCCATCTCTACTAAAAATACAAAATTTAGCTGGGCGTGGTGGCATGTGCTTGTAATCCCAGCTACTCGGGAGGCTGAGACATGAGAATCACTTGAACCAGGGATCAGAGGTTGCAGTGAGCTGAGATCGCGCCACTGCACTCCAGCCTGGTGACAGAGCAGACTCCATCTCAGAAAAAAAAAAAAAAAAGATCAATCAGAACTGGGGACAATAAAGGAAAGGCCATGACAAGGAAGGGGGTATGATCTTATAATCCTTCTGGGAGATATTAAGGTTCTGAACTAGGGTAGTTGCAACAATCGAAGAAGGGTCATTTGAGGAGCTGGAGGTGTGCATATTTAGGAAGTGATGCCTGTTGACCAGACACTGTGATCTCCACTAGGCATGGAGTCCGCTGGAATTCATGAGACAACCTACAATTCCATCATGAAGTGTGACATTGACATCCGTAAGGACTTATATGCCAACAATGTCCTCTCTGGGGGCACCACCATGTACCCTGGCATTGCTGACAGGATGCAGAAGGAGATCACAGCCCTGGCCCCCAGCACCATGAAGATCAAGGTGGGTCTTGCCTCAGTTGTCTCCATCCTGTTCTTTGTATAAAGTCTTGCCTACCTGGGAGTTCCTCGGAGGCAGACTGCCAGACCTGATAACTTGCTGGTCTCCTGGGTTCAATATCATCCTGGACTGGAGCCAATTTTATCCTACGGAATTATGTTCCTTGGGCATTGATGGGCTGAAGACCCACTTAGCATGGATCTCAAACATAATCCCAGGAATGTCACATGAGAAGAGGCTGAAAGAATTTGGGATGATGAGAATATTATCCAGGTGTAATGGCTCATACCTGTAATCCCAGCATTTTGGAAAGCCAAGGTGGGAGGATCACTTGAGCCCAGGAGTTGAAGGCCACAATGAGCTCTAACTGTGCCACTGCACTCCAGCCTGTCTCTAAATATAAATTCAGATAGATCCTGTCTCTAAAAATAAATAAATAAATAAATAGAATATTGAGAGGGTTAAGAAGGAAATCAGGAGATGGGAAATAGAAGGAAAGAAAAGAAGGAGGTCACACTATGGTATCTTTAAACTTTATTGCTCCGAAGGAGGGTAAAAGTTCCAAAGAGTGGATGTTTGGTCATAGGGCCAGCTCTGCTTCAAACTCAACAGGGACATTCCTTGATTCCTGAACATCTCTGATCTACTGTCCCATCTTGGCCATGCCCTTCCCCATACTGCCTCCCAACAGGGCCTCTCGCCTCCTGGGCATCTGCAGGATGGGAGCTTCTCTTCTGCCTCTGGTCTCCAAGCAGTCACACAGACATTTTTAGCTCCTTCTAGGAACTTTGCTGCTAACAGCTTTAGAGAAAGAGTTGGGAATAGAAATATCACATTGGTTGAAAGTTACAAAGTCTCACAATAAAGCTGGTCTCTGGGGAGTAGGCCTGATGTAAGGAAATGTGTTCTCAGTCAATATTCTAAGAACCTTCATGAAGGAAGGCTGCCCCGGGCCTTCCCCCTGCCTAACAGATGGTGTTCATCACAGAGAAATGGAGCAAACCAGCAGGAAACTGGTGAGAACCTGTGGGCTCTTCTCACCCAGAGCCACAGGAATGGTGCATTACTGAGGCCTGTCCTGTGGAGAGCTGTGCCAGGCCTGGGGCAGGGGCTTTTTACCAGGACTGTGTGTCAGTATACCACGCCTAGCCTCACTCCCAGATTCTGGTCCAACAAGTCTGAATTGCTCCCCCATCACCTACACTGATAAACAACCACCAGTGATCTGATGCATTTCCCAATTCATGAGCCACAGCTCTGACTTAAACAGTACGTGCCAGCCTTCATGGAGTTTAGGATCTAATTAGTAAACATTATCAATACCAGGACAATCTAAATAAAAGCGGAAGGGAAAGGACACTCTAAGCAGAGGAAATAGAAGGAGCAAATGTGTCCAGGCAGGTGTGTGCTTATATGAGCACCTATCCAAATTGGACAGCAGGATTTGTTATAGGGGAACTGGGGGAGATGAGGCAAGTCTCAAGGACACAGAAGAACAGATTTGGGGTGGGGGTAGGGCTTATATTTAGGACCACCAACCTAAGAGAAGCCAGAGTTTTCTCATGAGAAGTGTCCAACAATAAAATTTGTTACCTTGCTAGTGGCTGTGCATTCCCAGTCCTTGAAATAATCTGTTCAAGGAGCATTTGTGTGACTTTTGTCTGCCTGGATAATAAAATAACTTCTAAAGATCCTTCTTATTCTACAATTCCATGATCTCTGTGATTTAGGGAATATGTAAAGAGATTCTACGGCAACAAAAAAAATCAATTTATTATCTGGTTTGCTCTAGCACTGAATTCTTAGACCCTTCCAAAACTGGAAAACTAGTTGAAGAATCATAGTCCTTCTGGATCCCCTTTGAAGTAGAGTTCAAAGTTGTTTGACCTGACAATCAATTTCTAAAAGCTAAGCCCAGGATTCCTAGTGGAAAGCATGAACAATGTAGATATAAATTTGAGGACTTCTGAGATATAATTGGCTGATGACAGATAGCTCAAAACAGGGTTTGGGTAGACTGGTTTATACTCAGGCATGGAGGAAGCCCAGCCCAACCTGCCCATGCTTCCAAACTCCAGGCAAGAACAGAACAAGGTTCCCCTTATAGATATTTGTATTGGTCAGCTATTGCCAAGTAACAAACAACCGTGGAATCTCAGGGGCACCTAACAATGAGCATTTATTACTCGTGCATCTGCGCATCACCTGGAAGTTAGCTGATCAAGGTCAGGCTTGGCTAAGTAAGTGGCTCTGAATTAACTGCAGGTCCAGCCAGCTCAGGTCAAGTCCATATTTCTCATTAATGGGCCCAGGCTGAAGGGCTAGCTGCTTCCCAGGGGCAGCTCTTCTCATGCACATGGCAGAGCAAGAGAACATGCCCAAGTACACAAGCATATTTCAAGCCCCTGTTTGTGTTATGTCTGCTAATATCCCATTGGTCAAAGCAAACACAATGCCCAGCCTTACAGGGAGCAGTGCACTCTTCCCATGGAAGGAATAAGGGAAGAGGGGGGAAGTGAAGGTTTTGAGCAATAATCTAATCTATCACAATGTTTCTCCTGTTCTTTTCTGACCATGGGGCTCCCCTTTTCTGGGATAAGTAGATTTTTGGACCACCTTGCTTATTCCCTTGGGGACTGATCATGATTCACCACATTTGTTCTTTGCAGATTATTGCTCCCCCAGAGCGGAAGTACTCAGTCTGGATCGGGGGCTCTATCCTGGCCTCTCTCTCCACCTTCCAGCAGATGTGGATCAGCAAGCCTGAGTATGATGAGGCAGGGCCCTCCATTGTCCACAGGAAGTGCTTCTAAAGTCAGAACAGGTTCTCCAAGGATCCCCTCGAGACTACTCTGTTACCAGTCATGAAACATTAAAACCTACAAGCCTTACTTCTCTGTGTGGGGCTCTTTTTTCCTGGGCTATGTCTCATACACAGTGCTAAGGACTTTTCACACATTACTTTTAATCCATGCAATAGTGCTGTAAGGTAGGTGCTATCATTATACCCATATTACAGATGAGGAAATTGAGGCTCAGAGAAGTCAAGGACTTGCGAAGATCACACAGATTCCAGATTAAAATTCAAGTATCTGACTGCAAAGCTAGTGCTCCTTCTACTGTGTCATCTTGTTTTCTTTTCCTTGAATATAAGTAAGAATGAGGCTAGATGACTCTTGGGATGGGGGTAGAAACACAGACTTTCAGTGATGTAAGTCCTTGTGCTCTAGGGCAGTTCACTAGGGAATATGAACGCAGTCGTGACATAGGCTTATGGGATGTGACATGAAGAGTTCACATACAATGTTACTGTCACTCACGTGAAGGAGGGTCACCGTGGGCTTAAGATCTCTATGATCTCTATGAGGTTGTCATTGAGGATTAGGCTGTATTTTTTTTTGTTTTTTTTTTGAGACAGAGTCTCACTCTTGCCCAGGTTGTGGTGCAGTGGTACGATCTTGGCTCACTGCAACCTCTGCCTCCTGGGTTCAAGTGATTCTCCTGCCTCAGCCTCCTGAGTAGCTGGGATTACAGGCATGCGCCACCACGCCTGGCTAATTTTTGTATTTTTAGTAGAGATGGGGTTTCACCATGTTGGCCAGTCTGGTCTTGAACTCCTGACCTCAGGTGATCTGCCCACCTTGGCCTCCCAAAGTGCTGGGATTACAAGTGTGAGCCACCGCGCCTGGCCAGGTTGTATTTTGCCCCAAAATTAATTAAGAAAGGAGTAGCATCGTTAGGAAGGACATTTTCTCTCCCTCCCTCTCCTGTTCCTCCTCCTCCTCCTCCTCCTCCTCCTCCTCCTCCCCTCTTTATCAATTTCCTCCCTACCCACTAGGTTAATTTTGTTTAATTTTACAAGTATTTACTGAATTTTTGGCATCTGGAATTGCCGGGTAAGGCCACAAGGGATTTATGTTTCCAACAAAGATGATTCCTGCCCATTAGGGTCTCACTGCATACAGGCAGAGATAGACACATGCATACAAGACAGTGACACGAAGTGAAACAAGCGCCTAAAAGTACTATGAGAAAATAAGGGATGATAATAATAGCTAACATGTATTCAGGCCAGGTTAAGAGTTTTGCATGGATTTCCTCAATTAATCCTCACCACAACCCTATGAGGCAGGTACTAGCATCATTTCCCATTTTATAGCTAGTTTACTGGTTACTAGGTCACCCAGCTAGTTCACCTTAGAACTAGATCCTCACATTGGGCTGGTGCACCTTTCACCTCCCCACCTAGCAAAGTCCCAGCCTTCGTGCCCCCATCAGATCCCACCTGGTCCATGAAGCTTCCCAGACATACCCATTTGGAGACAGTGGAGTCCAGTGGTTAAGCGCAGACACTTCAATGCCAGACATTCCTTTCACCCTCCCAGCACTTGATCTCTGTGGGTGGGGTGGGATGGAGGAGCGGCTTTCATAAGCCCTTAGGGGATTTCTGTGTGAGGACCAGAAGCAGACCCTGAAATGAGGATTCCCTGCAAACGACTTATTAAAGAAGTGCTCTGAGGACAGCTGGTAAGCAGAGTGCGGGGGAGGGGGGCGCAGAAGAGGAAAGGGGAGGAAATCTGTCAAGGGGGTAATTGCAGATAATGTCCTGGAGAGGGCAGCTTCAGCCTGGCCCCGCCCACTGGGAGCTCTGGAGTCTAAGGTTAGCCTGGTGAAGGACAGGGAGCCAGGCTTTCACAGTCCCACCTGCCAGTGGTTGGTGAGGGCGCTCCCTGGGAGGACTGAAGTCCTAGGCTTTCCACCTGTATCGGCAAAGGCCTCCTCCAAAGAAGAGCTGCAGGCTCTGGTTGCTGGAAGAGAAGGCACAGGAGGAGGCGGGAGCGATCTGAGATGTAGGGCACCGACACTGCGCTATAGAGGGGCATCCGGACCTCCACATGGAGAAGGGCAGGCTGCCCAGACTGTTCCCACAAACCCCCCGCACCCATCTGACCTCCCTTCCCCATCCTTCCACCCCTACTCCAGTCTTACTCTATTTCAAGTTTAAAAAATGCTGACCTAGATTCTTCAATGGATATGGAGTTATCCACTGACAGAGAGAGGGACAGTGGCTTGAGGAAAGTGGAAATCCAACTGGAAGTCTATTAAAGATCGACAAAAGTCAGGTGTGATGGTTCACACCAGTAATCCCAGCTACTTGGGACGCTGGGGTGGGAAGATCCTTTGAGCCTAATTCAAACCAGCCTCTGACAAGCGAGACCCTATCAGAGAGAGAGAGAGAGAAACAATGTCCCAGGCACTGAGGGCCTAAGAAGGCAGCCATTACTTATTATGTGTTATATAATGTCTATTGGGTGGTAACTGTGTGGCAGGTGTGGCAGGTGGATTCTCTCTCTTAATCCTCACCCCCAGGTCACTGGAATCCAGAGCCCACACTGTTAACCACCTTTTGATACGTCTCCCTTTATGATTAGGTGTATCAATACAGTTCATTCAGGGGAGCAGAGCCATTATGGGTATTATGGGAATAAGGGCTTTATTACAGGAATGACACTTTCCCCAAAGACTGAAGGAGCTGGAAAAGTGAAAGTCTGCAAGGAACTGTGGGATACTCCAAGAGGAGTCACAAATGGGTGGAGGACTAGGTGAAACCTATCTGCTGGGCACCTCTGTCTGTCATAGCATCTGACTAGAAGATTTCCACAGAGGAATGGCTGACACTCCCACTCTGCCTTCCAAATCTCACCCCAGGTCCTCTTTTGGCCAACTCTAACTCAGAGCCTTGTTGGTAGGGCGTTCTGGAAGTGTACTTTCCAATTTAACCAAATCGATTTAGCACAATCCAGCACATTATAAAATCTTCAAAGTAGGTGAGATATAGCTGGCTAAAAGTCCAGGCTGCAGAATAAAGTTTGGGCCACATTTTTGTATGTTTATCTCCCTTTTTTAATGGCTGCATGACATTTTAAATAATATTGGTCAGTATTTTATGTATACGGTAGCATTTAGAAACACTGGAAAAATAGTAAATCCTTCAGAGCTGCACTTCAAGGACTAAGCAGAGTGTCTGGCATGCAGTAGATGCTCAGCAAATATTGGATGAATGAATGGATGCTGAATGACTAGAGTTCTTGCAGGACAACATTTTGCCCAGGACAAAATCGCCCAGGGGCAGGAAGTGGCCTCGTTCTCCCAGGTAAGGGGGAGGTAATTCTACTCACCAATATGCCACTACTTTCAGTCTTCTGGCTAGCACCCAAATGGGATGAAAACTCCGTGTTTACTGCTTCGAAGAGGAAATGATCACCACCTCTTTGGGGTGTCTTCTTTCCTCATGAAGATCCCCTTAATTGTACTTCCTCATGTGCAAAAGTGGGGCCCCAACCCTCTTCCTTGGCCACAGCTGATTGAACCATGATTAGATACCTGAACACAGCTGGGCCAATCAGATTCTCCCTTCTGGGAATTTGGAATTGGGACCTAAATAAATAAAAAACATTTAACAAAACAAGCATAGATAACTAAAGGGGGGTAGAAAGATTATTACTAATGAATTAAGATAACTGACAGGCAACTTAGGCAAAAGATATTTTAGTTTCTTACATTACACTCTACATCAAAAAAATTTTGAATGTTTTTAGAGGCTGGGTGCTGTGGCTCATACCTGTAATCCCAGCACTTTGGGAGGCAGAGGTGGGTGGATAACTTGAGGCCAGGAGCTCAAGAGCAGCCAGGCCAACATAGCAAAACCCCGTCTCTACTAAAAATACAAAAAATTAGTCGGGCATGGCACATGCCTGTAATCCCAGCTACTTGGGAGGCTGAAGCATGAGAATCGCTTGAATCTAGGAGATGGAGGTTGCAGTGAGCCAAGATTGCCCCACTGCACTCCAGCCTGGGCAAGAGACTCTGTCTCAACACAAGAAAAGAAAAGAAAAGAAAAGAAAAGAAAAGAAAAGAAAAGAAAAGAAAAGAAAAGAAGCAAACCACAGAGATAAAATATTCACAAAGGACTCATCCAGAATATTTGAAGAATAAGACAAGCAAAAGACAACCAATAGAAAAATGGACATAAGACTTCAACAGAGGATACTGAAATGACCAATAAACATACAAAAAGATGTTTGACTTCATTAATCAGCAGGAAAATGCAAATTAAAACCACAATAAGTTATAATTACACACAGCAAAATGGATAAAATTTAAAAAGCTGACAATATCAACTGTTGGTAAGAATGTGGGAAAACCAGAACTCTCTCTCACTGATGATGGCAATGTCAACTAGAACAAACACTGTGGAACTATCTACTATTTGGGAATATCTATCAAAGCTGAGCATATATATGTAACTTATTACACAGCAGTTCCAGTCTTACTTATACACCCAAGAGAAATGCATACTTCTTTTTACCAAAAGACATGTACAAGAATATTTACCGCAACACTATTCATTATGGCTCAAATCTAGAAACTTCCGAGTACATTGTGGTATAGTGACATTGTGGAATACTATACAGCAATGAGAATGAGTGAACTACAACTAATACATTCAACCTGGATGAATCTCACAGATATGTTAAATAAAAGAAGTATTTACTATATAATTCCATTTATATAAAGAAAACGCAAAACTAATCTCTACTGTTGAAGTCAGGCTAATGGTTATCTTTGAGGGATAGTAACTGGCAACGAATATGGGGGATTCTGGAGATGCGGATAATGCTGTTTCTTGATCTGAATCCAGGTAACAGTCATTCCATTTGTGAAAACTTCATTGAACTGTACACTTACAACACATCCTCTTTTCCTCACTGCACAACACATCCTCTTTTCCTCACTACATACTATGCTTTACCATAATTTTTTTTTTTTTTTTTTTTTGAGACGGAGTCTCGCTCTGTCGCCCAGGCTGGAGCACAGTGGCGCGATCTCGGCTCACTGCAAGCTCCGCCTCCCCGGTTCAGGCCATTCTCCTGCCTCAGCCTCCTGAGTAGCTGGGACTACAGGAGCCCACCACCACACTCCGCTTTTTTTTTTTTCTCTCTCTTTAGTAGAGACAGGGTTTCACCATGTTAGCCAGGATGGTCTTGATCTCCTGACCTCGTGATCCGCCCTCGTCAGCCTCCCAAAGTGCTGGGATTACAGGCGTGAGCCACCGCGCCAGGCCACTTCACCATAAAATTTTTAAAAATAATTTTTAGGAGCTCTGTTACTGGTGGAGGGTGCCCAGGTTCTTGACATTTTGAACAAAGAATTGGACAAAACGTACAAAGCAAGGAAACAATGAAGCAACAAAAGCACAGATTTATTGTACATCAAAGAACACTCCTTGCGGTAGGAAGGGCCCAAGCAAGCAGCAATTACAGAATTTTCTGGGGTTTAAATACCTTCTAGAGGTTTCCCATTGGTTACCTGGTGTACACCCTATGTAAATGAAGTAGTGGCCAGCGATCAGTCTGATTGGTTGCAGGAGGGGACCAATCAGAGGCTGAAGTAAAGTTATGAAGTTATACCCCATGCAACTAAAGACTTGGCCTGCCACCAGCCTGACTGATTGCCCGCGGGGACCAGTCAGAGGTACTTTCAATTTTTTATCTGCCACCCAGAAGAGGGATTAGCTTCTGGTCCTTTTGTTACTTGGGCTAGAAAGTTGGGGTTTTCCTTTTGATTTAGTTCTAGGAAGTCAGCCTAAATCGGCCTTAGGTTCCCTGTCTCCAGACCCTATTTTCCTGCCTCGTAGCTTTTAGGAGATTAATGCCTGCCTGCAGACAACTTCCTCATTTAACTTTCACAACACCCCTGAGGCAGCAAGATCCTGGCGAGGCAGAGAGCCTCTCAAGCTTTTTTGGATGAATATTTTCCAAGTCTGAGTTTACATAGGTAAAGAAATGTAAGCAGTTTTTTTTTTGTTTTTTGTTTTGTTTTGTTTTGTTTTGTTTTGTTTTAACAGAAGTGGCTGCTGGAGTGGAGATGGGAATGGGTAGGACTTTAGCCGCTCCAGTAGCCATTAACGCCCCACCCTGGTTATCCTTAAAAAATTCGATTAAAAAAAAAGTTCTTAATATATAAACATGACCTCAGCCATCCTATATATACATCAACATAAGAAAAAGGTCCCGTGCTTTTTATGGGAACAGCTTCAAGACAGGTATCCCAGCCCCCGGCCCCTCCCCAGCCCCCTTGCAATCAGATCCTTGTCTTCTAAAACCTGCCACACCTAAGAGCGCTGCCTGAAGGCCGGTTTGGCCTGTTGACTCCTGGTTTTGACTGTTGGTGATTTAAGCGATTGGAACTGGAAGCACCATTTGACAACATTTTGTAAATCATTACTTCTGAGGTTGTTATGACGACGGGGTGTGGCAGTCCGGCTTCACCTGTGGCAGCAGCTTAGGTCCCTGCCCTCCTGCAGAGCACACTTCACCGACAGCAGGACTCAGGTTTTATACAAGTCTCTACTCGCCATTGCTTACGTCCAAGAACCCAGCCTACCAGGTTTAAACAATTTCCAGTCACATACCTGAGCCACCACCACCTTATCCTGAAGGGATTTTTGGGTATAATGCAAATCGATTGACCGAACATTTATTTACTTATTCAAGACACAAACTAAGAGATGGGGTGTAACTGATTATCTAATTTGTTAATTTAGTCAATAATATGCCAGCATTGTGCAGGGGAATTACAGGGAATAGGAAAAAGTTAAATTTGTGTAAATCATCAGATTGAGTCATTTTCCTACTTTAAAACTTCCATTTTCTTCCGATATTAAAATAAAAACCAGACAACAAGCACCTGGGGGGGGGGAAATCCCCTCTTAAAATTACAATTTCTATTTTTAATTTTGTCTTCAGTTATAAAATTTATTTTAAAGTTATACAAAAATGAAGTGGTTGGATTGTGGAATTACGTCTTTTAAAATGTTATTTGTCCAATGAACAAAAACCACTCGCACCGCAACTCCTTTTACTATCAAATTCTGCACCGTTGCAAAACTTCCTTCACTCAACGCTTCTTTACAAACATCGCGATAGCGGAGCGGTCTCTTGGGCGCACCCCGCCGCATGTTCAACCCCACCCACTTCCTGTCTGACGATCTCCTTACGTCAACGGTGCGCTGGAGCGAGTGAGCAGCGATACCTAGGGCGGAAGTGCTCTCGGCGGAAGTGATCGCTGTGTGAATCGTGGGTGGGATGGCCGCGGGCCGCCTCTTTCTAAGTCGGCTTCGAGCACCCTTCAGTTCCATGGCCAAGAGCCCACTCGAGGGCGTTTCCTCCTCCAGAGGCCTGCACGCGGGGCGCGGGCCCCGAAGGCTCTCCATCGAAGGCAACATTGGTAAGGGCCGGAAAGCGGCTGCCAAGCCTTGGCCTCCGCCACGCAGGCGACAGAGGCTGGGAAAGGAGCTGGGCCCGGAATGGCCTGCGTCTGATGCGGCCGGCCTCTTTTTCTGGGCTGCGAGGAGAGCCTTTCCCCTCGCAAAGTGCACTGTGTATCTTTGCCTCCTTGTTTTTAGGATATCGGGCCTCAGTACCCGCCCACAGGAACATATTTGTTGGGGCATAAAAGCCACGCAGTTAGTGGATAGGACAAGAATTGTATTAGCTGTTTGTAATAGATCGAAATTGAAGCGACAAGCGGGTGCAGTTTATTTGTTCTCCTAGATAGGGTTGCCATATTTAGCAGAAATTAAAAATAATATCCAGTTAAAATAGAATTTAAGATAACGAATAATTTTTAGTGTGTGTCCAATGCAATATTTGGGACATCCTTACAGCAAAACAACAACGAAATCACTCATTGAAAGTTCAAATTTAACTGTGTCCTGTATTTTATCTGGCAACCCTATTCGAAGAGAGTTCCTAAATTTCAGTCGTTCAAATACCACATTCACAATTTTTGCCCTGTGCCTGTGCTAGTTGCATAATAATTTCTTAAGGCTTTTCTTAGAAGAACCTCACTTTTTAAACTTAAAAACATGTATTAAATTAAAAATTATTTTGTTAAAAGAGTGAGATCCAGTATCTTGAATAAAAAGTAGTCAGAAAGCAAAATGAAGGCAAAGCATTTCGATTTAATATTAATAAATTCTGACTTGATACTTTTATCTACCAAGTCACTGAGCCCCTAAAAGGGGCTTAGCAAGTGTTGAGTACTGAAGACGTAGCAGCAAACTGAGAATTTCTTTTTTTATTCATTCAACAAATCACCTTTTGAGCCACTTCCATATGCCAGCACTGTTCTTGGCCTGGAGAATACAGCTGTGAATAGAACAAATAAAAATCTCTGCTCTCATGGAACTCAAGTAGGGAGAGATGGACAATAAACAACATAAATTAAGCAAGGTGAACAATATGTTAGAGAGTAATAAGTATGATGGAGAAAAATTAGGGATGAAGAATTGAGGGAAGTTTTTATTTTATTTTATTTGAGATGGAGTTTTGCTCTTGTTACCCAGGCTGGAGTGCAATGACACGATCTCGACTCACTGCAACCTCTGCCTCCCTGGTTCAAGCGATTCTCCTGCCTCAGCCTCCCGAATAGCTGGGATTAGGGGCACCCGCCACCACACCCAGTTAATTTTTGTTTTGTTAGTAGAGACAGGGTTTCACCATGTTGGCCAGGCTGGTCTCAAACTCCTAACCTCAGGTGATCCGCCTGCCTCGGCCTCCCAAAGTGCTGGGATTATAGGCGTTAGCCACTGCACCTGGCCGAAGTTGTCATTTTAAATAAAATAAGCAAGGCCTCACTGAGAAGGTGACATCTGAGCAAAAAACTGAAGATGAGGGAGCAAATCACGTGGATACCTGGGAGAAGAATCTTCTAGGCAGAGTGAAGAGCAATTGGAAAGGCCCTGAGGTGGAAAGTGTGTTCGGGGAATAGGAGGGAAATCGTTGTGACTGAAGTCGAGTGAGCAAGGATGGGAGGGAAATTAGGGCAAAAGCCCAAGGGGTGGCCAGATTTTATAGGCCTTATCATGGGTTTTTAATCTTACCGAGATGGGTAGCCATTGGAAGGTTTGAGGAGTCAAGTGACAGTTTTACTTAGATTATAAAAAGATCACTGTGGCTGATAACATTGAAAGTGAAGAGTGTTAAGTGGTATTGCAATAATTATAGTATTGTGAAAAGTGAAAGTGGTGAGACGTGATTGGATTCTAGTTATACGTTAACAAAAATTGAGTTACATTTTAAGTAAAATTTAACAGTGGAAGTGGTGAGAAATGATTGGGTTCTAGTTATATTTTAAGATAGGGCCAATTGGATTTGGTGACAGGTTGAATGCAGAGTGTAAGGTAAAGAGAGGGGCCAATGATGACTCCAATTATTTTGACTTGAGTACTTGAAAGATAGACTCCTGATTTTCTTTTATTTCCTCCTCTCCTTCTTCCTCCCCTCCCCTCGCTTCCCCTCCTTTGGTGTGGTCTTGCCCTGTTGCCAGGCTAGAATACAGTGATGCAATTGCATCTCACTGCAGCCTGCCTCCCAGGCTCAAGCCATCCTCCCACCTTAGCCTCTTGAGTAGCTGGATCCACAGGTGTTTGCCACTATGCGTGGCTAATTTTGTATATTTTTTGTAGAGACAGGGTCTCACTATATTTTCCAGGCTGGTCTTGATCTCCTGGGCTCAATTGATCCTCCTGCCTTGGCTTCCCAAAGTGCTGGGATTACAGAAGTGAGCCTTGGTTTTAAGCATGTTAGGTTTTTACATGCCTATTAATATCCAAGTAGAGGTGTTGAATAGGTAATTGGATATGTAAGTTCAGAATTAGGGTCTCCCCGGACTGGAGCTGTAAATGTAGGTGGTATTTAATGCCAGAGACTATGTGTTGATGGAAAGGACTGAGCCCTGAGCATGCAAATATTATGAAACTGGGGAGATGGGAAGGAATAAGCAGAGACTGAGAAGGAATGCCTACTGAGGTAGGAGAAAAAAACAAAAGAGAATGATATCCTGGAAGCCAAGTGAAGAAGGTATTCAGTGGGAGGGAATGATCAGCTGTGTTATACTGTTTAAGTAAATGAAGGTCTTTGGTGAACTTGAAAAGAACAGTTTTAGGAGTGTTAGGAGTGAAAGCCTAATTGGTATAGGTTCAAGGAGAATGGGAGGTGAGGAGAGTGGGTTAAGATAACTGGAAGTTTTTAGAAAGGGAAGTCATGGGGTGGTAGCTGAAATTAGAAGAGGGTGTGAGTGTTTAACATTTTTAATTTTCTTTTTGTGAAAAGAATTAGAGCATGTTTTTAAGTTGACAGAAGTGGTCTAGTGGAAAGGAGGAAAATTGGTAAATCGGGACAGAGGATAGAATTGCTGGAGTGATTTTTAAGCAAGAAAGAATGGAATCTATTGCCCAGTGGGAAATAATTTAGTCTTAGCTAGGAGCACAATTCATCCCTAGTAACAGGCGTGATGGCAAAATATATGAGCACCAACTTCAGAGGGTGTGGTGGGAACTTGGGAAGGTCTTTTGGTTGTGTCTGTTTTCAGAGTGAAGTAGGAAGAAAGGTCATCAGCTAAGAGTGAATGTAGAGACAGAAGACATGAAATACTCTAGTGAATAAGCAAGAGAAATGTTGAATTACTGGGTACCATTTAGGACCCACTTGGAGTTAGTGGTCATGAATTTAAAGTGAGACCAGTCACCATGGCTGTGTGTTTTTCTCCAGCCAAATCCGAAACATTGAAAGGAATGGGAAGGGAGAGTCCTGCTATTTGCCTGATGATGTTATTATTTAAATATGATGTTTTGTACTGTACTTTGAGAAACACACCCCTAAAGGAAGCTCTGTCCTCAAATCCCAGAGAGAGAACAGGGTATGTCACAAAGTAAGTACTTAGGACAGGTCATCAGATAAGGTTTGAACTCCCTCTATTTTCCTGACTTTTGCTTCTTAACCTTGTCAAATTTCTCTGCTTCTTCCTTGCTTTCTTGTGCAACAGAGGCTTACTGAGTGAGGACTAAGAGTCCACTCTCATGCTGAGCACAGCAGTGAATGGGATACAGCTCCTGTCCTTCAAGGAGCTCACAACTCACAACTAAGTAGGAGAAAACAGATTCGACATAATTTTCTTTTTTTTTTTCTTTTTTTTTTTTTTTTTTTGAGACAGAGTCTTGCTCTGGCACCCAGGCTGCAGTGCAGTGGTGTGATCTTGGCTCACTGCAGCCTCCGCCTCCCAGGTTCACGCCATTCTCCTGCCTCAGGCTCCCAAGTAGCTGGGACTACAGGCGCCCGCCACCATGCCCAGCTAATTTCTTGTATTTTTTAGTAGAGACGGGGTTTCACCATGTTAGCCAGGATGGTCTCAATCTCCTGACCTCGTGATCCGCCAGCTTCGGCCTCCCAAAGTGCTGGGATTATAGGCGTTAGCCACCGTGCCTGGCCGACTCGACATAATTTTCATACTGTGTGGTGAGATTTGTGATTGGGCATGGAAAGCCAGAATCTCTGGGGTAGGAATTCCCAAGAGGAAGAAGAGGGAAAAGTGTTTCAGCCATAGAAAGCAACATGTGCCAAGGTGGTGAAGCCTGAAGAAACACATGCAGTTTTTTGGGGGTTTTTTTGTTTGTTTGTTTGTTTTTTTGATGGAGTCTCATTCTGTCACCCAGGCTGGAGTGCAGTGGTGTGATCTCATCTCACTGCAACCTCCGCTTCCCAGGTTCAAGTGATTCTCCTGTCTCAGCCTCCCAAGTAGCTGAGACTACAGGCATGTGCCACCACGCCTAGCTAACACATGCAGTTTTAATGAAAGAGAAGTAGTTGGATGTGCCTGGAGTTGAAGGGACCTGTGAAAGGGTGGCAGAACAAGAGGTTGGAAGGGTGGGATTTGCCATATGTCGAAGAGCCTTGTGGACCATGCTAGTTTATCCTGTTGGCAGTGGGAGGCTGTTGAACACTTGAAGCCAGTGTGTGCCATGACCAGATTAATTTAAAAAAGGAAATTGTGTAGGATGAGAAAGAAAGCTCCATAAAACAGGCACTTTCTTTGTATATTTTGTTTGCTGCAGTACCCATAGTGCCTTGCATCCAGTTTGTTGGATGAATGAATAGATGAATTGGAACAGAGTTGAGTCTGTGCACTAGTTTTGTGGCTATTGGAGTAATTGGAGGGAGGAAAGATGCAGGCCTGAATAGAAGAACTGAAATGACAGAGAAGTGACGGTTTCAGAGAGATTTTGGAAGCGGGATTGACAGGATGTGGTGGCCACTTGGAGGTGAGGTAGGAGGAGGAGTAGAGGAGGGTGACACTGAGGTTCATGAGGATGGGAATAAAGGAAGAGGCGGTCTGGGGAGGTTAGAGTGATATGTTTTGTATGAGGTGCCTGTGAGACATAGAGGTGTTCTGAGACAGATTGGAATATGTGCCTGAGGTCAAGAGAGTCCGGAGATGGGTGCTGAGATTTCAGATGTGGAAGTTGTTGACTGGTGGGTAGAGGGGTAGTTGGTGAAGCCTTGGAAGTAAATGCAATTGCCCAAGAAAAGGGTGATGCGAAGTGGAATGGGAGGACCTAATCTGACTCTTTTTACTTTCATCTCCCACTACTCTTCATCACCCCACACACCCTGATGACTCTCCCTAGACAGAATTAGTCACTGCCTCCTCTGTGGGCTGACATAACATTTTGTACCCACAACTGCTGCAGCACTTGAGTTCTGCTGAGCTTGTTTGCACATTCACCACCTTCCTTGGGCTCTGACCACTCAGTGTGCTGTTCATCTTTGTATTGCTGACACCTAACCCCCGCCTTGACCCAGTGTACTCAGTACTGACCAGATTCTTGAATCCTGTGCTATGATATCCATGTGGAAGTTAGGCATTGGTACCCACACAGGGAATGTATTAAACTGCTTTTTAAATCAAGAGTGATCATCTTCTCTAATCACAGGTAACATCCTCAAGCAAATCAGAATGAGAGCACCCATTCAGGAAACCTGAACAGGGAAGGTGAACCCCTGTCCTGACCAAAATTGGGTATGTTTAGAGGGCTTTTCTTGTATTCCTTCTGCTCTAAGTCCTATTATTCTGATCCTGAAGGTGCAGACAGCGGCATGTAAGGAAAATTGATCAGTGAAGTAGCAACTAATGGCATCTAGCATGACTTACGAAGCCATATAAGATGTGTGATTGAAAGTCAAAAGCTTGGTACCTAGAACCCCTGAAAATCTAAAAAATAAAACACCTAGCCTGTCTTTTAAGACTGTTCATCCCTACAGTGTATTATCATCTTCTTGTGATTATCTTACGATTACAAGCGTAAATTGAAGAAAAGATTGCTGTATGAAATCTCACTGTCAGTGAGTCATCTCAGCATTTTTACCTTATTTTCAAAGACCCAACCAGAAAAGAGGAAACTCTTTTGCACTTTTCAATCAAGAAACTTAAACATAAAGCAGTAGAGGGCTTCCCTAATAACATGTTTCCTCCAGCATTCAAAATTAGTGACTTCACATCACTAATATGTGTCTTACTTATTTTAAGTATAAATGATTGGGCAAAGAATCCTTGGGAAAAAATAGCCTATTTATTTCAAATACTGTATAGTGGATTCTCTGTGCCTGTGACTCACCTCCTTCCCTCCATCACTGTTCTCATACTCAGGATGCAAAGGTTCAGTCTCTGTCTTCAAAAGTGAGCTCCCAGTCTAGCTGGAGGGAGTGATGAGTGAACAAATAATTACAGCGTAATCCTTTGGTAAACCAGAGCAGGCAGTAATTAACTCTGCCTAGAGATGAAGTGGCGCTGGAGAGAGTTCAAGGAGGCTTCACAGAGAAGGTGGCAGTGGAAAGCTGAATCACCTGGTAGGCAAGGCGGGAGGAGGGGATGTCAGATCAGTGAGGGTCTTTTGTGCTGAGCAGATGAGTTTGGATCATAGGAAGGTGTGAGAAAATTTTTTGCCTTTTTTTTTTCGTAAACAGTTTTTCATGAAAAAAGGTCATCAAAGTAAAATGTATTAAGTTTTTTTTAAGCCTGCTGACTGATTTTTATTAACTTTGCCTAGAATGCCTTTAAGCTTGGAGCCTGTATGATCCTGGGTACTCAGTCTTGGGGTTGGAATATAACTTGAGGGCAAGCTCTCAGCCTAGATCATCATTTCAGTTATAGTACTTACCTCTGAGTAGCTACTCCATAAACATTTGTTGATTGAATGAGTGAGTGAATGAATGCAGCATCAAATACAGTATCTGAAATAAAGACTTCAATTTTTTTTGGAAGGACTTTTTAAAAAAGACATTAGACAGTTTTATATGTTCTGACTTTGTTGGATTTTGGTAAAAGATTTCAGAATTGGATTTTTTTTCTCATGTTTTTCATCTTGTTCAGGAGATGAAAATGCCTAGAGGTGATAAATATAGGCTCCTATGAAATACAGCTGTATTAGACGTAAAATAATGGGATCTGTTATTTTGGGTATTACATCATATGCTATCTTGCTGCTAGATTTTAGCATTACATAGCTATGGTAGGCATTGTCAGTTTATAGAAAATTTTGTGGGGAGAAAAAAACATGCCTTAGAAAAAGATGAGTGGTAACAACAGAACTCTTTGTCCCAGCTTGTGGAATGAGAATAGTGGAGCTAATGAAAATCAACATGTTGAAGTAATATACTCTTAAGAAAGTACCTTCCACCTTTTTTTAAGGTTGTGGCAATATAACAACAGAGAACACTGGTGGCCAGGGTCCTAAGGGAAGGTTTGATGCTGCTTGTAAGTTCTGATACCTTCCAAAATTCATAATACTGAGAGTATATTGAAAGACAGGCCGGGCGATGTGGCTAACCCCTGTCATCCCAGCACTTTGGGAGGCTGAGGCGGGCAGATCACCTGAGGTCAGGAGTTCAAGACCAGCCTGGCCAACATGGCGAAACCCTGTCTCTACTAAAAATACAAAAATTAGTCAGGTGTGGTGGCACGTGCTTATAGTCCCAGTTACTCGGGAGGCTGAGAGGCTGGAGAATCAGTTGAACCCGGGAGTTGGAAGTTGCAGTGAGCCGAGATCACCCCACTGCACTCCAGCCTGGGCAATAGAGCAAGACTCTGTCTCAAAAAAAAAAAAAAAGGAAAGAAAGATAACAGCAGTGGCCCGGCGCAGTGGCTCACGCCTGTAATCCCAACACTTTGGGAGACCAAGGCAGGTGGATCGCTTGAACTCAGGAGTTTGAGACCAACCTGGGCAACATGGTGAAACCCTGTATCTGCCAAAAATACAAAAATTAGCCGGGCGTGGTGGCACACACCTGTAGTGGTCCCAGCTACTCAAGAGGCTGAGGCAGGAGAATCGCTTGAACCCAGGAAACAGAGGTTGCAGTGAGCCGAGATTGTGCCACTGCACTCCAGCCTGGGCAACAGCTAGACTCTGTCTCAAAAATAAATAAATAAACAAACAATATATTGGACAGGTCAAACATACTGGACAGCTACTCAGGAGGCTGAGGTGAGAAGATCACCTGAGCCCAGGAGGCAGAGGTTGCTGTGAGCCAAGATCACACCACTGCACTCCAGCCTGGGTGACAGAGAGAGACCCCCATCTCAAAAGGAAAGATAGCAGCTAAGCTGGGATCTAACTAAATTGCAGTAAGTCTGAGATAGTGATATCATAAGAGATTGGCTGAAGAAGTATGGCTTTCTGTAGACAGGGGTGTTCTGGTCACTAGGAGGAGGCTTCTGAAGCAATGGAGAGCAAAACACCACCACTCTTAGGAACCCCCTGTGAACATCTTGAAACATTTGTCAAAACAAACAAACAAACAACACCCCAGCAAGAAGGGAAAAAAAAAATCTATGATGATCAGGTATCACAGCACTGAGAAAGTTATACTGTGTCTGGCTTTAATAAAACCATGTAACTTTGAATTATTTTTTAAAGTAATTATTCCACATCTGTGGGTGGTACCTGGCACAGCTCAGTTCCAGTGGAATTAGTTTAAGAAATACTGCCCTGTAGTGAATTACCCAGGCTCTCCAAGGCTGAGAAACATGGATGGCACAGCTCTCAGGACATTTCACCACCATTTACTGTCATTGTATGCTGAAGCTGCCTTGTGATTACTAAACTAGCTTTCCAGAAGCCTTGGAATGGGGCATGGGTTACAGAGTACCCTGAGTATTAGGTGTTATTGTTCCAGTCATTGGAACTGTATATTTCCTGTTACATCTAATTTGTTGGCATTCTAGAATTAATGTGTTTAAATTGCATGAGTCAATTTCTTGGAGTCCTGACTGCTCTTAGATGAACTAATAGTGTCTGACCTCAGAGCCCTTCCTTTCCATCTGCAACAGTTTTTTAAGGTAATTGTTTTTAACTTTTAAAAAATATAAGTAATTCTAACAATTGTTCAATCCCAGCCATCTAACAAATCAGCTACGTTTATCTTTTCATTTAATTAAAATAGCTTTTTAGCTATTAAATAGCAGGGACCATATTTTAGACTTGTTAAACAACCTACAATCTAAATATTGACCATCTGGGCCAAATATTTTAAGCGAGGGCTTACTCAGGGCAGACAGGTATCTGATAATATACACATTCAACCACTTCGCACCTGACCAGTGTGGTAGGAATTCAGAGCTAGAGAAGTCCTGAAGAAGTGGCACCTTAGGCTTGCTGGGGGAAAGGATTTAGACACAGGCCTGGAAGAGCAGGGGAGGGCATTTATTCATTGGAGTGTGGGAAGAGCAGGGATCGAACAGATGTGAAGAAGCACACACAAGTTAGGTGGAGGTGGGGACTGAGAGATGAGCGTGACTGTACAAATCCACAGATTCATGCTGTTTGTTCTTATCCTGCCTATTCAGAGAGGAGTTGGGGTGGCATGTAGTAAATGTCATCTATTAAATGTGTGGGTTCTTATGCTGAGACATCAGCACCCCAATCAGTAACCATAAGTGGAAGGATGCCCCCCTTCTTTCCCTTGAGAAAGATTACTTCTGATAGAGGAGATTGAGGTCCAGATACAGTCTTAAGATTTATTTTTTATTTTTCACAAATGTAGGTTTCAGAGGGAACTGAAATTAGTAATATATTGTGTATTTTATTCATTCAGCTAGGTCATTAGGTTGTAATTTGTTTTCTACCCTGGAGGAGCCCCATCCTGTAGCTGGAGAAACACAATGACAATTGCAGTGATGGAGTCTCACCCAGAATACCAACCATGCAGAAAGGAGGACTAGCTAATCCAGCTTAGAGGTGTCAGGATCTGGAAAGGCTTCACACAGGAGGTTCATCTAAACAGAACCTTGAGGATTGAGTAAGAGTTGGTCAGGTGAGGAGAGGAGGCGCTTCAGGAAATGGGAAAGCATATGCAAAGTCATATTTGCAAGAGAACATGGCATGATTGGAGTTTGGTCCTGCAGGAGGGTAGGCTACCTAAAGGAAAGCCAAGGCCAGAGAGGCATACACAGGGATCAGATCTTCTTGTGTCTTGCAGACCATGTTAAAGAGTTTGGAGTTTGTCATGAAGCTTGTTCAGGTCTTAGCTCAGATGTCACTAACTTCCCATTGCACTTAGAATAGAATTCAGACCTCTTACCATGGCCACAAGGCCCTATGTGATCTGGCCCCGGACTGCCCATGTGGCCACACCCATCTTGAGCCACTCCTCCATTGCTTGCCCTTGCTATAGCCAGTTAGCCGATAGAGAGCTGTCAAAAGATTGTAAGCAGTGTTATTTCATATTCAGTCTGGCCACAGTATGGAGCATGGATTGAAGAGAGCAAGGCCAGCATCAGAAAGGCAAGAGATGATAAGAGGCTGGTCTTGAGCATGGAGGTGGGAATGGAGAGAAAAGGACAAATATGAAAAATGTAGAAGCAAATGCAGAAGGATTTGGTGGCCACTGAGGTTTGGCAGAGGAGGGACTTCTGTCAGTGAGTGGATGGTGTGTTCATACCCTGAGGTCTGGGATACAGGAGGAAGCTCAATTTGGTGGGAAAGATGATTAGTTCATTTAGGAAATATGTTGACTTTGAGGTGTTTGTGGAATGTCCCAAGTGGAGATGTCTGGAGAGTTCTTGAATAGTCTCTGGAGCTCATGGAGGTATGGGCCAAACATTGGTATAAATGGGAAAAGATAACTTGAATGTTGTGGTACTAGGTTGATTTCATCTCCAAAATATTTCTCGAAACAACCACTACTTTTCACTCCTCTGCCATCACCTCGGGGCAAGCTGCTATATCTTTTAACTAGTCTGCCTGCTTCTGCTTCAGCCCATTCTTACACAGCTAGTGGAGTGATCTTCTAAAAATGAGAAGGAGTCTTATAATTTTCCTACTTAAAACCAATCTTCACTAACTTCCCATTGCCCTTAGAATAGAATTCAGTCTTCTTACCATAACTACAAAGCCCTGTATGACCTGGCCCTGGACTCCCTGTCTGGCCACACCCATGTTGAGCCACTTCTCCATCACTTGCTCATGCTGTAGCCATACTGTATGGCTTCTTCTAGGGCCTCAAACTTCTGTATTGTTGTGTGTCAAGTTCTTTCTCTCTTTCAGGTCTTTGCATATGCTACTCCCTTTGCATGAATTGTCATCTTTTAGGTCTTACCTCAGATGTCATTTTTTCAAGGGAGTCTCCTCTGACCTCCTGGGCTATATTAGTGCCATCCTGCATTTTTTCCTAGCACCTAACACAATATGTTAGTAGTTAATTGTGCGTTTGTATCACCCATACAAGCTCTGTGACGACAAAATCCATTCTGTGTTTTGTTTACCATTGTACCCACAGTTCCTGACAGTCCTGAGCTCATAGTCAGCACTCCATGAATATTTTTTAGATTTGTTGAATGAATGAGATTATAATCATTTTTATTTTTTGTCTTGAAAAACTTAGAAATTTTACACTGTCACAGTACAAATAGAATGGTGACTCAAGTGATAGAACTTATGGAGCTGATTTCATCTACTTTTACATTTTCAACTGTTATTAAATGCTCTGCCTCTGGAAGGTTGAGACATGGAAATTGCAAATTAAATCTTAAAAGGAATTTTTCCTCCCTATTGGCTGTATTCATTATGGTGGTTCTGGTTAGCATGAATTGATCTGTTATCAGTCTGACAATGGTACGGCTGCTGAGTTTGAAATTCAGAAAACTAATACTTGTTCCCTTGAGTTTGGGCGTTTGTGGCAGAGTTTAGTAGCAGCCTTCTCCTTCAGCCCTGATTTGGGAAGCATCCCAATACATGCTATTTGCATTGCAGCTGTGGGAAAGTCCACGTTTGTGAAGTTACTCACGAAAACTTACCCAGAATGGCACGTAGCTACAGAACCTGTAGCAACATGGCAGAATATCCAGGCTGCTGGCACCCAAAAAGTAAGTTTTTAGTTGTGGTGGGTAGTTGGCAGGCATGGGTGAATAATCTAATTGTCATAATTTAATTTACTCTCAGTGAGTAAAGTAGCCCAGTTTGAGTATCCTTTTTAAAATAGCTTCATTCCAGAAAGCAGACCACATACACCAGAGAGGATATGACTTGTTTGAATATGTGCAGTTTTGATTTTTGTGGTTTTTATATGTCTATCTAAGTGACTGCCTCTGTTGTTTGTGGTTTCCCAAAGCATGTCCAACCATCATGGATGGCTTTGAAGATGAATTTTGTCATTCCTACACTTAAGTATTTATATTATTACTTAAGCTAACCACTAGGATTAATAGCTAATTATAGTGATTTTAACTTTTTAAATAAAGTCTTAGAAATTAGAAGGGATATTAGAGAGGTTCCAGTCACACTTTGAGTCAATGGGAGAGGTTACAGCTAACATTTATGAGCATGTACTATGTGCCAGGCACTGTACTATGCCAAGCACAGTACATTTCACTTACACCTCATGGCTTAGGCCCTGGTGTCAAGACTATGGCTTTGGCAGAGGCCATAGAGTTGGTTTCCAGCCACATCAGTCTGAGTAAGGAAAGACTTGTTTCGACATGACCCTTAGAGGGAGCAGAAGCACCATGCCTCCTCAGGCACCATGAACTGCTCCTGCCGCCACCTGGGATATTCACTGAGTGGCACATTCTGGTTCTTAACTCTAATTACTAAACAGTTCTGCCTTTTAATGAGCCATGTTGCACCCCTGTGACTCTGACTCATTGGTTCAAGTTCTACCTCTTAAGTCTTTTAACTTTTCGCCGTAACAACCCTATATATAGTTGAAGGTAATGATTTTCCTGTTCTTTCTCCCCCTCAAGTCTCTCTCCTTTTTTTTTTTTTTTTGACAGTCTCATTCTGTCACCCAGGCTGGGGTGCAATGGTGTGATCTCGGCCCACTGTAACCTCCAACTCCTGGGTTCAAGTGATTCTCATGCCTCAGCCTCCTGAGTAGCTGGGACTATGGGTGCATGCCACCATGCTGGGATACTTTTTGTATCTTTAGTAGAGACAGGGTTTCGCCATGTTGGCCAGGCTGGTCTCAAACTCCTGGGCTCAAGTGATCCACCCACCTTGGCCTCCAAAGTGCTGGGATTATAGGCATGAGCCACCATGCCTGGTCAAGTCTTCTCTCTTTCAAGCCAAACACCTCCAGTTTTCCTCCAGGCTATTCTTTACTCTGAAGTAACTTTACCTAAGTGATGAGTCCTAGTTTGTTCACTTTCCACTTTGAATTTACTAAGAGTGCTACTTGGAGGTGAACAGGACATTCTGGATGTAGTCTAAGTGGGACAGAGTATCATGGAACTTGTTCTGGGTGCCATTTTTTTTTATTCCAACCCAGAATTGTGTTACCTTTTGTGGCTGGCATATCATGCCTATTGAGGATTTTTGCTGCTTAAGTTGTCTCTTTATATGTCTGTATGTGTGCCTGTGTGTGTATTTGTGAAATTAACTTTCCTATGCAGGAATAAATTACATATCTTTTTCTGAGTATGCCACAGGTCACCTGTGTGTATTTCAAAATACAGTCATGGGCTGCATAATGATGTTTCTGTCAATGATAGACCTTGTATACAATGGTGGCCCCATAAGATTATAACAACATATTTTTACTGTACCTTTTCTATGTTTAGATACACAAATACTTACCATTGTGTTACAGTTGCCTACAGTATTCAATACAGTAGCATGCGATACAGCTTTGTAGCCTAGGAGCAATAGGGTGTGTCATATAGCATAGGTGTGTAGCAGGCTATCCCATCTAGGTTTGTGTGAGTACATTTTCTGATGGTCACACAGTGACAAAATTGTCTAACGACACATTTCTCAGAACATATTCCTGTTGTTAAGTGGTACATGATTGCATGTCCACAATTGTTTGATATTCCTCCCTTCTAGAAGTAGAGCGTAATTCTTGCCTTGAATGCAGCTGGACTTTGTGATTTGTTTCTAGTAAATAGAAAGTAGCAAAAATAAGAAATACCTTTCTAGGGTAGGTCATAAGAGACACTGTAGCTTCCATCTTGTTCTGGGGGAAGCCAGCTGCCATGTCAGGAAGCAGCCTTTTCAAGGGGGCCACACGGAAGGAACTGAGGCCTCCTGTGAACAGGTACGTGAGTCTTTTTGGAATTGGATCTTTCAGCCACAGTCCAGCCTTCATACAACTGTAGCCTCAGCCAACATCTTGACTGAAACTTCATGAGAAACCCTGAGGCCCAGCCACCCAGCTAAGCTCCTTCCCAAATTCCTTCCCCATAGAAACTGAGATAATGAATGTTTTTGTTTAAGCCACTGAATTCTGGCATAATTTGTTAGGCAGCAATAGATAACTAATCATCCTGTAATCCCATTATTCAGAAGTAAAATGGACATTTTTCTACAGAGAAAATGTATAGATTTACATATACTTACATAAATGTATAAAATATATATACATTTGCTTTTTGAAACAAAAATTTTGATTGCCACCTGTATGTCACTTAATAGACAAGATCTCCCTTTCACAGTGATATCATTTTAATGGTTGTAGTGTACTGCATAATATGAATATTATCATTTAGTTATCCAGTCCTCTATTTTGAATGTTTAGTTTTCTAATTTCTTCCTATTATAAGCAGTGTTGCAATGATGAATATCATTGTAGCTATACTGCTTGTTTTTTAATATAAAGCCATGTTTTGTGTATCTTTTTGTTCTTTAGTGAATTGCCTGTCCAAACCCCTTGCCTTGTTTTTTTCTATTGAGATCTTCATCTTTGTGTAATGGCTTCATAAAAACTCATTGTATGTTAAGTATATTAACTCTGTCATATATTTGTTTGTCATTTTCTTTTTTTTTTTTTTTTTGAAACGGGGTCTCGCCTTGTCGCCCAGGCTGGAGTCCAGTGGTGTGATCTTGGCTCAGTGCAACCTCTGCCTTCCGAGTTCAAGCAGTTCTCCCTGCCTCAGCCTCCTGAGTAGCTGGGATTACAGGTGCCTGCCACCACACCCAGCTAATTATTGAATATTTAGTAGAGATGGGGTTTCACCATGTTGGCCAGGCTGGTCTGGAACTCCTGACCTCAGGTAATCCACCTGAATTGGCCTCCCAAAGTGCTGAGATTACAGGCGTGAGCCACTGCGCCCGACCATGTCATTTTTCTTTTATCTTGGTATATAATATATTTTTACAATATAATACATTTCAGTTTTTATGTAGTCTAACCTGTCCTTCTTTTTCCTCATAGTTAGCACCTTTGATGTTAAAATTGTAGCCCAGGAGTATAAAAATAATCTATTTCTTTTTGTTGCTTTTATGGTTTTATGTTTTATGTGGCTTTACAAGTTATAAGACTTTAGTTTTTTCACAAATGGTTATCTACTTAGCCAGTAGTATTCTTGTTTATTCCTGAGCAGAATATATATTTTGTTTTTATTGTGACTGAGATCTTTTTTCCACATCATCTTCTGAAACTGGTTATTGCTGTTTTAATGGAAAACAGTTGATTGTTATATTTATCTTATATGATTTAATTTCTCATTATTTTTTTATTTGCTTGAAGTTTTGGAAAATAATAGTTGTCTCTAAATAGTAATCATTTGAAAGAGTTTTCTAATATCTGTGCCACATTTCTATTTTCTTGTTTTCTTTCATTGGGTAGAACTTCCAGAGCAATATAAACTAATAGCAGTGAGGGTAGTTTCCTTATCTTGTTCTGTCATTAATGAAACTGCCTCTAATATATCAGTGTTAAGTTTAATGTTTATTATTCATTTCAGTAGACCGTGTGGTACACGTACCCTTTTGTTACTAGAATAGTAACTGTTTTTATCATGATCAAATGTTGAATTTCCATCAAAAACCACTTTAGCATCTAGTGAGATAAACAAGGGGTTTTTCTTTTTAATCTCTTAGTATTAGTCATAGATTTAATAATGGTACCATCCTCACATTTCTAGAATGAACTTTTTTTTGGTCATGATGTACTATTCCATTAATTTGGTAATGTGTTGTTTGGAATTTTGCATGTATATTTATTTATACAGTTGGTTGGTATTATTATTTGTGTGTATGGTGATTTTTGTTTGTTTTGACTTTTGGGTTCTTTTTAGGCAGGGTCTTCCTCTGTCACCCAGGCTGGAGTGTAGTGGCATGATCATAGCTCACTGCAGCCTTGAAGTCCTGGACTCAGGTATCTTCCCACCTCAGTCTCTTGGTGAGTTGGGACTATAGGTGCATACCACTGTCCCCATCTACTTAAAAATTTTTTTTTTTTTTTTTTTGTAGAGATAGGGTCTCACTTTGCTGCCCAGGCTGGTCTCGAACTCCTGGGCTCAAGCGACCCTTCCACCTCGGACTCCCAAGGTGTTGGGACCACAGATGTGAGCTGTGATGCCTGGCCCATGTGTAGTTTGTGACAGGTTTTACCATCAATGTTATGAAAATAAATGGAGAAATTTTGCATCTTTTCTAGCATAGAAATGATCTATTCCTTGAAGGTATGATAGAAATCATCTTTAAGATTATATGGATTCAGTACTGTTTGAGGGGAATCATTATTGGACAACTGTTTTCTGCCTCAGTTATTCAGGTTTTTTTTTTTTTTTAAGATGGAGTTTTGCTCCTGTTGCCCAGGCCAGAGTGCAATGGCACGATCTCAGCTCATTGTAACCTCCGCCTCCCAGGTTCAAGCGATTCTCCTGCCTCAGCCTCCCAAGTAGTTGGGATTACAGGCATACCACCATGCCCGGCTAATTTTGTATTTTTAGTAGAGACAGGCTTTCACCATGTTGGCCAGACTGGTCTCGAATTCCTAACCTCAGGCGATTCACCCACTTTGGCCTCCCAAAGTGCCGGGATTACAGGCATGAGCCACCATGTCCAGCCCCTAGGGAGAATTTCTTAAGCTGATACTCTTTTCTTTTTCTTTAAAGAGTCTCACTCTGTCACCCAGGCTGGAATGCAGTGGCCCTATTATAGCTCACTGCAGCATTGCTTCTCAGCCTTTTGGCTAAGATCAAGTGTATAGCTCACTGTAGCACTGAACTCCTGGGTTCAAGCAAATCCTCCCACCTCAGCCACCAGAGTAGCTGGGACTACAGGCATGCACCACTATGCCCAGGTAACTTTTAAATTTTTTTGTGGAGACAGAGTCTCACTATGTTGCCCAAGTTAGTCTTGAACTCTTGGCCTCAAGCAATCCTCCTGCCTTGGCCTCCCAAAGTGCTTGGGTTATAGGTGTGAGCCCCCATACCTAGCCCTTAAACTGATACTCTGTAAGGATCTTCTAATTCACTAATTAGGTTTACTGCATTATACAGTCTGCTAGCTACCATCTTCATTATCTTCATTGGGTGTTTTACTTGGGCAATTGCATTTTTCACCTCTAAGAAAGTTATTTTCTTATTGTTCCTTTTTTATGATAGCTTATTCTTGTTTTATCAGCAAGGCCGTATCTTTTGTTTTCTCCTGTTTCTGACAACAGCCCTGTCTGAGCACAGAGACTAGTCCTCTCCTTTTGAATTGCTAAGTATTTTTGTGTCCAATTATTGTTCATCTGTTTGCTTATATTTTTGGAAGGATGTTTGCATTTGTTCTGTAGCTGAGATGGGTTCTTTCAGAAATTGTGTTGGTTTCTTTTACATTTTTGGTTCCAGAAGAGTCTCTCTTTGATAGCCCAAAGCCCACTGGTGCAATAGAACCCACCAGTCAACCTATTGCATCTGCCAGCACAGCACTCCGCTCCACATACAGTGTGTGAATTGTGCAACAGGCCCAGGGCTGCTCCCAACCATCTCTAGTGACACCACAGAGACTACAGGAGACACAAATTTGTCCTCCTACTTCTACCTCCAGCTCTTAGTCAGGGGCCACGTGTGAGGCTGGTATGTGTGGGCTTGCGGGGTCAGAAGGAGGGAAATCCCGAAAATACCTCTGAGTTAAATGCTTTTCTGGTCCACTCTGCTCTATATGTGTTGTTTCTGCTGAAGCCTTTCAAAGGGCTAAGACCCTTCTTTGGAATCTAATAGTGCTATTTTGCCAAATTGGACTTCTTACTGTTGTTGAATCTTTTTTCTCCTTCTGTCCTGTTGTCTCTACCTGAAGTACAATCTTCTTAATCTCCATTTCCATCTGTGAGAATTCTACTCATCAGTTACTTCCCAGCTTAATGCCACTTTCTTTCAGAAACTCCCTGAGATTCCTTCCACCATCAGTAATCGTCCCTTCATCACATGTTCTGCCTTACATTCCAGCTTCGTACATCCTCATCACCCTCTTCCTTTTTGCACTGTGAGCTCTTTGAGTTCAGGAACTGTCTTGTTCACCTTTAGATGGAGGGTGTTGGAATGATGAGGTTAGAGGAAGCCAGGTTTGAGTCCCTTCAACATTTACTCGCCATGAAACCTTGCACAAGTAAGTTACTTAACCTCTGAGTGGATTTTCCCCTCTGGAAAATGGGCATTACAACAGTACCTACCTCATGAAGCTGTTTTGAAGATTAATTGAGGTAACATACCACAGTAAAGGTTGAAATAAATGTTAATTCCTTTTTCTATACCCTTACGGTACCCTGCCCATGTAGCGCCTCATCCACACAGGCCTTCAGTGATTGGTGATTGAATAAAAAATACAGATCCAAAGTGCTTTTGTACAAAATTCACTTTTGCATTGTTGAGTCAATGGCAGATCCAGAAAAGAATCTGGGGCTGGGCGTGGTGGCTCACGCCTGTAATTCCAGCACTTTGGGAGGACAGGAGTTCGAGACCAGCCTGGCCAACATGGTGAAACCCTGTCTCTACTAAAAATACAAAAATTAGCTTGTCGTGGTGGCGGGTGCCTGTGATCCCAGCCACTCAGGAGGCTGAGGCAGGAGAATCACTTGAACTCGGCTGGGGTGGGGAGGAGGGCGGAGGTTGCAGTGAGCCGGGAGGTTGCAGTGAGCTGAGATCGTGCCACTGCACTCCAGCCTGGGTGGCAGAGTGAGACTCTGTCTCAAAAAAAAAAAAAAAAAATCCGGGGCTGCTGAACATCCCACACTTGTGCCCACTTGCACATGCCGAGTAAGTGGAACGTTTTAATTATGTTTCATAAAGTCTCTAGAATTAAGTAGGGTTTTGTTTTAACAAACAAATTGTACTCCTTATATGAAAGATAAAATTCTATTTGGTGGTTGATTGGTTGGATTTTCAAATAAGCAGTTGCTTTCTGGTTTGCCTTGACATTTTATAAACATAACTACAGATGGAAGCTCAAAAGAGAGGCAACATAGTGTTATAGTGGAAAGATTTGATTCAGAGTTAAATTTTAGATGGTTGTTGACTGTTAACTCCTCCCCAGACAGACTTCACAAATCCCTCAATCAGTGATCGTGTTAATTCTATATATGGTTCTTCCTCTGCTTTTGTTATATTGAAGTGGCATGTCATCTCCCTTTAGAGAGTCTTATTTAATAGGTAGGAAAATCTCATACCTGATTATGAAATTTTGACTAAGCTGGGGATCTGATTCTACCTTTTTGGTGGAAGGAAACTTTTGTAATTTCTTCTTTCATTGATTATTAAACCTGTTTGGGGAGGTAGGGGTGTGTGTGGAGGGGTGTACCCCATGGAGTAAATATGCTTTCTAGGAAATTTTCTTCTTTTTTTCATCTCCCTCTAGGCCTGCACTGCCCAAAGTCTTGGAAACTTGC
Source organism: Homo sapiens (assembly GCF_000001405.40). Classification (NCBI taxonomy): domain Eukaryota; kingdom Metazoa; phylum Chordata; class Mammalia; order Primates; family Hominidae; genus Homo; species Homo sapiens. The sequence goes on from NC_000002.12 coordinate 73,946,750, forward strand.
TGGATATGATGTACCGGGAGCCAGCACGATGGTCCTACACATTCCAGACATTTTCCTTTTTGAGCCGCCTGAAAGTACAGCTGGAGCCCTTCCCTGAGAAACTCTTACAGGCCAGGAAGCCAGTACAGATCTTTGAGAGGTCTGTGTACAGTGACAGGTAAAATGCCAAGCCCTCCACCAGTCACAAGCCCCATGCTCAGTGCTGCCTGTTTGATCTTGCACAGATCCTGCACTGCTATGGTCACTGATGATTATAATTTGAAAAATTATCTTCTTTTTTAAAGACAACACTATACAGATTTGTCCAGAGTTGTACTTCTACCAGATTGTCATCTATGTCAAGAAAGGAAATTGGGTTTTTCATCAACTGAATGCTTTGAATTTCTTACATTGCTACTGATTACCTTATGTTTCCTTATTTTCTGGCATGGAGCAAGCTGGTAGCCACCTAATGTAACCATCACATGCTAAAAGGCACATAATAGACACTTAAGTAGCAGTGTATATTCTAAGAAATCAGATGATTCAGTGGTTGATTATCCCCTTTAAGAAAAAAGCAGACGAAATTAAAATTTGTGTTCCTGAAAATGATATAAGAGATATTTTCAGCCTTTTTTTTTTATTGTTCAAGAAAGGATGCTTAGGCAGAAATAGCACATCTGAGAAACTGGCTTCTGTCTCAGATTTAGCCCTTTTTGACCCCTTCTTCTGTGAGAGGGCTTTTTGCTGGCCAGAGTCTAGTGGACATCAGTGCCTGTGTCAGATCAGGGATGGGCATCATCCTGACCACCTGAGGGAGTGAGATGTGAAGTCACTTTGAATGCAAGCTAGCAGCACCCTGGGAAGTGAGCCCATCTGCTCCAGAAGAGCTAGGCCGTGCAGGCTCCGGAATGCCTGGCTCTGCTGCAGAGACCAGGCTGTGACTTGAGGTTAAGCCGCCTAGAGACAAAGTCAGGATGGCTTGATCTGGACACTGCTGGAGTTTTTCTTATCTGAAGCCTATGAATGACCAGTGTCAGTGTGAAATAGTGCTTTCAAGCAAAACGATCTTTCTTAAGGCTCTTTGAATTATCAAAATGGGAAGTGGTACATTTTCATTGTCACTGCTGAAGACACTCAGTTGGTTACTCTTTTAATTCCAAATTAGACAAACTAGTTCTATTTCTTAGTGCTTCCGGAAAGCCTCCTAGAAGAAAAAAAATAAGGATACATTTGTAAATGACAAGTGATTTTTCTGACTTTACCCTAAAATCATGGAAGATATGTAAAACAAACCCTATAGGCTATCCGTTCCTTGTGTACGTACCCCGAGAGAGCCTACTTTTTATAAAAGCTAAATATGTGAATTACAAATGGCTGGGCTATAGGTTTTACTTCTTTTTCAGCTGTTGGATATCCCACCTGCCTGTTTTCCTCTCTTCTCTCCCAAGCCATGCCTCTCGGACTCCGAAGTTGAATTACATATAACCACATGGGTTGTTTGGAAACATAGTCAGTCTTTATTTCTAGCCGCTTCATGAAGTAGGTGTGTGAGACCCTCAGAGGAAAATAGAGAAGTAGAAACACTTTGTTAATTAGAAATGCATTAAGAAGCTGCATGGATCTTAACCTTTGCTTGTAAAGGAAGAGGTAATAATTGATTACACTGTGGGCATACAACATTCCAGGTGCTATCTTCAGTGAGGGCATTTTCGAGACAGAAAGGAAAACTAATCACAAGTTCTAATCCCGAGGGTAATTTAGACTTTGTTCACTTGCACAGATTTATTGGATGCCTCCTGTGTTGAAGCACCAAGGCTGGCCCTGGGGCTGCAGCAGTGAATAAGGCAGACCCAGTCCCTGCCTAACAGGGACTGAACACATGCTCACGTGTGTGATATTTGTTCCAAAGGAGGAACACAGGTTATCTGGGAGAGTTGATTATAGCGAGGAAGAAATCTTAGTCTTTTCTGTTTGAGTTAAAGGAAACATTAGCATATGGTTTTAGAGCAGAGGCCCTGACTCCTAGATCCTTATGCCCTGTTCTGTCCTGCAGCCCCTGCATTCAGTCTGCAGTACTTCCCTCCCACTCAGCACCACACCCTTCTGCCCCTCACCCCATCACCACCACAAGCTTTGAAGAAATAAAGGAAGTGCTCTTTCTCAAGAAAGCCAAGAACCCCTTTCATAGGGCTTATTAGCAAATCTTTAATTTCTCTTTATAAGATCCTTTTTTGTTTTAAGACAGAGTCTCGCTCTGTCGCCCAGGCTGGAGTGCAGTGGTGTAATCTTGGCTCACTGCAACCTCCGCCTCCTGGGTTCAAGCAATTCTTGTGCCTCAGTCTCCTGAGTAGCTGGGATTACAGGGACACGCCATCATGCCTGGCTAATTTTTGTGTTTTTAGTAGAAACGGGGTTTCACCATGTTGGCCAGGCTGGTCTCAAACTCCTGGCCTCAGGTGATCCGTCCGCCTCAGCCTCCAAAAGTGCTGGGATTACAGGTGTGAGCCACAGTGCGTGGCCACTTTATAGGATCTTAATTTCATCTTCTAGTTATCTGTAAAGAACTCAAAAACATTTTGAGTTTAAAATGTTACCCTTTTATTTGTTCTCATCAACTAGACTATGGCTAAACCATTCCAGACTGGGAAAGTTTACTTGTGGAGTTTCTAAGTTAGCTTCTTCATAGCCTAACAAAAAGCAGTTATAATAATAACTAAGATATCTAGAAGACTATGTGCCAGTCACTCTTCTAAGCACTTTGTGAGGATTATTACAAGACATCATCATAACAGGCTGAGAGGATTTAGGTGACTTGCCTGAAGTTACATAGCTAGTGAATGTTTCAGCCAGTATCAGACCCTGAAATGTTATTCTGGAAGGTATTCTCTCAGTGGTGACACTCACAGCCTTGCAGTCTGTACTTTCCTGAGCCATCATACACAAGGGTTCTGAATTTTATTTTCTCCAAAGTGGCCAGTTGCTGAGCATTGCCTTGGAAACTGGAGTCCCTTGCTTAGGATGCAAATTGTGTTTTTTATTAAAATGCCTGAGGTTTGAAAGCAGGATTGACCCCTGGTTTGTCTGAAGCCATGGTTTATGTTTAGCTCTGATTTCCTGTTTACCAGATGCTCTTTTGGTTGTAGAAATAAGCAGGGGGCAAAGCTGGTTTGATTTTTAGCTTTAGCTTTCTTTTATCTGAACTAGAAACTCAGCAGCAGAGGAAGCAAGCAAGCAGGAGCTCATAATGCATTTTGCAGGAGAGTCTGCTTTCTTAGTAATACTGAAATTAGTAGGAAATGCATTTTCTGCTCCATAGAGGACACCACATAAATACTATTTCTTCTGCATGTCTCAGCTAAACAAAAGGATGGCTCAGTAGCCTGGAGACTTAGAAGCCCTCAGTCCTTGTATGAAATTTAGTGGGTGGATTTATACTGGATTCACTTGTTTATTTGTTTTGGGCCTTGCTATAATAATAATAAGGAAATCTCAAAAGTTCAAGTTTACATATATTTGCTGTATGTTCTGACTGGTTTCTAGCAGAGAAAATTGTTAGGGACCAATGATACTATCTTCTGTCTCTTTTCTTCCAGTGAATCAATCCATCTGGAAAGGTGTGATTTCAGCCTCCAAAGTCTAGATCCTATTTCCCATCTTAGTACTGAGCAGGGAGGGAGATATGGGTTAAGAATTCAGATTTCTTAAGGATTGATGAGGAGCTAGAAAGGTTAAGTGGTTTGAACAGACATGGAACAAGTTGGTTATTGATTTTTCTGCTTCTCTCTCTCTCTCGTGCCTTTCATTCCATTTCCCATTCTCCTGCCCTCCCCATTCCCATCCCACTTCCAACCAGGTATATCTTTGCAAAGAATCTTTTTGAAAATGGTTCCCTCAGTGACATCGAGTGGCATATCTATCAGGACTGGCATTCTTTTCTCCTGTGGGAGTTTGCCAGCCGGATCACATTACATGGCTTCATCTACCTCCAGGCTTCTCCCCAGGTAACACTGAACCTACAACCTTAGACTTTAGGGCCATATGAAACCTAAGAAGTGACATTCTCCAAGCCCCTGATTTTCTGGTTGGAGAGATTAGAGCGTAGACATTACCTGCAGCACAGAGAGCAGTGGGGGACACCCTCCTGTCCCAGCGTTGAGCACCCTGTTCCCCACTGGCTTCGTGTAGCAGAGTGCTAAAGCCATTGACTATGCATAAAAGGATTGCTGTTGATGTAGGAACAACAGAGCAAATCGAGTGTCATCTTTATGATGACGCTTAGGGTTTGCAGGTGGGACGCTCTGACCTGTAGCCACTTGCCTCAGCTCCTCCTTTACTCTGACTGGGTCATCAGAGTGTGTAGTCTCAGTGGTTTCCTTAGTAAGATGTGAGGAGGAAGAGGAGAATTTTCTCACCTCATCATGATACTGCCCTAATTTATAGCCCTTTTTTGAACTGTGATGCCATTGGGAAGGCAGGATGGACTATAGCAGTTCCATTCTGTGACTCTCTGGCTGGTGCCATCCTACATGAAGTAGGATGATGTCACGGCAGGAGCACCAGAGTCTCTGGAGATAGAAGTGAGCTGTGGCTTCTGCTGACTGGTAGTGACCTTGGGCAGCCCCTGGAGACCTTTCCACTGGAGAGATCCTTGCCTGTAAAATCCACTGGTTCAATCTAGACGATCTCTAAGGGCTCTTCTGGAGTGGGATTCTGAGTCAAGGTGAGTTTTTTTTTTTTAGAGATGTACTGCTCTCAGCTTTTGAGATATACATCCAATATATAGTCAAATGCCAGATATACCACATACTGTTAGAAGGAAGGAAAGCTGTCTCCAAGCTAGAGGCTATGCTTTTTAGAGATGGAACTGAGACTTGTGGGCAGAAAGGAGCCGAGAACAGACTGAGCAGAACCAGAGGATGAGTGGGAGAGCTCCCATCACAGAGCCTCACACCAGCCAACGAGGAGAGGACTGGAAGGAAGGGTCTTGCCTTAAGAAGGTGGCAACCAGGAAAAAAGGCCCTTGAATGTGACTGGGGCCAGATATTGGGGATCTTTGTGTTGAGAGTTTCTGGACATTTTGAGGCAAAAGCTAGATCGTACGAGGGAATAAGAGATTCTACAGAAATAAATAAGGGTTAAAGTTTAAAATGAAACTGGGCTGGTGCAGTGGCTCATGCCTACAATCCCAGCACTTTGGGAGGCTGGCGTGGGAGGATCACTTGAGGCCAGGAGTTCAAGACCAGCATAGGCGATATAGTGCGACTCCATTTCTACAAAAAAGTTTAAAAATTAGCTGAGTGTGGTTATGTGTGCCTGTGGTTTTAGCTATTGGGGAGGTGAGACAGGAGGATCACCTAAGTCCAGGAGCTCGAGGCTACAGTGAGCTGTGATCGTGCCACTATACTCCAGCCCAGGTGACAGCGTGAGAACTTGTTTCTAAAATAAAATAAAACTGAACTAAAGATTCAGTGAGGCCAGAGGGCTAATAATCTTCCATGGAAAGAACCACACTAAAGTTAGATGCATTGATTGCAAGTTGACAAGGTGGGTCATGTTTATGTGACTTCTTTCAATAGTCTTCATTGCCTGAGAGCCAGAATAGAAGAAGGGGATTATACTTTAGGGGTAGAGATTAGTGTCAGCGATTGTGGGGAGAGGAGTCCCCTCTCAAAGAGGACAGTTTGAAGTGTCAAAGTGTAGGGTTCAAGTTGGGAGAGAAGTCCTGAGCCCCAGGAAGGCTTGTGGCCTGGGCCAAAGAGGAGTGAGAGTGCTGTGAGGTTGGATTGAGTAAAGATCCTGGTTGGAATTTGAAGAAGTGACAGGTTTCCTATGGGAGTCTTGGGATGGCTGGACTGAAAGAAGCAGGAGGTTCTCAGGACGAGCTGAGCATTAGGAGAAGTGAGAATGCTGACTTAACCTTTTCCAAGAGAACAGCACATTCAGCTCAGTGCCATGAAGCCAGCATTGGGGAGGAGTGAGAGAGGAAGTGGGCTGACTCATTCCTGGGAGTAAAATGGGGCTACTTGGGCCAGCTGAAGAGGCTCTTGTTTCTGGGGAGTGGAAGTTGGACCCAGCAAGGAGAACAAGAAAGTCTTAATTGCTTTTCTTCTTTGTGCACTCTGAATGACCTTATAACAGAATGCCTGAAACTGGTTAATTTATAAAGAGGCTTATTTTGGCTCACAGTTATGGAGACTGGGAAGTCCAAATTGGGCAGCCTTAACTTCCATTGAGGACCTCCTGCTGCCTCATCATATGATGAGGTGGAAGGGAGCAGGCATGTGCAAAAGGGGCAAGATAGGAGGAGCAGCCTTGCTTTATAACATCCCACTCTCATGGCAACTGGTCCAATCCCACGAGAGTGAGAACTCATTCCGGCGAGAATTAACCCAGTCCCAAGAGAGTGGCATTAATCTGTCTTAACAACCTAATCACCTCTTAAAGGCCCCACCTCTCAGCACTACCACACTAAGGACCAAATTTCCAACACATGAATTCTGGGGGGATACACTCAAACCATAGCAAATGGTGATGATGATGATGATGATCATCATCATCATCGTCGTCGTCGTCGTCGTCGTCGTCACTTGGGGGCAGATCTGCCCTTTTGGAGAGGCTAATTGAAATATTTCAGCTGGAGTAGAATGAGAAGAGTTGAAGGATTATTACAACTTAATGGCAGAAAAGAAAAATAGCTTATTCATTTTGAGATTAGATGGGGATTTTAATGCTGTTTTGATGGCATTAGTTCCAGAGATGCAGGAATGCCCATGTTTCTTCCCTGAAGTCACACTTGACCTCTTCTGTGAAATTCAGAGGTAACTGTGCCCAAGGGAAGAGCAGAATAGAAGTTGTCCTGTCACTATGTAAAAAGCTGTGCAAGTGCCCAATCTTCCAGTTCAGAGCCCTCGTAAATACTGAGTTTCGAGCATGTCAGATGGACTTCGTAGGTCCTTCTGCTCCTTTCTACCTATTCTTCCCTAACTTCTTTTTTTTTTTTTTTTTTTTTTGAGACAGAGTTTTGCTCTGTTGCCCAGGCTGGAGTGGCACGATCTCTGCTCACTGCAAGCTCCGCCTCCCGGGTTCACAGCATTCTCCTGCCTCAGCCTCCCGAGTAGCTGGGACTACAGGCACCCGCCACCACACCCGGCTAATTTTTTTTTGTATTTTTAGTAGAGACGGGGTTTCACCATGTTAGCCAGGATGGTCTCGATCTCCTGACGTGATCCGCCCGCCTCGGCCTCCCAAAGTGCTGGGATTACAGGCATGAGCCACCGCGTCTGGCCCCCTAACTTCTTAAAAGCCAGCAAGCCGGGCCAGACTGGACCAGGCGGGTGCAGTGGCTCATGCCTGCAATGCCAGCACTTTGGGAGACCAAGGTGGGAGGACTGCTTGAGCCCAGGAGTTTAAGACCCACCTGGGCAACATAGTGAGAGCCCCCTGCCCTCTACAAAAAATTTAAAAATTAGCCAAGCATGGTGGTGTGTCTGTATTCCCAGCTACTCAGCAGGCTGAGGTGGGATATCACTTGAGCCTGGGAGATTGAGGCTGCAGTGAGTCAGGATTACACCACTGCATTTCAGCCTAGGCCACAAAGCAAGACCCTGTCTCAAATAAATGAATAAATAAATTTTTTTTTTTAGAAAAGGCAACTCAGGCCGGGCACGGTGACTCACGCCTGTAATCCCAGCACTTTGGGAGGCTGAGATGGGAGGATTGCTTGAGGCCAGGAGCTCAAGACGAGCATGGTCAACATAGGGAGACCCCATCTCTAAAAATTTTTTTTAAAACACAAGCAAGCTAACAATTTTAAAACTCAAAAGAGAAATAGCTAGGCCTCAGTGTTCCTAGCCAGCCCCATGGAATCAAGAGAGTGCAGCTGATCAATGTACATCAAAAAGCCAGGCCCTACCTGGGACTGGCACAGCATGGGGACAGCATGCAGGAGGTGCATGGGACAAATGGCACCTGGGTTTGGGCTTGAGAGGCATAGTGAAAAGACCCACTAGCAGTCACTTTCCATTTTCTGTTTCTGACTCCAAGCAAGCAGAGCAGCAGTTCTTCTTCCTGGGTGGGACAGGTTAAGAAGACCAGTAAAGGGTCTCTCCCTCGCCACTTGTAGCTACACTATCTTTCCTGTTCACATTCAGGTGTGTCTTCCTCATGAGGACTGAGATGAAGAGGGGTCAGACTAAAGCACTGTTTGCACGGGATTTTTTTAAATAGAATTTGTTATAGCGATATCAGTAAAGCAAGAGTTATGCCAAATGCTCATAGTAGGAGTTTACTTCGACCTCTTTTTTTTTCCCCACTCAATACTGCCACCAGTTAAGACTTAGACTTCTCAGGGAAATCCATTTGCTCTGTTAAGGAAATTAATAGTAAATAGAAATATGTTAGCTTATTTTAATAGATCAATGTTAGTGTCAAGGTTTGTCTGCAAGCAGTGAATGAATAATTATAAATAGCTTTCCTAAAAAGAATTGTTCTGCCTTTGTGTGTGTACTTGGAAACATAAAGTCACATTTTAAAAAAATTTATTTTCACGAAACAGACAACATTTTTTTTCTCAGAAAGGAAAATGAGATGATAGCTTTGCTATGCTTAGAAATCCTAAAGCTACCTTTCTGGTGGGAATATAAATTGGTTAACCTCTAAGGAGGCAGTCTGGCAGTATATAATTGCAAGTGCATATACCTTTTGATCATTAATAAAATTTGTTTCTATAATTTCATTTCCTTAGAGAAAAGGTAAGATAAGAGGGAAACAGCAAAGACTCCCAAGTCTTTGGGATTATTGTGTACTACATTTGGAAATTAAGTTTTCATTTCTTAAGTAAGTTATTGAAAGAGGGAAGTCCTGGCCGGGCACGGTGGCTCACGCCTGTAATCCCAGCATTTTGAGAAGCCGAAGCGGGCAGATCACGATGCCAAGAGATCGAGACCATCCTGGCCGACATGGTGAAACCCCATCTCTACTAAAAATACAAAAAATTAGTTGGGCGTGGTGGCTCCCGCCTGTAGTCCCAGCTACTTGAGAGGCTGAGGCAAGAGAATCACTTGAACCTGGGAGGCAGAGGTTGCAGTGAGCTGAGATCGCGCCACTGCACTCCAGCCTGGCAACAGAGCAAGACTCTGTCTCAAAAAAAAAGAGTGAAGTCCTAAATCAGTGGGTTAATCCATCTGTTCTTCCAGGACAGATGATATTGAATAATGAAATGTTTGTCAAGCAGAGAGAGGACTGAGGATAATTCAGTCAAAACAAACATTTGGAGCAAAAATTTTGAGGTGTGAAAGAGCCTGGCCTGTTCCCCAGGAAAGAGGTCAAATCTGGCTAAAGCAGTGAGTCCAGGGGAAGAGCTAAGGCAGTTGAGAAGTAGGAGGGGTAGCTTTGTGTGACAGGTAAAGAAGATGTCATTTTCTGAGCCAGTGTGCATCAAACTTCACTACCAGATGAATGCAGAATAGAATTATGTACACTCTGCAAAGCAGCGGGGGAGGAGAGTTAGTCTCAAGCCTCACTTGTTTTTCCACTTCTTTGTTTTATCTTTGACCTGTGCAAATTTTACATTCTATTCCTGAGTGAATGTTTGGTATGACATGAAAGAGATATTTCAAATTACCTAACATTTTATAAATGCAATGCTATTCATACATACTGCTTTGAACCCTGGGGCTATGGCTGTAGGCGGTAAAGAGCCTGTGAAGTATTTTCAGCAAGGAAAGTCATGTCATTATATTGCCGTACTACAGACGGGTGGAGTGAAGGGGAAAAACTGGAAGGAGGGAACAGCTTTTGCCAGGAGCTCAATACAACTTACCTCAGTGACCTGTGGATGGGTAGACAATGAGGAAATAGAAGCCCACAAGGACTGCACTGCTAGTACCTTATGAAGGCAGGAATTTACTCCTGGACTTTCTGACCTTAAGGCCTGTACTCTGTCCATATGCTTCCCTGCCTCCAGGAGGCAGAACCAGAAGGCTCTTGCCATAATCCAGGTAAGAAGTAAAGAGGACCCGACCAGGGCAGAGGTGAGAGGAGAGGCAAGGAGAGAACATTCTAGAGAGATGAAAGAGAATTGAGTGACTTCCCAGATATAGTAGGGAGAAGGAAAAACAAGGAAAATTCCAGGTCCGTGGCTTGGATGACTGGATGGATGATGTTCATCATTAACCGACTTAGGATACTTCAGAGGAAGAGCAGGTTTAAGGTGGAGATGGGAAAAGAATGGTGTAGATCCTCTGATTGCATAAGAAAACAAGACAGCAGAAGCAAAGGCATGGCTTGTAATGCCCAAGATAGACATTATGGGTGGGCCTCAGAGCCCCCGAAGACTGCATTGTAGCAGCCAAAACAGCAAAGAGCTCATCAGGGCTTGGGGACTGTCTTTTAGGTTTGTTTGAAGAGACTGTACCAGAGGGCCAGGGAGGAGGAGAAAGGAATTGAGCTGGCCTATCTAGAGCAGCTGCATGGCCAACACGAAGCCTGGCTTATTCACAAGACAACGAAGTAAGTGGGGAGAAAAGAATGTATCAGAGACAGAGACCTGGCTCCCAACAGCCAGTTGTTAAAAACAAGTTCAGCATGCAGCCCCCTGTAGGAAGGTTCAGAATATACTGGAAATGGTTGGAAATGTCAAGCATTTTCCAACTCAGAAGTTTAATATTGCTGGACACCGTGGCTCACGCCTGTAATCCCAGCACTTTGGGAGGCTGAGGCAGTCACCTGAGGTCAGGATTCAAGACCAGCCTGGCCAACATGGTGAAACCCTGTCTCTACTAAAAATAGAAAAATTAGCCAGGTGTGGTGTCAGGCGCCTGTAATACCAGCTACTCGGGAGGCTGAGGCAGGAGAATCGCTTGAACCTGGGAGGCAAAGATTGCGGTGAGCCGAGATCGCACCACTGTACTCCAGCCTGGGCGACAGAGTGAGATGCCCAGAAGAAGTTTAATATTGAATATAATCTTTACATTCCAAGGGCCTTTTTATTAGATTGTATTTCTCCAGCTTTTTCTTTGTTTCTTAACATTTCCCTAGACTGAACATTGTGATTGATGGTGATAGTTGGCTCAGCATGAAGGGCTGAAAATGTTAGAGAAATTGTCAGTATTACTAAGTTGGCATTCCTGGTTTCTGCCTGTCCTCCCTTTAGGCTTGGTTTGTTGTCCACTTAAAATGTTTGGTGCTCTGACTGTTTGTTAGTATCACTCTCAAGAATGAAGAGAAACCTCAACCTTTCTGTTTCCGGCCAACTTTATTGAATTTGTTTTTTTAAATGCAGTTTACATGCAGTTTCTTTGAAAAGTCATGTTGAATTTAGATCTGTTCTCTGAGTAAGACTTGGCGAGTATGTGAAACTTGACTCAAGTTACATTTCTTTTTTTCTGTCCCCCAAACGTTCACGCTTCTTATAGGCTCCACTTTGAGGCTCTGATGAACATTCCAGTGCTGGTGTTGGATGTCAATGATGATTTTTCTGAGGAAGTAACCAAACAAGAAGACCTCATGAGAGAGGTGGGAAGGACTTTAACTCCTGTTTTCTGGTGGTTTCCTTTGTTGTACTTTTATCTTTCTGGCCTTTGCTTCAAAGTTCAATATCATGGGTCTTGTGCTTTGCATCTCACATTGCATTTCACACTCCAAGGCCTATGGAATCTTGTGCAGATTACAAATATCCCTATTCTCTAAAGTATGCTGGACTAATAATTGTTAAATAATTGACTTGTAACATGTGCTTGCCAGCTGACTTTCTTCTCTAAGGCATCCTAAAACTAGGGAAATGAGACTACTGGATTCTATTCCCAGCTCTGCCACTTGATGCTATATGACCCTGGGCTGCCCACATTTCTTCTCCATGCCTATTATTTTCCTTTCCTCACAAAAACCTCATGGGCTTGGCTGCATATGCATTGGGGGTGGACCATTGAAAATTCTGTTAAAAATGTGAAATTAAACTTCTGATTTTCTCCTTCCCACAGGTAAACACCTTTGTAAAGAATCTGTAACCAATACCATGAAGTTCAGGCTGTGATCTGGGCTCCCTGACTTTCTGAAGCTAGAAAAATGTTGTGTCTCCCAACCACCTTTCCATCCCCAGCCCCTCTCATCCCTGGAGCACTCTGCCGCTCAAGAGCTGGTTTGTTAATTATTGTTAGACTTTGCCATTGTTTTCTTTTGTACCTGAAGCATTTTGAAAATAAAGTTTACTTAAGTTATGCTTGTTTTTCTAATTCAGTTGCTCATTTATTTCAGCATGTATCTCTTGGTGCTTGCTCTAAATTCACCTCTAGACTAGTGTATTAGTCCGTTTTCACACTGCTATAAAGATACTACCTGAGGCTGGGTAATTTCTAAAGGAAAGAGGTTTAATCGATTCACAGTTTCGCATGGTGGGGGAGGCCTCAGGAAACTTACAATCATGGCAGAGGGGAAACAGGCACATCTCACATGGTGGCAGGTGAATGAGCGAGTGCAAGAAAGAGCAGGGAAACCTGCCTTATAAAACCATTAGATCTTTTGAGAGCTCACTGCCATGAGAACAGCATGGGGGACCTGTCCCGGTGATACAGTCGCCTCCCACCAAGTCTCTCCCTTGACACCTGGGGATTACAATTCAAGATGAGATTTGGCTGGGGACACAAAGCCTAACCATATCAACTAGCAATTTTCAAATTGCTCCCAGAACTCTAACCCAAGCCCTACCTGCCATGCATGAAGAAGGGAAATAAAGTGGCTCAAGAGTGGGTGGGATCTTAAATGTGAGCCCCCCAGAGCAGGAAATGGAGCATGAACTCCAGGAAGCTTCTTTATCTCTTCCCATCTGCCACTCTTGACATAGGGGACAGGTGTGGGGAACTTAAACCCTTGTCCTAGAGCTAAAGAACCTGGCCAAAAGAAAAAGGTAGAAAACAGCAAGAACCCAAAAGTTAAGCATCTGACATTTAAGATTGGCCCGCCCGGCACTCTATCTTTGTCTAAATACCTTACCCAATGACTTCCAGATAACGTTAATGGAGTGGATCTCTCTGTGCAGGAAAAAAAAAAAAAAAATTTTTTGTTGTGCTCTTTACCCTTCAAATAGAATTTATTGTTAAGGGAAGAAAAATACATGGCTCTATAGGATTGAAGTGCTCCATTGCCAGAAGCCTGCAGGTCCATGATTCACAGGAGCAGATCTGCACTGAACCCTTGACGGTTCTGCAGGTACACAGGAAGATGAATGATCTGGGGACGTAAGAGTGCCCCAGAAGACAGAAATCTGTGTTTCTGTCCTTTATGCTTTGGGGAAATGAATGTGAGATTGGTTTCTAACAAATACATAGGCCAGGCAAGGTGGCTTACACCTGTAATGCCAGCACTTTGGGAGACCAAGGCAGGTGGATCACCTGAGGTCAGCAGTTCAAGACCAGTCTGGGCAACATGGCAAAACCCCATCTCTACCAAAAATACAAAATTTATCCGGGCGTGGTGGTGTATGCCTGTAATCCCAGCTACTTGAGAGGCTGAGGCAGGAAAATCGCTTGAACCCAGGAGGCGGAGGTTGCAGTGAGCTGAGATCACACCACTGCACTCTAGCCTGGGCGACAAGAACGAAACTCTGTCTCAAAAAAAAAAAAAAAAAGTAATGTTTTAATATAAAAGTATGGCAATTTCCTTATCCTACTTATTTAAAACATTTTAATAGCTTTATTGATACATAATTCACATATTATACAATTCACTCATCTAAACTGTACGATTCAGGCCACACACAGTGGCTCACACCTGTAATCCCAGAGATTTGAGAGGCCAAAGTAAGAGAATTGCTTGAGGCCAGGAGTTTGAGACCAGCCTAGGTAACATAACGAGAGGCCAGCTCTCCAAAAAAGTAAAAATTAAAAAAATAAGCCAGGTGTGGTGGAGTGAGCCTGTAGTCCTAGCTACTTGGGAGGCTGAGGTGGGAGGATCGCTTGAACCCAGGAGGCTGCAGTGAGCTATGATCCTGCCACTGCACTTGTAGGTGACAGAGCGAGACTCTATCTCTTAAAAATAAAGTGTACAGGCCAGGCGTGGTGGCTCACGCCTGTAATCCCAGCATTTTGGGAGGCTGAGGCAGGTGGATCAACTGAGGTCAGGAGTTTGAGACCAGCCTGGCCAACATGGTGAAACCCCGTCTCCAATAAAAATACAAAAAATTAGCCGGGTGTGGTGGTGTGTGCCTGTAATCCTAGCTACTCAGGAGGCAGAGCAGGAGGATCGCTTGAACCCAGGAGGCAGAGGTTGCAGTGAGCCAAGATCGCACCACTGCACTCCAGCCTGGGCAACAAGAGCAAAACTCCATCTCAATAAATAAATAAATAAAAACAAAAAATAAAGTATACAATTCAATAGTTTGTAGTATAGTAGTCATGGGGCTGTATAACCAATACCACAATTCCAGAACATTTTCATCACCCCAAAAAGAAAGCCCATACCCCATCTCCCCCAAGTTTCCCTGCTGCCAACTCCCAGCCCTAGGCAACAACCAGTCTACTTTTGTCTCTGTAGATTTGCCTATTCCTGCAATTTCATATGAATAGAATCATACTATGTTGTCTCCTGTAACTTTTTTTTTTAACTGAGCATAATGTTTTCAAAGTTCATCCAAGTGGTAACATGTATCAGTACTTCGTTCCTTTCTTCCCCCACAACAGTCTCACTGTGTTGCCCAGGCTGGAGTGCAGTGGTGCAGTCACAGCTCACTGCGGCCTTGAACTCCTGGGCTCAAGCCATCCTCCTACTTCAGCCTCCTGAGTAGTTGAGACTATAGGTGCACACCACCGCGCCCACTAATTATTTTATTTTTAGTAGAGACTGTCTCACTATGTTGCCCAGGCTGGTCTCCAACTTCTGGTGTCAAGTGATTCTCCTGCCTCAGCCTTCCAAAGTGCTAGGATTACAGATGTAAGCCACTACACTCTTCACCTAGTTTTAAAGCCTGAAAGTCTACAAATTCAGCATCTCTATTGGTAAATATTGCCTTTTAGAAAGTAAACGTTGGCTGGGCACTGTGGCTCAAGCCTGTAATCCCAGCACCTAGGGAGGCCGAGGCGGGCGGATAACTTGAAGTCAGGAGTTCGAGACCAGCCTGGCCAACAAGGTGAAACCCCATCTCTACTAAAAATCAGAAATTAGCTGAGCATGGTAGTGCAGGCCTATAGTCCCAGCTACTCGGGAGGCTGAGGCAGAAGAATTGCTTGAACTGGGAGGCAGAGGCTGCAGTGAGCCGAGATTGCACCACTGCCCCCTAGCCTGGGTGACAGAGCGAGATTCTGTCTCAAAAAAAAAAAAAGTAAATATCCTCTAGGATAGTGCGGGCCATCAACAGTGTAACCTAGGTGATATTTGTCATTTTCCAAATTTGTAGCCGAGATCATCTGTAGAGAGTAAACATATTAATGAGCAGCAGTAATTTTGAATCTTAAATTGTGGGGGAGGGACAAGTAGGTCTGGGTGGAGCCTGTAAGTGTGCAGATTAGGACCACAGGAAGGCAGGCTGAAACCTTGGGCACCGTGGGTTTTTAAAGTGGACGCTAGAGAGTGGAGGTCACACTAAAACGGTCCCTACTCTACACTCAGGCCAGTCTGGATGGCTGTTATTCTTGGTTTAGGCCAACTCCCAGCGTCAAAAAATTTGGATTAACACATAAGAAATAGCTGCATTTCTTTCTGGCTTACGATGTGGTAAAACCTGCTGTTCTGGAACCTGAATATTACCTTGATGGGTTTATAACAAGGATCAAGGTTGTGAAAGTTCTCAAACTCTCAGAAGGTGATAATTTCAAGTAAAAGAGATTGTTTGTTATATGCAAATACCAGAATCACAGAGGAAGTGATGCAACGAAATAACATGCACTTTAAAATTTTAATACTATTTAACCTTCTTCAGCCCTCACTTAAATAGCAGTTTACATTTTCTGAACCACTTTCTCCTTCATGGGTCTCTCCTGGCTCCCCTACATTTGATGCCTCCCCTTCTGCTTCCTGGGCTGCCATCTTTTTCTCTTTTCCTCGAAAGTGTTGGTGTCCCCAAGGTACCCTTGGCTCATTTCTGTCTTCGTCCACTCCCTCTGCGTGATCTTGGATTTGTTTTCTATCACTGCCATTATCAAATTACCACAAATGTAACAGCTTAAAGCAGCATACATTTATTATCTTACAGCTCTGGAGGTCAGAACTCTGACATGGGTCTCACTGGGACAAAATCAAGTTATCAACAGGGCTGCTTTTCTTTCTGGAGTTTCTAGAGGAGACTCCGTTTCTTTACCTTTTCTGTCTTCTAGAAGCTGCCCACATTCCTTGGCTTGTGGCCCCTTCATCTTCAAAGCCAGTAGTGTTGCATCTCTAACCACAGCCAGGAATCCTTCTCTGCTTTCAAGGACCCACGTGATTACACTGGCCCCCTCTGGGAAATCTAAGCTGCGGGGTGGGAGGGAGGCTGCTATTCTGCTTTCCGCAGATCTCAAACACTATCATGGCTCCTACTATTCTCATGGGGTGAAGACTTCTTATGAACTTGGAAATTTTATGGAAAATGTGAATCATATGCAAGAGGGAATGGTATCAAGCACCCCTGTACCCCCATACCCACATTCTAGCCCAATCAGCCTAAGATCACCAGAAACGAACCTTGAGTTTGAGAAGGTCAGATTGCAATGAGGAAGACCACATACCAGAGGAACTGTGGGGCATCTCACCAAACAGGAAAATATACCGTTACAGGATTTTAAGGAAAACTAGAGTTTTGGTAAAATTGAATGAAGCATTGTTTGGATAGGTGCAAAGCAAAGCAGGACTGTGTATAAAGGAGTCTGTTCTGAACTGTTCGGTGAACTCAGGTTTGTTTCCCTAGAAAGTACAAAGTTAAGACAAACATGGAATTTGTGTTCAGAAGCTCCTTACGTGAAACTCTGAACCTGGCTTGGAAACCAAGACAACTTCTCTGTGTCAAAGTGACTTAGAATCTTCTGGCCAAAAAAAAAAAAAAAAGGAATTTTTACTGATAACATTTAACATTTCACACAGCAAAGTTTTTACTGATAACATTTAACATTTCACACAGCAAAGTTTCTGATAGTTCATGATTTTAAAGAACAAGGTTTCTCTATGAGTCAGAAAGCAGTAGTCACACAAGGAAAGGGGTCATTATGACACTTTACGGCTACAACGTGCTCGTGGGAGAAATACTGTTTCATGGTAACTTTTGTGACTGGCTTTAGCTGTGTAATGTCCTCCCAGCCTGTTGAGTCGCAGGGCAGCTTTTTACCTTCTTAGCATGAGCCAACTTCGACTTTCTCGCCAACTTCGACTTTCTCGCCAACTTCGACTTTCTCACCCACTTCGGTTATCTACTCAGAACCAATCTGGTTTCACCTACAGCCTACCCCCACTCTCATTATTCTGAAGCAAATCCCAAACAGGAGGATGTCTTTTAAAGCTAGAGCTATATCAAACTATGGATTTCACAACCCGGATCCCTTATGCTCAATGGGTACAAAACAGTTCTCCCCACCCGCATACCCACCACCAACCCTACCCCAACCCAGCCAGCAAAGCCATTTCCCCTGCTTCTCCATTCACCCCGTTGGCCACATTAAAAACCTTGGTGTTATCTTTGACCCCCCACTTACACTCATTCTCAACAAATTCTGCCTATTCATCTCTGAAATCTTTCAAATCTTCTCTGCACCTGTTTCTGTCTCTCTAGTTGAAGGTGTAGTGGAAATTGTGGTTGACTCCCCAGCATTCATCCCACCTCTCCTCCTCTTCCATAGCAGTCATATGGTCCCCATTGTAGCAGTGGCCATGCCTAGGAATGGCAGGAATGGCCCCTCCCCTGCCCCCCAATTACTACTACCAGTAATCATTTCTTCCCCAAGCCACATCAACTAAATGATGTATAAAAAAGAACAGTGGTTGCTAGGTCAGGTCACCTGCCCCACCCCTGCCACCAGAGAGCTGCCCCTCAGCCTCTCCTATGTGGAGGTATGAGAGCTACCATGTTTTTATAACCCTATCTCCCATCACTCCTACCATAAACCCCACGAGACCACCCATAGCTTCAGATGTGTTTTCCCACATGACAAAATGTTTCTCTCTCTCTCTTTCTCTCCCACCCCCCACCCACCACCCCAAGCTTTTACACTGGAAGAACTACTCACCCTGCCAGGCCCAAGCCCACCATTCCTCTCTCTGTGGAGCCCTTCCCTCACCCCACACCATGTCCAGTCTTTGTGCCCTTGAGCACCCTGTTTATTAAACTTCTGTCAAACGTGTCATACCTGAATGAAAGTTGTCTGGAGACATCTCTTTGATGTCCTTGGCCTTGACCTTCTTGACATAGACCATGTCTTGGTCATTTAGTACAATGCCTGGCATTTATTTATTTATTGCTGTTTCATGAGTGCCTAACATAGACTTTTAAATAAAGAAATTATTGACTGGAGACACGCTCCGCCCTTTCTCAGGTTCCTGGGTTATTTGTGAGCTCTATATTACGATCATCAATTGAGGAAGTCCCTTCTGTGTACTAAGCACTGAGAATATGCAAGAAATTTGGGGCCTGGACTCTACTCTTAAATTGTCAAAGGAGTTGATGATTATCAGATGCCTACTGTGTGCCAGCTACCCTACTGAACACTTTCTAAATGTTATTCAACCCTCTCAATAATCCTGTGAAGGAGGTTTAAGGTGCCAGTTTTTACCAGTGAGGAAACTGAAGCTCAGAGTTCAGTAACTCAACGAGAGTCCCACAGTAACTGACAGCGCTGGGACTCACACCTAGGTCCATCCTGACTCCAGAGCCTGTTCTCTGCATAACACCAAACCATTACATAAGGGAGATAAGACTAGATTTTCAGAAAAGAAGGCAAGCAAGCATTTCCTTGGCTGCCTGTCTGGATTTACCAGCCAAATTTTGTAGCCTGGGCAGGAAAACCTAGTTTGCCAGCACTGCTAGGTGGAGGCCACCAGGTGCATCTTAGCTGTGCCTTTGGCCCCTGGGTCCCTGAACAGGTGGAGAGATGTTTCTGGGGGGCTAGATTTTCTCTTCTCAGCAACTGCACCTTCATAAAGTGCCCTTCAGGCACTAGCCATTAGAATGTATGTGGAAGCTTGGTGAAGGTTCTGGAGTGTCTTTACAGATGCCTTCTACTCCACTTCCCAGCTCACCCTTTATGTTGCTATCAGATGATTTTCTTAAAACACCTTTATTTTTTTTAAATTTATTTTTATTTTTATTTTTTGAGACAGCGTTGCTCTGTCGCCCAGGCCAGAGTGCAGTGGCATGATCTCAGCTCGCTGCAACCTCCGCCCCCTGGGTTCAAGTGATTCTCCTGCCTCAGCCTCCCACGTAGCTGGGACTGCAGGTGCACACTACCATGCCTGGCTAATTTTTTTTTTTTTTTTTTTTTTGGTATTTTTAGTAAACACCACCATGTTGGCTAGGCTGGTCTCAAATTCCTGACCTCAAGTGATCCACGCACTTCAGCCTCCCAAAGTGCTGGGACTGCAGGTGTGAGCCACCACACCCAGCCTAAAAACCTTTAATCATGTTAATATTCTTCTTTAAAAATGTTGGTGGCCGGGCGTGGTGGCTCACACCTGTAATCCCAGCACTTTGGGGGGCTGAGGTGGGCAGATCATGAGATCTGGAGTTCGAGACCAGTCTGCATAGAGAAACCCCATCTCTACTAAAAATACAAAATTAGCTGGGTGTGGTGGCGCATGCCTGTAATCCCAGCTGCTTGGGAGGCTGAGGCAGGAGAATCATTTGAACTCAGGAGGCGGAGGTTGTGGTGAGCAAAGATGGTGCCATTGCACTCCAGCCTGGGCAACAAAAGCGAAACTCCAACTCAAAAAAAAAAAAAAAAAGTTGGTATCCAAATGCACAGTGGTATCCTGAATTGGATCCTGGAACAGATCAAGTTCGTTAGTGGAAAATACTAGTGAAATCCAAATCAAGTCTGGAGTTTAATTGATGTAACTTGTCAGTTTTCACAAGTGTACCATGTCATGTGAGATGTTAGCATTAGGGGAATCTGGATGAGGGATACACAGAAACTCTGTGTTGTCTTTGCAATTTTTCTGTAAATCTAAAATTATTCCAAAATAAAAATCATTAAAACAATGTTGATACCTCTTAGAAGATGATGACCAGGCTCCTTAAGTGGGCTTTTGGAGCCCTCCAGCCTTATCTTTCCCCACCCCTGTGAAAGAATCCTCTGTTCTTGCTAAATGGTTTCACTTACTGTCCTCTTAACAATGTCTGTGCTCTCCTAGACTCCACTTTTGCCTTAGCCATGTACCCTGTTGGACTGATATGCCACTAGTCACAGTCCTTAATCGCAAACAGCAGGAAGTTACTGTGAACCTAAGGAAGCTTAGGTTTTAGGGTGCATCACTTGCAAGTCCCCAGGAGGGTCCACTATGGCTGTTATGAGAATGTGATTTCCCTGTCATTACTACTGCTGTCACAGAATACTCCTCATGGACCCAAGACTCTGGTAGGTACATCTGACTTGCAGAACCTAGACCACATGCCCTTGACATGCCAAGTACGTGCAAGGGAGTCTGAGAAATACAGTATCTGACATCACATCTTCGTTGTGAGAGGTGGGGTCTATCCCCAACCAAGGTGAATAAGTCCTCAGACACAGGAAGGGGAATGATTTACTAGTTCTCCAAAAAGAATGGCAGATGTTTACTACAGATGGGTTTTCTAGAACCAAATCTTCCATTAGGAACCACTGGGCTTAGGTAACATTTGTTACCTAAGCTGAAACTCCAGCTTGGTTTGGCCTGGAGACTCCATGGTACAAACTGTGTTCCTATATTTCATTCACTACACCAGAGTGAAGGGAACTTCATCTCCTGAGGACACTTGAATTAAAATCTTTCAAATGAAAAGGGCCCAGCCGTGCATGGTGGCTCACACCTGTAATCTCTTGGCACTTTCAGAGGCCAAGGCAGGTGGATCATTTAAGGTCAGGAGTTCGAGACCAGCCTGACCAACATGGTGAAACCCTGTCTCTGCTAAAAATACAAAAACAATTAGCTGGGCGTGGTTGCATGCACCTGTAATCCCAGCTACTTGGGAGTCTGAGGCAGAAGAATCGCTTGAACCTGGGAGGTGGAGGTTGCAGTGAGCTGAGATCTTGCTACTGCACTCTAGGCTGGGCTACAAGAGCAAAACTCTGTCAAAAAAAAAAAAAAAAAAAAAAGGAAGGAAGGAAGGAAAGAAAAGGGCCCATGTGCATGTCTTTAAGATCAGCTATGCAAAAGGCAACATAGGAAAGGTTATATCCTACTGTGAAGCTGGGAGTATTCCCCAAGGCAAGAAAGGTTTCTGGGAGAAGACCCTGTATTATTCTCTTATCCAATACTAACCAGGCCCGACCCTGCTTAACTTCCAAGATCAGATGAGATCAGGTGCATTCAGGGTGGCATGACAGTAGATCCTGTATTCTCTATATCAGCAGTGACCCCATCATCCTTCCAGCCACCCAGCTAGAAAACTAGGATCCTCTGACTCCTCTCTGTCACTCATCTCCAGCAGCCAGGCAAATGTCTGGTGCTACCAATTTCCCGCTAACATTTCTCAGATCTGCCTGCTCTCCTACCTCCACTCCTAACCCAGCCCTCCCACCCAGGCTCTCTGCCTCTTGCTATGGCCTCCCCAAATCCCTACTCCACAGAGGAGCCAGAGGGCCTTGAACGCCACCAGGTGCCTCCAGAATGTGCCTTTGGCCCCCCGGGGGCCCTGAGCAAGCACACATCCTTCCAAACCCTCCTCTGCTTGTGTTTACATTAAACTCATGGTTGCCCTACCCCCCCACACACACACACTCTCATTGCTTTTGCTCATGCTGTGCGCTCTCCCTGGAGTGCCCTTCACCTCTAAGCCCCTCGGCATCCCCAATTGCCATCTTCAGGAAGCTTCTGCTGACTCTACCCTGGCTGTGTCAGGCACCTCCCTTCGAGCTCCTGTCAAATGCCTTTTGCATTTATCTGTTTTTCTTACACATAGTATTAAAATCATCTCTCTCTGTCTTTTTTTTTTTTTTTTTTTTTTTTTTGAGACGGCATCTCACTCATCGCCCAGGCTGGAGTGGTGAAGTGGTGTGATCTCGACTTAGTACAACCTCCACCCCCTGGGTTCAAGTGATTCTTCTGCCTTAGCTTCCAGAGTAGCTGGGATTACAGGTGCCCGCCACCATGCCCGCCTAATTTTTGTATTTTTAGTAGAGATGGGGTTTTGCCATGTTGGCCAGGCTGGTCTCAAACTCCTGACCTCAGGTGATCCACTCGCCTCAGCCTCCCAAAGTGCTAGGATTACAGGTGTGAGCCACCATGCCTGGTCTAAAATCATCTCTTTGTCTCTTTATTAGAGCATGGCTTATGTCTTATCCCACTTTGTATCTCCAGTGCCTGGCACATGGGAGTGGGTAATTCAATAGATACTGGACAAATGGAAAGCAGGAAGAAAGAAGAAAAAGGGACGCAGGCTGAGCCTGAGAAAGACCCCTTGCACTAAGCAATGAAACACCTCCCACACCCTTACCCCTCCATGCTGCGAGCAACATACTTGCTAACATACTTAGCTACGTACTCGCTAAGACCCAGGCCAGCTGCAGGTGGGCTCTGAGCAGCCTCTCTGACTCTGGACTAGATTACGTGACTGTAAGATCCTTAGAACGGATGGTAGAAATAGATGATGATGATGAGCCCTTTGATTCTGCCCTCAGAGCCACCCCCTCCCCCATGATCCTGGAGGCCACTTTGAATCATGAAGTGCCTCATAAAGAGAGAATTGCAAAAGACAGAAGAAGCCTCAGGCCCTGACTTCACAGAACTGCAACTTTAGCCCTGGACTCTCTCCTCAGACTTCTACATGAGAAAGCTGTAAACTACTTTTGTTTTGTTTTTTTTGAGACAGAACCTTGCTCTGTCACCGAGGCTGGAGTGCAGTGGTGCAATCTCAGCTCACTGCAACCTACACCTCCTGGTTTCAAGCTATTCTACTGCCTCAGCCTCCCGAGTAGCTGGGATTACAGGCATGTGCCACCACCATGCCTGGCCAGAAAGCTATAAACTTTGAAGCCACTGTTTAGGATTTTATCATTGTATACAATTGTGCTAATATATCCTGTGGCTCTGAGCTTGTTGCAACATTCTCTCTTGCCTAATTTGGGGCCCTGCTTGCAGTGCAGGTGTGTGCCCCATGGCTTACGACTGGGGACCCCGGACAAACGTTACCTGGTACTGGACAGCCTCTGCAGTGATAGATAGTTCCCTGGCCACCAGCGCTGGCACATGGGAGGAATCAGAGAAGGGGATTGGGAGAAACTGTATCACCCTGGGCAAGTCACTGAACATCTCTATATTTTAGGTCCCTTGCTTTGAAAGCAAGGAAGACCATCTTTAAGGTCCTGACAGTCTCCTGCTTAAAATATCCACCTTATGAATGAATAAGCAGCATGGAGTACATGGAGGACTTGGGTTTAGACATCACACAAATCTGGTTCCAAATCCTGGCTGGGCCACTCACCAGCAGCGCAACTTGGACAACTTGCCTCTCTGAGCTTCTGTTTTCCTTAAATCTGAAAATGAAACTAATTTTGCAACTATTTTTCAAGTGGTACCAAGAATTAGAAATATTGTAGACAAACTTCTGGGCAGAGTAGCCACTCAGTAAATGGAACTGGTAGGTGCATGTGAGTGGAGAGAAAGAAAGAGCTGGTGAGTGCTTCACAAAGTACAGCTGAGCTGAGCCTTGAAGGGTGAGGTGAGGACCATTCGGGCAGGTAGGGTGGGAAGGACGGTCCAAGCAGGGGAGCAGCATGGGCAAAGGAAGGAACACACAGGATGTGATGGTGAAGGGTGGGGTGCGTCGAGGTCCTTGTGGGATCAGACCTCATGCCCCTAAGCGTGATACCACTGTGGACCAAAATGAGTGCTGCTTCCAGCTAAGGAGCTTCCTGGATTACATGGCATTCTAGCTGGGCATTAAGTGAAGTAGGATTTTTAGAGCAAGACTGGGTTGAGGGTGATTTGGAGTAAACACCATAAGCAAAGGCAGGGAGCTAAGAAAAGAGCCTGTGAGGGGGTGGGGTTGGGCAGGGAGACCGCAAGGCTAGAGTAGAGGGCAATAGCAGGCAAGAAATGCTCAAATGTTTTAAATAGAGTGCTTGGCAAAGACAAGCCAGGCCAGCCAAGCCTCCATTGCTCACACTGTTGTCTTATCTGTTTCTTTCAGCATTTCTACGTAGGCTGTATCTTTGAGGCCAGAGCCCAAATGCCCGGGTCTGGAAGGAGTCTCTGAGGTCCCTTGGGAGACCCAGCAAAGGGGACCGGTGTGGGACTTCTGCTCAGAAGGTGGAGGGCTGGGAGAGCAGGCAGGCATTCACTCTGCTTCCTTCCTGCCTGGTGGCTGGCTGCATGCCCTGAACTTGACCTCAGATGACCTGCGTGTTCCCTTCAGTTTCAGTGCCAGCAGCAGTGAGCTTCATCTTTGGCTTTTTTTCTCCTTCAGAGCAGAGACTTTCTCTCTGCTCAAACTGGGTTTTTTTTGTGGTGGTGGTGGTTGTTGTTGGCTTTTTTTTTTTTGAGATGGAGTCTCGCTTTCTCACCCAGGCTGGAGTGCAGTGGTGCGATCTCAGCTCACTGCAATCTCCTCCTCCCAGGTTCAAGTGATTCTCCCACCTCAGCCTCCAGAGTAGCTGGGATTACAGGCATGCGCCACAACACCCGGCTAATTTTGTAGTTTTAGTAGAGACAGGGTTTCACCACGTCGGTCAGGCTGGTCTCATACTCCTGACCTTAAGCAATCCACCCGCCTCGGCCTCCCAAAGTGCTGGGATTACAGGTGTGAGCCACGGAGCCCGGCCTCAAACTGGTTTTTGCAGCACCAAAAATCTCCCCAGTACTTGGGCAGACCTTGCCGGTGGGGTGTCTACTGTTGTCTGCCTTTTTTCAGTTTAGAATGATGATTTTAATGGTGCTAGATCATTGTATAGGTACGTAAATAAAGACTAAGGGTGTGTTTGTACAGATGGGAGTGTGTAAGACACGTTTTTCCCAAGCAGACACAGCTAGTTAGCAGCAGAGCTGGAATAGCCCGGGTGTCCTGACACTCAAGCCAGTGCTTGCTGCCCTGCCTATGAGCTGCTTAACTCTGTACACCTCAAATGTCAGCATCTTGAAATCATTGTGTGAAAAAGTGAGTTGGGTTTCAGGCATTGTCCTTGTTAACCCACCACATGCTCAGATGTTCTGTGGTTTGGGTTGGCATGCAAAATAATTCCAAAAATGCCTGGATTTGTCCAATGTCACTGATTAGTGCTTGCTTTAGAAGACTAAGTCCAGCATTAGCCTCAGTAAGGTACAAGGAACTACCACAGTTTCTCCTTGATCAAATGCATAAGGTATAGATGTAGAATACTTATAAAGGAAAGGGACTGACTTCTAATCAACATACAGGCTAAAAATTATTATTGCCAAATAGGCTGGCGTTGCTCAAAAACCTCTTCGGAGTTGCCTTTGGAGCCAGTTTATGGGTCCCAGTAGAGCCAGGCTCTGTTCATCATTCAACAAGAACACACTGAGTGTCTGTATGTCAGGCACAGAGTACAGTGAGTAGCAAGACAGATACACATGTACCTTACAAGTGACCTTTCTACTTAAAAAATAAAATGTCTTACCTAGGTTAGACTACCACCTTAATCACCAGGTTTGGTTCTGAAAGATATTTTTGGCTGCTTTCTAAAATTAAGCTCTTCTTCAGAGGATGGAGAATAAATTCACTGATTGAAAATACTCAGAAAAAAGAGATGTAGCTTAGATAAAGGCAATCTCAAACGAGGAATTCCCAAGACATTTTAAGCTATGGTAATACAACCTCACAAGGAAACAATTTAGATAAGAATATTTATTTGGAAGTAGACATTCTGGTGTGTTTGTTAAAAGTGCAAAGGCACATTGTCAGGAGAACAAGGTTTTGACTCCTGGAGACCAGCCACTTTTCAAAGCAGGAACGACCAAATGATCTGAACCAACCCAGATCTATTGGCTGCTGTCCCCTGCTCATGAGCCCTCTGGCTAGGACTGCCCCAGGCATCCACGTTTGAGAGCACCTGCCTAAAAGATCTGCAAATCAAATCAAATTATAGGATGGACAGTTTTGAAACAAACCTGCTTATTTGCATCTGCCCCAGTGTTGTCAAGGATATTCCACTGATCAAAAGTCATTGCTATAGTCTGAATTTCCAGGTTCTAACAAGAGTACATTTGTATATGCTTTCTATTTCACACACTACTTCCTCATTTATCCTCTCCTCGAAGCCACAACTCTTGTGGTAGACATTAAATATTCTCATTTTACAGATAGACACACAAAGATTCACTTAAATTATGTGCCTAAAGGACCACTTACTAGGCTTGAAACCAGGTCTTGCCGTTCCTCCTGCAGCAGCTCCTCCAACAGGCCACAGGATCCTAAACTCCAAAACTCCTGATCACTCCTGCAAGCAGTTGTTCCCAGCCTGGCTTCACATTGGAGTCCCCACGCCTCGGGGCATGACCTGACATTGCCAAAGACCCCATGGGGTGGGCACCAGGTCCATACGACCAGAATCTCTGGAAGTGGGGCCTTGGCATTGGTATTCCTCAAGTTCTCCAAGTGATTCCTCTGTGAAAAGTCTTGGTCATTCTATTAGAGAATTATCAGAATTTGCTTCCTTCTCTCTCAAAGACCTACTTAAAGGCATTGATGGTCCACTTGTCTTCTTTTTCAAACATAATTCTCTATTTTTCAATGATAGGAATGCTACTACCTCTTTGTTGTAGAAATTTTAGGGAAAACAGGTATTAAGAAAAAAACAAAAATAATCCAGAGACCCAATGTTTATATTTTGATATATTTGCTTCCAATCCTCGTGTATATTTTATGTAATTTTTTTGAGACAGTATTTTGCTCTGTCACCCAGGCTGGAATGCAATGGCACAATCATGGCTCACTGTAGCCTCAATTTCCTGAGCTCAAAAAATCCTCTCATCTCAGCCTCCAGAGCAGCTGGGACCACAGGCACACCCACCATGTCCAGCTAATTTTTTTTTCTTTTTCTTTTTCTTTTTTTTTTCTTGTAGAGATGGGGTCTCCCTATGTCACCCAGACTGGTCTCAAACTCCTGGGCTTGAGTGATCCTCATGCCTTGACCTCCCAAAGTGTGGCAATTACAGGTGTGAGCCATGGACCTGGCCTTAATCATTCTTTAATGTGAACATTTAAGTTTATTTTAATTTAATTTTTTTTGCTGTTATAAGTCCTCCAAGAAGATCCTTGTACTTAGATCCTTATAGTCTTTGCAAAACTGAGTATTTCTATTTTGTGATCTGCCAGTTTGCTATAGTTATTAATTAATAAAGTTTTTATTTTATTTTATTTTATTTTTCAGATGGAATCTTGCTCTGTGGCCCAGGCTGGAGTGCAGTGGCACAATCTTGGCTCACTGCAACCTCCACCTCTCAGGCTCAGGCAGTTCTCCAGCCTCAGCCTCCCGAGTAACTGGAATTACAGGGGAACACCACCATGCCTGGCTAATTTTTGTATTTTTCTTTAGTAGAGACAGGGTTTCGTTTAACCATGTTGGCCAGGCTGGTCGCGAATTCCTGACCTCAGGTGATCTGCCCACGTCGGCCTCCCAAAGTTCTGGGATTACAGGCTTGAGCCACCATGCCGGGCCTGGACATTTTATGTCTTTATTGGCCATTTGCATTCCTTCTTTTGTGAATGTTCACATCCTTTGCCTTTTTGTTCCCTTTTGAGTGTCCATCTTTTCTTACCTACTAAGTATATAACACCTTTCCTGTTCATTTGTTTTGTAAATATTTTTCCTCAGTTTATCATTTAATTTGGTTTGTTGACATACAAAAGGATTTATTGATTTTATGCTTAGAAATGTTCCTTGATGAGGTAAATTGTTACCAACATTTTCTTCTACAAGTCTCAATAAATAAATGCCTGGTTATATAGAAGCAGTTTATCTGGCTACATGGGATTTTATTGTTCCGGACTAAGAAACTGTCCATCTCCTGGCCGGGCGCAGTGGCTCACGCCTGTAATCCCAGCACTTTGGGAGGCCGAGGAGGGTGGATCACGAGGTCAGGAGATCGAGACCATCCTGGCTAACACGGTGAAACCCCGTCTCTGCTAAAAATACAAAAGAATTAGCCGGATGTGGTGGCGGGCGCCTGTAGTCCCAACTACTCAGGAGGCTGAGGCAGGAGAATGGCGTGAACCCAGAAGGCGGAGCTTGCAGTGAGCCGAGACTGCGCCACTGCCCTCCAGCCTGGGCAACAGAGCGAGACTCCGTCTCAAAAAAAATAAAGAAAAAGAAAAAAGAAACTGTCCATCTCCTACAGGAATCTGACTTGGAATTATCAAAACTACACTGCTTTTATGGTGTATGTTCCTTGAACTACCTTGCCCAATACAGCATAACGTAAAAAACATTTTGCAGGGCAAAACATTTTACAAAGCAAACAATATGGCATAGCCTCTCACAAAAGACTGCCCCACCCCAAAACTAACAAAGCCCACTTCCATCCTGTTTTGAAAAATAGGGTGGGTCTTAGGATAGTACCACTGGGCTCTCTCAGCCCTAGGGAGAAACTTTCCTTCAGCTCAAGTTTCTCCTGGTCAAGTGCTTCGGGGACAGGCTCTGCTCTTGAGGAGGGTTACTCTGGCATGTAATATTTGGGACATATGTATACTAAAAAATTATTTGTTGTTTATCTGACACTCAAATTCAACTGGAAGTCCTGTGTTTCCATTTGCTAAATCTGACAACCCTAATCCTGTGGTTTTTCTCTCAGTCTTAATGTTGGTGCCCTTGCCCCAGGAGTGCCCACAGGAAGCAGCAGACCTGGCAACATGCTGCATAAAGGAATTTACCTGTTTACCTTCAAAGAGGGTTCTCATGGCCAAGGGGCAGCCTCTCCCTTGTGCCCCTGAGACATTAAAAAACAAAAACAAAACAACAACAACAACAAAAACACTGCATTTACCTTTTCTACACAGATCAGCCATGTGCTTATAAACCTAAGCTCTTCACCCAGACTTCATGGGTTGCTTCCAGGCTTCCTGCACTTCATTGTCCTTCTTCCTCTTTTTTTCTAGCAGCCATGAAGCTGCTCATGGGTCTATGGATCTGAGTGGCCACCATCACCTCGCTCACATGCCTTTGGTCCGCTGCATGCTCCTGTCCGAGTGGCCAATCTGTCAGTTCCCCTTTGGCCTCTTTCAGCTTTTAACACCCTATTTTCTATCTTACAGGTTTTTTTTTTTGTTGTTGTTGTTTTGTTTTTTTTGAGACAGAGTCTTGTTCTGTCGCCCAGGCTAGAGTACACTGGTGTTATCTGGGCTCATTGCAACTTCTGCCTCCCGGGTTCAAGCGATTCTTGTGCCTCAGTCTCCCGAGTAGCTGGGACTACAGGCACGTACCACCATGCCCAGCTAATTTTTGGCATTTTTAGTAGAGACAGGGTTTCATCATGTTGGCCAGGATGGTCTCAACCTTCTGACCTCAAGCGATCTGCCCGCCTCGGCATCCCAAAGTGCTGGGATTACAGGTGTGAGCCACCGCGCCTGGCCTATCTTACAGATTTTTGATTCACTATAAATAGATTGTTTTCTAGAGGCTGGATGTTAAAATTCAATTTTAACATGGTTTGAGATGGCTGGGTGTCATGTCGATGTCCTAAAGAATGGCAAGAAGACCGAGACATCTGCTAATCACATCCCTCCCTGGTTTAGCAGATAAATAGTACAATGTTGAGAATACAGCGTATCTCCCCAGAATGATGCTGGTGTTAACACCATATGACTCGATCTATTAGTGCAGGCATTTCCAAGAAGGCCTCTCCCAGCTCTACGAGGGATGCCTGTGTCCTTTTTATCTCTATCCTAACTAACTCTACCTTCTGAGGGATTTTAAAGCAGAGCTTCTTAATTATTAGGGTGCCTAGGAATCACCTGAAAGTCTTGTCAAAATGCAGATTCTGGCCAGGTGCAGTGGCTCATGCCTATAATCCCAACAGTTGGGGAGGCTGATGTGGGAGGATGGTTTGAGGCCAGGAGTTTGAGACTGGTCTGGGCAACATAGTGAGACAAAAAAATTAAAAATTAGTCCAGGGTGGGTAGCACACAGTTGTAGCCCTAGCTACTGAGGAGGCTGAGGCAGGAGGATCAGTTGAGCCCAGGAGTTGAAGCCTGCAGTGAACTATGATCAGGCCACTGCATTCCAGCCTGGGCAACAGAGTAAGACCCTGTCTCTTGAGGAAAAAAACAAAAAACAAAAAAAGTCTGATTCAGTAGCTCTGAGGCCTGCTGAGATAGTGCACTTCCAGAAACTCTCAGTGGTACCGCTGCTGCAAGCCCACAGACCAACCACACTTTGAGTAGCAGGAGTTTGAAACTTATATTCCTGACTGGCTACAGGATGGCCCAGACACTTCGTCATCTCAATTCCAGGACCCTGCCTGCCCACGCCCAGGAGGTCTGAATCAACGGCAACGAAATCTGTGTCTGTGAGAGGGGAGACTACAGAGTGAGGGGAAACTACAGAGTGAGGGGAAGGGAGGCAGGCTGAAAAGGGGAGAGCAGGAAGCCTGAGAAAGGGCACCAGTTCAGGACAGTTTAGTCTGGAGCTGGTAGGACCTAGTGTTGATTGAATATGCAGGGAAAGAGAGAACAAGGGAGGCACTTGGCAAACTGTCTCCACCTGGGGAGGCTGGCTAGGGGCTCCTACTTAATATCAAATCTTATCCTGGGCACCTGAATGCCATTATATCTGATGACCCTCTGTAATACATAATGTCTGCATTGATTATTGTATATAGTTTAACTCTGGTTGTCATGGTTACCTATGGCTAGACTAGGGTAAGACCATTTCTCTGATAAGTGGGAGGAAGAATCAGGGGACTCAATGGAAATGAAAGTATAGGACAGTTTGAGTGCCTACTGTCCACCAAGGTCTGAGGCGGGACTTTGGCATAGGTTGGCTTCATTCGATCCTCTGCAAAGGAGTCTGCTTAGGAGGTATCATGAGTCCCATCTTTAGAGATTGGAAGGAGGCCAGGAGGGGGGAGTTACCTCACCTGCAGCCAAAAACTGGTACACACAGGAGCTGAAAATGGAACTCGAGGAACCAGCGGGAGCATCTCAGTGCATGGGGAAGGGGGAAGATATCGTGGGGGATAGGGGAGCACTACATCCAAGTGGGAAGAACAGGGTCTCTGAGGATGGGTGCCCCAGCACTGTCAAGTACCTACAAATGGGACTCAATCCTCACCCACAAAAGGCCATGAGGAAGGGAAGCCTCGAAGGTGAAAGGGGTTGATATCATCTTCAAGTCTCAAATGGGACAAGCAGGCTCCTACTTAGCAGGAGATGGGACAGAAACAACACATGGAAACAAGATCAGGGGACAAGCCAATTGAAGTTGAACCAATCTTTCAGGGATGCTCTGCTCTTTCTATAAAGCACTGTTCTGAATGGATTCCTATGATGTGTAGTTCAGGAATTTCACCACTTTTATACTATATGTATTTTCTGTGTTTCCCGCTCCCCCAACACACATACTTTTTTTTTTTTTTTTTTTTTTGAGACAGGGTCTCACTCCATTGCCCAGGCTGGAGTGCAATGGCACAATTTTGGCTCACTGAAGCCTCAACCTCCCGGGCTCAAGTGATCCTCTCACCTCAAAGTGTGCACCACTGCACCTGGCTAATTTTTTTGTAAAGTTGAGGTCTCACTATATTGCCCAAGCTGGTTTTGAACTCCTGAGCTCAAGTGATTCGACTGCCTTGGCCTCTCAAAGTGCTGGGATTACAGGCGTGAGCCACCAGGCCCGGCTTGATATTTTTTTAAACAAGAAAATACTAACCTTGATTCGATGTTAGAGTTTAACCAAGAGGCAGCTCATAGGACCTGGTTTCCACCGCCCCCCTCCCCCCCCCCGGAATCTCAGGCTGTGACAGGGGCTGCTCCTGGGTCTCTCTGTGGGCGCTGTCAAAATGGACCTCAAATGGGATGTGTTCTTGCTGACCTCATTGATCAACTTCCACCTTCTCTGGGCCCCCTGGCACTACCAACTACCCTGTTGTTCTTCCAGAAACCTCCCTTCCTATGCCCTCGTCCTGTGGGTTTGACTTCGTAAATCTTTCTTGATACCTCTCTCCCTCCCCACCACCACTACCCTAATGGAGACCATCATTTTTGTTTTCTCACTTAGGTTTCTGCAACAGCCTTCTAGCTGCTCTCTCTGCCTCTATTCTGACACCCTCCTCTAATGTATTCTCTATATAGCAGCTGGCACTGAGTAAGATGTGGTCCTGTCCACAGCTGAGGGGATGGGACAGACCCAGGCATACCTGTGATCTGATTGGTGGGCCCCTTACCCAATCTTGAGAGATCATCAAAGGCTTCCTGAAGCGTCACCTGAGTTTAACCAGGAAGGATGAGTGGGAGTTAATGGCAAGGCGGCAGGAAACGCCTCTGCTAAAGCTACGCTGTTTTAGAAGTTTCCTTTAGTAGGCAGGCTCCTTGTGTCATACACCCTGAGTACCTTCCTTTCCTGGATTTCTTTCTCTATTTACAAACGAATTTCTACTGAGTTTGTCCCACAGCCACTCACCTCTTCTACTATGTTTCCTTCAACTCTTATTTTTTTTCGCTTTAGTTTAAATCTCTGAACCTGCTCTAGTGCAAGGTAAGACAGTCCTTTACACTAGGAATCTCTAATATGTGTCGCCAGGAGGGAGGAATGCTCTGGAAATGGGCAGTATGTGTAATTGCACATACCTCAAATATACACATATACATTCACACACTCACACACACTCCCTGTGTGTTAGTGCTGTTAACCAAATACTTCTGCTTATCCTTCCTGCACATAGCAGGATTGTACTTATTGCACTTCCCTGCCCCCTTGTAACTTTCTTTGGCCAGTGAGATGACAGCAGGAGTGATGTGTGTCACTTCCAGGGAAAAGCTTTAAGAGCCAGTGCTAGATTTGCCCCATTCTTGTTTCCTGCCTTCAGGGTTGAGGAGAT
The DNA here is from genome assembly GCF_000001405.40 of Homo sapiens. Taxonomy (NCBI): domain Eukaryota; kingdom Metazoa; phylum Chordata; class Mammalia; order Primates; family Hominidae; genus Homo; species Homo sapiens. The sequence continues at coordinate 73,979,861 of NC_000002.12, forward strand.
GCATGTCCAGTTGCAGCAGCCTGGATGCCCGAGTGATTACGGGAAACAGAGCTCCTAATGACTCATAATGGACACGTTTTGTGATTGAGAAATACACTTTTGTTATGTAAAGCCACTGTGATTTGGGGATTGTCTATTACTCCAGCACAATCTAACTGATCCTGACTGATACACCCTGTCAACCAAGGCTCAGGGGCACCAAGGCCTTTATCCCTGTTGGGTATTCCTTCCATTATGATGGGTACCCTTGCATTCTCCTTGCAAGTAATGAAGCCTATTTGATTCAAAAAATTCAAAATGCAGTCACAAAACTAGTTATAAAACATGAGGACATTTGCGGGGCTATTGAAAAACGTAGTAGCCGGGCGCGGTGGCTCACTCATGTAATCCCAGCAGTTTGGGAGGTCGAGGTGGGTGGATCATGAGGTCAGGAGTTCAAGACCAGTCTCTACTAAAACTACAAAAATTAGCTGGGCGCGGTGGCAGGTGCCTGTAATCCCAGCTACTCGAGAGTCTGAGGCAGGAGAATCATTTGAACCTGGGCAGCAGAGGTTACAGTGAGCCCAGATCGCGCCACTGCACTTCAGCCTGGGTGACAAGAGTGAGACTCCATCTCAAAGAAAAAAAAAAAACCAAAACCCAAAACCAAAACAAAACAAAAAACCCAAAAACGCATAGCATAGATATCCTACACGTGTCACACTCACCAATGCAGGTCCACAAGCAACCCACTAATGAACCTCCCTTTCCCTGAGAGCAAAATGCCAGCTTCTGCCTGGTATCAGCTCTAGCATTCGTGGGCTAATTTCAGAGGTCCTGGATTGTAGGTCCTGGATTCTGACATGTAGTAGTGAATGACCTTGGACAAATTACCTCACTGAGCGCCAGTTCTCTTATCTGTAAAATGGTGATGATAATAAAAACTATGTCATAGATAAGGAAAGTTAACATTTGCACATTTGTTGTATTTGCCACTCTGTGCAGACAGAAGGATAATGTGTGTGGAAGTGCTTTGAAAAGGGAAAGATCTATGCAAATATTAGTTGATAATATTTTTAGCCAATACATGACCAAAGAAGTAATACATCCAAAATCAAATAAACCTCCCAATACCTTCAGTCTTTAAAACCAAGCCCAGGTATGGATATCGGGATGTATTTACATTTCTGCAAAAGGTCCCCATACGCAAATCTCATTCTTAAATAAGGACAAATTACTCATTAGCTGAAGAGGAGAGAGGTCAAGTACCTGAGGAGGTTAGTCACATCAATCACCTGAGAGTTCAGCAGCATCCAACAGTGTTAGTTCCACGTGTTAACTTCCTGAAGAACCACAGGCTTGCACATCCAATTATGCTTCCTGTCCCTTTCCTCCCCCGTGCGGAATCAACTTCAGCTCATCAATGGGGTAGGAAAGCCTCCTTATTTCGCACCCTCCATGCTCCAGGCATCCAGGGAAATGCCCCTGCCACCCCTATCTCCCTTGAGTTCTTAGGGCTTCCTCCTCTAGCAAGGAGATTTCCCTTTCTAGTCCCGGGGGCAGCGGCACAGCCCGGCTCTGACCTCGCGGGAGCAGTCGCCTAAAAGAGGCTCCGCCCTTGGCCGCTTGGGGTGGCGCCCGCCAAACCCGCTCCTAAAAGGAGCCTCTCTCCCTCTGTCTGCTCTAAGCGCCTTGGGGGCCTAATCGCAGTCTCCACCTGGGTGCTGAACTTCCTTCTCCCCCGCTTGCTGTAGTCCAGTGCTGCTCTAACTTGACTTCACCTGACGGACTAATTAAAACAGATTGCTGGGCCCGCCCCCAGGGTTTCTGATTCAGTGGGGTTAGGATGGGGCCGAGAGCTTGCATTTCTAGCCAGTTCCCAGGAGATGGTGATGCTGCTGGTGCCGGGGCTCTCTTGGCGGAACCACTGCGTCTAGGCTAATGCAGCCCCAGGAAGGGCTCGCCCTATCCCTACGCCCACCCCCGCTGCTCTCCTGCCCTGAGCGCAATGTGAATGGGAATAGCCGCAGCAGCCCAGGAGGCTGGAGAACCAGAAGGCAGGACCTGAGGAGTTTAGGCTGTTTTATCTTGGGCGCCCCTGACCAGTTTGTGCAAGTCGTAAAGAAAGCAGGAAAGAAGCCTATGGGTCTTCAGTGTTACTGGGGTCTGTCATTCATTAGGGTCTACTCACCTCGTCTCTTCATTCAACACAGTGGTTGGTTGCTAGGTCTAGGGTTATGAGGTGAAAGACAGCGTGCTACCCTTCCAGGAGTTTGTAGTAACTGGGAAAGAAACATGCAAACCATTCCAGTGCCCAGCGCCGATGAGATAACTGTTCCTAGGCAGGGAGAGTCAAACTTCTGTGGAGGGAGAGTGGGTGGGGCTCTGGAATCATCTGAGCAGCTGGAGGTTTCATGGAACTGGCACTTATGACTTGCAGGATGAGTGGGAATTTGGCAGGTACAAGGGGTAGCTGAGAAGGGGTGGGGTGGGAAGGGTTTTTCCCCAGGCAGAAGGAATGAGCAACAGGACTGCCGAAGTGTAAGGTTCCAGAGGCCGGGAAGATATGACAGGCAGCTCTCTAGCCTGGCTGGGTTCCCTCCAACCTCTCTGGCGGCGCCTTCTCAGCTCCTGTCCCTCATGGGCTGGTATTCCCTGGGGCTCTGTCCTGGCAGCCTTTCCCTCTCACACTCCATATCCACCCTGGATGAGCTCCTCCACAACTGAGGCCTCGCTGTCTGCTCACTGATGGGGCCCAAATCTCAAACCCAGGCCTCACCCCCTCAGTTGCACACTCACTTTCACACGAATGTCTCCATCCCCAGGCATCCTTCCTTCTGCATTTTGTCACAGTGAATGGCACCAGCATTCACCCAGTTACCTAAACGAGAGGGCTTTATGAAATGACCCTCTCATAGATTGCTGGCAAAGAGTAAATGACACAGTAACTTGCTGGTGCCATTTACCCAGACAGAATACAAGAGGATGGCTGCTGGGCTCCTCTGAAAGTCCACAACTTACTAGCTGAGTGATCCTGGGCAAGTTATTTAATCTGTTTTCTTATCCATAAAATGGGTTTGATGATAGTACCTACCTCACAAGGTTGTCATATGGATTAAACAATATTAGTTGTTGTCATTCATTGAGCCCTATATTAAGTCTTTTACTTGGATTCCCTTGAAGATGGAGTACCTAGTCCAAGGTCACACTGTTACCAAGTGGCAGATTCAGGTTTGGAAGCCAGAGTTCTCTGGCTCCTGAGCCATCTTCTTCACCTCACTGTCACACTTTCTGAAAACTGTATACCAAACAGGGAAATGCCTATGGTACAATGTTAAGTTAAAAGAGGATGGCAAATTGTATAATCAGTGTGAGTAAATCCACAAATAGGAAAGGCTACAAGGAAATATAGCAAATGGTTAAATATGGTTGTAATTTGGTGATTTTTCCCCTCTAGTATCTGTAGTCTCCACGTCTTCTTTATACACATTTTTTATTAATAAAGTTGCTTATTAAAAATATATTACATTAAAAACAATTACGAGTCTGCAACCTGTTCCCCTGTTTGAAAATTGCACTCTCTTGGTTTTTCGTCTCGGTTCTAGTCTTACTACCCTGAACAGAAACTCTTCAGTCCTCCCAAAGGCCATGGTAGGAAGTGGATATTGCAGCCATGTTCACCCCCACCCACTCCCTCGCTGACAACCTGGACCCTGGAGCAGGCTGTCAAAATCAGAGGGAAGTTCCAGATAGAACCCGGGCTGCTTTACCGCCTAGGGCTTTCTGGACAGCGCTACTTCAGATCAGTTACTTTTTTTTCTTTCTTTCTAAATAGCCGGCCGAATGCTCTTTTTCCAGTTCTGGCTAAGCTGTTAGCTGCAGCCGGGCGGCGACGCCTGCCAGGTACCTGGCTCCGTGAGCACCGCCCAAACTGGTCAGGCCAGTCCGTCCTGTGGCTGTTTCTGCCAGGACTCGCCCGAGTGTGTGTGTGCGCGTGTATGTCAGAGACCCACCCTGCTCCCCTGCAACCGAGGTAGGTGGAAGGCAGTTGCAGGCACCAGCCTGGCAGTCAGGCCAGATGGGTGGGGCTGAATTAATCTAACCTGGAATTTCAACTTGGCCTGCACAACAGGTGAGGGAAAAAAGCAGCAGAGAGAACGGGCAGTTTGGCAACTTGGAAATATTCCTGAGCCCTGCCCCTTACCCCCTGCCTGGAACGTAGCCCAGGGTGACTCTTCAAAGTGTCTGCGCCGGGTTTTAGGGCTTAGTCGCCCCACGGCCCCCTCGAGGCTGTCCGAGGCCCTCCTGAACGCTGTCCTCCTCAGTTACCCTCCGCGACGCGCCCGTTCCCCCTCCTCTGGGAGGCAGGGCGGGGGTATCGGATTAGTCTTTGTTTTCGACGCGAAAGAATCGAGCGCGGCGCGGGGGAGGCTGGTGATGGCAGGGCCGTGGGGTCCACCTGGACAGGGCATTCGGCCGTGACCCCTGCGAGGGTGCCCTTAGCCTCTGCCCCCGAGCAACCCCTTCTTGCCGGCCAGGCTGACTCGGTACGCAAACGCGCGATGTCCCCCATTGTCCTGCCTCGGAATGAGCCAGCGGCAGCTGGGACAGGGGGGTCAGTCGGGCCCGGCGCTCAGGCCTCCCGGGGGCGCCGGGGCTGTCCCGGACAGATCTGGCCCGCAGGGAGTGGCAGGAAGTGGGGACACCGAGCGAGGCTCGGCCGAGGGCCTAGGCTGGAAGGTCCGCGTGCCCCACCCCGCCTCGCCGGCCCCGGCTGCAGCCCCGCCGGAGGGCGAGGGTGGCCAACCCGAAGGGGGCGGCCGCCTCCCGGGAGGGCCGACCGCGTGGGTGGGAGCCACTGCAGGTGCAGAGAAGCGGCGGCCGGGCCGGAGCCTGCCCCAAGCCGCTCGCAGGCCGCCCACCCGACCCCTCCCCTCCGCGGGAACCACCCCCCTCTCGCCCGGCCCGGGGCCCGGCCGGGCCGGCGGGGCTCGGCGGGGCCGCACGTGTGCGCCCTCCCGGGCGGGGGAGTCCCCGGGCGAGCACGTGCCGCGGTGCGCGGGGGGCGGGGAGTCCCGCGGACGCCTTCATTGCTGCTGCTGCTGCCGCCGCGGCCGCCGCTGCCTCTTCCTTCCTCCTGCGCCGTCCCCTCCTCGGCCCGGGCGGGGGGCTCCGCGCGCTGAGCTCGGTCGGGCCGGGCGCTCCGGGAGGCGGGAGCCCCAGGCGGCGGCGGCGGCGGCCGCGACGGTGGTGGCGGCGGCGGCGCGGGCCGGGAAACTTTGCCCCTTTGTGCGCTCCGCCCCGGAGGCGGCGGGCAGGTCGGTGCAGTCGGTGCCTTTCCGGCTCCGGAGTGGGGGAGGGGCGGCGGGAGGCGCGGGGGGCCCGGCCCGGGGGAGGGGGAGGGGACGGCCCGGATCCGGCGGGGGGCCGCTCCTCCGGTGCGGGGGGCCGGACTGGGGTGCTGCGGGGCGCTGTGCGGCTGAGCCGGGCGGGGGTGGCGGGGCGGGGGCGGGGGCTGCGAAGCCGCCGGAGCGGAGTGGCGGAGGCCCCAGAACAAAGGAGCCCGAGCGGCGGCGCGCGCGCGGCCCGGCCCGCGGCTCGAGCGCGCCCCCCTCCCCGCGCCCCTCGGCGGCGCGGGCCGCCCTCCCCAGTCGGGCTGGCGGGCTGCGCTCCGGCGGCGGGCGCGGCGGGCGCGGGCTGCCCAGGGCGCGCCCCCACCTCCAGGCGGCTTCCGTGCCGGGGGCGCCGGGGCAGTCCCGCCGAGCGAGGCTCTCAGCAAACTTTATTTTGAAAGCTCAGCTCCCTAGGGAGGGCCCGGCGGCCTCCAGCCAGGGCGTGTGGGGGAATTTTGGTGAAACTCTCACCAGCCCGTGGGGGTGGGGAAGAGGGCAACTTTCTTAGAAATCTCACCTTGATCACCCCCTTGAATCCAGGGCCCCCAGCAGCCCTCAGGCCCGAGGCCGCCTCCCTCAGACAGGGAGCGGGTGCTGGGTGCGTCCTGCCTGAGGTTCTGGGCAGGACCTCAATTGAGCAAGCCCCATCTCTTCCCCCATTTTCTCTTCCCAGAAACAGGAAGAAGTGACACGTGAAAGTTGTCCCTGAGCCCCGAGTGATGCGCTTCCCCTTTCTGTCTTTTTCAGGCAGCACTGCCTTCTCCAGCGTCCAGACCCTGGAGGAAAAATACCAGGAGAAACTGCTCACTCAGCTCTGCCCCCACCACACCCCTACCTGCTCAACTCATGCCTGGGTCCAGGGTGGGTGAGGGTGAAGAACCCACCGGGCCAAGATGATCCCTTTTCTGAGGGCTGCTGCTGGTGTCCTCCCCCAGATCCTGGGCCCCAGCAGGTGGGAGAGTGGCCCCCTACGGAGTCCGATCAGACTGCTGCAGAGGAGGTGAAGAGGGGTTGAGAAGAGGCATCCATCCACGAGACTGAAGCCACTTGCCTTCACCCTTGTAGACTCTTGACTGTTCTAGGCGAGAAGGACCTGTTGGTGGCCTTTGGAGGTGGCAGGAAACGACTGTGGTTCTGCCCCAGCACCTATGACCCCACCTCTGGCAGCATCATGAGCCAGTTTCAGGTGCCCCTGGCCGTCCAGCCGGACCTGCCAGGCCTTTATGACTTCCCTCAGCGCCAGGTGATGGTAGGGAGCTTCCCGGGGTCTGGGCTCTCCATGGCTGGGAGTGAGTCCCAACTCCGAGGGGGTGGAGATGGTCGAAAGAAACGGAAACGGTGTGGTACTTGTGAGCCCTGCCGGCGGCTGGAAAACTGTGGCGCTTGCACTAGCTGTACCAACCGCCGCACGCACCAGATCTGCAAACTGCGAAAATGTGAGGTGCTGAAGAAAAAAGTAGGGCTTCTCAAGGAGGTAAGCCGGCCCTTGCTGGGCTACCCTGTTCCTTCCTCGAGGGCACGGTGATCACGGGGGTCTTGTTCAAGCAAGGCTCGTCCAGTTGAGTCCATTCTCTCATTTCTGATCCTCTTGGTCCAACTTTAAGTAGGAGTGTAACTGACATGTTTGGACTCCTTTGCAGGGCTGACAATTTGTATGAGTAACTGGGTAGAAGGGGGATCTGAGCTAGCACCCTCATCTCTGATGTTTGCATTTGAGGCGGGACTGTGATGTCTACCTTTACCTCTAGAAGTTTCTTGTCCTGCTGCTTGAAGCCTCAGATGTTGTATTTCAAGCTCATGCTAATGCTTGGATGACTTGGTCAGTGAGGGTGTAAGATAAGAGATGGAGGCTGATGGATTTGGAGACAAAGTTTTGGATTGACAGGGTGGTTTTATGATGCCCTGATGGAGTGGGATGTTTCTTTCATCGTTTTTCTCAGATGGCCAGAGAGCCAGTTGAAACTGTTGGGGAATCTAGTGACGAACTGATGTTTTGGGTTCCCCTATCTTAGTTCTTCTTGCGGTCAAAAACTTTATTTCTGTGTTCTCGGGACCTGGCACAATTCCTTGGCAGGTAGTAGGCACTCAGATACTAATTGCATGAATGGATGACATGCTTTTGAGACACTGTCAACCCCAGGGAGGTGTACTCCCTTTATTTGGGGTAGTAGGGTGGAGGAGGGAAGGAGATTTGGGGTGAGAGCAGGCAGGGTGGGAAGGAATGGGAGAGACCATGACCTTGCATTGGCCGTCTTTCCCTCCCATTATAGTGGCGGACTGCCGGCTTGAGGTTGGTGACAGCCGCGACAGCAGAGAGTTGGCAGAAGTAGGGCTGAGCGAAGTTGAGCAGCTTAGGAGGAGCGGTGTAGCCGCTGAGGTCGCTCCAGGCAGTAGAACTGGCGCTGGACAGAGACGGAGGCCTGCGCTGTCTTCGAGCTCCCCCTGGCTCTGCCATTCATTTGTCCAAGGGCCCAGACAACTCGGGCCCCCTCTCTGGGCCTGTCTTTTCCTTGGGGGAAGTGGAAGAGTTGTACTTGATGGCTTTCAAAGCCTCTTCCAGCTGGGCTGGGAGCTGCTTGCTTCTGAGGACTCGGGTCCCTGTGGCTGGCGTTGGGCTGGCAGCCCGTGCTCTGGGTTTCCCTGACCGCTGAGTGCAGAGCCTCACAGCGAGCTGGTGGGGCTGGTCCCGTGGCTAGGAAGAAAGATTCAAGTGTTGAGGACAGGGACATGGGGTTGCTGGATATTTCTGCCCCTTCTCACCTTGTCTTGTCCGTGCCTTGTGGAAGCTGTATGTCCTGACCCAGGGACTGCAGACTCGGGGCCCTGTTTCCCTTGTTTCTGGTTAAAGCAGACATCTGGATCACATATGCAGCCCCCAGCCCCAGCCTGGGAGACTTCTCTGTTGCTGGTGTTGGGGGTAGTTATCGTCCTGCTGGCCCAGTGCCCCATGGGTCGCTACTGAAAGCAGGGTGTTATGAAGCGGGGGAGGCTTTACTTCTGGATGTAAGAGCTGGTGCTTTGGTGTAGGGAGGAGCTGCTGAGTCTACTTTGCAAAGCTTGATTCCTTTGCGCCTTTCCTTCTAGCATTCCTTTTCTTCCCCAGCCCCCATTATCTTACTCGGTTCCTCCCATAATTAAACGGGAGGAATGAGGATGCTGAGCTTCCTGGGCTAGATGTTCTTGGAAGCAGTGGCCCTTGTGAACTAAGTTGAAGTGCTGCTTTTGGCAACAACAGAACATACCTGAGTGAAAGGGGCTGGGAGTGAGGCCAGGACCTTGTCATCCTGTGTGTAAGCTGTCGGCCCAGGCTGCCGGGTGGTCTTGGTTAAGATATCATGGATCTGGGGTGGCTGAGGCTTAGAGACACCCCTGCTGAGAGATGTCTGCATCCCTGTTGACCTTGCCATGGCCAACTGCCTCTCTAAGCCCCAGGGTCAGGTAAGGTGAGGCTGGACAGCCTTGGGTGTCCGAGGACAGAGGGTCTACATGCTGATCTGTGGAGTTCTCTGTTTCTAGAGAAACAAAAGGGGACAGTGGAATGAGTTTTTTCGTAAAGCTAACTTTCTGTGACTCAAAGAGCAGTACTTTTTTTCTAAGGATAGGTCCTTTCTACTTCTCGATGTTTAAAATACGCTTTCTTAAAATGTGCTTTATGAAGTGAAGGTGTAATAGAAATTAGACCTTTTTTTTTTTTTTTAAGTCTTAGCTTGGTAAAATACAAAATGGTAACCAGTGCCTCTCTCTGAAAAAAAAAAAAGTTTTTTTTGTTTTTTTTTTTTTTTGGTCCATGAAGGCTGAATGCCAGAGAGTCACTGTCTAGGGTATACCACATTTAACGGGCATATCTGTGGCATAATTAATTGAAAAGCTGAGATGTTCCTGAGAGACTGCCAGGGTGGATGAGACCCCAAGACCAGCCCAGCATTTAGCAGATGCTGGGGACTGCTGGGACCATAACCATTAGATCTTAGCAGCCGTGTGGCAGAGGGAACATGTCCCGGGATTGGGGAGGCTGTTTTGGCTGTGACTGTTCAGGTGGGGCGGGACGCAGTATCCTAGGATCCTCTCGGACATCAGACCATTTACCTGCATTCCTGCTGTGTGGTACTTCCTCCTCTCTGTGAGAGTGCTGTGCTCCTCTGGGCACTCTTCCTTACTTCCCTTCTGTCTCCATCTCTCGTAGCTGACTTTGGGGCTTCCTTTGAATTGTCTGCTTGCAGTTACTTTATATCATCCTGTAAGGAGGAGATTATCTTGGGTTTTCCATCTTCTTTCCCTGCTCCTCACTCTTTTTCTCTGGGCTTTGTCGGTGGGGAGAAGGGTGCAGGGGAATCCCTCAGAAAAGAAGTTCAGCATTTTAGGGCTAGAGACAGGTCCCCCAGGGATGGGCCTTCCTGCCCTAGGAGGCGGTGACTACTTCTCTGGGTCCTAATGTGAGGTTGGGGCAGGTTGGTAGTAGCTGTGGTCTTCCTTCCTAGTTCCAGGAAGACTTTAGAGGAGGTTGTTTGATTTCATATTCTTTTTACCTGAGTGGTGGCTTGGTAGTACAATGAAGATGACTGAGTAGAAAAGTAGGGTTTGGTGAGTAAGGAAGCACAGTGGATAGGGCTGAGAACCCAGAGTAAGTGCTGTGCCCTTACTCTCTTGGGCAACCAGTGCTCCATCCCTTCTGTGTCCATTTTCTCAATTGTAAGATGGGAGTAACCCTGCTTTGTAGGGTTGTCATGAGGATTAAATGAGATAAAATATGCATAATGTCTGGCACATAGTAGGTAATCAATGCATGATGACAAAACATTCCTAAACATCTAGAAAATGATGAATCTTTATGCATAAACAACTGTGCATTAGTCTTCGAGCTGTAAAGATGCAATACAAGGGCTAGGTATGGTGGCTTACTCCTGTAATCCCAGAGCTTTGGGAGGCTGAGGCAGGATGATCACTTGAGACCAGGCTGGGCAACATAGCAAGACCCCATTGCTAAAAAAAAAAAAAAATTAGCCAGGCATGGTGGCATGTGCCTGTAGTCCTAGCTCCTGGAAAGACTGAGGTGGGAGAATCGCCTGAGCCCACAGTGGGCAATATTTGAGCCACTGCACTCCAGCCTGCATACAACTCCAGATGCAATACAAATTAAGCGTTTATCTCAAGGCATTCACCTCACTTGCTCATAGAAGAACCGTGGGGCAGAACAGTAGAGCCAGGCAGAGGGAGGGAGGAGTTTGCCAGCCTCTGTGCTGGGGGAGGAGGCTAGACACCAAGGAGTCACTATGGTCCTAGGCCTGACTGAAAAGTTGACCATGGATGAGGGAAGTAAATAACTATTAGAGTAGGAGAATGACCCTTAAAAAAATGCATAGAAAAATGTATGCATAAGTTTGGAAGCATGACTGAGAATATTATGGGTGAAAATGAGAGAAATGGAAAGATATATGTGATGAGAATACTTTCTAGCCCTCAGCCAACTGGATTTACATCTTGAAACAGATCTCTGCCAGATTTGAGTCAAGATACCTTGGAATTGGGAATCTTTCAACAATATCAGAACACCTGATGAATCCTTGCCCATCCTGCTGGTAGTTCTATCTTCCTGAAGATGGAGGCTGTGGAGAGGAATGTGTTCAGGCTGGTCTCAGCATCAAAGGGAGAATTGACTAGAGAAGTGGAAGTGATGAGAATCTTTAGAGAAAGGGACCGCATCTGAGCATTTGTCAAGCCTGAAAGAAGGTTGGACAGGGAGGAGTGTTTGTATTTTTAGTAGAGATGGGGTTTCACCATGTTGGCCAGGCTGGTGTTGAACTCCTGACCTCAGGTGATCCACCCACCTTGGCCTCCCAAAGTGCTGGGATTACAGGCGTGAGTCACCGTGCCCGGCCCTTGGTGTTTTTTTAAATAGAGACAGGGTCTCGCTATTTTGCCCAGGCTGGTCTTGAACTGGTGAATTACAATTTTTATGGATAGTCTTTAGAATATCGTCTTTCAAATGCAAGCGGTTTTTAACTCCACGGCCACAGATTCTAAATGAAAATTAGCTGGAGGGATAGAATTGCTTGTTAAAAAGCAAACTCTGGCCGGGCACGGTGGCTCACGCTTGTAATCCCAGCACTTTGGGAGACCAAGGCAGGCAGATCACCTGAGGTCAGGAATTCGAGACCAGCCTGACCAACATGGAGAAACCCCATCTCTACTAAAAATACAAAATTAGCCAGGCGTGGTGGTGGGTGCCTGTAATCCCAGCTCCTGAGGATTGGACAGATGAGAAGTCCAGTTTTTGACTTAAAGTCATCTTAGAGGGAGGCCACTGATACGACTGCCCTGTTCAGTCTGTCAACCATGTAGATCAGGGGTTCCACATTGGGATCACCTGGGAAATGTAGCAAAACATGGTGCCTGGGCCCCACTCCCAAGGGATTCTGATTTAATTGATCCAGGGTGGACCAAACTGGTCTGGGGCTCCCAGGTGTACCTAGGCTGAGGCAGGAGAATCCCTTGAACCCAGGAGGCAGAGGTTGCAGTGAGCTGAAATTGCGCCATTGCACTCCAACCTGGGCAACAAGAGTGAAACTCTGTCTCAAAAAAAAAAAAAAAAAAAAAAAGAAGGAAACGCTGATAGAACAGTCATGAATGATAGCTTCAGGAGAAAGGTGTTGGTGGGACTGGGGAAGGACTGAGCCATCTGTGTGGCTGTATGGGCTGTTCTCTAGTGAGTGAGGGGGTAAAAGGCCAAGCACATTATGTGGAAAGTGGGGACATGGCACTGAAGCAGAGTCAGGAGTGTGGTCTGAGCCCCTAAGAGGAGCATCAGGGAGTCCAGTGGCCAGAATGTGCTAAGGCTGGTGGAAAATGCTGATAACAATGTCTTGTATATGGTTCTAGCAAGAGTGAGAGGGAAGAGGTAGGCTTACAACTTTCTAGGGATGGAGAGAGTGGACAGACACTGGGTCCCTGTGGTGTCAGAAGATATAACCTGGGGAAAACAGAGCCAGCCAGCTACCCTACCTGAGTCTGAGTCATTCACTTCCTACTGAACACCTGCAGATGTGATTGCAAAATCACAATCTTTTTTTCTTTTCTTTTTTTTTTTTGTTTTGTTTTGTTTGAGATGGAGTCTCGCTCTGTTACCCAGGCTGGACTGCAATGGCGTGATCTTAGCTCACTGCAACTTCCACCTCCCCGGTTCAAGCGATTCTCCTGCCTCAGCCTCCCGAGTAGCTGGGATTACAGGCATGTGCCATCACGCCTGGCTAATTTTTGTTTTTTTAGTAGAGAAGGGGGTTCACCATGTTCGCCAGGCTGGTGTTGAACTCCTGACCTCAGGTGATCTGCCCACCTTGGCCTCCGAAAGTGCTGGGATTACAGGCGTGAGCCACTGTGCCCGGCCCTTGTTGTTTTTTTAAATAGAGACAGAGTGTCGCTATTTTGCCCAGCCTGGTGAACTCATGGTGAATTACAATTTTTATGGAATTATGATGATTGAAAGAGGGCCAAAAAACCAGAGATGGGCTAAAAGTCCAATTTCTCAAAGAGATTTTGAAAATTGTAAATATATAATCTTAATGTCAGTTTTTGAGAGTTCTAGAACAGATTGTTTAAAAGGTGTTTTGTGAAACTTTAGAAAGGCAGGTGATAAACTTTGAGGGTGCTTGTGGTTCTTTTCAAAGCAGCTGAGGCAAATGAACAGATCTAGATTTCTGTAAATAAATGATGGCATCTCCTGCCAGCTTGGACAGATGAGAAGTCCAGTTTTTGACTTAAAGTCATCTTAGAGAGGGAGGCCACTGATATGACTGCCCTGTTCAGTCTGTCAGCCATGTAGATCAGGGGTTCCACATTGGGATCACCTGGGAAACGTAGCAAAACATGGTGCCTGGGCCCCACTCCCAAGGGATTCTGATTTAATTGATCCAGGGTGGACCAAACTGGTCTGGGGCTCCCAGGTGTACCTAATGTGTAGTTAGCATGGAAACCCTCTGATGCAGGTGAGAGACTGTGAGGTGATGGGCACCTACCTGGACTATTCTATGGCAAATTGCTCACCTGAGTCCTGAGACACCTGTATGTTCCACAGCCTCACTTCCACCTTGCTGCTCAGTGGACCAGCAGCATTGGCATCACCTGCAAGTTTGATAGAACTGCAGAATGTCCAGCCCTACCCCAGACCTGCTGAATTGAAATCTGCACTTTAACCAGATCCCCAGGTGATTTGTATGTCCATGAAAGTTTGAGGAGCTGTCTACAACATCTCTATGACCAGAAGGGAATGGGACACGGAGCCAGTGGGGTGGAGGGCGGGGGCAGTGACAAATAAGCTGTGATGAACAGGCAAAGAATTCCAAGTGCCAGCAGGGTAAAGAGGATGACCCAACCCATTTCCTGACCCTCTAAGCCGGGGAGACAAGGACCTCTTGAGATTTACTGCATGTTTCTGCTTGTTCTTCTGGCATTTGTTTCCTTGTAGTTTAGTGAGTTATCAGTAAAACCTATCAATAAAACTGATCTACAAAGTTATCAGAGAACTTGTGAATTTGTTCTGACAACAGTCAGGAAAGGGCTCTCAGAAGATGTTTGCTGCTCAGCAGCCTGATTCAGGAGGTTGGAGCTCCATGACCCAGTAGTAGATGGTGGTGGTTGTGCAGAGGAAGGGGTGTGTCCATAGAATCTTAGGTCTCATGGAACAATCTGGAAGCTTATGGAGCAGAATCGATGTGTGCCCTTTTCACAAGATGAAGTAGTAGGCGAGTCAGATCTGTGGGTGTGGTGGGTAGGTGGGTGGCAGTGATGATGCAGTTATTACGTTGCATGATAGAACAAGGGGCTAAGGAGGTTGGGGCAGTCAGGTACAGTGAGTCCCAGTAAGACTCAATGGGATTTAATCAGGGCAAGTACAAAGGCCTGTACTTGTTTTAAAAAAGAAATGTACGAACTCTGGCTTCCTAGCAGGTAGGAATAACTGAAACTCTAAAAAAGAATGTTGACAGTCTGTCTTGAAATCTGTCAGAGTGGTCACATGCAGGACAGTTGAAGGAAGCAGGGCTGTTCAGCTGCTGATGAGTAGAGGAACACAGGCTCAGGCAAAGCTTGTATGAAGAAGAGGTCAGTTCCCTCACTGGAGGGAGTATGCAGGAGTTTTATTAGTGGGTGAAAGTTATTAGACAGACTGAACCCACATTAGAAAAAAGAATTGTCTAGCATTTATGACTATTCCAGTACTGAGGAACTAGCCCTGAGAGGTCCTGTGTGACCAGTGCCTGCACGAGTCTGGGTGCTGCCTAACAGGGAAGTTATGAGGATGTCCTCTGGGTTGCGGGAAGGTTGGGAGGGAGATTCACATTTGGTGGTCTCTTGCTAAGATTATGTGAAGTATATTATCAGGTCTATTTTTTTTCTTTCTTTCTTTCTTTCTTTCTTTTTTTTTTTTTTTTTTGATACGGAGTCTCGCTGTGTCCCCCAGGCTGGAGTGCAGTGGTATGATCTCGGCTCACTCACCCTCTGCCTCCCAGGTTCGAGCAATTTTCCTGCCTCATTCTCCTAGGTAGCTGAGATTACAGGCACGTGTCACCGTGCCTGGCTTATTTTGTATTTTTAGTAGAGACAGGGTTTCACCATGTTGGCCAGGCTGGTCTCGAACTCCTGACCTCAGGTGATCCACTCGCCTTAGCCTCCCAAAGCACTGGGATTACAGGCATGAGCCACTGTCCTGGCCTATCAGGTCTATTTTCATGTTTCTTTTTTTTTGTCTGTTTGTTTTGACGGAGTCTTGCTCTGTTGCCCAGGCTGGAGTACAGTGGCGTGATCTCAGCTCACTGCAACCTCTGCCTCATGGTTCAAGTGATTCTCCTGCCTCAGCCTCCCAGGTAGCTGGGACTGCAGGCATACACCACCACGTCTGGCTAATTTTTGTATTTTTAGTAGAGACGGGGTTTTACCATGTTGGCCAGTCTGATCTTGAACTCCTGACCTCAGGCGATCCGCCTACCTTGGCCTCCCAAAGTGCTGAGATTATAGGCGTGAGCCACTGTGCCTGGCCTGTTTGCATGTTTTTTAGATGACTACATGCAAGAGAGGCATCTATCTTAGACTGCAGTATTTTGGTCAACTTTTAGACTTAATCTTAGACCTAGACCTAATCTCAGACCTCAGTTGGGGTAAGGTCTGTGAACTGTTTTGAAAATTTCAGCCAAATGTTATGTGAATGTGCAGGGGTGTGTTTTCTCAGGGGAGAGGATCCGTGGTTTTTAGCAGATTGTCAAGAGTATTCAGGACCTCCCCAGATTTAAGAAGCGTGCCCTACCTGAGCCCTCTAATATAGTTGCCATCGGCCACAGGTAGCTATTTAAATTTAAATTAGTTAAGATTAAATTCAGTGACTCAGTCATACTGGTCGACTTTCAAATGCTTATTAGCCACATGTGGCTAGTGGCTTGTGGCTCATGTATTGGACGGTGCAGATAGCATTTCTGCCATCACAGGAGGTTCTGTAGGACAGTGCTGGGAGCCAGCCTTAGAGTGACCCTGTGTGGTCCCTGAACCCTCACCAAGGGCTCTTTTTAGGTTGGGGAAATAGCTGTCTGAATTGGCAGCTCTCAGGGTTTGAGATCCCAGCCCCCACACCCAAGGTAAGTGGTGAGGTCTCTGGACAGAACTTTCCTGGATTCTAACCCACTGCCCAGTCCACTGCTTCTCCTTGAAGGCACGGCCATGCTTTACTTGTCGCTATGGGAGAGCACAGGGACAGGAGTGAGGTGGTGTGCGCCACCCAGAGGCTCTCTGTGGGTCCCTAGTGGGGAAAATGACTCCTCCCCACCTACAGTCTTGGTCAGCAGCCCCACTGAGCTGTGTTCATGTTGACTTCCAGCTCCAACCTTATCTCCTGGGTCCTGCCAGAGTTGTCCTCTCTGTTGTGGGTTTTCTTGTTCTGGAAAAGGCAGTGTGGTGACTGGGCGGGCCGGAAGACCAGGTCCAGGGTCTCAGGAGTTGTCACTAATTTCCCACTCCATTCCCCTTCACTCCGTTACAGCTCCTTTTTGGAATGAGGGGACGATGCTCAGGAAGAGAGGAGGTATTGGAAAGGAAAGAGACCCCTTCATCTTCTTTTTTAGCCCTGCTCAACCTGGCTGGCTATTTCTGGGAGGGCCCTTTAGAGTTGCTGTGGGCCTCTGCCTATGTCTGTGCAGGGCATAGGCACTGCACAGACAGTTGCCACACCCAGGGTGGACAAATCCCATGGTGGCCTTGTCTGCTGTCATTTGCATAGGAAATCTGATAACCTAAGATTTTTTTTTATTTTTTATTTTGAGACAGAGTCTTGCTCTGTCCCCCAAGTTGGAGTGCAATGGCATGATCTTGGCTCACTGCTACCTCCAATCCTGGATTTGAGCGATTCTCGTGCCTTAGCCTCCTGAGTAGCTGGGATTACAGGCATGCACCACCACACCTGAATAATTTTTGTATTTTTAGTAGAGACAGGGTTTCGCCATGTTGGCCAGGCTGGTCTTGAACTCCTGGACCTCAGGTGATCTGCCTGCCTCGGCCTCCCAAAGTGCTGGGATTACAGGCATGAGCCACCATGACCGGCTTGATAACCTAAGTTTTTATTAACCACTGAGGGAGGGATCGAAAAGAAGGCCGGCAGCCCATTGTGGGATAACTGGCTGACCTTCAGGTGGCCACAGGTATGGGGGTTTGTTGCCTGCTTGCTTCAGGTAGCACCAGCATGCAGCTGGGGCACTGTTGATGGCTGTTCCTGCACTGCTGGCTGTGACTGGTACGAATTCTAGCTCTGTTGTGTCCTACCTCTACCACACCTAACGAGGGTGTTAGTGGACAAAATAAGGCATCTCTGACTGCTGCTAGAGCAGCAATTCCAGATTCTCAGAATGGATGGGAAGTTGCATTGGATGGAATTATTTGGTGGTATTGGCCAGACTGTGGGTCCCCCATGCCTCCTGCCCCTCCTAATTACTGCTGGGTGGGGGAAGTCTCAGGAAATGAGTACGGAGATGCTGGGTCAAAAAGAAGTAACAAAATATTAGACTAGAGTCTGCTCCACTGCTGAGTTTTTCTTCTGGGGAGGACATGGGTGGCTCTTTCCTGTCTTATTTTTTATTGATTGATCTGCCGTTTAAGGTAAGCTCTGTGTGCCCCAGTTCCCTTAATGATGCTGGGAATGATCCTGAAGCCCTAGAAGAGAGAGGGACGGCAGACTCTTACTGTGAGGGCTGGGTCCTGCCTGTACTATGTTCATGCTGCAGGATGGGGTGAGGTGCAGTGAGGGGAGAGGGGGTTGTGAGGGCCAGTGGGAGAAGAGCTGGTGCCAGGAGGACAAGGAGAGAGAGACACCTTCCTGGTGTATCCTGGGTCCCAGGATCTACAAGGTCCCTTGTACTGGAGGCAGCCAGCCCCTCTCTCTGGTGCTGCTTCAGTTTCCCGAGGCAGGACATCATCTGCTTTGACCTATAGACAGGCAGGTGGCCCTCCTGGCCCCATTCAGCAAACCTCGCCTGGGACTAGCTCTTTGCTGGGTGCCATACTGAGTCTGAGCGGTGGGTAAAGGTAGGCACATTAACTCTGTGTGTCCTTAATGATCTTGCTGTCTGGGGAGGGAGACAAGCATGGAAACAAATAACTACAGTACATTCTGATAGGGCTAAAAGGGAGGGATGCCTTGAGGGCAGAGACTGGCCTTAGTCACCTTTGGGCCCATAGAGGCCAGCCAGGAAGGGAAGGAACATGTCTTGAGAGTGTAGTGACATGTGAAGGATGAGGAGGAGAAGGACTTCCAGGAGGGGGAAGCACCTCCCTGATCTTGCAGTGTGTAGAGATGCTACTTGATGCTGGCGGCAGGGGTGTGGAAGGATGAGGACAGATTGCTGGGTACCGCGTGAGAATCCTAGAGGTGGAAGGTCAGACGCTTTGTGTTAATTCCTCTTGGAAGTCTTCTGCTGGGGCTGTCCCCGGGTTTCTAGCTCAGCATTCGTGCCCCACCTTCTCAACAGCATCATACAGTCCGTTGTTATTTGCTTAGGTCCTTGGAACATTTGATGGTTCAAGGCTGTTGAATTTGGGGCGAGGAGACCCTGACAAGGTTCACAGACTATAAGACCTTTTCACGAGCATCTCAAAGGGCATGTAGGGTATAGGCAGAGTGTCACCTATCAGCCTGGGAGGCCCTGGATGCATGCTGTTTGCTGGTAGGAAGCACGAAGATGGAGTTGTTGGCTGGCTCCGACTTGTTTCCCTCCAGTGTTGCTGGGTGCCTTGGTTCAGTCTGGTTCTGCCGCATCTCCAAGGAGAGAAGCATCTTTTCTTCTTCTGTTGCTGCTGCTGCTGCTCCACCTCCTCAGCCTCCTCCTCCCTGTGATTGTCGTTGACACAGACTTCCGCTGCCAAAGCTAATTGTGAGGCCTGATCAGTGAATGAAGGCAAAGGCAGTTCCCATGACAACCGTAAAGAGTTTCAAATATAGGGGATGATGTGTGTGTGATGGGCGGCAATTACTTGGGTGGAAATTGATGCGTGGACACCGGGGACTTCAAACATAGGCTCTGAAGGTGGAGGGGGTGTTGGGTTTTTTTTTGGCAGGATCCTTTGTGTGATGAAGAGAAAAGGAGGTCACAGACTTCCCTCATAGTCAATTCCAAGTGCCTTCAGTGTGTGGAACGTAGGCATAGCCCTGCAGGGGCTTTGGAGAGGCACAACTCCAGTCATTCTGGTTGGGAATGCAGGACACACAGAGAGACAGACAACAGTACCAGGGGTCAGATGAGAAATGTTAGAAGCGCCGTTGGTTGGCAGAAGACTGGTATAATCAGAGAAGGCTTCCTGGAGGAAGCAGGGCTTAAACAGAGCTTTGAAGTAAAGCCCTGTGAAGAGTGACCTCATTCAGGACACAGCCATGGTGAGGGAGGATGAGAAGCCTGTCTCCCTCTACCCTCTACCAGCTCTAGAAGAGGTAGGTGGATATGAAAATCGTAGAGCAACACAGAGCAGCCTTGGCTGTGCTGCTGCAAGTGAGGGGGTGGCAAGAACCCTGTGCATTCATTTTCTGGCTGTGTGACCTTGGGCAAGATACTTAGCCTGTCTGTATCCCAATTCTTCGTCTGTAAAATGGGCACAAATATTTCCTGTCTCATTGGTTTGTTTAGAGAGTTAAAAAAGATACAGTATATCATGCTCTATGGGGCCTGACATGGGGTTGGTGCTTGCTTGATTTCTTGTAAATTCCCCCAAGAATGTGTCTGGTTGTGTCTGTGTTCCTTCGTCTTTGAATATCTGTGTGGAATCTGACCTGTGGGTATCCATGTTCCTGAGGTTCTCAGTGTTAGGGCATTTTGTGTGTCCTGAAAGCGAGTAAATCCATTCACCTCTCCAGTGGGGAGGGCTGTGGCTCCATTCCTCCTGCTGGGAGCACAGTAGGGTCTGGGGGTTGTGATAGAAGATGGGGAGGGGAGGGACCCTTGGCCCCTATGCAGAGGGGTTCCAAGTACCTGTGAGTGATCGCTGTGAAGTGCAAAATTTAGAAAAGGGGGCAGATAGAGATGGGAGGAGGATCAAGAGGGGAGCGGAGAGCATACCGGCTGGAGGCAGAGTGGCCCTGGCATGCACCTCTGTGACTCCCTTGAGCCCCGGCATTCCACGAGTCTCAGAAGAGGGAATGAGGCCAGGGTGAGATGGGGATGGGAGCAGATGGACTGCCTGGGGGACTATGGGCTCCTCCTCTGGGCTACTTCTCTGGTGTAGCCGAGGGCTGCTGGAAGGCAGGGTGGGGACCTGTGTTTGGGGTAGGGCTGAATTACCACCGGGAGATGAGTGGAGCCAGGAGTTGGGATGGGAACTTTGCTCTGTGGCTCCTTCAGGCTGCTGAGGAAGATAGGTGCTGGTTGAGCAAGTCTGGGAGTAGATCACAGTTCAGTTCTGGCAGGTCCTGCCCTCCCAGGACAGCGGGTGTCTCTCAGATCCTTGAGGACCTCAGGGAGAAGGCTGACCAGAAGAGGGGCCTCCACTTCTCAGTGCCCAGCCCCCTGCCTCTCCACCCTCCTTGTGTAGAAACTTGGCTCAGCACATTCCAGCTCTGTGCAGAGCCTAGGAAAGTAGGGAAGACAGGGCCCCCGCCCACGTGGGAGGACTGCCGTGTAAATAAATAACTGCACTTTATTGTGACTGGTGCTGTGGAAGAGGCAGTACACTGCTCTGTCAGGACCCGGGAGGAGCAGATGATGCTCATGGGAGCTTGGTGATCTGAGAAACTGGCAGGGGGAGGCAATGTTTAAACTAAGTCTTGTACCACATTAGCTTGCCAGGTCGGGGGAGGTGCGGAGGGATCCAGGCAGAAGGAGCAGCACCGGGAAGTCTCTGAGGCATGAAAACATTACTAGATCCATAGCTTAAAGGGAAGTGATTGGGTTCAAGTGACCTCGGTCTTCTTTGTATCTCCCTGGGGTTGGCAGAGACAGACAGAACTTAGAGAATTGGAAAGAGAAGGACCTAGATTTGAATTCTAGCCCACCACTCACCAGCTGTGTTGACAGGCAAGTAAGTTAACATCGCGAAGTCCTTCCGTTGCCCTGTTAGAGATGAGCTTGTATGGGGAGTAAGTCAAATGAGATGATCCTACAACATGGTTGGCACAGGGCCTGGCATGTAGCAGGGGTTTGATAAACTGTGGCAGCCGCTGCAGCAACCGTACTAGTTGTTCCTTTCCAAGCATTGTTTGTCTCTCCTATCCAGCAGCAGACTGTATGGGGGGTAGGTGTGAGGGCAGGGGTTTTGGGGACCAGGATAAAGGAGGGACTCCACTTGGCCTGGTCATTGTCAAAGTTGAGGGGCACAGAAACCCATTGTTCCACCTGAGCTGTGCTTAGGACACTGTTCCTTGTCATGCTTTGCCACCTGCCTCCCTCCCTGCCCTGTGTTCCCAGGGGGAGGCAGGTATGGGCCCTGATGCCTCCTGGAGTCTCCTCACTGGAGGCCAGCTTTGCTGTCTTTCCAAAGGCCGCTCATCCTGTTCTGAGTACCCCCTTTGGGCCCCCGGGGAGGGGACAGCAATTAGGCATCTGTGGTGTAGTGGGTAGGAGAGCGAATCACTGGGTCAGGGGCTCTCAAACATCCTAATTAATCCTGTGAGTCACTTCTCCCTGGCCTCAGCTTATTCATCTGTGAGAATGAGAAGGAGCACCCAGTGAGCTCTTCCAGAAATTGATTCACCTGCAGTGAATCCTCACAACTGGATGAGGTAGCTGCTATTTGTAGTTCAGTTTTATAAGATGAGCAAAGAGAGGCTACGAGAGGTAAGTTACAACCAGCTAGGTAGTGATGGAGCCTGGAGTTTGTGGGTACCAAAGTGTGTGGAAGTCGCTTCCTGGGAGGTAGAAGCTCTGGGGTGCTCAGCTACAGGGAGGGATTGGGGTAGGGAACGATGTGCCCTGGGTGGCCCAGGAAGTAAATCTAGGAGTGGATTGCAGGGTCTGCCTCTCCCCTCTCTGTTCTTTCTCATCCTGCCCTCCTTTCAGTCTTCTGATGCAGCTTTCAAAGGCTGAGTCTGGAAACTGGAAGACCGGAGCTCTTGGGGTCTGGGCTACCTCCCCTCCTCTGCCTTTCCAGGAGATGGGAAGCCCTGAGGTCTGGGGACCCTTGGGGTCTTGGGGGTTACCTCCTGTAGCCTAAGAGTGGAGAACCCATTGTGGGGTGTTGGTGGGGAGGCTGTCTTGGATGGGTATGTTCTGGCGGGGCTGGGGGGTGATCCTAGAGTGAGGTGTGGGTGTTTGTGTGTGTGGAGGAGGGCAGGGTTGACACAGGAGGTGTGGGCTCCGAGGAGCCTGTTTTCTGAGGTGGGCGCTGGAGCAGGGAGGAGCAGAGAGCTTGCATAGCTGTTAAGAGTATGGTCTTCAGAGCCGACAGACCTGGCTCAGAGTCCCGGCTCTGCTGTTTCCTAGCCGCATCACCTTGGGTAAGTTGTTTCACTTATTTTATCACCTCATTTGCAGAATGGAGTAAAGGTTCGTGCTGCCTGGGCTTTTTCTTCTTTTTTGAGGATGAAGGGGCTATTGCACCTCATGCCCTTGTGACAGGGCCCGGTGCCGTCCCAGCTGCTGCCAGGATGATGCTGGGGTTAGAGAGTGGCGAAGCGGGAATCCCCCCCCACCCCCCCGGCGTCTGCTCCGCTCCGCTCCACCCGGAGGCGCAGTCTGTCATCTTTGATCCTGGAGGCGCAGAGGACGCCTTCTGGGTATTACCTTCGGGGTCCCCGCGGGAGGAGGCCGGGGGTGCCCTGGGATGCCCCAGCCTGCCGGGGAGCGGCACGGCGGGCCTGGGAAGCAGCCAGCGCGGCTCAGCAGCACCCTCGGCTGCGCCCCCGCCTCCCGGCTGGGCAGGTCCACCAGGCGGGGGCAGGGCCGGCCGCGGGGATTGGCTGGCGAGCGCGCCGCCCCCTCGCACACCAGCCCCGCGGCGGGGAGGGGAGCGCAGCCGGCAGCTGGCCGCCGCCTCCTCTGCAGTGCCTCCCTCCGTGCGCTCCCTCCGGCGGGGATAATGGGAGGCCCGCCGGCCGATGCACCAGAGGAGGCCGGCCGAGGTAGAGCGCGCGGGGCCGGGGATGGCCGGGCGGACGCGGGCCGGGGGTCGCCGTCCTCTCGGATCTCGGGGGGATTCTCAGAGGAGAAATGAAAACAAAAACACACTGGAAGGCGGGGGAGCCTGTCTGCCGTGATCCAGGCGGCAGCTGGAGGCAGGAAGATGGTCCCAGATAGCCTTTCTTTCCCAGGCTGTATCCCCTCCCGTTCGCCTTCTTCCCCTCCGGCCGGGCTGGGGGCTGTAGCAGGAGGACTTTGCTGCCTTCCTGGTACCCGCCTGGCTCACACGTTCCTCTGGCTTCTTTTGCAGGTGGAAATAAAGGCTGGTGAAGGAGCCGGGCCGTGGGGACAAGGAGCGGCTGTCAAGGTACCTTGTGTGTGTGCGTGCGTGTGTGTGCGTGTGTGTGGTGGCGGTGAAGTGTTTGACCGGATTGGATAAAAATAAAGGGTCTCCTCTGGTGATCCCTTAATCTCCCACTGTGTGTGTAGCAGCAGCTGAGGGGGAGGGGCGGCGGGGGTGTGGGCGGCCAATGAATTCTCAGGCCTGTGTGGGTTTTGTTTGGATTCTTTTTGCTTTCTCAGCTGGATGGTTTTGGGTGCAGTTGGGGCTTGGTTTGTTGAACTGTTTTTTTTTTTTTTTTCTTTTTAAGACATGCAACCCACTCCCCACCCCTGCCTCTGGAAATCTCTCGAGAATGTCCCTGGCACTGTTGGTTTGCATCCAATCTGCAGAAATCCCGGGGGGGACGGTGTGCGGGGAGGGGGGGTGGGGGGGCGTAAGAGGGAGGGAGAATTGCGCTCCTGAGTCTGAAGCTGATAGGATGTCATTAGTCATGCTGCTGTCACCATGGAGATGGCTGGAGAGGAGAGGAGGTGGTGGGGGTGAGGATATTTTGGGTAGGGTGGGGGCTGATGCAACATCATGACTGGGAATCCGGCGGGCGTCTGCTGTTACTCTGTGTGACTTGGTGTCTAGGGGACTGGGAAGAGAGTGTTCCCAGGTGCGTGGGAAGCAGAGAAGGGGGCACTGAGCTTCTCCTTGTGGTTGTCTGGGGGGCGGGGAGCTGGGGTGTTTGAGACAGGGGAGGGGAGAGTCCAGTAGAGTATCAGCCATTACTAGGAAACCACAGATATTCCTCCCACGTTGGCATGGACCCGATCAGTAGGTTTCCTTGAGCTTGTCCCCCTTTTCAGGGCTAAGGAGCCACTGTGAGTTTGGGATTACTCAGCAGTATCCTCTGCTGGCCCAGGGCGGAGAAAACAGATTGGGAGGTGGCTCTGTGTGGCTGCCTCTGAAGTCCAAGAGCAGAGAGGCTGGAAGGGAGCATGGGGCAGGTGGGCAGGGTCAGGGCTCATGGAACTCTTCCTAGCGGAGAGGAAGCGCGTTCCTGCCCCTGCCTCAGCCCACCTGCCCCCTCAGCCGCTGGAGTCTTCAGGGAGCTGGGGATCTTGGTTGCTTGGGTAGCAGGTGGGTGAGCTGCAAGTGTCCCCAGATACCCTTAGTTTCCTCCCTGGAAATTCTCTTCCCGCCCCCTGGGAAAGCTGTGGGAAGCTCCATGGAGGTGCTGGAAGTGGCATCCTGCCACCTTACTGACTGGATATGGATGCTGGTAGGGAGGGGCTCTGCTTCCCACGTGGGGGATAGGGACTTCTAGGTGAGGCTGCAGGGTGTATCAGGAGGCCTAGATAGTTCCCTGGCTTTGTCCCAAGGAACTTGAGGCAAGTAAGTGCTTGGGGAAGGGTGTGAATTTTGCTTCTGGAGCAGCTTCTGGGAAGGAGAAGAGCCAGGGGGCATCGGCTTCCCCGTCTAGCGGGTGTGCTTTAGTGAGACTGGGAGTAGTGGATGATCACCTGGGATGAGGCGGTGGGAGGCTGGGAGGTGACAGAGGGCAGTTGATACGGGCGATACTGTGGGTGGGGAGGAGAGAGCTGAGCTCACCTCAAGTTGGCTCTCACTACACACTCTTTTCTACAGCCTTCTCTGGAGCAGAACCCCCAGGTTCCACCTCTGCTTCCTCCCCTCGCCTCCCGCTGCTGGCTGGAGGAGTTGTAATCACCTCATGTGCTGTTGGAGGGGTGTGGGCACAGAGATCGTAGAGTAGATCTGCTCTGTCTCCCAGCCTGGGGAAAGCAGGCCAACGGGATGAGGACAGATGGACTCAGGGAGGGGGCAGGCCCCTCTCTCCTCTGTATCTCCAGCCTTGTCAGCCTAGAGCTTCCCTCTCTGCTGGGAGAAAGGACGGGCTGGCAGGTTTGTTTACTCCCGAAAGCACCCCCTTCCGCTGTAGTGATGGCTCTCCCTGGCAGACCCGCTTCTCTTCAGCTCTTTCCAAGTGTGTTCTCCGTGTCTCCCTGCCTGCTGGCCCCAGATAGAGGCTGGTTTTCCGCAGTCCTGCTGGAAGCTCCCAGCCTAATGCCCCAGCCTTAGTGTTGTGGACATGTGGCAGGGGCTACTTGAAAATCCAGAGGAAGCCTTCCTAACAAGTCTTTCTCCTTCCGCCTTCTCAGAGTAGGGCCTGAGCTGGCTGAGTTTTTAAAACTCTGAGGTTGTATCTATGCTTGTTTTTATTGTTCAGTTGTCTGAGAATCATATGCAGCTCAGGCACTGCCAGCAAACACTCAGGTCTGAGTCTTCTGTCCCTGGTGCCACCTTCACACATAGAGTTTCCTTGGGTGGCCAGTTGGCTGCAGTGTCCCACATACCCAGGGTGAGGCAGTTTTGCCAGAGGCCCTTCCATTTTCAGGTCGTGGTGTAAGAAGGATATGTCTGATGTGTGAGCTCATCTTGGTCTGGTGTGAGATCAGACCAAGACCCTGGGACACGGGACACGGGGGTGTCACGAGATGGGTGCTGGCTGAGGAAGCCCCATGGGAGAATGGTATCTGGTAGCCAGTGGGAATAGACACATATACGATGTGCTAAGTCCTGCCAGGGTTTCAGGAATACCTATGATGTACGTATGAGTCCACATAGTGCCTAGCATAGGCACAGAGTTGAGCTTGATAAACGCAAGTTGACATTTTATTGTTTGGTGCATTACATGTCTACCCGTGATATCTCAAGGAACATGCTATAGCAGACACTGTTGCTACCACCTCCTCGTTGGCAGCCTGGAGAGGAGTGAGTGCCCAGTGCCGAGAACACCGGGCCGCCCTGCTTTCAAGGCTCCCACACGGCTCCCACACTCTGCCCCATGGGAACCCTTGACTGGCTGAGGATGTCTGGAAACTATTTTGGGATTGTGCCCAGGATCTCTGCCTTCTGTCTCTCCTTTTGACCACTGCAAAAAAAAAATGCCCTGTTCTCAAGGACCTGTGATCCTCGACTTTCTATACACTCTGGGTCCTTCCCACTACTTGTTTCTTGCCTGCTCTTCCTACTTCCAGCCACTTCTCTCTCGGGTATGTTTATAAGCAGCAGCCAGCTTGGGAAGATATGGAAGCAGGTGAGCATGTCAAACTAGAGAAGTGAAGGAACTAAGCAAGAGATTTTCAGAGTTGAGTTTGAGGATGGAGAGAAAGAGGGGGCTTTCCCCATCCATGATAAGAACTGGAGTTAGAGTCCCAGAGCTCAGCTCCATCTCCTTGGTGACCCTCACCCTTTTTGAATGTCATGGGAGAGGGAGAGAGCCTTGCAAGACATACACATGAGTGAGCTGAAGGGAGAGCCCTCCTGTCCACAGTGGTGCAGGGGCCCTGGACCTGCCCTCAGGGACCACCGTGGGGACGACTACAGCCCTTTTGCTGGGCCTGGTGAGGAGGGGCCTGGGCACTGGGCTCCCTCCAGCTGCAGATGGAGGTTTCTGCTAGAAATGGGCTTTGTGGTCTTGCCAAGTCCCCTCCCATACCCCGGAGGCTGCAGCAAATGGTTTGGCTGGATGGGGGTGGGGGCAGGGAGTATGGGAGGGGCTACGGTTTGGCTCAGCTTTTGGGTCTCACAATCCTCTTAAGTCCTCTTTCCTACCCTTGACCTCTTGGGCTTTCGGCCTCATTTCCTCTCACACCCGGGCATCTGGCAGTTAGCTGAGGACTCCCCCTTGTTCTCAGCGTCTCTACAGCTTCAGAGAAGGAGATACATTAGGAAGCCTTTAGGCAAATAGAAGGCAGGGAAAACTTGGAGGATTAAAATCTGTAGATTAGTGTATTCTCTAGGACTATTACCCCCATCTCTATCTATTTTCTCCCCCTTTCTTCTTCCCTTTGTCTTTCAACATCCACCAAGTATTTATCATGTTCTAGGTACAGCATTAGGTCCTGAAAAATAAGAGAAATCATTATTATTTGATTCTCACAAAACCATTGGAAGTAAGAGACATTGACTAAACTATTACCTGAAATTATAACTCTTGAGTGGGAAAGCCAGCACTGGAAGCTTTTGTGTTTTGTATATTGAATGCTTTTGACTTCAGCGTTGTGTTTGGGGCTGTGAACTTGCACATGGCAGACAGAATCCTCACCCCAGATGCACCCAGCACTTTACATTTGCTTTCTCTCTGGCTCAGAGAACCTCAAGGGACTTCGAAGGTTGACTCAACATGCCAAGTTTGTTTTCAATTAAGTCATTGTTTCCCGGATCTAGCAATGACAGAGGAGGGCAGTGGGGTCAGAAATGGGCTAGCTGGGAAGGGAGCTTAGTTTTGAAAGGCACATGTTGGCATTAGATGTTTCGGATTTGAGATTCTGAAAGCTGGATGGAAATACTGTGCCTGAGCAATCTACCATGAACCTGAAATTGCCTTAGACTCATTTAGAGTGTGGGCCCCGCAGCCCTTACTGCTTCAGGGGGCTTCAGTGAGACCCACTGACTGAGAGGAGGAGGGTGAGAAGTGCAGTTGTTAGTTTCCTTCCACTCTGTTTTCTACTCTACTCCTACTCCTGGGTTCTGTCATTAGCCATGGGGAGGTCACTTACTGTCTTTGGACTTCAGCTTTCTGGGTAAAGTGAGGGGATTGCCTTCCAAAGTTAAGTTTTTCTCAGACTAAATCTGGGGAAGGACCAGTTTTTTTGTTTGTTTGTTTTTTGTTTTTCAGTGTTCCCAAAAGATTGCAAAACTAAAACGTGGTCCCACTTACTTTGTACAGCGAGTTTGCAGCTGCTGCACGTGTGGCTCAGCACCATCCAAAGTGGTCTGTGAGCCATTCAGTGAGGCGAGCCAAGTGATCATGCCCTTGGATGTCATGGTAGCTTTAAATTGCTATAAAGGTTCCTAAAGGCTTCCTCTTGGTTCCTGTATTTATGTTGTGGTGGATTGGTGTTAAGCAGTTTACGGGCCATATCCTGAATAGCACTGCTTTTGAACTTTTATCTGGGACAGCATAGGGTCTCTGTTTTGATGCCTCCCCACCCCTTCTGGACATGACTTTTCCACTCTTCTATACCCTCCATCTTGGGGACAAAGCCTCCGCTTGAAAGAGTAGAGATCTTTTTGTCCCATAAGTTCTCTGAGTGCCCCAAAAGATTTACTTGCATCTCAGCTTCTGTAGATAAGGATGCCTCCTGCCTTCTCTTTCACTTCTGCAAGTCTGGGAGTCTGATGGAGGCCCGTCAGAGCCCTTGGAGCCCCTGTACTGTGTGTGTGTGAATTGCATGCCTTGGAGGAAGAGAACAGTTGGGGAGGAAGCCAAGTCTCCTGTAGATGCTGGTGTGGACTTGGACCCTGCAAGAGACTAAAGCTCCATTGCCACAGGCAGGGCACCTTGAATTTTGAGCTTATTCCATGCAGTGTTTGTTAATAACCTAGAGGTATACCCTTTTTCCCCTGGGGGTTGATTGCAGATTCTACCCTGATTTCTATAAACAAAGACATCTTAATATTTCTGACAGTATGAGCTTGACCATCTTCCCCCTACTTTCTGTTGCTGAGGATCTACGGCCTTTTTTGAGATGCTAAAGATTAGACAAAAAGTAAAAATGACTAACTTTCTTCTATTCTGGCTGCCTTAGCTAGAGGAGAGTAGGAAGGGAGGGGTGGGGGGAGGTAACAGTATCTTGCCACAGAAATATTCCTTAAGAGGCAAACATTCCAAGGATAGGAAGATTAGGGTCTAAAGAAATCCTGGTTACCTCCGAGGCCTGGAACTTTTACGCCCTTGGTGCTTAAGTAATTGGATTTCTCAACCCCGCCTCCAGGCATTTTTCCCCCGTGTAATCCTAACCTCATGGGCTTTGCAAAGGAAACAAAGGCATTGAAAGGGTTTGCAACTTGTCCCTGACACTGAGCTCCTGAGCTGTGAGCCCTGCCGACTGAGTGTTCCTCCTTTGCCTCCTCTGCAGCATCCACCGTCTCTCTCAAAATCCTTGTCCCCAGGAGTCTGTTTTTCTAGCCTGCAGGCCTTGGTTCCTAGCCCTGCTAAGCAGATGGAATTTACAGAAGGAGCCGTTTCCTGCCAGTCCACCTTCCTGTACCTCGGGGAGGTGCCATCTCTGACCCTGCTGGCCACTCTGCAGATGGGGAAGAGCCAAGGGAGGCTGGTAACTCCTGTAGGAGGCAGAGAGAGGCCCTGGAAAGGGATTCTGAGCTGAGAACCCTGCCTGGATCCATAGACCAACTTTCTCTACTTCATGTTCTCCCTTGAGTGTGACCCTTTGGCCAAGTCATTCCTCTGATGGCTTGAATAGGCTCAGGCTGGGGTACAGAGGGCTGTCCCTACTGCATCAGGCCCTGCTGGACCCAGAGAGAGGAAACTGTGCCTTCACCACATGGATCATTATTGCCTTACACCCTAGTTCTAGGGGAGGAATACAGAAATGGGTTTTCAGGGGAGCCCTGGAGGTGGTGTCCAAGAGATGTCCACCATATTTTTCCTAGCACTGTGGATCTCTCTGCTCTGTCCTCTCCATCCTAGGACACTCTTCATGGCTTCAGTCCATCCCTAGTCCTGCCCCTTGTGCTTTGATCTCAGCTTTAAGACCTAGACTGAGCAGAGAGGGCCTCTAAGGACATGCTTTGTGAAGCATGGGCCCAGGGCTCTATGTCAATCATCCAGGGAATGTGTAAGATGCCAGGGGGCTGCCCAGCCAGGACAGCTGTCTACTAGAATCAAACCCATGGGCTCCTGCTGCACAGTTAGGTAGAATGGGCTCAAGACAAGGGTGGCATAGGGGCCTCAGGTATGAGGGCTGGAAGCTCTGGGCAGGTGGGCTGTGTGGCATCTCCCTCTTCACTAGCCCTGCCACTTGTCCCTGAGCCAGGTGCTACCTGATGGTTGAGCTGTATGGGGACCTCTGCCCTGTGGCCTTTCCTCCCACTGTTATTTCTCCTTGGTTTCCTGTTTTCCAGCTGTGGGTTCCCAGAGGCGTCATTTGGACCCTGGGTAGTAGTTAGGGCTGAGCTCTGGGGTTGTGTGGTTGGAGCGGCGTGTGTCTTAGGGCTGTACTGGCAAGTGGGCCAAAGCAGTCTAAACACCCTGGCTAGGAGCCAGAAACCGGGGCTCCGTGTCCAACCCGGGAAGCCTGGGAAGCTCCTCCCCGTCACCTTCCAGATGCTGCCGCCTCCATGTGGGGGGTGTTGCTCCCCGCTGGGTCTTTGCCCGAGGTCTGGGGGAAGCCGGATGTGGAGGAGGACCTGGGTGGGTGCCAGAGCACTTCATCCCTAAGCTCACCTCACCTAAATGCTCCCACCCCCACAGCCACCACCGGCACAGGCAGGACCATGCTTCAACTTGCCAAGAGTGTTTCCAGGGACTGGTCCCTCTGGTTCAACGAGTTTGGTGGTTCTCAGCACCAACTGCTTATTGGAATCATCTGAGTAGATTTCAGAAAAGAAACTGTCAATGCCTGGCCCCAGCCCCTGAGAGTCTGCTGTTATTGGTCTCCAGTGGAACCTGGGCCCCAGCATTTTTCAAAGCTCCCCAGGTAATTTGAATGTGCAGTCAGAGTTGAAAGCAGCTGCCATATCCAGTTTGGGTCTCCCTGCCTCTCCCATGTCCCTGGGTTGCCCCAGAAATTTTTTCTCATTCACTGATAATTTTATTGATCAATACAGAGTTTGCAAAAGTGAAGACAGACATGTCAGACCAAACACTGGATTCAGTGTTCTGTTCCATGAGACTGTTCCATGAGTTCATAGTTATTAAAACCAGAACTTAAGCGGGAAACTATAGCAAATGATAGAAACTGAATTTTCTCCTCAGTTTTTAATTTTTAAAAACTTTTAAGGCTGGGTGCAGTGGCTCATGCGTGTAATCCCAGCACTTTGGGAGGCTGAGGTGGCCAGATCATGAGGTCAGGAGTTGAAAACCAGCCTGGCCAACATGGAGAAACCCCGTCTCTACTAAAAATTATCTGGGTGCGGTGGTGGGTGCCCATAATCCCAGCTACTAAGGAGACTGAGGCAGGAGAATCGCTTGAACCCGGGAGGCAGAGGTTGCAGTGGGCCAAGATCGTGCCACTGCACTCCAGCCTGGGCGACAGAGAGAGACTCCGTTTCAAAAAAAAAAAAAAAAAAACACTTTAAAAATTGAAGTATAGTATACACACGGAAAGGCATATGCTGTGTACAGTTTGGTGAATTTTCAGAGTAAATGCCTGTGTAATCAGCACCTGGATCAAGAAATAAGTACCTTCACCCCGTTCCCATTGCCTAGAATTTCTACGGCATTTGGACAAAGGTCAGGCCAGGCCATAGTACAGTAGTACGTGCTGGCTTTGGGCCTAGAGGGCTTCAGCTTGGCCTCCACTGGAATACCTTTAAATACTTTTCACACCTATGTGGGTGCTCCTGAAACTGAGTGGGTTCCCCCTGTGATAGGGCACAGGGTAGGGGCACCCTTCCAGCTCCTCCCCGGTGTCACTCTCTCCCTTATCACCTTTAGTTTCTTTTCTACCTGGGCCTTAGGTGTCCCAGTCCCCTATCTTCGGTGAATCCAAAAATCCATATCCTTTTTTTTGCCTTGTATTCTGTTTTTTGATTTTGTAAGTAATACATATTCTTTGGAAAAATTAGAAAATAGAAATAGGGCTGGGTGTGGTGGCTCATGCCATAATCCCAGCACTTTGGGAGGCCAAAGTGGGAGGATCACTTGAGGTCAGGAGTTTGAGATCAGCCTAGGCAACATAGCGAGACCCTCATCTCTACCAAAAGGAAAAAAAAAAAAGAAAGGGAGCAAAAGAGAGGAATTTGTCCATAATTTCACAGTCCAGTTAGTCATTTTTTTGTTTGTTTGTTTTTTGTTTTTTGTGAGACAGGGTCTGGCCCTGCCGCCCAGGTTGGAGTGCGGTGGCTCGATCTCGGCTCACTGCAGCCTCCACTTCCCAGGCTCAAGCCATCCTCCTGCCTCAGCCTCCTGAGTAGCTAGGACTACAGGCGCATGCCACCAGGCCCAGCTAATTTTTGTATTTTTTGTAGAGACAGGGTTTTACCATGTTGCCCAGGCTGGTCTCAAACTCCTGAGCTCAAGGGATCCCACCCCTCCTTGGCCTCCCAAAGTGTTACAATTACACTTTGGGATGGCATGAGCCACCTCCTCAGGCCCCATTAGTCATTGTTAACCGGAGTATCCCTGCAGACTTTATTCTATGCATATTTCATATCTGTTTAGTGTCGTTTGTAGAAATGGAGTCATGCTGCATTGTAGCACACTTTCCTCTGTGTAATAACTAGCAGTCATTTATTGAGCATTTACCATGTGTGGGGCAGGCACACAGGGGTAAAGTTTTCATAGTTCTCTCTTAGTTTTCAGGACAGCTCCGAGGCAGGTGGTAGCAGCCCCACCTTTCAGAAAGGAAACTGAGATTCAGTCCAGGAGCTTGACCAGAGGTTGATGTTTCACAAGGGATGAAGCTGGAATCCAAGCCAAGGATATCTGACATTAGAGCTGATGCTTGTGTCTGTAGACTGCTGCCTCCCTCCTAGGACCGTCTTTGCATGTTGAACTCATTTACCAAATATGTATTGAGTAGAGGACATCCTTTTCCTTAGTATTTTTTCCTTTCCACTTTAATGTGAATGACTCTAGTGTTTTACACTTAAGTGTGGGTATTGCTGATTGTTTGAGGTCTTCTGGTTGTTGGTTTGAATTCTTCTATATCATGTTGAAGAAATGGTTTCATTACATTTTATTAAGAAGTTTTTTTTTCCAATTAGTAGTGGATGTTTGCTTTTGTCATGTCTGTTTAGCATGGTTTGAAGATCAAATGATATTTCTCCTATTGAATTGTCTTTGCATTCTTTGAATATACTATACTTGGTAATGGGGTGTTTTTTTTTTTTTTTTGAGACAGAGTCTTGCTCTATTGCCAGGCTGGAGCGCAATGGCATGATCTCGGCTCACTACAACCTCTGACTCCCTGGTTCAAGGGATTCTCCCATCTCAGCCTCCCGAGTAGCTGGGATTACAGGCACATGCCATCATGCCCAGCTAGTTTTTTGTATTTTTAGTAGAGATGGGGTTTCACCATGTTGGCCAGGATGGTCTCGATCTCCTGACCTCATGATCCGCCCACCTCGGCCTCCCAAAGTGCTGGGATTACAGGCATGAGCCACCGCGCCTGGCCTGATGGGGTATTTTTTTAACATGCTGTTTGATTTGATTTATTAACATAGGAGTTTTGCATCTATATTTATGAATCAGATTGACCTATAATTTTCCTTTTGTGTTTTTGTTGTCAGATGTTAGTATTAGAATAATAGTAACTTCATATAATGGACTGTGAAGGCTTTTCTTCTTTATTCTTTGGTATAATTTAAATAGTACTGCTTAAATAATAATTCGATTCTTTTTATTGGGGCTGGGCGCAGTGGCTCTCACGCCTGTAATCCCAGCTCTTTGGGAGGCCGAGGTGGGTGGATCACGAGGTCAGGAGATCGAGACCATCCTGGCTAACACAGTGAAACCCCGTCTCTACTGAAAATACAAAAAAAAATTAGCCGGGCGTGGTGGCGGGTGCTTGTATTCCCAGTTACTTGGGAGGCTGAGGCAGGAGAATGGTGTGAACTGAGGAGGCGGAGCTTGCAGTGAGCCGAGATCGCACCACTGCCCTCCAGCCTGGGCGACAGAGCGAGACTCCATCTCAAAAAAAAATAGTAATAATAATTCCATTCTTTTATGAGGGGTGGGTCTTTGCAGCTTTCTGATCTCCCCTCTACTCCCCATAACTAATGTTATCAAATATTTACTTTGTATTTTCCATAGAAATGATCCTTTTCAAATTTATTAACATAATATGTCTACAGCTACTGCTTTTCAGTTCCCTCAGTAGCTGTGGTTTTTTTTTAACTTTCTTCATTTCTAACATTGTATATTTTTTCTTTTTCTTCCATAGCTTTGCTGGAGTTTTATGTAATTTAAAAGCACACAGATCTGTCAGTTGTGCTGTTTTCTAAAGTATTAATTTCTACTGTAGTCTTATATAAATTGTCATCTTTTCCTTAGGTTTATTTGGTATGTCCTTTTTTCTGGATTCTCAGTTGGATCCTTAGCACATTTTTTCTATTTTTTTCTTCTTTGATAACAAATACATTTAAAAATATGACTTTCACCAAGTTCCACTGTGGCCTAATTCTCTTGGTTTTGATATTTTATGTCTGGAGTTCTTGGAGAGGTTTCGATGATATACCCAGCATGAGAATTCCGAGCCCCGATTTAGCCTGACCACCCTTCCTCCCAGTAAGGGCCCTGAGGAGAGTCCCTGTGCATGGCTTGGTGGCACAGCTAGGCAGTGCAGCACTTGGTGACTCCCTTGGGCTCTGTCTCTAAACCCCCAAATAGGGACCCTAGTAATAGCTTACCAGCTTAGCCACCAGGACCTGTGGAATTTTTTTTTCTTTTTCTTTTTTACCCTAAGCAAAATCAGTTTGAATTTATTGCCTAGGATTAGAGCATATCCTAGGCCGAAATGGAAGTTTTGGTAGTATTTAGAAAAGCCTCGTACATTAGCACCAGAAGAAATGAAGCTATATGCTGGGGCAGTGAGAGAAAAAAAACTGAGACTTTGACCCAGAGTTGATGGCCTTGCTGAGCTGGTCTAGGCTGCAGGCTAAAGGCTTGCTCCCTGCATCTTTCATGAGCCTCTAGAAAATATGGTCCAGTTGGGATCCTTCAGTCCATGAAGAGTGTCCCAGGATGGAGAGAACAGAAGAGAGGGACCCACAGTGCCAGGAAAAATGTGGTGGACATCTCTTAGACACCACCTCCTGGGCTCCACTGAAAACCCATTTCTGGATTTCTCCCTTAGAGTGCAGAGTATAGGGTAACAGTGATCATGTGGTGAAGGCACAGTCTCCCCTCTCTGGGTCCAGCAGCGCCTAGTGCAGTAGGGACAGCCCTCTGTGTCCCAGTCTGAACCTGTTCAAGCCATCAGAGGAATGACTTGGCCCAAGGGTCGCACCCAAGGGAGAAGGTGCAGTGCCTTGGGGGAAGATATTCTTACCCTTTATCCTAACTCCTTAGAGAGCCGTGATGGTCAGGAGAAAGGGATAGGCAGGGAGAGGAAGAAAGGATGGACTTTTGAGTTCAACCAAGAAACCAATGGTAGCGGATTGTTTTTTTCCAAAATGCAGAAAGTTTTGAATTTTAAATGAGAATAATGTACGCCCATTTAAATAAATCAATATAAAAGTACATAATTAGAAACTGAGAATCCCTATTTCTTCTCCATCCCAGTATAATCACTATTAACAATTTATATATATCTTTCCAGACTTAAAAATGAGTACATGAACTTACTGCCTTCCTGCAGTAATGTGTTTGTACCCTACTTATTTTTGAGTAGTCTTTTATTCGCTCATAAATAGGTTGAAGACACCTTTCCATGTCAGTACATCTGTCTTTGCCTTTTACATGACTATTGAATATTTCATTTTATGGCTGTATTATAATTTAACTTCTTATTGATGGACATTTACAGTTCTAATTTTTTTGCAATTATAAATGTTGAGGTTATCAATATATTTGTATATAGATTTTTTTGGTTACTTAAGTGTTTGTATAGAACAAAATCATACAAATGAAATTTTAATTGACATTACCAAGTTACTCTCCCCAAAGGTAATTTGATAATATCTATCAAATTTACCTTCCCACCAACACTGAGTGAGGAATTATCAGTCCTTAATTTTTGCCATTTGGCTAGGTAAAATATCTCATTTTAATATCTTCTATTAGTAAAATTGAGAATGTTTTAAAACGTTAGCCATTTTGCATTTATTCTGTGTATTACCTATGTCCATTGCCTATTACATCCATATTACTCTTAGATTGTCTTTTTATTGATCCACAAAAGTTCTTAATATATTATCAGTATATTAAGATATATTATCAATATTAATTTCTTTAAAAAAAAATTCAGGCTGGGCGTGGTGGCTCATGCTTATAGTCCCAGTGCTTTGGCAGGCCAAGGCAGGAGAATTGCTTGAGGCCAAGAGTTCTAGATCAGTGGGGGCAACATAGTGAGACCCCATCTGTACAAAAAATGAACTTGCTTGAGCCCAGGAGTTGGACACTATAGTGTGCTACGATCAGGCCACTGCACTCCAGCCTGGGCTACAGAGCAAGACCCTGTCTCTTTAAAAAAAAAAAAAAAATTCAATGGACTGTTACTTACTCATGTATGCCAGGCACTGTGCTGTTAGGTAGGGATAAAGAAAAAAGAGTGACATGATTCTTACATGCATTATGATAAACATTATCCAAAAATGTAGGCCAGGCACAGTGGCTCTTACACCTGTAATACTAGCACTTTGGGAAGCTGAGGCAGGAGGATCACTTGAGGTCAGGAGTTCCAGACCAGCCTGGCCAACATGGTGAAACTTTGTCTCTACTAAAAATACAAAAATTAGCCAGGCGTGGTGGTGCATGCCTGTAGTTCCAGCTATTTGGGAGGCTGAGGCAGGAGAATCGCTTGAGCCTGGGAAGCGGAGGTTGCAGTGACCCAAGATGGTGCCACTGCACTCCTGCCTGGAGAACAGAGTGAGACTCTGTCTCAAAAACAAACAAACAAACAAAAAAATAAAACCCACAAACCCAATAAAAATGTATAGGTTCTCCTGTCTTTTTTTTTTTTTTTTTGCTTTTACTATTTAATTGACACATAATTATAAATATTTGTGGGGTACAGTATGATGTTTCAATGCATGTATATAATGTATAATCATTAAATCAGGGTAATGAGAATATCCATCACCTCAAACATTTATTAATATTATTTTGTGTGTGTGTTGAAAACATTCAAAATTTACTCTTCTAGCTATTTGAAAATATACAATAAACCAAGCACAGTGGCACACTCCTATAATCTCAGCTACTTGGGAAGCTGAGGCAGCAGAATTGCTTGAGGTGGGAAGTTCAAGACCAGCCTATGCAACAAAGTGAGACCCCTCTCTGTATAGCAAAAAATTTAAAATTAGCCCCGCACGACATTGTATGCCTGTAGTCCCAGCTACTTGGGAGGCTGACATGGGAGGATTGCTTGAGCTTAGGAGTTTGAGGCTGTAGTGAGCTATTTTCACACCGCTGCACTCCACTCCACACACATACAACCAAACAATAAATTGTGAATTATAGTTGCCCTATGGTGCTATAGAACACCGCAACTTAGTCCTTCTATCTGGCTGTGCTGTTTAATGTGTTAACCAACCTTTGGGTATTTCCCCTGCACCCCTGCCCTCCCCAGCCTCTGATAACCACTGTTCTTCTCTCTGTTTCTATGAGATCAACTTTTTTTAGCTTCCACATTTGAGTGAGAACATGTGGTATTTATCTTTCTGTCCCTGGCTTATTTCACTTAACATATCCTCCAAGCTCATCCATGTTGCCACAAATGACAGTATTTTGTTGTTGTTGTTTTTTTAATTGCTAACTAGTATTCCATTATGTGCACGTACCACGTGTTCTTTATCCATTGACTGATACTTCGGTCGATTCCATATCTTGGATGTTGTCAATACTGCCGCAGTAAACATGGGAGTACAGACATCTCTTTGACACACCTATTTCAATTCTTTTGGACGTATATCCAGAAGTGAGATTGCTGGATCATACGGTAGTTCTAGTTTTAGTTTTTTTGAGAAACCTCCATGCTGTTTTCCGTAATGGCTGTACTAATTTACATTCCCACCAACAGTCTGTAAGAGTTCCCCTTTCTCCGCATCCTCACCATCATTTATTTTTTGTCTTTTTCTTAACAGCCTTTTTAACTGGGATAAGATGAAACCTCTTCTGTCTCTTTTTTTTTTTTTTTTTTTTTTTGAGACGGAGTTTTGCTCTTGTCGCCCAGGCTGCAGTGCAGTAGCACAATCTCGGCTCACTGCAACCTCCTCCTCCCGGATTCAAGCAATTCTCCTGCCTCAGCCTCCCGAGTAGCTGGGATTACAGGCATGTGCCACCGTGCCCGACTAATTTTGTATTTTTAGTAGAGACGGGGCTTCTCCATGTTTGTCAGGCTGTTTTCGAACTCGCGCCCTCAAGTGATCGGCCTGCCTTGGCCTCCCAGAGTGCTGGGATTACAGGTGTGAGCCACCGTGCCTGGCCTTCTTCTGTCATCTTAAGTGAGAAAACATAGTATAGCTTTCATCGTTATGAGGGTTTTGATACTAACTTCTGTTACGTTTTGAAAAAAATTTTGGCCTGTTTGTCTTTCATTGTGTCTATCATAAAAATTTGATTTTTATACAACGAGAATTCATCAGTATTTTGGCTTTTCTTACTTAAGTTTTATTTTAGATGTTCAGATTTCTAAGGTGAGATTTATTTTTGCATGCGATATAAGATAGGGATTGAACTTTTCCTAAATAGAAAGCCTGTTATCCCCAATCTATTTATTGGGTATTTGTAGTTTCCCTTGTAGTGTATGAATTCTACCTTAAGCATTTCATAAGTACTCTTACAGTCATGGGTGTTTTAAGGCCTCTTTTTACTTCCATTGACTTATTTGTCTGATTCTGTGTATTTCATTGTTTTAATTACCACCATTTTTATATAATACTTTGGTTTAAAACATACTTCTTACTTTTTTTTTTTTTTTTGGCATTTCTTTCTCCAAATAAGCTTATAAACAACTTACCATGTTCTGCGAAAAATACTGGGATTTTTCAGTTGGAATCACATGAAACGTACAGGTTATTTTGGGGAGAATAGATAGCTTTACAATGAATCTTCCTATCCAGAGAAAGGGAAGTAGACCTTTCCGTTTATTCTAGTCTTTTTTGTGTGTTCATCAAAGTTTTAAGGCCAGGTGTGGTGGCTCATGCCCCATAATGCCAGTGCTTTGGGAGGCTGAGGCGGGAAGACTGCCTGAAGCCAGGAGTTTGAGATCAGCCAGGGTAACATAGTGAGACCCCCCGCCAACCCTCATCTCTACAAAAAATAAAAACTAGCTGGGTGTGGTGGCGCATGCCTGTAGTCCCAGCTACTTGGGAGGCAGATGTGGGAGGATCGCTGTAGCCCAGGAGTTG
The DNA here is from genome assembly GCF_000001405.40 of Homo sapiens. NCBI lineage: Eukaryota > Metazoa > Chordata > Mammalia > Primates > Hominidae > Homo > Homo sapiens. The sequence continues at coordinate 74,019,190 of NC_000002.12, forward strand.
GAGGCTGCGGTGAGCTATGATCTGGCCACTGCACTCCAGTCTGGGCGACAGAAGGAGACTCTGTCTCTAATAAAAACCAAACAAACAAAATAAATGAAACGTTTTAAGGTTTTCTTCTTACACATTTCTTGTGAAGTTTCTTCCTAGATATGCTGTAGCTGCTGTTGTTGCTGTTGGGAATGGGATCTTTTCTGTTATACTTTGTATCCCATCTTTGCCCGCATATTAGAAATGCAGCTGCTCTGTGCTGCCTCTTCTGACACTTCTGTCCCTTTCTCCCTCAAGTCCTCATGGTATATTGTCTGTACCTCCGTGGCAATACTGTGTGCCTGAGTGTGAGTTCCCAGTGGTGGGGTGCTCATCTCACTCCATTTCATGTCACCAGTACCTGGCACAAAGCCTAGCATGCGGTAAATCCTTTTAATAAACGCCGTGGCATCAGATTGATGAGAGGGACAGTGAGCTTCACCTCTTCAAAGTGTGACAGCCTGGGCCAATGTGAGCAGCAGAATCTCAAGCAGCCCTGGCTCCAGGCCCTGCAGGCTGTGATCTGGATAACAGATTGGGCACCCTCCTTGTCCCCGCAGGAAAAAGGAGGTCCTGGGCCATTTTTCCACGTGCAGACATCAGGGAGGAGCCCTCTGAGCCTCTATCTCATTATTATCCTGAGACCCACAGCCCCCTTGTTGTTAGCCCTCATTAGTGCTAACTAGTTGGGAGAACTGCTTTCTTAGCTTCCAATCATTTCAAGGTAGCACAAACAAACTTATCTGCAGCTTCCCTTAGGGGATGAGGACTCATCAAGGCTGGAAGCAGAGCTTGTACAGAACATTGTGAGATGGGTTCACACCTATGTGCCCAGTCACCTTCTCTCATATGGTAGTGCCTTTCTTTTTTCTTCTACTATTCTCCTCCAGAGTATATGCATCCCCCCAACCCAGTATGTCCTACGTGAAGTTTATTCCTATCCGTGTGCTAATCTTTACCATAGCGTTTGCATTTGTTTTTCCCTTGAGACAGAGTCTCACTCTGTCACCAAACCTGGAATGCAGTGGCATGATCTTAGCTTACTGCAATCTCTGCCTCTGGGTTCAAGTGATCCTCCCACCTCAGCCTCCCTAGTAGTTGGGACTACAGGTGCATACCACCACACCCAGCTATTCTTTGTATTTTTTTAGAGATGGGGTTTCACCATATTGCCCAGGCTGGTCTTGATTTCTGGGGCATAAGTGGTCTGCCTGCCCAAAGTGTTGGGATTACAGGCATGAGCCACAGTGCCCAGGCTTGGTGTTTGCATTTTATATGTAAGCTTTTGTTTGTAATTGGGGAATGGCAGGCACTATTCCTTGATGGAGCTGTCTGGGGCATGCCAATTCACTCTGTACCCTTGGCAGTGGTTCCAGACTCTCAGGTCCCTGCCCCCACTGGTCTCTGCTGCCCCTGGAGCAAGGATGGTGATGTCTACCTGCCTTGGAGGGACCCAGGAACAAGGGAACTCCCACCTCTTGTTCAAGGGCTTGAGGGCTATGCCCTTGGAGAGAAGGGAATCCCTGCTGTTGTTAAGCAGGGGTCAGGATTTCTGCCTCTCAACATGCATAAAAAGAAGGTGGGAGTGAGGACGTGAGCTGATTTCTAATCCCTCTCTAGCAGTTGTGCATCTGGTTCAGCGTGTCCCGGGGTTTCCCTGGGTTTTGCTTGACCGCAGCAGTAAGCTGTTCCTCATTTATCCCGTGGTCTGTGCTCACCCTCCCCTTCCCACTCACTCATCTCCCATGCTCAGGGTGGCAGAGGACATAGAAATGCTTCTCTGGCTCCTCTGCTGGTTTGTTTTAATCCCTGGGAAACATTGGAACCAAGAGGACACTCAAGAAATACTGGATTGGGGAAAAGATCTGGAAGTATTGCTCTATCTGCCCCTATCCCCTGCTGTTGGTTTCTTACTTCATCTCCCAGTGCCCACCTGGGGCCTCTGAGTCTCCCCAGCCAGGTGGCCCTGAGGCTCCCCATGAGGCCCCAGCTGCATCCACAGCTGCATCTCTGCCAGCTCTGGAGGAGCTGCTTTCTCAGGGTGCTGAGCAGAGACTCTGACAGATGGACCTCCATGAACCGATGGAGCTGTTCCAGATGCCTCCTTACAGAGCAGAGCGCATTCTGGCAGTGAGGCCACGATGCAGGGCTGCCTAGGGCTTTAGCCCACCCGTTGGACAAAGTCTGTTTCTACACTGCCACCTCCATCCATGTTTTGGCGTTTCAGAGAGCATCAGCACTGACCACTGAATGGCCAGGCCTGCATGTGCATATGGGAGGTGGGAAGAGACTACTGTCCCTGGTCAGCCTGTAAGAACCTCAGTTCACCTGGTTTCTGAACCAGCCGAGGCCTTCCCCTCATCTGCACTCACCCTCAACCCCATAGGATTATGGGAAGGGGTTCTCAAAAGGTCGTTCAGGGGCCACCTGGGTCAGAATCCCTTCCATGGTCAGGCAGCGTTGATCTCTGGTGGGACCTGGGAATCTGCATCCATAACCAGCTTCCTACAGGTGATTCCCACGCCCAATGGAGTTTGAGAACTGCTGGCCTGTGAACTAATGTTAACAAAAGAGGCTGCCTGTTTGGGGCTTCCAGTACTTGATCAGGACTGAAAAGATATGCCTTTAAATGCCATGATGGTTTGTGAAAAGGCCAGGTGCTATGCAAACACTTGTGAAAACACAGGAAGACATTTCAGATATGATCAAACTCTAGGAAATAGTTAAAACTTTTTTTTGCCATTGTCTATTACAAAGAATAAAAATTCACTGTAGAAAAATCAGAAAGTTCAGATAAGCAGATAGAGAAAAATAAAAAAGTCCATAATTTTTCTACTCAGAGAGAACTCCTGTTACTATTTCAGTCTTTCTAGGACACTTTTTTTTTTTTTTTTTTTTTTTCCATTTTAAATGTTTCTGGTCTTTTCCCTCTGGGATTGTCAAAATAATACATGTTTATTGTAAAACTATTTCTTTTCTGATTGGCATAAAAATGAGTGCAAAATGTTTGATTTGCAAATCTTTCCTTGCTATGTTTAGTTGTGATCTTTTTTCTTTGTGAATATATTTTTATTTCCTTTATTTTTTGTGTATGCTTTTTTTATGAATGGTAAGACAGCTTCATGTATTAGTGGTATTAACTCTTTATCATGCTTTGGCAAGTATTGCAAATTTCTTTTAATGTATGTTTGGGGGGTTTTTTGTTTGTTTTTTGTTTTTTTGTTTCTTGAGACAGAGTCTCACTCTGTTGCCCCGGCTGGAGGGTTTTTTTTTGTTTGTTTTGTTTTTTGCCAAACTTTTTTTTTTTTACATGCTTGTGTGATCAAATCTAGCTCCAGTAGTTAATCGGTTTATTATTTTTTTTTCTTTTGGTTGTGCCAGACAGAACACAGAACAGGCACTGCTTTTGCAAATTAAGAGGAATTGAGGGGCAATTAGGCAGGTATAGGCCAGACCAGTGCTTCTCCACTTTATCTTCTTCATCCAGATAACCTGGGATTCTTACTACAATGCATTTTCAAATTCAGTGAGTCTGAGATGAGGCTGAGAGTCTGCTTTTTATTTTTTTTATTTTTTTGAGATAAGAGTCTTGCTCTGTCGCCTAGGCTGGAGTGCAGTGGCATGATCTTGGCTCACCGCAACCTCCACCTCCCAGTTCAAGCGATTCTCATGCCTCAGCCTCCCAAGTAGCTGGGACTACAGGCACTCGCCATCACGCCTGGCTAATTTTTGTATTTTTTGTGGAGATGGGGTTTCACCAAATTGACCAGGCTGGTCTTGAACTCCTGACCTCAAGTGATCTGTTGACCTCTGCCTCCCAAAGTGCTGGGATTACAAACGTGAGCCACTGCGCACGGCCTTATTCTGCATTTTTTAACCTCTGAGGTCATGTTGATGCTGCTGTTCCTTGGACCACATTTTTGAGTAGCAAGGGGCCAGGAGTTTCCAAACCTGGGTGACCATCAGAGGTACCTCATCAGCATTGATATTAATTAATTTTCAGATATGTAGTTTGATTTATTTTTATTTTTATTTAATTTCGAGACAAGGTCTTGCTGTGTCACGTAGGCTGGAGTGCAGCGGTGCTGCGATCATGGCTCACTGCAGCCTCCACCTCCTGGGCACAATCACTCCTCCTGCCTCAGCCTCCTGAGTAGCTGGGACTACAGGTGTGCGCCATCACACCCAGCTAATTTTTCTATTTTTCGTAATGATGGGGTCTCACTGTGTTGCCTGAGCTGGTCTTAAACTCCTGGACTCAAGTGATCGTCCTCCCTCGGCCTCCCAAAGTGCTGAGATTACAGGTGTGAGCCACAGCGCACAGTTTAGTTATGATTTTCAGGAGCATTTTGGAACTCAGAGTTTTTCTGCACCTTAATCCAGAGACTTTAGGCTGTGGGACTGAGCCTAGCTTGGCCACATCTGGTTGGTGACTTCCAGACAGTGGCTCCCAGTGGCTCTGGTGATTGATATTATCAGTATTTCTATGACTTCTTGAATATGTTTTCCTAGAAAATTGTTCTTTAATTCATGTTTTCAAAGTTTTTAGTAAAGCATTTCACAGATGGTGGTTATATTCCTTTTATATTTCTAATATTTGTTTTTTTCTTTTTAAAATAACCAGTCTTGTCAGAGGTTTGTTTGTTTTATTGGTTTTCAGGAGAGTCATCTCTTGGATTCATTTATAAATACCACTACATTTTGTTTTCTAATCCACTATTTCTGTCTTTATCCCTCCTGATTCAGTTTTTCCTACCTTTCTTTGTTTTTATTTTCTAGCTTCTTGGATTGAAGCCTCAATTACTTTTTTCTCATTTAGTAAAACTATTTATGAAAACATGAATTTTTCTAATAGATACTGTTCTCACTGATATTTAATCTTTAGATATGTAGTTGTGTGTGACTTTATTTTTTTCCTTCATCCTGGAGTTATTTAGGAGACTTGCTTAGGATTTCCAGATGTTGTATTCCTTTCAGTTAGCAAGGGCTTGAAGGCTGCCTTCCCAGGGCCCTACTCGTTTGCAGACCAGTCTGTGAGTCTGTGCTCTGCATGGTCTTGTATGCTCATGGTTGGAACTTGTGCAGGTGTGTTGCTGAAACTTTGAGTTGGCCCTCTGGCATGCACATGACAGGGGCTGTCTGTGCCCTCTGTGTGTGGAGGGAAGGGGTCTTGGGAGGAGAGAGGGTGGACCCTGTTCCCAGGCACTCTGTTTCTCCTGTCAGCCTTGCCTCTTCAGGCTGTTGCCCAGCCTGGAGACCATCCAGGCGGCCCCCTTCTTCCTTGCCCTCTGCTCTGCGGTGGTCATCCGGTACCCAGGGTGGTGTCTGGGGCTCAGTGTCCCTCAGTGTTAGATGAGCTGAGGGCTGGTGGAAGGGGGATGGGATTAAGTCAGAGAACTTGAGTTCTGGAGCCCCTCCTGCCTCCAACCAGCCATTTGTCAGTGACTGCTTGTTTCACCGTTTCCTGTTCCTCGTTGTAAGATTTGGGGAATGTTACCTTTTCACAGAAACTAGAAAAGCCATAGATACCATACAGTAAACATCACTCTTTTAAAAAATATTTTTTATTTCGGCATAATTTCAGAGTTTTACAAAAGTTGCAGGAATAGTACAAAGAATTCTCTTCACTTGGATACCTAAATGTTAATATTTTACTACATTTGCTTTATCCTTTTCTTTCTCTGTAATTTGTATTTGAACCATTTGAAAGTAAGTAGCAGGCCAGGCGCCGTGGTGGTGGCTCACGCCTGTAATCCCAGCACTTTGGGAGGCCGAGGCGGGTGGATCATGAAGTCAGGAGATCAAGACCATCCTGGCTAACACAGTGAAACCCCGTCTCTACTAAAAATACAAAAAAGTTAGCCGGGCGTGGTGGCGGGTGCCTGTGGTCCCAGCTGCTCAGGAGGCTGAGGCAGGAGAATGGCGTGAACCCGGGAGGCGGAGCTTGCAGTGAGCCGAGATTGTGCTACTGCACTCCAGCCTGGGTGACAAAGCGAGACTCCGCCTCAAAAAAAAAAAAAAAAAAGTAAGTAGCAAAACTGATGTCCTTTACTACTAAATAGTCAAATGTAGGTTTTTGTTTTTTTTTTTGAGATGGAGTCTCGCTCTGTTGCCCAGGCTGGAGTGCAGTGGCGCGATCTCGGCTCACTGCAAGCTCTGCCTCCCGGCTTCACGCCATTCTCCTGCCTCAGCCTCCGAGTAGCTGGGACCACAGGCACCCACCACCACGCCCGGCTAATTTTTTGTATTTTCAGTAGAGACGGGGTTTCACCTTGTTAGCCAGGATGGTCTCGATCTCCTGATGTCGTGATCCGCTGCTGGGATTACAGGCGTGAGCCACCGCACCCGGCCTGAATGTAGGTTTTCTAAAATCATGTCAATAACCACAAAGGAGCCATCAAAATCAGGAAGTTAATGTGGATACAGCATTATTATACCAGCTAACCTAGGCTTACTTAAATTTTACCAATCGTTACAACCTCTCTTGTAAGAGAAACCCCCCAGATCACATGCTGTGTCCAGTGGTCAGTTTGTTGTTTGTTTAAGTCTCCTTTAATCTGGAGCAGATTCTCAGTTTTTCCTGATATTTTTAAAGAATTGTTTTTGGCCAGGCGCTGTGGCTCATGCCTGTAATCCCAGTGCTTTGGGAGGCCAAGGTAGGAGGATCACCTGAGGCCAGGAGTTTGAGAGCAGCTTGGGCGACAGAGTGAGACCTCATCTCCAAAAAAAAATAATAATAATAATTGTTTTTAAGCACATGAGGAAGCTGACTCCTTGTCCTCATAGCTCCCAGGGAACACTCAGCTCCTAGTTGTGTGTCATCAGCAAAGCCTAAGGCAGAGAGGTGGGGCAGGGCCCAGCTCCCCAGGAAGCTGCCTTCTGCTCTCCCCTTTGCCCCTCTGTAATACCAGGCCACAGCATCCCACCCCACCCTACCCCACCCATTCCCTGGCTGGTTTGGTGTTAGCCTGGGATGGAGGCCATCGCTGGGGGGAGAGAGGGACTTTGACACTGGTCTGCCACTGCCTCTCCCTGAGATCAGGGCTGAGGAACAGAGATCACTGCCTTGGGTAGGGCCCAGCCGCTGCTTTCTGAAGAGTAACACCCTCGGTTTGGGGATGTGGGTTTTAACACCCCTGTCACCCCCCTCTCCCCCACCCCAAAACTTTGAGGCCAGTGGCCGGGGATTGTTAATCCCCAGTCAGAGGTGTGTGTCCCAACTGAGGTATGTCCCGAGGGTGAGCCAGAGGGAGCAGGTTGCCTGTTCTCGGACCTAAGGAGGTTCCAGAGTGGTTATTTGCATTACAAGGGCAGTGCTTAACAGATAATTGACTGTTAGGTTATCTTTTAGTAGCAGAACTCCCTTGTATAATAGATATTAAAAACATGATTTGTTTTTTAACAAATGATTTGCATTTAGCTTTTTAAGGTCATGCTTATTGCATATTATGCATTCTTTGTCTCACTTATTTTTATTTTATTGAATCGCTCGCAAACTTCCCCTCCAACTTTTTTTTTTTTTTTAATTCTAAGGGCCTTTGAACCAAGTTCCATTTCCTGTTTTCTAGTTATCTGTGACTCTACCCAGGGAATCAGCTGGTTTTAAGTCAGTGGTTCTCATTTCCAGGCCCCCTGCCCATGCATTTCCAGAGCTCATCTCTCTCTTCCCCAACCCAGAGCTCAGGGCTGTCCCAGCTTGCTTTTCTCCCCACTCAAGAGTTGCCACCACTCCTACTGTCCCCTGCAGTGACGTGGGAGGTATTCTTCCCATCTTTCTTTGACGGAAAAGGGACCACCACTACTTTCCCTGAGATAAGACCCTCCTGTTTTCACTTTCACTTGTAACCCAGTAGGGAAATAAAAGGAGAGAGAAATGCTGATGAACGAGTTGCAGAGAATGAATTGCACGACACTCTTGCCTTTCCCTTTCCTCTGTCCCTGTCTCCCAACCATTGTTTGAGGGTGAGCTCACTGGCTCACCCACCCTCCTTGAGCTTGTGTTCAGTTTCTGCTTTTGCCTCAAAGCTGCTTATGGAGATGCAGATGAAGGATCAATGTGTGCTTTCTCGTTTTCTTAGCCTTTTAGACTTTCGGGGTAGAAGGTGGGTGATGAGAAGTGACTTTTTTTTTTTTTTTTGAAATTACAGTTTTATTGAGATATAAATCATATACAGTTCACCCATTGGCAGTGTATAATTCAGTGGTTTTAGTGTAGTCAGGATTGTGCAACCAACACCACTCTCTTAGTTCACAAAATTTTTATCCATCCCTAAAAGAAACCCTGTGGCAAATAGCATTCACTCCTCTTTGTTCCCCTAACCCCCTCAGCCCCTGGCAACCACTTATCTTTCTGTCTCTGTGGATTTACCCAATCCATGCATTTCATATAAATGGAATGTTATAGTATATATCTTTAGTGTCTGGCTGACTTAGCATAACATTTTCAAGGTTCATCCATGTTGTAGCCTGTGTCAATACTTTATTCCTTTTCATGACTGCATAATATTCCATTGTATGCACAGACCACATTTTGTTTATCCATTCTTTAGTCACTGGACATGTAGGTTATTTTCACTTTGGGCTGTTATGAATAATGCTGCTATGAACATTTATATACACGTTTTTGTGTGAACATGCCCATTTTAAAATTGGGGTTTTTTGGTTAAGGGGTTGTAAGAGTTTGTTATCTCTTCTATATGAGTTCCTTGAATATGATTATATGTATATATGTATATGATTTATAAATTTTTTTCCCATTGTGTGGGTTTTTTTCACTTTTTTTTTAAGAGGCAGGGTCTTACTCTGTCATCTGGGCTAGAGTGCAGTGGAGTGATCATGGCTCACTGCACCTGGAACCCCTGGGCTCAGGGGATCCTCCTGCCTCAGCCTCCCAAGTAGCTAGGACTACAGATGTGTGCCACCACCATGCCTGCCTAATTTTAAAAAAAAAATTATGTAGAGCAGGGGTCTTGCTTTGTTGCCTGGGCTGGTCTCAGACTCCTGGCATCAAGCAATTCTTCAGCCACCCAAAGTGCTGGAATTACAGATTTGAGTTACCATGCCTAGCCGTTTTTTTTTTCACTTTCTTGATGGTGTCCTTTGAAACTCAAAAGTTTTTAATTTTGATGAAGTACAGTTTATCTTTTTTCTTTTGGTCTCATATCTGAGAAAGTTCTGCCTAATCCAAGATAATAAATATTTATGTCTGTTTTAGAGTTTTATAGTTTTAGTTCTTACACTTGGGTCTTTGATCCATTTTGAGTGAGTTTTTGTATATGGTGTGAGGCAGGGGTTCACATGCTGTTGCAACTGGATAACCAGTTGTCCCAATTAAAAGACTGTTCTTTTCCCATTTAATTATCTTAGTGTCTTCTCACTGTTTTGTAGATGTTTATAGTAGATGAGAGAGCTAGATTGGTCTTTATAGCTTTTTTATTGGTTACTTGCATGTATTGTTTGGTATTAACATTTACATGATGTACATCAGTTATCTTCAAAATTTCTGGTGAAGGACTAAGTTTTAAAAATTTCTAATTCATGGACTGATAATTTTGTAAAAATAAGAATGAATTACTAGAAAAATGATCATGTGCTTAGATGCCATGACAATGTCAAATTGTGATACAAGTGTCTAAAGTTAACACTCTTAGCTTTTGTATTTACCTTGTCACAGACTAATGGAGATAGCAGAATAGTGCTAGTCCATAGATCACACTTACAGGAGTCCTGGCCAAGACTCAGCTGGCCATGCTCAATCTGCTTATCTCTTGCTGGGCATGTCTTCAACCAGTGTTTGTAGAACCATGGGCCTTAGGGGGTCTCATGATTGTTACCTTGGGGTACTGGAACAGCAAATACTAGTGTTACTACTGCTTCTCCTCCAATCTTGAAAGGGGCAGTTGTCCCCAAAGGCTTACTAGACACGTACCTTTTATATTTGTAGTCACCCAAATAAGATGAAGCCCTTGTACTAATGTGAGTAAAATCCTACCCCTACCTGTTGTTATCAAGGTTGCTTCCTACAGCCTTCAAGGTTGAGTAGAATCCATCCATTCAGCCTTTAGTGCCAAGTTGCCATCCCTGTTCTCAAGGGAATAATAAGCCCAAATAGACATGGAAGGAGGAGGAAAGACACTATTCCAACAGTCAATACGTCCCTTGGGAATATAGCAAACAGGAGAAAACCTAGAGATTCAGCCTCCGGGGCCCTGTGTGTGCTATATACATGCCAGAGAAAACAGTACAGCTATTAAAAATGAAATTCTTGAAGAATAGTTAACAATATAGGAAAATGTTTATACAGTTAGGGAAGAAATTAGCATATGAGAAAAAACCACTGATATACTCAGTCATCCCAGTTTTGTAAATTAAGTGTATGTTGCATAGTTAAAAAAGATACCAAATACAAACTATAGTCATCTTTAGGCAGTGGGAGATTTTTACATCTTTTTTATTCTCCACAGTGAAAAGAACCTCTTGTTCTGTCTCTCTCAGCAACTTCTACTGAAGCTGTCCTTTCTGTTCCTTATTCTATGCCTATGACCTCTCTTTATTCTCTTGGATCATCCACCAGGGTTTTCTCTGGCTCTATAATGAGTTTGTAGTATGCCTTTGATATCCTGTCAGTAACTACACTAGTGGCAGCTTCACTTGGAGATAAAGTCACTGTTAATATCAGTTTTCATTGCTTTCATCACATACTCAAAACCACAGAGTATGTATGTAACATGGGTTTATGTTGCCCTGCACATGTTAGTGATAGTGGTACAGTATCAGTTCCTAAAGGAACTTGCCTTTGAATAGGATCTAAGACAAAATCAAACGTCTAAAAAGTCCCTATCCAAGAGAAAGGACTCTGTTTGTTCACTACTCTATCCACAAAGAAGTGATGCGGAATGTATATTTGTTTGAGAGATAAATGAATGAATACATAATTATGTATGCATATAGGAAAGGAATGGTTGTTATGATGTGCTGATAGCATCAGTGAGTGACATCTCATAATTCTGTGGGCTGCAAATACTTATTTTCACTTTTTAAAAAAACTACCTAGTTTTCTCATTTGTGTGCTTGGTTTTACATAGTTGGCAGTCTAAACTTCATACAGTATGGTATTCTGCTATTCTTCCTATTTCATCTAGCTTTTTTCCTTAGTGTTTATAATTGCAGGTTTAGATGAGTGTATAATACTCTGTTGAATTGTATCATAGTTTACCAAACCAAGCCCCTCATACTGAGTTTTCAGCTTTCACTAATGTGTGGAAAGATTTTTTTTAATGCAAACTTATAAGCTCAAGTTTCTAGGAATAGCACTGCTTGATGGAAGTAGTCTTTATTGCTCTTGATAACATTTGTTCATGTGTTCATTTATTTGCTTATCTACAGATTTATTTACTTATTTATTTTTACTGTTTGAACCAAGACAGAAGTTGTAAGTTGTGAATTAGAAGGCACCCTGGCCTGGGAGCTGGGTGATGGGGGTTCAAGGCTCAGTGGGTTGAATATGAGTCCAACAGTAGTGTTCTGGGGTGGAAGCAGAGGCAGGGGGCCAGTCAAGGAGCCACCTCCTGAGTTTGTCCTTGTGAGAGATAAATGAGGAGAAAACAAAAAGAAGGCAGATCTGAAATGCTCTACAGGAGCAGTTGGCAGGACTAGGGTTTGCTTGCATATGGAAACATCAAGAGGACATCAGAGGGGATGGAAGGGTTTAGCCAGGATGCCCAGGGGAATGGATCTTAACGTGATTTTTTTTTGTAAAGGGATGTCCGGGGGGGAGTTGCTGAGGAAAAGGATGCAGGCGCTGAGTTAAGTTGTAAATGTGATGGGCTTAAGTTGCATTCAAGTGGAAGTGTGTCTGGTAGCTGGAAAGCAGTCAAGGAAAAAGGAAACTTTGGGGCTGTTGGTGCAGGCTGAGCGGTGGGGCCTTGATTGGAGGGGAGGCTTCTGAGGGGAGCATGGGGCGATGGAGAGCAGTGAGGGCAGGAGAGTGGAGAACAGCTCTGTTGAGGGGACGGAGGAGGAAAAGGAGAATGGAGGAGGACCAGTAACCGGCAGGGTCACGGAAACCCAGGGTGGGCAGGTGAGTGGGTGATCTGCTGCCACAGACAGGCCAGAGAGACGAGGGACCCCCGTGGCCTTCCTCATCACCCCGACTCTCAGAAACAGATAATGGTTGCGCAAATGCCTAGGTTCCTGTTCTGTTTCTCCAGCATTGCACCCAGGCCTTTCAGATGAACATGTGCAAACCCAGATTACTGGCATCTTTCAGTTATCTGGGCTAATAAACGAGTAGTGACTGTGGATAATGAAGCTTTACACACTAAGATGAGTTGTGTGACTTTTCCAGGAGTTGAAGTTTAGGATAAAGAGGATTAATTTGTGCTCCCCAATTTCCTGCCTTCTGGACAGCAGCAGGCTTCCCTAAATGGCATTTCCTAGCCTACTCTGTGAAGTTGATCTTGTGGCTGGTAGGTGGATACCCTCTGCCAAAAATTAATTTTCCTCTAGATTTTTGGGTGGTCACTTAAAGATTTATTTCTTTGAATGAAAAACTTAGGTCTTAAGTCCTTCAGAAAGGATTGAGTGGGGGCAAACACACAGGGATTCCTGTGAAAAGCTGAAATCCATGAATATTTATTGAGGCACATGTGGGAGCTCATTCTCCAAAAGAATGATTAGAACCTTGGTACCTGGGAGGCCATGGGCATCCACTATTGACTCTGATGTTGGATTCTACTTTGCCACTCACCAATTCTGAGCTTTGGAGTATGTTAGTTATCCTCTCTGTACCTCATCTACTAAAATGGATGTGGAATTGTTGGAAGAATAGAAAGGTTACATTTAAACGTAAAGGTGCTTATTTAAAGTTTGCACTCAGCACTCAAAACTGTGGGCTGCTGTCCTCCTTCTCTAAACCTGGCCCCTTTGACACACCTGAGCTGTCAGTGGGTTTTGAGGGATTGGGGGCTTCTTTAGGGAAAGTACATGGAGCCTTTAGTGAAGGACTGGCTCTGCGGGGGACTGTGGTGTTAGCAATGCATGCTTTCTGTTTCTTTAGCCTATTAGACTTTTGGGGTAGGAGGTGTGGGTGATGAGGAGTAGATCTGTGCTGTTGGGTGGGAGGAGTTGTGAGAATGCCCTGCCTCGCTGGGAACTGATGGGGGCTTTTCTGGCCATGGGACGTGCACCATGGGGCTTGGGCGATGGCCCCAGCGGCTGCAAGAGGGGTGTGTCTCTGTGTGTGTGTGTGTGTGTGTGTGTGTGTGTGTGTGTGTGTGTGTGTGTGTGTGTGTTAGGGGAGTTGAGGCCCTTGCTGGGTCTGGCTGAGGAGCTGCCTCCGCGTCATGACCTGGTTCTTGTGTGCTGGCAGCTTCAGAGCAGCTGCTGCTGCTTTTTGCCAGGCCTCAGATGTGGTTAGGCTCGATTTCCTCCCGGCTGGCCTCTGTCCACCGGCTGCTTGAGGCAGGGGCTTCCGTCAGGAGAGCTGGATCCTGCTCTGGGCCGCAGATCAAGAGGCTAGGGGTGGGGCATGGGGAGCCTGCAGAGCAGCCAGCAGCTGTGCTCCCCCTTCACCCCCACCTGCTGCAGGGGAGCGTGTGCTGCCCAGGCGATAACTTTGCATAGGTTAGAGTTGCAGGGCTATATTTTGGAGTTCTGGTCCGAGAACAGCAAGTTAGTTACATAGAACTTTTAATGGGTGGGAGTTTCAGGCTTGGCACCCCATCTCAACTAGGCTTATCTTCACCTTCCAGTGCGTCTCATCTCTTAGAAATTTTCTTCATTTTCTTTCTGCATTATGTGTGATCTGCCTCTGTGTTATAACTGCGTACAGCTCTCTAGCAACAGAAATAGCACAAAAAATACCCAGAAATTTTCCCTGACTGCTCCCTTCTCGTCTCGTTCACAGACATGTGTAGTTTGCAGTTTCAGGTGTTTTATAGGTGTTCTATTCTTAAATCTTTTTCCCCTAAATAAAAATGAAAATACCTATGATAAATTTTGGAAACTATAAACGAGAAAGTTACTCATCCTCTATCACGCAGAGGATAAGCACTGTTAACATTTCTGTATGATTCCCCTTGCTGTTTTGTGTGTTTACACAGGCATGCGTTGTGATTGAATTGAACTGTTAAATTGGGCAATATTTTGAATCCTATTTTTTCCCCCATTTCAAATATTATGTACTTCCCCCATCATAAAAACCTTCTGAAAGCATTCATTTAATAAGTACATTCTCAAGTTTCACTTTTTCATTTAATACATTTAGTTTTATGTTCTTATTCCATATCATTTTAAGCAGTTGTGTACATCTACTGATTAAATATTATAAACAGGCATACGTTGGAGATACTGCAGGTCCAGCTCTAAACCACTGCAATAAAGTGAATATGGCAGTACAGCTGGTCACGTGAACTTTTTGGTTTCCCAGTGCATGTAAAAGTTGTGTTTACATTATATTGTAGTCTAGCAAGTGTGTGATAGTATTATGGCTAAAAAAATGTGTACATACCTTAATTTTAAAATACATTTTTGCCAAAAAATGCTAACAAAGTAAGCACATGCTATTGAAAATGACACCAGTAAGATTTGCCCAATGTGGCTGGGCACGGTGGCTCACTCCTGTAATCCCAGCACTTTGGGAGGCTGAGGCGGGCGGATCACCTGAGGTCAGGAATTCGAGACCAGCCTGGCCAACATGGCCAAATCCCATCTCTACTAAAAACACAAAAATTAGCCAGGGATAGTGGTGGGCACCTGTAATCCTAGCTACTTGGGAGGCTGAGGCAGGAGAATCGCTTGAACCCAGGAGGCGGAGGTTGCAGTGAGCCGAGATCGTGCCATTGCACTTTAGTCAGGGCAACAAGAGCAACACTCTGTCTCAGAGAAAAAAAAAGAAAAAGAGACTTGCCCAATGTGAGGTTGCCACAAACCTTAAATTCGTCATTAAAAAAAAAAAACAACAAACCACCCCCAGTATCTGTGAAACACAATAGAATGAAGCACAATAAAACAAGGTATGGCTGTATTATAGTTTTTTTTTTTATGTATTACTTGAACCATACTTGACCCTAGTATTTTATATATGTTAAACAGATAAAGCATAATAATAAACACATGCCAGTTCCCCAAGTTAGCTGGAATATTGCCAACATCATTGAAATTACCTGGGTGTTTTCCCCCAGCCCTATCTCCCTTCTTCACCTCCAGAGGTAACCATTACCTTGAATTTTGTTATCATTCCCTTGCTTTTTAAAGTCTTCATTATATAAGTTTGCATTTCTGTACAATACATTTAATTTTGCTTGCTTGTTTGAGGTTTGTAGACTCAGTAGGACATATGTAGTCCTCGAGCATTGATTAAAAAAAAAAAAAAAAAAACCCTGTTGTAGATTCTGGGATTCATTGATGTTCCTGTGGCTCATTCATTGACACTGCTCTATAATATTCCATTGTCCATTCTGTAGTTTATGCTCCTTTAGAAATACTTCCATGATGTGATTTTTATGAGTAATGCTGCCATGAAAATTTCTGTACATGTCTCCTGATGCATGTGTACAAAGCTTTCCTAGGAGTCGGATTGCTGGGCTGTAGGAGATGTGCATGTTTGACATTAAAAGGTAGCACCACAAACCTTTTCAAAGTATTTGTTCTGTTTTGCCTTCCTGCCAGTGAGGTATAAGAAGTGGTTGTTGAGGGCCGGGCGCAGTGGCTATGCCTGTAATCCCAGCACTTTAGGAGGCTGAGGCAAGCAGATCACGAGGTCAGTAGACCAAGACCATCCTGGTTAACATGGTGAAACCCTGTCTCTACTAAAAAATACAAAAAAAAAAAAAAAATCAGCCAGGTATGGTGGCGGGCGCCTGTAGTCCCAGCTATTCGGGAGGCTGAGGCAGGAGAATGGTGTGAACCTGGGAGGCGGAGCTTGCAGTGAGCCAAGATCGCGCCACTGCACTCCAGCCTGGGCAACAGAGTGAGACTCCGTCTCAAAAAAAAAAAAAAAAAAAAGTTATTGGGGCCGGGCATGGTGGTTTGAGGTCAGGAGTTCAAAACCAGCCTGGCCAACATGGTGAAACCCTGTCTCTACTAAAAATACAAAAATGAGCTGGGCATGGTGGTGGGCACCTGTAATCCCAGCTACTCGGGAGGCTGAGGCAGGAGAATGGCGTGAACCTGGGAGGCGGAGCTTGCAGTGAGCCGAGATCGCGCCACTGCACTCCAGCCTGGGCAACAGAGCAAGACTCCATCTCAAAAAGAAAAAAAAAAATGTAGTTATTGGGGCCGGGCATGGTGGTTTGAGGTCAGGAGTTTGAAAGCAGCTTGACCAACATGGTGAAACCCTGTCTCTACTAAAAATACAAAAATGAGCTGGGCATGGTGGTGGGCGCCTGTAATCCCAGCTACTCGGGAGGCTGAGGCAAGAGAATCACTTGAGCCCAGGAGGTGGAGGTTGCATTGAGCCGAGATCGTGCCATTGCACTCCAGCCTGGGCGACAGAGTGAGACTCTGTTTCAAAAAAAGTATGTGGTGGCTCCTGCCTGTAATCCCAACACTTTGGGAGGCCGAGGTGGGTGGATCCCTTGAGGCCAGGAGTTTGAGACTAGCCTGACCAACATAATGAAACCCCTTCTCTACTAAATAAATAAATAAGCAAGCAAGCTGGGTGTGATGTTGTGCGCCTGTAGTCCCAGCTACTTGGGAGACTGAGGTACAAGAATCATTGAGCCCGGGAGGCAGAGGTTTCAATGAGCCAAGATCCCACCACTGCACTCCAGCCTGGGCGACAGAGTGAGACTCTGTCTCAAAAAAAAGTTCTTGCTAAACCCCGTCGGCACTTGGTATTAAACTAAAATACCCTCTCGCGGTGCTTACTATGTACCTGGTACTGTTATAAATGCTCTTCATATATTGTTTAATTTTCATAATAATCTTGTGAGATAGGTACTGTTACTCATCCCCAATTTACAGGTGACAAAACAGAGGCGCAGAGAGATTAGCTAACTTGCTTATGGTCACACAGCTAGTAAGTGGTGGGGCCACGATTCAAACTAAATGTTCTTCCTCTTCAGTCCTACGTAATAGGTGTAAAATGGAATCTTCTTGTGATCTTCTTTTGTATTTTTCTGATTACTGATGATACTGAGTATTTTTTCATATGTTTATTCCCTTTTCATGAAGAAGAAATATAAAATTTAAAACCATCTCCCTATTGTTGGGGCACTCAGGTTGTTTGTAATTCTCTGCTGTTCATGCTTGAGGGAAAATCATTGGCACATGTAGCTTTTTTATGTCTTCTGTTGGCTTGTTTACTTTTACATTTCCAGTGAAATTAAGAGTACTTAGTGGTTAAAAATGGCTGTGCTCTTCCACATTGCCTTGTGATCTTGAGGCAATTACTTGCCCTCTCTGTGTTTAGTGTCCTTATCTCTGATCTCCACCTTGGAGGAGCCTGTGGTGATTAAATGAGATAAGTGAATGTGCGACAATTTGCATGATACTCTGCCTGTCATAAGAGGGTTCCATCAGAGTCACGTAGAGACTTTTCCTGGTTCCTTCTTTTCCTTTCTTCCTCGAACCCACATTAGTTACTGTTAGGTCAGAGGACATGAACAAAGTCCTGTGCTTCTGCCAGATATGATGACCTCAGGGAATTAGGCCCATTTCAGCTTTTTTCTAAGTATCACCCCAGCCACTGACAGATTTGCTGTATCTGCCCATTTTGTAGTAGGAAAAAAAATTAGATTTTAAAATGTTTTACTGGTATGCATGTAGTAACCACAAGAACAACTGCCTCCCCCTCCCCCCATATAAGAATACCCTCTGCCAACGTATAATGCTCTCAAGAAGTTAGACATAATCCTGGAGTTGCTGTCTGCAGAGGTGGCCAGTTTGGGTATGGAGGGTGCAGACATGGGACTGGGCTAGCCAGTGTGCCCATGGGCACACACTCACTTCTGCAAGAACAGGCAGATGTGCACCTCCTCTGCAAGGGTTCCCCTAAAACTCTCTTTCTGCACTCGCTTATTAGTTTTATCAATAAATCTTCCGAAGGGAGAATCCTCTTAAGAAATGAATAATTGATCAACCCTAGACAGAACATGCCATAAATACAACCCATTTGCTATTAGAGAGAGTGGGGCCATCCATTTGGTGGCAAGGAAGAAGGAATTAGCTTTGTAAGGAGGTGGATTCTGAACTCTAGGACTGAGATAAAGGATGAGGCTGGAAAGAGCAGCCCCTTGAACAGCTGCTGTGGATCAGAGTAGCTGAGCTGGTGGTATGTGTGGTTGGGAAAGTACTGGGTGGAGTTTACTGGCTTAGCAGGGTGGGGTGTTGCCACCACTATCTTGGAGTCCCATGAGAATTCGCTTCAGGAGATTCCTTTGCAGAGAATGGGCTACTGGGCTCTGAAGGTTGACTACAGGCTAGTTCATTCTGGCCAAAAACACCTTCTTGGACATGGTTCTTCTAATATGGTGTGTAACTGCTGACAGTCAGCAAAACAGCCCTCCAGACTCTGTTCCTCTTGTAACTTCCCCTTTCTTAAAGGCCTTAAGAAGGTATAGCCAATCAGGACTTTGCTCTTTCAAGATAACATTCTTGTCTTCTCTCTTCCCTATTTTCCTTTAATAGAGAATTGCTGATCTGGTTTTGATGTGTTGAGAGTAAGGAAGGATTTGGGAAACCTGGTGTCATATCTGTATCCTTCACTGTGTTGTTGACTGAACGAGGTGTTTGGGGAGTGGCGTTCCACACTTTTCCAGCCTTGCCTGGCATCTGGGGGGCTCTGGAGTCCCCTGGGTGGGGAGAGCAGGGTGCTGCTGTTGAATGCCTGCAGATGTCTGGAGGACCAGCTCTGGGGATTTGGGAGTCTAAGAAGACAGTGCACTGTAGAGGAGGAGGCAGGGGACCTTGTGAGCTAGCCAGGCGGGGTGCAGGGTCACCTTCAGCACAGGGTCCCCAGCTCTCTGAAGGTGGGAAATGTGACTGGGGTTGGCGATGCTGTATGCACATATGAACTCTTCATGGAGTGTAGTGAAGAGTTATGTCTCTTCTTGGATCTGAGAAGGGCATTTTCTCTGCCTGAGTAATGTTTCCTGCCTCTCAGTCTCCTAGTAACAAATTCCTGCTGCCCCTAGGTGATGGGAACACACCTCCAACTTGGGGAAGACCTAGCCTGGGATGGGCATACCCCCTTTCAGTGATATTGTGAAGCAGGGAAGAAACCTGATGGGGTTGGGTGTGAGGACCCAGCGAGGGCAGGGAAAAGGGGTTTGCACCTGGAAGTTGGCAGTAAGATGTGCAGCACTAGCACCTTGGGCTTCTCTGGAGGCCCCTGTAGCCTTTGCAGACCTCTACCATGTGTGCATTGTAATGGGTGCCATAATAGCAGAGAGATCACCAACTCTGCCTAGAGCTTCCATGGGTCATCTCAAAGTATAGGGGTGATGAGGCTTGCACCAGCCAGGTCCCTAGGGAGGAAGCAGTGACAGAGCTTTTTGAATGCATTCTAGAGACTCCGGTAGGTTTTGAAGGTGTGGCAGATGCCTGGTTCCCTAGGAGCAAATGGTGTAGTTGACCATACACTCTTACGAAAAGATCCCTAACAGAACGTGGCTGTGCACGGTAACTGTAGGCTCTGGGGCAGCCTGTGGTGGAAAGGACTGGTCAAGGAGGACTTTCTCAGGGAGGGATTGATTCTGTTCCTTGTCTCACTGCTAAATTTAATCACTTAACCTCCATAACCACGTTTCATCCCCATCTGTCTGCTAGTGCCTTAGTTCAGGTCCTTATTGTTACTAATCTGGACAGTTGCATAGTCTCCTAACTGGTCTTTGGGTCACCAGCCTCGAACCCTGCAGTCTGTCTTCTGCAAGATGCCTGAATGCCCCTCCTGAGATGTAAATCTGCTCTCTGTAGCATTCAGGCTGTGGTCCACACACCTGCCTCCCCTGCCTTTGCGATCAAGATACACTCAACAGCTTATGCATCTCCAAGCCTGCCAGGGCTTATGATTCTGTGCCTTTTCACATGCTATTCCTTCCATCTGGAACTCCTGCAGAATTCTTCCCCTTCTTCCAAAATACCTGCTACTTTCTCCAGCCTCTCTGAGATTTCTTTGAGATAAAACCTTCCTGGACACCCACCTGCCCACCTGCCCAGATAGCTGTATATACTGAGCCACCACAGGCCCCTGTAGATACTGCTTTCACAGCACTGATATGATTTAGGGCATTGACTTATATATAGGCCTTTTTCTTCCTTTTCATCTTAAAACTTTTTGGGGTCCTGAAATACATAGTCTGGTCTATTGTCAGGCAACAAATCACCCCAAAACACAGTAGTATAAAACAGTAATCATTTTGTTATGCCCAGGGATTCTGTGGATTGGGAAGTCAGAAGTGACAACAGCATGGGTAGCTTCTATATGTTCCTTAATATTTAGGGTCTCAGCTAGGAAGGCATAAAAGCTGGAGGTAACTTAATGACTGGGCTGGAATCCTCGAAGGGCTCCTTCACTCACACATTTGGCAGATGATGGCAGCTGTTGGCTGGGACCTCAGCTGGGAATGTCAGCTGACTCCTCCATGTGGCCTCTCCACATGGCCTGGGCTTCCTCACAGCATGGTGACTGGGCTCCAAGAGTGAGAATCCCAAGAGAACCAGGCAGAAGCTGAATTGCCTTTTATGATCTAGCTTTGAAAGTCATGTAGCATCACTTCTATTATCACGAGCCCACCCAGATTGAAGAGGAGGGAACATAGACCCCCACCTCTCCATGGGGGAAATGTCCAAGTCACACAGTAAGAAGAGCATGTGGAATGGAGGGAATGTTGTGGCTATCTTTGGAACACACAGTATGTCACACGTATTAAGCACTCGATGCATATGAATGGCATTCTTAAACTGAAGATTGAAGCCAGGGTGGACAATGAGGAAGAGTTATGAAGTTGGTGGCTGGGAGTCTTAAGAGAGGGTATGTTCAAGAGATTGTAGAGTGGAGAAGAGTGTGTGTGTGGTGTGTGTGCATGCACACATATGTGTGGTCAGGGAGGGGGCTTGGGGATACATAGAGTTGCTTAAAGGACCGACTGTCAGGTGAGACAATTAAAACATACACACAGAAGGACCCAGATTGGGAAGGCAGGGATGGAAAGGGAGGAGATAAAATTGAGAGACAGTTCACATTTAGAATTGTTTGGATCCAATGACTGCACACATTGGAAGAATATGGGTAACATTTGGGTTGGGAATGTTGGTGAATGCAAAAATAGGAAAGTTGGGAAAGTTGCTCTCAGGAGGGAGAGTTCAGTTCTGTTTTAGACAAGCTGACTCTCAGTGGGCTTACGGCATGGTCTAGGGGTTGGAGCTAGCTGGAGGGTAGTTGAGAAGTCCAGACAGAAAGCAGACATTTAGACCAGGCATGGGGGCTCACACCTGTAATCCCAGCACTTTGGGAGGCCGGGGCAGGAAAATTGCTTGAGCTCAGTGGTTTGACACCAGCCTGGACAACATAGCAAGACTTTGTCTCTACTAAAAATAAAATCAGCTGGGCATGGTGGTGCATACCTGTGGTCCCAGCTACTTGGGAGGCTGAGGTGGGAGAATCAGTTGAGGCTGCATTAAGCCACGATCGCGCAACTGCACTCCATCATGGGCAACAGAGCAGCAAGACCCTGTCTCAAAAAAAGGAGCATCTCACAGTGATGTTTGCTGGAGCCCAGAAGGGCATGAGAATTGAGGGGAAAAGCGGAGGGTTTCTGAGCTGGGATGGGTCTGAGCTGAGGCTTCAAAAGGGCTAAACTGGTCCCCATCCTCCTCTGGCATTGTCCTGCCTCCCTGCCGATAATTGCCAAATAGCTGCTTGCTTTTCTTTTCCGCATCTCCATTGATAAGAACTTGTTTCCTCTGGTTGTTAGGGGGACTGGTTTCAGTGCATTTTCTAGTATCTCTAAGTATTAAGCAAATTCTTCCCTAGATGGAACCTAAGCTTTTCTCTCTCTTTACCCATTTTCTAATTCCATCCCTTAAGGCCACTCAAAACAAGTCTAATTCTTTTCCCAAACAGTAGGCCTTCAGATGTTTAAAGACTTTCTGGAGTTTTATCTTGTTCAGAACCAAAAGGGAGCTGTTCCTCTTGTGGTTTTGAACCCTCATGCTCGCCTTCCTCTCTGCCCAGAGGGTGCGGCCCCACAGGGAAGCCTCCATTCAGTGGGGGACTGTCTGGGTCACAAGCAGGGCTGTCACTGCTTGTGCTGTAGTCCTGTTCAGGTCAGGTCATAGCTGTGTGTGTCAGACTGGGTCAGAACCCATTAGTAGACCCCGAAATCAACTTAGAAGGTTGCAACCTGCATTTAAAAATAAAGAAGAAAGATACATTAATGTATCTGTTAAGGCGAAGTACTGTTTTACAAAACTTGTATATAAGTAGCTAATGGATCACAGCATAAAATGTATTTCTTACTGTGGATTGTAGTGAAAATTTTTGAAAAAAACTGGGTTATAAGACCCTTTGAAGCTGCCACATCACATCATACTGGGTGTGCCATCAGTTAGCTCTCAGGATTTTACCTCTTCTGATTCCTAAGACATTTTTATGGGTACCGCTGCTGCTATTATGTGCTTCTTCCATCTTTAATTTATTTGCACAGATGTGGCTTGGGGCCTAAGTATGAGACCCTGTTTACCCTTTTAGATTTTTTTTCTTTCTAGCCTGTTGACCTTTTGGCACCTGGTTCTGTCACTCAACATAGCTTTATCCCTTCTATTTTCAACATCTACTTATTTATTAAGTGAGCCTTCTCTATCATTATTGATAAATATGTTGAACAGGATAGTTCCAAGAACAGAGCCCTGTGGCAGACCACTAAAGACCCTTCTCCCAGTTGATACACCTCTTGTACCCTTTGAGCATGGTCATTTAACCAGTGGTGAACCGGCCCTTTCAGCCTGTAGTTCTCTGTAGCTGGCCTCAAAAGGGTCATGGCAGACCTTGTGAAACTTGAACATCCACAGCCGAAGTTGCAAAGTCAAAGGCCTACAGGGGGTTGGCAGGTAACACAAGTGAGTGAAGTGATAATTAATTCAAGCAATTAATAAGTAATTCCTGACCCCAGCCTTGGTTTCAAGAAGGCAGTGTGGAGTGGGGAAGCTGGGGGTGAGTTGGAGTAGTTATATCCTATGTAAGGAGTAGCCACTGCTCAGTTACAGACATAGTTGCCCATAGAAGTGTGGATCTTCAAGAAAATCCAGGTTTCATGTGGAATTTGATTTTTGAATGTTGGCAAAACAAAAACATTAACACCATATAGGCAAGTAAAACAAACTTGTGGGAGATTTGGCCCGAAGCTCTCACCTTTGTGACCTGTCAGCCACAGTATCTCCCCATTTACTGTCCAATGACCCCATGACTCAAAGCACTAAGATTGTTTGGATGTTGGTAGGTTAATGGCCTTCTGTGGACCTGACTCCTTGTGGTTCTTACCTGGGCTGTTCTTAAATGCAGCAGACTGAGAGTTGGGAAGGACGCTTCTCCTTCTCTTGCCTGTTGGCCCCGTCTCCTGCTGGCAGGTTTCCTCCAGCATTACTGACAGGTGTTGAGAAAGGTATCAGTGGGATCTCTTGGTTGGGAAATGGGAATTTAGAGTTTCTTAAGATCTTCCTATCCATACTGGCTTCACTTACCTCATATCTACATCTACTTTTCCCTTTCTCCTCTTTTTGGTCCGAGGAGCATTTTCCTTCCCAGGGAATTCAGAGGCACAAGAGCCATCCTAGCCCTTCCTTGTTCTTATTCACACACCAAAAATAACTTTTTAAATCCCTTTTAGTTGTCTTGACCATTTTGGGGAAGCCTCCACTCATGTAGCATTAGTCTCCCTGACACTGTTTTTGTAAATCTGTGCTACTCTCGGGTGTTTCTTCTTGGTTATGCATGCTCTTTCCGTCTTCCTACATAAGCATGTAAGATTTGACCACTTCAGATTGTATAGCCTTGTTAGCCACATTAGTTTAGGCTTCTAAGAAAGAAGAGAGTGCTGGGTGATCTGCCACATTCCTAGACTTCGGAAAAGTAGTCTCCCACTGGGGTCAGGGAAAAGCTGATATATTCCATGGCCTGTGGGGATGGCAGGCCTTTCCTTTGCCTGAGTGTTACTGCTCCAGCTGTGGGCAGGAAGCACAGGAGTCATTGAGATTTGGACCCTGCCTGCCTGGAGCCACCATCAAGTGGGGGAGGGAGGCAGCTGCTTGAACAAATAACAGTAGTGGCATGCGATAAGTGCTAATGAAGGTGCCCTGGGAATCCAGGGAAGGAGCCACAGATAATTCTATGTAGTAGGTAGGGGAAGAGGTGACACTGAGCTGATAAGCCAGGGAGGCCGCTCTAAGAGGCTGAGAAGGGCATTCCAGGCAATGAGAACTGCGTGTACAAAGCCTGGTGACATCAGAGAACATGGCCTGTTAGAAAAGCATGAGGGTCTTTTGTGGCCAGAATGGGGGCAAGGGTGAGGATGAGACAGGAACTGCGGGCTGGGGCCTCTGCTAACCTCCCACAGAGCTCATCCCAAACCCTAGTTTCCCACCACACTTAGGAGCCCATGATGGCCTTGTCTGACAGTCTTAGCACTGGCATCTTTTTAGCCACCTACTTAAAACACTTTGAGGCCAGACACAGTGTCTCACACCTATAATCCCAACACTTTAGGAGGCTAAGGCCAGAGGATCATTTGAGGCCAGAAGTTAGAGATCAGCCTGGGCAACACAGCAAGACTCAGGCTCTAAAATTAAAAAAAATAAAAATAAAATAAATTAGCTGGGCGTGGTACATGCATCAAGTCCTAGCTACTTGATAGGCTGAGGTGGGAGGATCGCTTGAGTCCAGGAGTTCAAGGCTGCAGTGAACTGTGATCACACCACTGCAGGAGTTCAAGGCTGCAGTGAACTATGATCATGCCACTGAACTCCAGCCTGGGTGAGAGTGTGTCTGTAAAATAAATAAATAAAACACTTTGTGTTATACTTGAGGGACTGATTTCTTATTTAGCTTTTTATTTTCACAGAATTTAAAAATTTATAGAAAAATAGCAGGGATCATACTTGGGACTTCACATACCCCAAATGTGTAGGTTTTGTCTCATGTATTTATCATCTTGTCTGTATAGACATATTTTTCCATATGCATATGGTTTTTTTCTGAATCATTTGAGATTAAATTGAGTACATGATGTTCCTCAACTTATGACTGAGTTACGTCCCAATAAACTAATCATCAATTGAAAGTATTGTAAGTCAAAAATAGGCATTTTATAGACATGATGGGTTGCTAAAACACAGAACACAATATCCAGAAAGCCCTAACAGCATGGAACACTGTGGAGCCTCAGTCGTTTACCTTGGTGATGGCGTGGTTGACCAGGGGATCTGGCTTGCTGCCACTGCCCAGCATCGCGAAAGTGTTGCTAGCCTCAGAAAAGATCAAAATTCAAAGTATGGTTTCTATTGAACGCCTGTCGCAAAGTCAGAATCTTAAGTGGAACCATCGTAAGTTGGGGACTGTCTGTACTGTCCCTTTACTCCTAAATACTTCAGTATGTGTATCCTGAGAACAAGGGCATTCTCTTACATAACCCATTGTCTAATGATCCAAGTCAAGATTAGGGATGACAGAATATTATCTTATCCACATCCATATTCACATTTCATGACTTGTCCCAAGTAAAAATAGTGTGCTTTTCCCCAGTCTAAGGTCTAAGCCATGAACACGCATTTAGCTGTTCTTTTTAAGGGAAGAGATTGTTCTCTTCAAAAAATTTCAAAGTCAAGAAAAACAATACAGGTACTTTCTAGAACGCCCTTCAATTTGGGTTTGTCTGATGTTTCCTTGTGATTAGATTCAGGTTATACATTTTGGCAGGAGTTCTATGTGAGTGGTGTTAAGTCATCCGCAATGTCTTACATCAAGAGGCACATGGTGTTGTTTTGTCTCAGTATTGGTGATGATTGTAACTTTGGTCATTTGGGTTAAGGTGGTGTCTGTCTACCAGATCTCTCCACTACAGTTACTATTGTAATTATGTAATTTTAGAGATGCTTTGAGACCGTGTATACATCCTGTACCTCATCATGCTTTCACCTGCTGCCACTGATGTCTTTTTAAATCCATCAGTCCTTCTGTGTTTTCTCTTAGCATTCTACAGTAAGGAAGAGCTTTCCTTTCCTAAGGGATGGGTCTGCAAACTCAATTTCACATCTTTGTATTCACTTTTCTCTTCCTCTCATCCTTCCCCTTTGGTGTGCTTTTGGGGATATGAGGTATATGGTGGTGGCTCTCGTGCTTGGGGAGAGGCCTGAATCCTTCTCTAAGCAGCAACTTGCTTGTCTTTGGCAGGACTGACCTGGCATGGGGCTAAACGCATGCTGTGTCAGATCATCGGCGTTTCCCTCAGGCCTGGGGCTGTGTGTGGGAATGTGGTCTGTTGCCAGCTTTCTGTGCTCAGCCTGGGCTTAAGTGAGGACAGTTTTAGGGGGAGAAAAGAACTATGGGTCCCCACTAGGAAGCCATGGCTGACCCATGGTCCAGGCTGAATTTGTTCATCAAAGCTCCTCTTTCCCTACCCCTACGAACCCACACTTCACACTTAGAGCACGTGTGTACACACAGGCTTGGTTGGATTTCTTTCCATCTTGACAAAAAACAAAATAAAGTCCTAGTGTGACTTTGATCATTGTGAATTAAGGACCTTTTTGTGTGTCTCTGGTTTTAGGAGAGCCTCATTTGTGTGATTGATCTGAGGCTCTAAAAGTTTCTGAGCAACATTAAGAATGTCTCATTAGGATCTTCTCTTTAAAAATATCTTAAAGATCTTCTTTTTGTTTCTGCTGGTGAAGCTCCCTAGGGAACCAGAGACATGGGAAGATGAATTGGAGGCTCAAGAAGTACCAGAGAGAGGATTTGCAAGAAAAGTTGGGGTCAGATGTGCACCTGAGTGGTATGAAGCAGGGAAATGCTTTTCAAATAGTGTGGTTCATTTTTTTCCTTTTTCCCCCTTCTCTCTCTCTTTAGACAGGCTCAGAGCTCAGCCCAGTTGATGGACCTGTTCCAGGTCAGATGGACTCAGGGCCAGTGTACCATGGGGACTCACGGCAGCTAAGCGCCTCAGGGGTGCCGGTCAATGGTGCTAGAGAGCCCGCTGGACCCAGTCTGCTGGGGACTGGGGGTCCTTGGCGGGTAGACCAAAAGCCCGACTGGGAGGCTGCCCCAGGCCCAGCTCATACTGCTCGCCTGGAAGATGCCCACGATCTGGTGGCCTTTTCGGCTGTGGCCGAAGCTGTGTCCTCTTATGGGGCCCTTAGCACCCGGCTCTATGAAACCTTCAACCGTGAGATGAGTCGTGAGGCTGGGAACAACAGCAGGGGACCCCGGCCAGGGCCTGAGGGCTGCTCTGCTGGCAGCGAAGACCTTGACACACTGCAGACGGCCCTGGCCCTCGCGCGGCATGGTATGAAACCACCCAACTGCAACTGCGATGGCCCAGAATGCCCTGACTACCTCGAGTGGCTGGAGGGGAAGATCAAGTCTGTGGTCATGGAAGGAGGGGAGGAGCGGCCCAGGCTCCCAGGGCCTCTGCCTCCTGGTGAGGCCGGCCTCCCAGCACCAAGCACCAGGCCACTCCTCAGCTCAGAGGTGCCCCAGATCTCTCCCCAAGAGGGCCTGCCCCTGTCCCAGAGTGCCCTGAGCATTGCCAAGGAAAAAAACATCAGCTTGCAGACCGCCATTGCCATTGAGGCCCTCACACAGCTCTCCTCTGCCCTCCCGCAGCCTTCTCATTCCACCCCCCAGGCTTCTTGCCCCCTTCCTGAGGCCTTGTCACCTCCTGCCCCTTTCAGATCTCCCCAGTCTTACCTCCGGGCTCCCTCATGGCCTGTGGTTCCTCCTGAAGAGCACTCATCTTTTGCTCCTGATAGCTCTGCCTTCCCTCCAGCAACTCCTAGAACTGAGTTCCCTGAAGCCTGGGGCACTGACACCCCTCCAGCAACGCCCCGGAGCTCCTGGCCCATGCCTCGCCCAAGCCCCGATCCCATGGCTGAACTGGAGCAGTTGTTGGGCAGCGCCAGTGATTACATCCAGTCAGTATTCAAGCGGCCTGAGGCCCTGCCTACCAAGCCCAAGGTCAAGGTGGAGGCACCCTCTTCCTCCCCGGCCCCGGCCCCATCCCCTGTACTTCAGAGGGAGGCTCCCACGCCATCCTCGGAGCCCGACACCCACCAGAAGGCCCAGACCGCCCTGCAGCAGCACCTCCACCACAAGCGCAGCCTCTTCCTAGAACAGGTGCACGACACCTCCTTCCCTGCTCCTTCAGAGCCTTCTGCTCCTGGCTGGTGGCCCCCACCAAGTTCACCTGTCCCACGGCTTCCAGACAGACCACCCAAGGAGAAGAAGAAGAAGCTCCCAACACCAGCTGGAGGTCCCGTGGGAACGGAGAAAGCTGCCCCTGGGATCAAGCCCAGTGTCCGAAAGCCCATTCAGATCAAGAAGTCCAGGCCCCGGGAAGCACAGCCCCTCTTCCCACCTGTCCGACAGATTGTCCTGGAAGGGCTTAGGTCCCCAGCCTCCCAGGAAGTGCAGGCTCATCCACCGGCCCCTCTGCCTGCCTCACAGGGCTCTGCTGTGCCCCTGCCCCCAGAACCTTCTCTTGCGCTATTTGCACCTAGTCCCTCCAGGGACAGCCTGCTGCCCCCTACTCAGGAAATGAGGTCCCCCAGCCCCATGACAGCCTTGCAGCCAGGCTCCACTGGCCCTCTTCCCCCTGCCGATGACAAGCTGGAAGAGCTCATCCGGCAGTTTGAGGCTGAATTTGGAGATAGCTTTGGGCTTCCCGGCCCCCCTTCTGTGCCCATTCAGGACCCCGAGAACCAGCAAACATGTCTCCCAGCCCCTGAGAGCCCCTTTGCTACCCGTTCCCCCAAGCAAATCAAGATTGAGTCTTCGGGGGCTGTGACTGTGCTCTCAACCACCTGCTTCCATTCAGAGGAGGGAGGACAGGAGGCCACACCCACCAAGGCTGAGAACCCACTCACACCCACCCTCAGTGGCTTCTTGGAGTCACCTCTTAAGTACCTGGACACACCCACCAAGAGTCTGCTGGACACACCTGCCAAGAGAGCCCAGGCCGAGTTCCCCACCTGCGATTGCGTCGGTAAGTCCGCCTGGGTATCAGGGAAGGGCAGAGAAAGGGCTGTGGCCTGGTGAGCTAGGATTTCTAGGCCCTGCCTTTCATTTGGCAAACATTTATTTGTGCCAACTGCCACACTGGGTTCTGGGAACACAGAAATGAGCTCATAGCCTAGTGGAAAAGACATTGAAAGAAATTGACGTGATACTGTGCGTGTATGCCACGTCGGCTGAGATGGGCATAGGTGCTTTAATACACAAATGGAGTTGAAGGCATAATAGAGGCCTTCTTGTAGGAGGTAGTACTTGCGCCGAGCCCTACAGAGCCATCAGATAGAAAGGACACATTCTAGAAGAGGGAGTAGCTTGGGCAACAGCTTAGTGGCTATGAGGGAGTGGAACTTACTTGGACTATTCTTGGTTCAGGCAGGAGCAAAAGGGGTTGGGTATATGTGGAGATGAACAAAAGGTGGCTTGGTGGGTGAGGAGGATGGTGTCAGGGGCCAGATTGTGTAGGGCCCAGGGAGCCAAGGCCAAGAGTTTGACTTGACCCCATAGGTAATAGTGAGCTCCTGAGGATTTTAAAGCAAGGAATGCCCTGTCACCTTGTGCTTTTGAAAGACTTCTGGCTTATGGTGGGGAGGGAAGCTTGAGGGCACTGAGGAGACATAGCTGTAAGAAAGGTGTTGTCATGAGCCAGGCAAGAAATGACAAGGGCCTGGCCTGAAAGAGCCGGTGGCAGAGGGAGGGGTTGGAAGGTCTCCAGAGGAAGGCTTGTGGGAGGAGGGGATGAGACACTGCAGGTCTCTGCCTGGGGGTGGTGGTGTTCACTGATAACTCGGATTGGGAGGACAGGAAGTGAGTTCCCACTGGACGAGCCACATCTGAAGTGGCCAGAAGACCAGGTCAGGGTCTGAGTTACACGTTTGGACCTAGTTAGCATGCAAGTCATGGTTGAAGCGGTGCCGTGTGTGAGAACGCGTTGAGGAGTTGAGTCCACTTCTAAGCCTTGCCTTCTGGAATGAGAGTAGGGTGCAGGGCCACTGAGGACCACTCCCCAATAAGCATACTGTCTCTGGGAAGTCCTGGAGGCAGTAGTAAGCTCCAGGTCCACTCGGCCCCCACACTCTGTTTAGGGAGTGTTCTGTAAAAGATATGTGTGTTTCAGATGTTGACAGAAAACACAGTGGTGCTGGCGATGAGCATATTGAATTCTTGTGATTTTGTGATACACAGACGGGTCTTGGGAAAAGGCTGTCTTCCCTACTTGTGAAAAATACGTAAATATCAAGTAAGTCATGTACTTGCTGGGATGTTGTTTCCCGGTCAGTAGGGAGGAGCTGGGCTGTTCTGCCTCCTCCAGCTACCCCTCCCCGATCCTGGGGTACGAGGCAGAGGGGTGGGTGA
The DNA here is from genome assembly GCF_000001405.40 of Homo sapiens. Lineage (NCBI taxonomy): Eukaryota > Metazoa > Chordata > Mammalia > Primates > Hominidae > Homo > Homo sapiens. Next base: position 74,049,794 of record NC_000002.12, read on the forward strand.
CAAGGAGTCACATGCAGAACAAGGAAAATCTGGCCCCAGGGCTCTTACTTGGGGGTGAACAGATATGCTGCCAGGCACTCAAGAGACATGCTCCTAGATGATGGTTCCCACTGGCCCTGTCCATTCTTAGATATGACTAGTAACGACATGACTTCGAGGGCCCTCTTATTTACCAGCATATGGGGGAAACTTGTTTTGATCATGGGGTCCGCTTACCCTTTTCTCTGTGCGTGTATGTGTGTGTCCCATCCGCCTGTGTTTAGCACCTCGTTTCTCCTTCTACAACGTGGGAAATATCCTTACCTAGTGTTTTAAGACATAGTTGATCCTTAGCCAATATTTTAATTGTTGAATTTAATTATATGGATATTATGTGTGGTCAAACTAGTTTTTAAATTTGCATCCCAACTCCATCACTTACTAGCTGGGAGTGCTTGGGCACTTTACATAACCCATCACGGTTTCTGCTTCCTCATATGTAGAATGAAAACGATAATAGTACCGGCCTCACCAGGGCTGTTGTGAGGATGAAATTCGTTACTATGTGTAAAGCACTTAGTGCTGTGTTGGCACAAGAGTGTCAGCTGTTATCAAGCCTATCAAGTCCAATAGGGCAAGAAAAGTAAAACCATACCTTGTAAAGGAAAAAAAAAAGTTGGCTGTTCCTTTAGTTACCATATATTAATTACCTAGCCATGTATAACTACCAATAAGGATAAAATTAAGAGAAATGGTTCATCACTGAAGGACTTTGCGGTTTCCTTTTTTTATTTTTAGGCAGGGTCTCACTCTGTTGCGGGGGCTGGAATGCAGTGGCATGATCTCTGCTCACTGTAGCCTCCACTTCCTGGGCTCAAGCAATCCTCCCACCTCAGTCTCCCGAGTAGCTGGAATTACAGGCGCATGCCACCATACTTGGCTAATTTTTAAAAATTTTTTGTGGAGACGAGGTCTCACTATATTGCCCAGGCTTGTCTCAAACTCCTGGGCTCAAGCGATCCTGTCATCTCAGCCTCCCAAAGTGCTGGGATTATAGTCGTGAACCACTGCACCCAGCCTATGGTTTACTTAAGGAAAAAAAAAAACAACAATAAAATATTTAGTTACCCACTCAGCCAGTGTGTGCTGAGTGCCTTTTACCTCCGAGGCCCATGCTGTTGTATGGAAGTGGCTATATCGCAGGGGTACCCTGTAGCACAGACTTAGTTGTCATCATGGGAGATCATGTTTTATCTGGGAAACTCTTGTTTAGAGCTGGGTTTTGAAAACTGTGGTGAACACAGATGGGGAGAGGCAGAAAGGCTTTCCAGACTGAGTAGTGCATAAGCACAGTCTTGGGGCAGAAGGAGCAAGCTTGCAGGATGGGATGTTGCAAGGGTGACCTGAAACCTCTGTTCTCCTGCATTCCTCGGATGAGGAGCCTCCACCAGAGAGGATACATGTTCGCTTGTAGGCAGTGAGCAAAAATGCAGGCATCTGTCAGCATCAGAGAAACCAGACCTCCAGGAACTGGGAGCTAACAACACTTTGTATTATTAAATTAGAGGAAAATACTTAGGTAAAAACAGCAGAAACAAATTTGAACAATCATCTCAGTTGAGTTTTAGAAAATGGAAAAAAGACTAGAAGAAAATATATGAACAGTGGATTGTCTGTATGGTCGGAGTATGGATGACCTTTCCCTCATGTGTTTTCTGAATTTTCTACAATGAAATTTGTGTTGTATAACCCAGAAATATTTGTGAAAGTGCATGCTAGCAGTAGCATGGAAGGTGGATTGGTGAAGGGTGATAACCCTGTGGTAGGAGACCCGTTAGGAAGCTTTTGAGAGTAAAAGTGTTTATGAAGCACCTGCTCTGGTCTAGGCACCCTGCCAAGTACTTAATAGTCACCACCTCACTTAATCCTCATAGCAGCTCTATGAGGTAAATACTGTCAGTGGCTCCATTTTAGCCATGAGGAAACAGATTAAGTAATTTACCAAGGTCATACAAACTAGTGAAAGTGAGATTTGAACCTAGGCAGTTGGACTCTTAACCACCATGTCATATTGTGATTGAAATTGGTCAGTTGGGAAACAAGTCCTCACTAAAACAATGGTAGTAGAATGAAGAGAACCAACGAAGAGATTTGCTCTGAAACAGCTTCTGGAGGGCCTGAGGTTCATGTTAGGAAAACCCATTCTGTTTTCCAGAATTGTCTGGCCACATGCTTCTCGCTCTGTTGCCCATGCTGGAGTGCAGTGGCGTGATCTTGGCTCACTGCAACCTCTGCCTCCTGGGTTCAAGCAGTTCTCATGCCTCGACCTCCCGAGTAGCTGGGATTACAGGCACCCACCACCATGCCTGGCTAACTTCTTGTATTTTAGTAGAGACGGGGTTTCACCGTGTTGCCCAGGCTGGTCTCAAACTCCTGAGCTCAGGCAGTCCACCTGCCTCAGCCTCCCAAAGTGCTAGGATTACAGGTATAAGCCACCACGCCTGAACAGGTGCTTCTTCAGTTGGTATGGTAGAATTTGTCTTTGTGAATTCAGGCTCAGAACAAGGCTTAGAAATCAAGGTGCTCACTCTGGGATGACAATGGGAAAATCCCATACTCCAGAAATTCATCCCCTCACCAGTGGTAGGTAGAGAGTTATAGGTTAATATAAGGAAGAATTTTCCATAGAAGTGGGGGTGAAATATGGAGACTCCATGAAGCCATCTAAGAGCTGATAACAGAATATGGGAACAACTTTATAAAAGCATACAAGTTCCTATAGCCAAAAAAAAAAAAAAAAAAAATGGTGGGGGAGGGGCCCGGGCGCTGTGGCTCATGCCTGTAATCCCAGCACTTTGGGAGGCAGAGGCGGGCAGATCATGAGGTCAGGAATTCGAGACCACCCTGGCCAGTATGGTGAAACCCTATCTCTACTAAAAATACAAAAATTAGCTGGGCATGGTGGCGGGTGCCTGTAATTCCAGTTACTCTGGAGGCTGAAGCAGAAGAATCACTTGAACCTGGGAGGCCGAGGTTGCAGTGAGCTGAGATCACGCCACTGCACTCCAGCCTGGGCGAAAGAGCAAGACTCTGTCTCAAAAAACAAAACAAAACAAAAAAACCCTCTATTATTCAAGTTATTTGGTAATTTTGCCAAATAAGCAATTTAGCCAATATGAGCATCACCATGTAACCAAAGTCCCCAACCCCTTTATGTAAAAATGATGGGTTTCTGAAGGTCTGAATGGGACTCATATGGATTTTTTTATCTGAATCTTGAAGTTCTAGAATTAAAGGCACCCCTTAAAGCTTCAAAGAAGTAAACTTATAAGCTATGAAAGGAAATGCCATTCTCTAAAAGATAATATGATGTTTGCAGCTTTGAGAATATTTATCACAAGTTGAATTTCTATGTTGAATTATTGCAAGTGACTTGTGGATGTGGATATTTAAAAATACTCATTGGAGAGTCCCCCCCCAACCATCCTATAACACCATTGTCAGAAACAGGACAAGGAGCTATAGAGACTGTTGTTCCCTTCGCCTTTGTGTATTTTGTCTATTTTCAGTAACAGGGAAATTCCCAAGAGGAGCCAGTTTAGGACGGAGAATGAATGCAAATGACTTTTTAGTGGGAAAAGCATCCTTTGTGCTCATCTAGTCACCATCTTAGAGATGAGGAAGGTATCTGTGTTAGTTTGTAAGCGTTGTCCTGATGTCTCTGGGGAGCAGCCAACAGGAAGCTGCAGAGACTAAACCACAGCAAAAGCAAGAGGTTAGGAGGTGTAGATGCTAGTGGTTGCCTTCATAGAAATATGTTGTATTTTTAATCAGTTGATTGTTCTTCCCTGAAGAAGCCACAGGGAAAATATCTCCTTTGCCTGGAGCATGGTGAAAGTCTGGGTGAGGGAGTGGCATTGTCCAGCGAATGTGGCTGATGGCATGTCCATCAGGGAATTTCAAATGGGACATAGTCCTGAATGGAGGACACAAAGTTATTTGTTTACAGTCGTGTAAAGTCTGTTTTCTACAGTTTTTATTTCTATGAGAATGTATCACACAAACCCCCCACCCCACTGCATTGAGATGAAGAGAAACTTCCTATCTTTTAAATGTTTTTTTGAAACAATGACTATTTGGACACCATATAAAGGATGGGGAATCTGACGGTGAGTAGGAGGGTATCAGAGAAAACTTCCTGCAGGAGAGGATGTCTTACTGAGTTTTAAAGGATAAATAGAAGTTTAATAGAGGAACAGGGAGAAGGGACCTGAAGTTTATGCAGATGAAAGACATGTGGAAAGACACATGAAGATGCGGAAGATGAGAGAACATGGGGAAATACAGGTCATGCGGGTGTGACGGGTGTGGAGGATGAAAGATTGGGAGTGGCTGGAGAGGAGAGTTTCAGGGGAAGAGGGGATGATACCAAAGCCAGAGAAACCAGTTTGTAGGCTCAGATGTAGTTCAGGCAAGAAATAATGGGCCTCTGAACTAGAGTGACCTTGAGTAGAAAGGAGGAGGGGAGGGGGCAGATAAGAGAAAGAATAAGAAAAGAATTAACTGCTCCAGTGACTGGTTGGATGTAGGAGTAAGGGAGGAGGAGTGGTCACAGGTGACTCCTGAGGTTTCAGGCTGGGCGACTGGGTTGATGGTGCTGCCTTTCACCAAGGTTAGAAATACTGGGAGGGCAGCAAGTCTGGGTACCTGGCTTTTGAATGTCTGTGGGACCTGGCAGTGTCCATCTGGTCAGATCTGTGAACTGGTAGTTCTTTGGCAGACTGATGGTAACTGAAAATGTTCAGTCCTGATCTTTTCACCAGGCTGACTGTGTAGATCAAAAAGAAGCCCCAGAATGGAAGTTACCACCATTTAGGGGAGAGGAGCTCAAACAGGAGGCTTTGAAGAAAGTGTGGAAAAGATGTGGGAAGAAATTGAGGAGAGGGTATGTTAAAGAACCAATGGATAGTTTCAAGGTCGGGAGGGCTAACAGCATCAGAAAAGAAGGGTTAGGATTTAATGCTGGATTCTTTCTTGTCTTACATTATTTGTTCTATGTGCACCAGTCTTTGCAGTTAAAGCCCAGATTCCTTAAGCACAAGGACTGCATGTTTTTTGTTGTTGTTGTTGTTGTTGTTTTTGAGATGGGGTCTCACTGTGTCACTCAGGCTGGATAGCAGTGGCAGACTCACAGCTCACTGCAGCCTTGACCTCCTAGGCTTGAGCGATCGTCCTGCCTCAGCCTCCCAAGTAGCCAGGACTACAGGCATGCACCACTATGCCTGGCTAATTTTTTAAATTTTTTGTAGAGGAGATGGGGTCTTGCCATGTTGCCCAGGCTGATCTTGAACTCCTGGGCTCAAGCGATCCACCCACCTCGGCCTCCCAGAATGCTAGGATTACAGGAGTGAGCCACCATGCCTGGCCGCGTGTTGTATTTATAAAGCATCTAGACTGGTGCTAAGCCTATGGCAAGTACCCTTCATATTTTTTGGTCAACTGGTCAGCCTTATTCTGCCTCCATATTTATACTCTGCAAAGGTGTCAAATGGGTTTAGGAATGATCTCCTTACCTTTAATGTTTATGGTCTTGAATATGCCCATTATTATAAAGGCCCAGCATGCTGTACATGGTTTCACAGGCAGCTGACCTGAGATTTTAGTGTTAAAAAATTCATCCAGCACACCTGATCCAGAGTAAAGCCTAACATTCTACCTGCCCATGGCTGTGGCTTTGTAACTATCAGGAGGCATCATGCTAGCAGTCATTGACTGTCATTAAAGTGGAATCTAATTATCTATATAATCTTATGCTCTTCAGCGTTAAGTCCACTAAAATTATATCAGGAAACTGAGTTCTGTGGTTTGAATGTTGTTGTTTCCCCAAACTTACATTGAAACTTAATCCCCTAAAGGCAGTATTGAGAGAGTGGCCTTTAAGAGGTGATTGGGTGATGCAGGCTTTATCCTCATGAATGGATTAATTCATTCATGGATTAATGGGTTAATGGATTAACAGGTTAGCATGGCAGTGGGACTGGTAGCTCTATTCAGAAAGGGAAGAGAGACCTGAGCTGGCACACCCAGCCCCTCACCATGTGTCCTACACCACCTGAGACTCTGCAGAGTCCCGATCAACACGAAGGGCCTCAACAGGTGTGGCCCCTTGACCTTGGACTTCTCAGACTCCAGATAGATTCCTTCCTTTATAAATTACCCAGTTTCAGGTATTCTGTTATAAACAACAGAAAATGGACTAAGAAACTGGGGCAATTATATAGGATTGTTTGGAAAGAGTAGATAGGTACAAATGGAGCCTTTGTGTGATCTTGACATCTGTACATTAATTGTATACTGTCTCTCTGTACTAATGTCATAAAAAAGAAATGCCTCAGCTGTGCTCCTGTGTACATTCCTGGCCATTGGTTCCCCACTGGAAAAATGTGGATGCCTTAGTCTGTGTGTAGAGAGTGTGGAAAGGTGGAAGGTTCTTTTAGAAATTAAGCATCTCTCTTTCTGTTAGGTAGTAATGAGTGGTTTCTTGTGTTAAGTGTCTCTTGCTGATAGCAGAAAGGATATATTCATTCTCTCCCCAGCCTAGAGCAGAAATGGAACAGAACATATTTTTCTATTTTAATGAGTATAGAATTAAGTGCACAGGGTTAAGAAAAACACTTAAAGCTGTATAACGAGCACTTTCTCAAAAATTGGATTTTGCTCTCCTGAGCTCTCCCCTAGAGCTTTCTACCATGTATTTTAGAAAGGGGGGGAAAAAAAGAACCACCTTCACTTCTTCTCTCAGTGGTCAAAACAAGACATAAAATAGATCTTTCTTTAAGAAGAGTTGAGCCATTTCCCAGCGATGCCACTTTATCTTTATGGAGAAGGAAGAAATATTACCCTGGGGACTACAAGGTAAAATAGTGACTTAACAGCAAGATGGTAAAATACTCCTTTCCTGAAACCTGGTGAAAGGAACCAAATCAATAAAAATAGAGGAAAAGCTTTCATCAGCTGAAATTTGGGAATAGCCCCAATCTTCAACCATGAATTCCAAGGTCTCTCTGCCACTTTGAGATCAAATTGAATTAAAGAATGACACACTGAGTACACAACTCCCAGTGTTGGGAAAAGTAACAGAGGGACCCCACAACTTGGAGAAATGGGCTGGAAGATGGGAGACCACCATCTAGAAGCCATGCTCTCTGGAAACCAGGGAATGCAGGCAGAGCATGTTCCCCATTTGCTCCAGCTTTTGAAGGGGATAAGGTCTGGGCTGAGGATGAGGATGGTGGGCTGGAGAGATGGGAAATCATATCCTAAGAGCTGGCTTTGTAGCTGAGGGCCAACAGTACCGAAAAGGCTATTGTACAAAGAAAAAATATATGCTGAACCACCAAACAAAAATCCTGCCAACTGTGGGGCTTTATTTTAACTTGACATCTTATCAGAGTGACCAGCTCAGTCCCTTTCGAGGGAATGAACCAAAATCCTAAGAGTGTCTCTCCACATCAGGACAGAGTACAACCCAACCCTCAACATACACATAAAAATTTAGAGGCATTGGCTCCAACAGACAAAGGGCTTGGAGATGAAATTTCCCAGTCGCAATTGTCCACAGCCAGCCCCAGTTCTCCTATCCCCTCTCAGACTGCTGAACTTTCAAACTAATAATTGAAACCTCTACAAGCATCCAGTTATCTACCTGAATTTTTAAGGAAAGAATTTGAGCACTGTCCAGGTAAACAGGAGTAAGGAAATTCTGCCCACTCTATTTTTGGGCAAATAAGTATAGACCAGTGGCTTTCAATTGGAGGCTTTCCATTCCTCTCCCCCAGGGGACATTTGGCAATATCTGAGGACATTTTTGGTCATCAAAAGTGGTGTGGAACCACTGGCGTCTAGAAGCTGGGGATGCTGCTAAGCCTCCTAACAGTGCCTACAGTAAGGAGCTAGTTGATCCAAAATGTCAGTTCTGTCAAGGGGGAGAAACTAGAGATCAGCTTCTCCTGTGAGAAGATTGATTAACAAATAAACAAAATCAACATGGTAGCCATTCAAATTCTGTAGGAAAAGTGGAGGGATTAATATAACATTTAATAAGAAAATTTATAATTCTTTGTACATTTTCATTAGTGTTAACAAGCTTAGTTGCAAACAAATACTTAAGCTAAAAAAAGAAAATTTACATGAGAAAATACAGGAATTGTTTAAACCGCTGATTTATATCTTCAGGGAAGTTGAAGAAAACAGTCGCTATCAAATAAAAAATGAAAGATGAGGTGCTAAGTTATAAAGAAGTTGTGAGAGTTATGGATTAAATTCCAGAAGAAGCATGCCATTACAAAGCACATAAAAAGTGCATTGAGAAGCTACAAAAAGCAGAATCAGAGTTAACAGAAAAAGCAGATCGGTGAGGAAGAGGCATGGTCTTGAAAGTTCACCCCAAAACGGGAAAATGTAGAAATGAACAGTATCACTGTGGCAGACAGCGAGGGAAGCAGAAGAGAGGGACAGTAGGGACCCCACACACAGATTCATTCTGGTGGGAATCTTGGGAACACTCGGTGTTCTCGGCGAACAGTGTGGAGCAAACTGAACAAACGTGAGAGTCAAAGGTGGAATAGAAAACATTTTTGAAGTGAAAAGGTGTTATAAGTTATCATGTCCCAGGGAAAATGAGGGAAATTTGACAAATAACAATGCCGATTAACTTATTAAATTTCAAGGGTGAAGAATCACCTACAAGTTTAAAAAAAAAAAAAGTTGGTCACCTATATTAGGTTTTTGTAGACAAATTTTTTTTAATTTTTAAATTTTTTTCTTTTTTAAAAGCACTTTCAAAAAACATTTTGTATTGAAATACACATACAGGAAGATATGTAAATCACAAGTGTACAGCTCAATACAGTTTTATAAAAGACACACTCATGTAAACAGCAGAACAGAATTTTACCAGCATCTCAGAAGCCTCCGAAGTCCACCCCTCCAGGCACGTGGCACCCAATCCCCTAAAGCATAGGCTGGCAGCCTGCAGACCAAACCTGGCCCACACTCATGTATAAAAGGGGTTTTTATGTTTTTAAATGGTTGAAAAAAAAAGTCAGTTGAAGAATAACATTTCACGACTCATGAAAATATCAGAGTCTGTAAAGTTTTATGAAAACATGACCAGGCTCATTTGTTGATCCGTTGTCTATAGCCACTTTTGCACTACAGCAGCACAGTTGAGTAGTTGCCCCTGAGATTGCAGAGCCTAAGATGTGTGCTGTCTGGTGCTTAACAGAGTAAGTTTGCTGACCCCTGTCCTAAGGTAACTATTCTATTCTAACTTCTTACCACACTGATCAGTTTTGCCTGTTCTTGAACTTCATACAATGGAATCATGAATATGTATCATATGCTCTTTCATATTTTGGCTTTTGCTCAATGATGTGTTTGTGAGATTCATCTATATTGTGTTTTTATTTTATTTATTTAATTTTTATTTATTTTTTTGAGACGGAGTCTCGCTGTGTTGACCAGGCTGGAACATAGTGATGCAATATCGGCTTACTGCAACCTTCGCCTCCCCGGTTCAGGTGATTCTCCTGGCTCAGACTCCAGAGTAGCTGGGACTACAGGCATGCGCCACCACACCTGGCTAACTTTTGTATTTTTTTAGTAGAGACAGGGTTTCGCCAGGTTGGCCAGGCTGGTCTGGAACTCCTGACCTGAGGTGATCTGCCTGCCTTGGCCTCCCAAAGTGCTAGGATTACAGGTGTGAGCCACCATGCCTGACCTATTTATTTATTTTTAGAGAGACAGGATATCACTGTTGTCCAGGCCAGAGTACAGTGATGTGATCATAGCTCACTGCAACCATGAACTCCTTGGCTCAAGTGATCCCCACACCTCCCAAGTAGCTGGGACTACAGGCACATGCCACTGTGCCTGGCTAATTTGTAAATTTTTTTTTAGAGACAAGGTCTCTCTTTGTTGCCCAGGCTAGTCTCCCACCTTGGCCTCTCAGCATGCTGGGATTGCAGGTGTGAGCCACCATGCCTGGCCCTGTGTTATCTGTATGTATGTACATTTGTTATCTGCCCCGTCGTTCATTCTCATAGCTGTACAGCATTCCATTTTTTGAATACACCACAGTGTATCCAGTAGGTCACTGATGGTCTTTTGGGTTGTTTCCAACTTGGGGTTATTATGAATCATGCTGATATAAGACATTCTTATACCTGTCTCTTGGTGCATTTATGTATACATGTGTATACTTAGGTATTTACCTAGGACTGAAATTGTGTGTGTTGAGCTTTAGTAGGTACCATTGGTCTTTCAAAGTGGTTGTTACAGTTTAAGCTCCCACCAGCATTGCTCCACGTTCTCACCAGCAAATGGTGCCATCCAGTCTTTGCCATTGTGGTAGATGTATAATAGTATCTCACTGTGGGTTTAATTTGAATTTCCCTGATGCCTAATGAGGGTGAGCAGTTTTTCATATGCCGTCTTTTGTGGAGTTCCTGTTCAAGTCATTTCTGTTCAAGTTCCGGTTCAAGTCATTCAAGTTGCTGTTCAAGCCCATTTCTGTATTGTTTTTCTTATTGAGTGGTAAGGGTTCTTTATTTTGGATATATGGGTTCTTAGCTGGATACGTGTATTGCAGTTCTCAGAGTAGAGTATTGAGATTAAAAAGTTTGATCCAAGTTCGACTTACTTAAGTCACCATCCATATGTAAAGTCTTCATAAAAACATTTTTTTTTAAATTTATTATTATTTTTTTTTATTGATCATTCTTGGGTGTTTCTCGCAGAGGGGGATTTGGCAGGGTCATAGGACAATAGTGGAGGGAAGGTCAGCAGATAAACAAGTGAACAAAGGTCTCTGGTTTTCCTAGGCAGAGGACCCTGCGGCCTTCCGCAGTGTTTGTGTCCCTGGGTACTTGAGATTAGGGAGTGGTGATGACTCTTAGCGAGCATGCTGCCTTCAAGCATCTGTTTAACAAAGCACATCTTGCACCGCCCTTAATCCATTTAACCCTGAGTGGACATAGCACATGTTTCAGAGAGCACAGGGTTGGGGGTAAGGTCACAGATCAACAGGATAAGTATTTTTCTTAGTACAGAACAAAGTGAAAAGTCTCCCATGTCTACCTCTTTCTACACAGACACAGCAACCATCCGATTTCTCAATCTTTTCCCCACCTTTCCCCCCTTTCTATTCCACAAAACCGCCACTGTCATCATGGCCCGTTCTCAATGAGCTGTTGGGCACACCTCCCAGACGGGGTGGTGGCCGGGCAGAGGGGCTCCTCACTTCCCAGTAGGGGCGGCCGGGCAGAGGCGCCCCTCACCTACCGGACGGGGCGGCCGGCCGGGCGGGGGGCTGACCCCCCCCACTTCCCTCCCGGACGGGGCGGCCGGCCGGGCGGGGGGCTGACCCCCCCACCTCCCTCCCGGACGGGGTGGCTGGCCGGGCGGGGGGCTGACCCCCCCACTTCCCTCCCGGATGGGGCGGCTGGCCAGGCAGAGGGGCTCCTCACTTCCCAGTAGGGGCGGCCGGGCAGAGGCGCCCCTCACCTCCCGGACGGGGCGGCTGGCCGGGTGGGGGGCTGACCCCCCCACCTCCCTCCCGGACGGGGCGGCTGGCAGGGCGGGGGGCTGACCCCCCCACCTCCCTCCCGGACGGGGCGGCTGGCAGGGCGGGGGACTGACCCCCCCACCTCCTTCCCGGACGGGGCGGCTGGCTGGGCAGAGGGGCTCCTCACTTCCCAGTAGGGGCGGCCGGGCAGAGGCGCCCCTCACCTCCCGGACGGGGCGGCTGGCCGGGCGGGGGGCTGACCCCCCCCACCTCCCTCCCAGACGGGGTGGCTGTCAGGCAGAGACGCTCCTCACTTCCCAGACGGGGTGGCTGCCGGGCGGAGGGGCTCCTCACTTCTCAGACGGGGCAGCTGCCGGGCGGAGGGGCTCCTCACTTCTCAGACGGGGCGGCCGGGCAGAGACGCTCCTCACCTCCCAGACGGGGTCGCGGCCGGGTAGAGGCGCTCCTCACATCTCAGACGATGGGCGGCCGGGCAGAGACGCTCCTCACTTCCTACATGGGATGGCGGCCGGGAAGAGGCGCTCCTCACTTCCTAGATGGGATGGCGGCCGGGCAGAGATGCTCCTCACTTTCCAGACTGGGCAGCCAGGCAGAGGGGCTCCTCACGTCCCAGACAATGGGCGACCAGGCAGAGACGCTCCTCACTTCCCAGACGGGGTGGCGGCCGGGCAGAGGCTGCAGTCTCGGCACTTTGGGAGGCCAAGGCAGGTGGCTGGGAGGTGGAGGTTGTAGCGAGCCGAGAGCACGCCACTGCACTCCAGCCTGGGCACCATTGAGCACTGAGTGAACCAGACTCCGTCTGCAATCCCGGCACCTCGGGAGGCCGAGGCTGGCGGATCACTCGCGGTTAGGAGCTGGAGACCAGCCCGGCCAACACAGCGAAACCCCGTCTCCACCAAAAAAAATCCATAAAAACATTTTTAAATATGCAAGAACTCAAATTTTCTAGAGATGAATCAAAATAATAATAGATGGGGAAGTTGTAGTATGGAGAGGCTGGCGATGAACACTAAATCTGTTCAAATGTAAAGTCTAACTTTAAATGACAGTTATTTTTCTAAAACAAAAGATATTTACTTAAACTCTACTTAAGATATATTTTTATGTTAAACATCTTAACATGTAGCAGAGGGAAATATGTTCCTGAGGATACCAGTGAAAAGCAGAAGTAAAGGAGGAGGTGGGAGAAATTATAGAGGTGCTAACTTTTCTCTTTAGAAGTACCGTTAGCATTTTTAAAAACATACTATAGATTTTCCAGATTACCAGGGATGGTGCTGATGGGGGAAATAGAAAATACAAAATCTGCAGCAAACGAGGAAGACAAGGAAGCACTAAACATGGAAAACATAAAATGCCGGAAATATATGTTATAACAATGAATGTAAGTAGGGTAAAGATTGAATTTAAGATTGAATAGCATTAAACAGCACCAAGAAGGTTAGTAAACCTTGTTTCACTGTGAGAAAAAAGAGAACCGTATGCTGAAGGATCTAAATACTTGGTTAAGTTCAGGTGAAACTTTTTTTTTTTTTTTTTTTTGAGACAGAGTATCACTCTGTCACCCAGGCTGGAGTGCAGTGGCGCGATCTCGTCTCATTGCAACTTCCGCCTCCTGGGTTCAAGCCATACTCCTGCCTCAGACTCCCGAGTAGCTGGGGTTACAGGCGTGCACCACCACGCCTGGCTAATTTTTGTATTTTTAGCAGAGATGAGGTTTCACCATGTTGACCAGGCTGGTCTCTAACTCCTGACCTCAAGTGATCTACCCACCTCAGCTTCCCAAAGTGTTGGGATTACAGGCCTGAGCCACCATGCCTGGCCTGAAACTTTTTTTTTTTTTAATGGAGTATGCCAGGCTTCTCATGTAAGATCACTTTGAGAAGTCTAATTGTCCCACCGTTGGTGAAGCCCAGGTGTCACTAGGTTAAGGTGGTAAGAGCAAGAGCCAGGTCTTGCCATTATAAAGTTATGTTTTCCCCTTTGTGTCCAGCAAATAATTTGTCAGGCAATACTTCACCACCATGTGATTATCCAGTTCCCCATCAATCTTTAGTCATATCATGTCTACTGATGATCCTTGTGTAAGTTAATTTTTCATTAGGGATTGCAAACTGATGATATTCTAATTCTGTCCATCCTTTTTTTACGTTTAATACCTTACAAAACCTGAAAGATGCTCAATAATTCAGTCACAGAAGGACAAATGCTGCATGATTCCACTTATATGAGTTTTTGTAAAATAGACTTATAGAAGTAGCAAATAGAATGTGATTGCTAAGGGATGGGGGAGGGGGAGATGAGTTGTTCAGTGGGTATAAAGTTACAGTTATGCAAGATGCGTAAGTTCTAGAGATCTGCTGTACAGCATACTAAACATACCATATTGTGCAGTTAAAAGTTTAAGAGGGCAGATCTGGCCTGGTGCAATACCTCTGCCTGCAATCCCAGCACTTTGGGAGGCCGAAGTGGGAGGATCACTTGAACCCAGGAGTTTGAGACCACCCTGGGCAACAAAGCCCATCTCTGCAGACAAAAAAAAAAAAAAAATAAGTAAAATAGATTCTGAAAGAAGGGTAGATCTTATCTTTAGAGTTCTTACCAAAAAAAGTGCTGTTCTTCATTTGATTACTTTCTAAGTAAGAAAGCCAGGATAATGCATAATTTTCCCCTTAATTACCAATTGTCAGAATATAAGAGTTGGCTTAATATCACATTTCATCAGTTGGAAGAAGTGTGAGCATATGTGGCTTTATACTACTTAAAAAGCATCTCAAAGCTCTCTGAAGTCGGGATATAGCTTATAATCAATGATGTCTTATACTAGTTGTTGGCCAGGCAGCCATTATGGCACCCGTATACACGCATGAATTTGGTCATAGCTTTTCATATTGTTATCTCGGTGAGTTATGAATATTGTTAGTATTATGTGTGTTAAGATTAAATACTGTTTAAATTGTCTTCAAAAAGAGTACAGTGTGATTCAGTATTGAAACAAAGTTATTGTGTGTAGAAACATGGAAACTAAGCTTCTGAGCATTTCTTTTTTATTTTTTTTGAGACAAGGTCTTACTCTGTCTCCCAGGCTGGAGTTCGGTGGTGTGATTCCCACTCACTACAACCTCTGCCTCCCAGGCTCAAGTGATCCTCCCACCTCAGCCGTTTGAGTAGCTGGGACTACAGGCGTGCGTGCCACCACGCCTGCCTAATTTTTGTTTGTTTATTTGTTTTTTGGTAGAGGTGGGGTTTCACCATGTTGCCCAGGCTGGGCTCAAGCAATCTGCCCACCACAGCCTCCCAAAGTACTGAGATTATAGGCATGAGCCACCACAGCTGGCCCAGATTTTTTTTTCAATAAATATACTGGAACGCTTTTTGGAGATTTGTAAAAAATTTGAAAAAACTGACAAAATGCATAGCCTAGAAATATTGAAAAAATTTATTAATAAATGGTAAATATGTCACAAATACATAAAATATATGTAGATACTAGTCTATGTGTTAATTATCTGTTATCAGTAAGACTTCCAGTCAACAGTAGGCTATTAGTAAAGTTTCAGAGAAGTCAACAGATATATGCAGGTTTTCAACCACACTGGGAGTTAGTGCCCCAACCTCCATGTTGTTCAAGAGTCAACTGTATTCTTGTAAAACATGCAACTCATTTACTGCATTTAGCTTATATTTTTCTTTTTATGTATATATAGTGATAGATCCATCTAAGCAAGTCTAAAAGCTTTTTCAATGAATATGAGATAAAAAGTGAAAGTGATTATGTATAGTATTGCCATGGTTTAAGTGACAAGGTTTATCTTTTAATGGTAACTCATAGAAATTATGCATATTATAGCAGTTAAAATGAAAATGAAGTGAATAGTCACCTTCAAGGACAAAGGAGTGTTTGTTATTTTTTCCTCTTTTCTCTTTTTTGAGCATCATTATGGACTAATGAATATTTATATATTTAATGAGTTTTAGTTACAGTCATTCTTCTTGCTCAGATTGTCCCAAATTTGGCCAGTGGGATGCCCCTTCAGGCCAGCTCCTGTGGTCTTTGGACATACCTCACCCCAGATCATTCTTTGATCATTTCTTTGCTTTTTGTTCAACAAGAAATATCCAGGGCACATCATCCTTTTCCTGCCTCAGACCTTGAATTAACCATTTCTCCAAGACCACCTGATTTCTTTTTTTTGTTTTTTTTTTTTTTGGCTTGGTCACCTGGTTCGTCCGTCCTTCCTTCCGTCCGTCCGTCCGTCCGTCCTTCCTTCCTTCCTTCTCTTTCTCTCTCTTCTTTTCTTTTTTCTTTCTTTCTTTCCCTTTCTTTTCTTCTTTCTTTTTCTTTCTTTCTTTCCTTCTTTCCTTTTCTTTCCCTTTCTTTCCTTTCCTCTTCTCTTCTCTTTTGTTTTTTCTTTTTTTAGACAGAGCGAGGCTCTGTCTCAAGGCTGGAGTGCAGTGGTGCGACCTCAGCTCACTGCAACCTCCGCCTCCCAGGTTCAAGTGATTCTCCTGCCTCAGCCTCCTGAGTAGCTGGGACTACAGGCACCCGCCACCATGCCAGCTAATTTTTTGTATTTTTAGTAGAGATGGGGTTTCACTGTGGTAGCCAAAATGGTCTCGATCTCCTGACCTCGTGATCCGCCTGCCTTGGCCTCCCAAAGTGCTGGGATTTCAGGTGTGAGCCACCGCGCCTGGCCCACCTGGTTCCTTTTAAGGGATAATGGTGTTTAGAAATCAAAACCAGAGAGCTAGGGGTACTTACAGCTACTAGAATGTCATTGCTCTTATGTTTCTCCAGTGGACAGGACCCGAGTTCATAATGATATTTATAATTCAGACTTAACAGTACAGAGGTTTTACTTCTTTGATTTTTATATTTGTATCTCCTTTATGTTATGCTTAATAAGACACTTAATATCTTAGTTCCTAGCTCAGGATCCTTTAAGTACCGTATATAACATTTATTCAATATATAAAATGAAAACTATTTGAAAATGAGACATTTACATAACAAGAAATCGATGGTGGTAGTGTATATATATATGTTACACATATGCATGCACAGAAGATTATAGTATCTGTAATATATATCTTCATATAACATATATGAGGATAATTAAATTTGTACATGTATACTAGTTTGATAACTTTGTTGTAAGTCAGCAACTTTGTTGTCAGATTTCTTCTCTAGAATATCTTTTCCCTTATACTCAGGAGAGGAGACATAAGTAAAAGAAACTGCTTTTAAGAGACTCCTTGGGCTGCCCTGTAAACTGCTGAAAGTGGCTTTGGTTTTGTTTGGCACTTGAAGCTTTCTCTGCCCTTTGTGTTTTAGTGGCCTTCCCAGGGAAACCTGACCAGCCAGTTCTAGGTTGTCTTGGTTTTAGATCTTCGTATCTTGTTTTCCAGCTATTGGGATGGAGTTGCTAAGATTTAGTTTGTGCCTTCTCCTTGAAAATTTCCTTTCTCTGTCCTTAACCGTGTAAGTTTTGAGTTTTTGTGACTTAGGGCAGAAGGTGGTCACCAAAAGCTACATGATGTTTCTCTTCCCAGCATAAGACCCTGCAGTCAATTTGTTACTTTGAATTTTCTCCAGACAATAGCAACTGGAACAGAGCCCAGAAGTTCTGGCATATTCTTATGTTCTATTTTCTGTATACCGTGTGGTCTCCTAGCACCTATAAAGAGCTTTCAGACCACTGCCTCCATCACCCACATTCTCATATTCTCTTTCTCTCCCTCCCCACTCCCCCCTGCTCTCCCTTGGCCTTCTCCTCTCCCCACCTCTTCACATGCATCCTTCTGTAATTCTATTTTATGGTTCAAAATAGTGCCCATTTGGAATGAATCATTTCTAACTTTTTAGTTGAAAATACTCATTCATGAAATGTTTAAGCACTGGTACCTTGCATCTCACCTGATCTTCAACAATTCTATTATGTAAAAACATTATTTTAACTACTTTGAGGCTCATAAAGGTTGTGTAATTTGCCCACAGTCACATAGTTTGTTTGGCGGAGCCTGGACAACAGCTACCTGTTGAGCTTATGTTATGTGCCAAATACTGTGCTAAGCCCTTTGTGTATTTTACACATAGAGGCATGAGGATTAGAGAGGTTGGGAAGTAACTCATTGTAGTTGCCCAGGTTTCCGTCTGCAAGATCAGTATTTGTTATTCTGTGCTACATTAACAATTACGTAACAATTATGTTTTATACATGCCTCAATAATTGACATTGTATACAAGATGCTCTAGAAGTCCAGAGGGAAAACACCCTGAGAAAGTTCAATAGGGCTTCGCAGAAAAAGTGGCATTTAAACTAGGCCCTTTCTTGGAGCTGGAGCTGCAAGGAAAGAAAGGGAAAAAAAATGAGTTTTTCCAAAAGGAGAGATCCAGAAAGGCACTGTTGTCAGTGAGAAAACATATTTAAGGTTACATGGGATACCGAGTGGTTGTGTGGCAGAGCCCTTAGTGGCTGGGACAGGTTGCAAGGCAGGGAGGTGTGTGGAGATGGTGTGGTGGGGACTTTGTGGACCACATTCTGAAATTTAGATTCTGTCTTCTGTCCAGCGTGGTATAATAATGGAAAGTGATGTAAACAGATTTTTGTTTGGGGACTATAACTGGTGGTATTGGGTAGGATGACTTAGGAGGGCTCAGACCAACTGTTAGGAGACCATGGTGATAATTGAGGCAAGAGCCTGACCCAGGACAGTAGGGAGGGGTGAGGAGCCTCCATGAGTAGACGCCGTCAGTGGCAAGCTACTTTGATCAGGTCAGGTCATCTGCCTGGCTGCACACTCCATGGCTGTTATTTTTTTTTTAATTTTTAATTTTTAATTTTTTTTACTGGAACACAGCTGAACTCAGTTTAAACTTGCTTTTACTCTGCTATTCTTAGAGTTCGTAATGACATATGTATATACCTTTATGCTTGTACGTGTGTGTATGTACAAATGTATGTGTGATTGTGTGTACACGAACTAGCATCTTATACATGCTGTACTGAAATTTTTTTTCTCCCACTTAAAATATCTTGGAGGTCATTTTCTGTCAGTAAATCTGAAGCTACTTAATTCCTTTTGACAACTGCTCAATATTTCATTATATGGATATGCTGTAATGCATTTAACTAGTCCATAATAATGGACATTTAGGTTATTTCTGATATTTTTCCATTACAAACAATGATATAATGAGTATTCTTGTTACATAGGTCATTTTTTACATATACAATTATAACCAAATTCCTAGAAATAAATTTTTTGAGGAATTTGAAATTCTTTGAAATTGCTAATTCAAACAGATTGTGCATTTGTCATTTTAATGTATTGCTAAATTATTCTTTATACTGCCTGTATCCTCACCAACACAATGACTTATCAGACTTTTTGGTAGGGACTCCTCTGAAAGAGGGAAAATGACATCTCATTGTAGCTTTATGCGTGTTTGAGCCATTTGCATTTTTCAAGAACCATTGGTATCTTTTTTTCATTTTCCTCTTGTGTTGTTGACCTTGTTCAGCTATAGTAGCTCTTGATATATTAAGGAAATTAGCCTTTTGACTGATGTGAGTTCCAGATCTCTCTTCCCAGTGTGATGTTTGTCTTTCAGCTTGACTTTCAGTAGTTATTACAAAGTTTTTCTTCAGTTGATTTATCAGGGTTTTATTTATTTATTTTTGGGAGTGGCTTTGGAATTTTATGTCATACTTAGAGAAGACCCTTCTTCCTGATTATTTTTTAAAACTTCCATTTTTTTCCTTCTAGCACGTGTATAGTTTAATTTTTTTTTTTATTTTAATCTTTCAGCCATTTGGAATGGATTTGGGGGATAAGGTATTAAGTATGGATCAAACTTTTTTCCCGCAGTTGTCCTAACACTACACATTGAAAGTTTTATCTTTCCCTATTGATAGGAAATGCCATTAGGTATCTTATGTGTAGGTCTTGTCTGCCTGGCTAGATCATACAGTTTTTAAAGGCAACAGTCAGGTATTATTCTATCTTGTATGCCCCATAAAGCTGAGCATAATGATCTGGATAAAATAGGTATTAAATTAATTTTTTACATTTAAAAAATTGTGATTTATATAACATAGGAAAGTACCTGAAACATTCACATAGAGTTTAATGAAATTTTATAAAATGAACCTGTGTGACCACCACCTGGATCAAGAATTAGACCACTTCTAGCCCCCCAGGAGTCACCTCTATGCCCTTTCTTATCTTTTTTTTTTCCCTTGATGCAGGGTCTTGCTGTGTCACCCAGGCAGGAGTGCAGTGGTGCAATCATAGCTCACTGCAGCCTTGAACTCCTGGTATCAAGTGATCCTCCTGCCTCAGCTTTCCAAGTAGCTGGGACTATAGGCACATACCAACAAGCCTGGCTAGGTTTTTATTGTTGTTATTTGTTTGTTTGTATTGACAGGGTCTCACTATGTTGCCCAACCTGGTCTCAAACTCCTGGACTCAAGTGATCCTCCCCTTGGCCTCCTAAAGTGCTGGGATTACAGGTGTGAGCCACCGTGCCCCGACCTGTATGCCTTTCTAATCACATTCCTCTCCCATCCCCTAGAAGTAACCATTCTCTTAACTTTTGTGACAATGATTTCCTTGCTTTTCTTTTTATTAAGTTGAACCATATAAAATTATCATTTTTTGATAGGTCAAACATCATTAACTGTCTGCAATTTCATATTTCAGCCTAGTAGTTTTTACTCACTGTGTATGGATCTCTAAGCAGTATAGTTTGAGTCTGTTATTGAATATCATTTAAATGGAATCTTAACTGTATTCTGCTGTATTAGTCCATTTTCACGCTGCTGATAAAGACATACCTGAGACTGGGTAATTTATAAAGAAAAAGAGGTTTAATGGACTCACAGTTCCACGTGGCTGGGGAGGCCTCACAATCATGGTGAGAGGCATGTCTTACATGGCAGCAGACAAGAGAGAATGAGAGCCAAGTGGAAGGGGTTTCCCCTTATCAAACCATCAGATCTCATGAGACTTATTCACTACCATGAGAACAGTATGGGGGAAACTGCCTCCATGATTCAGTTATCTCTCACTGGGTCCCTCCCACAACACGGAATTATGGGAGCTACAATTCAAGATGAGATTTGGGTGGGGACACAGCTAGACCATATCATCTGCGCTGTGCTGCTTTCACTCACTATGCTGTTGTAGTCAACCATGCTGTTGCAGGTTTCTGATTTTCATTGCGGAATATATTCCATAATATCACTACTGCATTTCAAGAGAAATCCATTCCACTGTTGCTGAATTATGGGTTGTGTCTTTATTTGGACTATTTTAACAAAAATACCGGCCAGTCCCAGTGTCTCAAGCCTGTAATCCTAGCACTTTGGGAGGCCGAGGCAGGCAGATAGATTGAGCCCGGGAGTTGGAGACTAGCCTGGGCAACATGGCAAAACCCTGCCTCTACAAAAAAATAGAAAAATTTGCCAGGCATGGTGGTGCACACCTGTAGTCCCAGCTACTCAGGAGGCTGAGGTGGGAGGATCACTTGACCCTGGGAGGTCGAAGCTGCAGTAAGCTGTGATCATGCCATTGCACTCCAACCTGGGCATCAGAGTGAGACCCTGTCTCTAGAAAAAAAATCCCATAGTCTGGGTGGTTTAAATAATGAACATTGATTTCTCACAGCTGTAGAGGCTGAGAATGCTAAGATCAAGGCACCAGCAGATCTGGTGTCTGTCGAGGGCCCTCTCTTAGCTTGTAGACAGCCACCTCCTCGCTATATCTTCACATAGGAGAGGAGAGGGAAAGGGGAAGCAAGCTCTCTGGTATCCCTTCCTATAAGGACACTAGTGCCATTCAGGAGGGTGCCACCCTCTTGACCTAATTACCTCCCCAAAGCCCTACCTCCAAATGCTATCCCATTGGGGATTAGGCTTCAACATACAAATTTGGGAGGGACACAAACCTTCAGTCCACAGCAGGCTGTCTACAGCTTTGACTCTTGCAGACAGTGTTGCTGTGAAAATCTTTGTATGTGGGTTTTAATGTGTGTGACTAAGATTTCGCCTAAGGATCAGCAAATTGTGGCTCACTGTTTTTTTCTTTTACTTTTTAAATACTTTATTTTGAAATAATTTTACATTTATGGGAGAGTTACGAAGTTAGTGCAGCGAATTCCTGTATACCCTTTATATACTTTCTCTTGCTTGTAAATGTCTTACGTAATTATGGTATATTTAAAATGAAGAAATTAACGTTGGTACAATACTGTTAACTACAGACTTTTTGGATTTCATCAGTTTTTCCACCAATGGTCCTTTTTCAGTCATAGGACCCAATGTAGGTTACTCTATTACATTTAATTGTCATGTCTTCTTAGATATGAAGCAAACTTACCAACTGTAGTACAGTAGGTACACACTGTGTGTATAGTTTTTTTGTTTTTAGCCTCCTAATATCCAGCCACATCACTGTTTTCCAAAGCTGCTACTATGTAGCCTTTTGGGTCTGTTTTCTTTCACTTAGAAAAACTCATTTAAAATTCATCCATGTTGTTACGTGAATGGTTGGTTCCTTTTTACAAATTGAGTTGAGCTTCACGTAAAATTAACCATCTTAAAGTGAACAATTCAGTGGCATTTAGTACATTCACAATGTTGTACAACCACATCTCCCTCCAGTTTTAAAATATTTTCATGATTCCAAAAAAACACCGTTACCCATTAAGCAGTTACTCCTCATTCCTACCCAGCCCCCAGCCTCTGGCAACAACCACCAGTTTGCCTTTTTGTTTCTATAGATTTACCTATTCTGAGTATTTCATATAAATGGAATCATACAATGTGTGACCTGTTTTGTATCTGGCTTCTTAACAAAATGTTTTTGGTGGGGCACAACAGCTTATGCCTGTAATCCCAGCACTTTGGGAGGCCAAGGTGAGTGGATCACCTGAGGTCAGGAGTTCGAGACCAGCCTGGTCAACATGGTGAAACTCTGTCTCTACTAAAAATACAAAATTAGCTGGGTGTGGTGGTGCATGCCTATAATCCCAGCTACTTGGGAGGCTGAGGCATGAGAATTACTTGAACCTGGGAGGCGGAGGTTGCAGTGAGCCAAGATCGCGCCATTGCACTCCAGCCTGGGCAACAAGAGCAAAACTCCATCTAAAAAAAAAAAAAAAAATGTTTTCAAGGTTCATCCATATTGTAGCATGTATCAGAACTTCTTTTATTTAAATTGTGGTAAAGTATGTATAACTTAAATTTGCCATTTTAATCATGTTTATGTGTACAGTTTAGTGGCATTAATTACATTCACAATATTGTGCAACTGACACCACTGTCTGTTTCCAAAACTTCATCAGCCTAAACAGAAACTCTGTCCCATTAAGCAATAACCCCTCATTTCCTGCTCCTCCCAGCCCCTGCGAACCTCTCATCTACTTTCTGTCTCTAGGAATCTGCCTCTTCTAGATAATTCATATCAGGGAAATCCTACAGTATTTGTCCTTTGTGTCTGGTTTATTTTACTTGGTATAATGTTCTTAAGGTTCATCCTTGTAATAGCATGTATCAAAACTTCATTCCTTTTTTGGCTGAGTAATATTCTGTCATGTGGACATACGCATTTTATGTATCCATCCACCTGCTGATGGATGATTATGTTGTTTTCACCTTTTAGTTGTGGTGAATAAATGCTGCTCTGAACATTGGCATACAAGTATCTGTTTGAGCCTCTGTCTTCAGTTTGATTGGGTATTTACCCAGGAGGGCTTCTTTCACTTAACAAAATGTTTTTGGCCGGGTGCGGTGGCTCACTGGAGGGAAGTAGCTTGCTGACCCCTGGTCTTGAGTGTGTATCTAGAAATGGAATTACTGGGTCAGGCAGGATGCAACTGTTTAGCTTTATTGGATAATGGTAGGCGGAATCCCAAAGTGCTTAGATCACAGCTTTGACAACACTTGGTTTTATCAGATTTTTAAATTTTTGCCAATTTGGTCCATATGTGATGGTGTTTTATTGTGATTTTAATTTGTATTTCCTGATTTCTAATGGAGTTGAACACCTTTTCACATGTTCATAAGCCATGTGGGTTTCCTGTTTTCTAGCATGCCTATTAACTTTCCTGTTGGTGGTTTGCTTTTCTAAATTAATATTGACTAATTGATATTCCAAAAATGTTTACTCTCTGTGTTTCTGCAGAACAAATAGTGGAGAAAGATGAAGGTCCATATTATACTCACTTGGGATCTGGCCCCACGGTCGCCTCTATCCGGGAACTCATGGAGGAGCGGTGAGTGATACACAGATGTCCAAGGAGAAATGGATGTGCTGTTAATGGAATACGGATATTAAGCGCCTCTCATTTTTCTTTGCCTTGTAACAGACAATATACAGAAAGGAAACCCTGATAACGGGCTTAGGGAAGGTTTACTGTGGGATCCTCACTTCCATTGTTTCTGGGTTTCTTTCATTCTGTAGGTCTGCCCAATTCATGTCCCCCTGCTTCTCTCTGTCTTGAAATGTTTTTATGGTTATATGGCTCTATGTCCTGTAGAGTTAGTTTCCTACATCTGAATTTTGCTGATAGCTTTCCCGTGGTATTGTGGTATCATTAAAAGTGTTTAACATGCCTCTATGTCCTATAAATTGGTAGTTAGACCAAAAGCCCTGATTGAGATCAGGTTATTTTTCCTTTTTTTCCAAAACTACCTCATAGGTGGAATTTTTTACCTCCCCTAAGAGGAATATAATGTCTCACTCCTGGCCAGTGGAAACCTACTCAGGTTGTCCCCTAAATCCTTTGGACAGGATCGTAGGAGTGTTTCATAGCTTTCTTGATTTCTCATATGACAAGATATCCTGGGTTCACATTGTACGTTTATCCAAGAAGTCCTGGTTCCTTTTATTGGAGGAAAAGGTATTTAGAAAACAGACTCTGTCTACTAGGGGCACTCATGACTACACAGGGGTTGTTCATTGTTTTTAGGCTGCTTATGTAGAAAGAGCTATGTTGAATCTGGATTTTTCATTTTTGTTACTGCTTAGTGATTATATACATCATGAGTTTATATTGACACTCCCAATTCAAATTCAGGACTCTAGGGTTTCTGTTTACTAGTTGTGGTTTTTGAGCAGTTCATGCAGATGGAGACTTGGAAACCCATGTGCGTGTCCACGGCAGGTAGTAAACACTCTAAGTTCGAGTCTATGGCTCAGGGGCTGAGAGCAGGGACTTGAGCCAGACTGAGGCCCAGTCCTGGCCCTGCCACTCACTGCTGAGTCCCTAGCAAGTTGTTCTGCTCTTCTGTGACTCAAGTTTTCTTATCTGCAAAATAGAGATGCTGATAAAAACACACTGTAGGAGTGTCCCGAGGATAAACTGAATTGATGAATTGATGTGTGGAAACACTTAGTGCTTGTCATGAGGACTATGGAAAAGGTAGATAGTCATTAACTACCTCACAGACAAATGCACTGATTGCATTTTTTAGAACAAGCATTAGTGTTTTTTGTTTGTTTGTTTGTTTTGTTTGTTTTTTTTTGAGACGGAGTCGTGCTGTCACCCAGGCTGGAGTACAGTGGCACAATCTCAGCTCACTGCAAGCTCCGCCTCCAGGTTCACGCCATTCTCCTGCCTCAGACTCCCAAGTAGCTGGGACTACAGGCGCCTGCCACCACGCCTGGCTAATTTTTTGTATTTTTAGTAGAGATGGGGTTTCACCGTGTTAGCCAGGATGGTCTCGATCTCCTGACCTTGTGATCCGCCCGCCTCGGCCTCCCAAAGTGCTGGGATTACAGGCGTGAGCCACTGCGCCCAGCTGCATTAGTATTTTAATAATAAAAGCTAAGATGATGTAGACATAAGCATATGCTTGCCCATACATATACATACAGATAAGTGGAAAGTTGTGTGGCTTAGAGTTGTCGCAAATTTGGGAACCCCATTTTGTCTGACCATGAGAGCCAAATACTTTTTTTTTTTTTTTTTTTTTTTTTTTGAGACGGAATCTGCTCTGTCCTCCAGTCTGGAGTGCAGTGGTGTGGTCTTGGCTCACTGCAACCTCTGCCTCCCAGGTTCAAGCAATTTTCCTGTCTCAGTCTCCCGAGTACCTGAGACTACAGGTACATGCCACCACTCCAGGCTGATTTTTGTATTTTTAATAGAGACGGGGTTTCACCATGTTGGCCAGGCTGGTCTCGAACTCCTGACCACAGGTGATCTGCCCACGTTGGCCTCCCAAAGTGCTGGAATTACAGGTGTGAGCCACCGTGCCTGGCAAGGAGCCAGATACTCTTGTCTGTGTAGCAGGAAACATGATTTTGAGCTGAATGACTATAACAGCTTCTCTGAATAAATAAAAGGTAAGATACATGGAGGACAGTGATCTGCAGTCATCACTGTTAATTTCCTAGACCATCTGGGAACATTTATATTCACCAGTCTGTAAATTCCAGCCTGGTATGAGGGCACTTCTGAGTCCATGAGCATGAGACAGATTTGAAGCTGTGTGCAGTGTTGTCGTGCTTGCCTGCATGTGCTCACATGCCTGTGTGTTGTAGTTTGCAGATTAGACCAGGCAGCTTCTGGGCCGGTGATTTTTGTAAGGAATCCTGACACTATCATTTGCTGCAGGGGAGTCAAATGTACAAGTTTGATCTGGGGCAGGTTTTTTGTTCTGGGGTATTTTGGGGTAACAATTTTATAAGATTTCCAGACAGCTCTCTTAAACAACTTTTCATTATAGAAAAGTATTTTGAAACAAGGATCAAGAGATCTTTGAAATTTGGTAAGATAAGGTTGACATATGTCTTTTTTTTTTTACCCCCTGATTCTTTAAAAATAACAGCCAGCTGTAGACTCTTCAGAAACTGATCCAAGGGAGGAATTCCTCTCAAGACCAGGAATACTTGTGTTTTTCCTTAGCAACTGGTTTATTTTTATCTTAAGGACCTTGCAAATCATGTAACAGATTGCAGTTCCATCTTTACGTTGCCTGCTAGTAAACTTGGAGTCAGATTTGTGTACCCCATCAGGAGGAAGGTAATTTCTCATCTTTGGCCCATAGAACCTATTCAGGTTCATTCCTCTGGGTTTTTTTTTTTTTTTTTTTTTTTTTTTTTGTCTATTTTATTTTGTTTTGTTTTTGACATGATCCTAACAAGCCTTTTTTGGATTTCTCATATAACAAGATATTCCAGGCTTGTCTCTCAAAAATACACACGAAACCCCACTGATTGTATTTTGTGTACCAGCATACCTTTTTTTTTTTTTGCCCTTTACTCTGATTTCATCACCTGTTAGTTTTATCTTATAGATATCTTCATAAGATCCTTTCTGGAACGAGGGGAGTAATGAGTGATTGATGCAAATCCCCTGGGTAGGGGTCTAGTTTGTGAATGGTAGGTCTAGGCTGTCTCTTTTCCTAGACTCTTCCTCAACCCTTTCTCTTCAGGACTGCTCTGCTGTCAGGAGTTGGCTGAAGGCAGGGAGGGGAAGTAAACTGAAATCAGGGAAACCTGGTTCTCTTAGCTTTTCCAGTAAAGATTTTGGAGAAAGGAGGGGAAGGTTGAAAGCAAATCCTAAAATGTCCCAACTTATTTATGAGTGTCATACTTTGTGGGTACCTAGGTCCTTATCTTCATAGATAATTGGAGTCAGTTGTCAAACTCGTATCTGAGACCGGTGCACAGCACAGAGCCTTGTGTGTTCTGTCTGGGAAGGAGATTCTCTGCAGCCTAGGAGTTCATTAAATGCTTGTTCTAGGAACAAAGAACCAACACTGCACTAGCAGGTTCTCTGAGATTTGGGGGAACTGGTCTCATTACTGTGTGACAGAGACAATCCTGAAAAGGCAAAGCCTCAGAGCAGTGGTTGTCAGACTTCAGTGGGCCTCAGAGTCTCTAGAGGGTTTGTTAAAGCACAGATGACTGGGCCCCACCTGAGTTTCTGACCCAGCAGGTCTGGAATGGGATCTGAGAATCTATGTTCCATTCCTACCAAATTTCTAGGGGATGCTGATGCTGCTGGCCCTGGGACCACCCTTGGAGAGCCAGTTATCCTTTAGAATAAGATGATTGGCTTGTATGATTAGTTATCCTTTAGAATAAGATTTCAGGCTATCTATGCAGACTTAGTTGAGGGTCTGATAGTTAATCTGAATACTAGAAGGGCCTCTTCATGATAGGCCAAAAAGTAAGGCACTTGAGAAGAAAGAGCTAAAATGAGAGTTGATTGGCTGTCTTTAAACACAAAGAGACAGTCAGTTCTGTTTTTGTTTTTGTTTTTGTTTTTTTAAGTCTAGCTGATCAGACAGTGCTTGGCCCTTTTATTTGTCTAATGCGAGGTTCACTGCAGGACATGTTTCTCACAGGGGCGGGATGGTGGGGAAGGTCCTGGTTGGAAAGTGGTGGCAGTGTCCTCAGCTCACCCTCCTGCGAGGAATGCGATAGTGCTTCCGTCTCAGCGAGAGGAGTGTGGTCACCTCAGGCTGTTCTCCCAACAGGGATCTCCACGACACACCAGGGGCCCAGGCCCTGCCCTTATGGGTGGCTTCCTGATAAATGCTTGTTGAAATGAAAGTTGTCCAGGAACCAGACAAAAGCAGCATTATGTGATCTTTTCCTCTTCATCCAGACCATGCTATATAAACCCCTGAGTCCTGTCTCCAAATGCTTTCTGTAAGAGAACAGAGCCTTAGAATTTTAATGTTGTAATTATCAGAAACAGTTTTCATCCTTTTGCTAAGATCTTGAGTGAAATAGAGAACATGGAACTCAGAGGAACCTTAGATCAGCATTTTAAAAAAATGTTTGTGGCCTGACAAGAGCTTGTTTTAAAAAATTAATTCGTTAATTAAAAAAAAATTATAAACTGTTCTCTTTTTCAATTACAAAAATGAAACAAAGGCTTTAAAAGTCTAAAGAACGAATAAAGCGCTAAAGTTCAATGCTTATTTTTCAATATTTTCTAAGGATTTACAAAGATATTTGTATATATACAGAGATAAATGTATTAATATGTATATAGAGAAGTTTTAAACCAAATGTGGTCCATTATACCCACTGTCTGTAGCTTGCTTTTTCCCCCCCACTTAATTTCTTTCCATGTCAGTACATACAATTCTACCTAATCATTTTTGATGGGACATGGTTTTTCATTGCATGAAAATTGATATTTTTTGTGAAATTTATTATAATGTATTTAACCAGTCTCATGTTAGACATATAAGTTGTTTCATTTTTCTGTTGTTGATGAGACAGTGAATTATCTTGTTCCTAAAGCTTGGTGCATTTGTATGGTTATTTCTGGGGTGGAGATTCCTAGAAGTGGAGTGGGTAAGATAAAGAATATGTGTATTCTGAACTGTAGAAGCTATGATAACATTCATGCTCTATGAAATAGTATATTAAAATAACATGCCATGATCAAATTGAATTTATTACAGAAATACAAGGTTATAGTATGCTGTGTTAATTGCTCAAATAAAAAACATTCAATCATCTGTCTCCTTATGTGTTAAAAATATATTTTATAAAAATAATTCTTGATTAAAAATCCTTAGGACAGGAGACTCTTAGTGGCACCCTTCAAAGTAAGGAAATCTGTCGCTTTCCCAAAGTTAGCCAGTTTCATGCTCAGTGATGAATTGTTGGAAACATTTTCAGTAAAGTCGGGAAGAAGCAGAGATGCCCGCCAGCCCTTCAGAAACTTGGCCAGGCCTGGCATGCGTGGCTCACACCTGTAATCCCAGCACTTCGGGAGGCCGAGGCGGGTGGATCATGAGGTCAGGAGTTCAAGACGAGCCTGGCCAACATGGTGAAACCCTGTCCTTACTAAAAATACAAAAATTAGCTGGGCGTGGTGGCAGGCACCTGTAATCCCAGCTACTCGGGAGGCTGAGGCAGAGAATTACTTGAACCCGGGAAGCGGAGGTTGCAATGAGCCGAGATTGCACCACTGCATTCCAGCCTGGGCGACAGAGTGAGACTCCGTCTCAAAAAGAAAGAAAAAAAAAGAAAGCCCCTGGCCATCTTAGGTGCTTTCTTTATGGCTAGAGCTATAAAGAATAGAAGGGAATAGGTGGCAAATGACCATTATCTGCAGGTGATATGACATTGCACCTGAAACTAAAAAACTGTTAAAAATAAGAAGATTCTGTAAGATGGCGTTTACATTATTAAAAATAATTACTGTTTATTGGACTCTTTCCTCATGCCAGGAACTTCAAAGCACTTTAAATAATATACTCCCTGTGGACTATTGTTTGATCTTTACCAAGCCCAGGAGGTGGGGATCATTTTAATCTCCATTTTACAGATGAGAAAACTGAGGCTTAGAGAAGTTTAGTAATTTGGCCACAGTTATATAGCAAGACAGTGGCAGGGCTGGCACTCACACCCAAGTCTGTCTGATGTCCAGGGCTGTGCTTAGACCACTGCTGCCTCTTTGTAGTTGTGTGGCCTTGGATAAGTCAGTTCAACTCCAGGGGCCATAGTTGCACCATCTCTGAATATAGTGTGGTTGATTAGACAGTCCTAGAGAGCTGGGGTTCTGAAGCCCTGAGTGTGTGGGGGAGCCAGGGCAGGTGACGTGTGCAGGAACCAGATGTGTTTACTGTCCAGGGGAACCTCAGAGCTGGCGTTTGGGCTTAGTAGAGCCACTTCTCCCCAACCTCAGCTGTTTGTCATCATCATGGTCAAATGTCATCTAGGGATTATTCAAAGAGAATAATAAGGGTTCCCCCATTTATTTCATTTGTTATATTTATAAATAGCTAACTCTCAGGGTGACTCAGCTAACAGGGCTGGATACAAATGCCCATGTTTAGCCTTTGGTTTCAGTTCCCTTCTGGAGTTCGGAGGTAACGATCAGGGACATTCTGCTCGGCTGTCTTTCTGCCTTGGATCAGAGGGGGCCCGATGGGCGGGAGCAGAGAAGGGGCAGGTGAACCTGGAAGCCTGGAAGTGGCCGCTGTGTCTCCAGAGCCTTTAGGTACCAAATAACATTTAAACCTTTCTCTTTCTTCTCTGTTGCCCCCGACGGTAACCAGAAACTCAAACAAAAGCACACTGAGGCTGTCTTCTGACCAAAAGTTGTTCTCCTTTGGGGTTCTGCTGTGCTAATGGTGGCTTCTGTCTCCCTCTTCAGGTATGGAGAGAAGGGGAAAGCCATCCGGATCGAGAAGGTCATCTACACGGGGAAGGAGGGAAAGAGCTCCCGCGGTTGCCCCATTGCAAAGTGGGTGAGTGTTGAGCCCACTCAAGAGCCACAGCTGTGCCTGGTTCCCCTTGCTGCATGGCCACGGCTGTGCCTGGTTCCCCTTGCTGCATGTAGCTGAGCAGGCGAGGGCGGGGGGTGGGGCCAGGTGGGTGTGTAGGAGACAACATGTTGACTGTCCAGGGGAGCCTTAGAGCTGGAATCTGGCTCAGGGTTAGGGTCATTTCCCCCAGCCTCAGCTGTTTGTCCTCATCTTGTTTAAATGCCAGTCCCCGAGTCTTGGGTCAGCCTTGGAACTGTGTTAGTCTTCACACTCGGCTCATCCTGTCCCCGTGGCTCAGGGCCGGAGGGGTAGGAAGGGAAACTGGGGATGCTGTCATGACCCGTTGATGGGCTCCACTGTGGACTGTCAGACTCCTTGTCCCCTTCCATGTGCCCTGGAGCTGCCAGTGCT
The DNA here is from genome assembly GCF_000001405.40 of Homo sapiens. NCBI lineage: Eukaryota > Metazoa > Chordata > Mammalia > Primates > Hominidae > Homo > Homo sapiens. The sequence continues at coordinate 74,081,021 of NC_000002.12, forward strand.
TTTGTCTGCTGCCTGGAAGCCAGAGACAAACCTGAAGGCTAGCATGCTGAGATCCAACCTGAGGGAAGAGGCCAGGGCTCTGGGCAGCACTGTGGGCCAGTCTTGCCTCTGCCTTGCTTCTAAGCAGTTTCCTACCAGGCAACCTAGACATCTTCACAGGGAGAACATCAGTGACTCAGACCCCAAGTCACCAAACAGAGTCCTTCTGACCTTGCCCTCCCAGTCCACAGGGAGATCTTTAAATAGCAGAGCATCTGCCTCTGCAGAAGAAGTGCTGAGGAGGAGCAGCCAGGTTCCTCGGGTGCCTGCAAGCTCAGCCTCGCGCTGTGCTGGGCAGTGGGTATGGGTGGAAGACGAGGGCTCGGTCCCTATGTTCAAGCTGTTTGTGCTCTAGAGACATATGAAATAAAGTCATGGAGACTGGGGTCGTTGAGAGGCAGACTTGATGCTGTGGTTCAGAGGAGGAGGAATGCTCAAGCTAGGTTTCCCGAGGTGAGCGTGCCAGGGGCCATGAATACTGGCCCGTTACTAGTCAGGCTGAGGAGAGGGAGGAAGCATTCCCAGTGAGGAGAATCATGTGGGCAAAGGCAGAGAGGCTGGGTGGACAGACCCGTGGCTGACTGTGAGGGAGGCGGGTAAGATAACCCCTGTCAGCATATGTCCATCTGTGCATGTTGTAGGAAATTCTGACATATGCTACAACATGTGTAGGACGTATGTGCCTGTTTTTACCTGGTATACACCCTGTGCCTTTGTGTCTTTGTGTTTGGTGAAAATAAAAGGTGTCTGAACTTGAACTACCAAGTTTACTATTTTTAGCAATTTTTAGTCAGCATTGCAGAATTATATACAACCAGAGAATCTGGAATCACTTAGTGTATTCATAAGTATGAAGAAGCAGGCTGCCCCCACCCTCTTGAGAGGTGGTCATTGCAGTGAGAAGTCTGATGTGGCTTATCATGGTGGGGTGTTACCTCCCCAGAGAACCCATCAGAGAAAAGACGTCAGCCGTAGAGTGACAGCTGCCCCTTTCTCCTGCTAATTCATGCAGTCATTGAGGAATTCCAAAGTCTTGGACATAAAAATGAAGATCTTGGAGCATAGGTAGAGTTGGAGACTTTTCCAGCTTCAAGACAGTTGGCCCCTTAAAGAATAGCTGGTCCTGTGGGTGGCTTAAAGAAGATGCATTTCTAGACCCCGGTTACAGTGGTAAAGCGATAAGTCCTGGTCAGGGCTCGTGTGGCCCCACTGAGGGCTGGGAAGAGCACACTTGCCTGCAGACTGGGGCCAGTTCCTGGGGCTGGAAGAGGAAGGCAGGAGGATGGAGGGGCAGGAACTTTGTCCTCAGTATGCCATTGCTCTGGGGTCTGTGGACGGATGCCCAGAGCAGGACGCATGGGGCGCAGTGAACTGGAGGTTACATTCAAGGAGGGAACAACTCGTGGGTGTCACTGAGCCCTGGTGGGTGAACATAGAAGGTGCTGATAGTGTTTGCAGAGGGTGGGACTTCCCATGTCTTATGAGTGAAGAGAAAAGGAGAGGAAATACTTTTTTTTATGGGAGGAGCAAATGGGTGGTCAATCACAGAACTATTGTAGTGGCAAGAAAACGGCAGTGCTGAGGGCTTTATTTTTTCTGGCCATCTCCTTTAGTGTGGTGGATTTCTGGGGTTTTCTTTTGGCTACACAGCTGCCAAATACCCTATGTTTTTTGGTAAGAGGGCTTGGTTTAAAGAGTTCCACCTCCTTTGGAAGTTGAAGAGGAGTTGGGTGCTCCTTCTCCCTGCCCTGCAGGGAAAGTGACCCACAGATGCTTAGAAGGACGGATTATTCTTGGTGGCAGTGTAGCGTCAGGAGCCCGGAGCCGGTTCTGTGGCCACGGGTGAGTGCAGGCATCCAGTGTCTCCTGTGCATGTCCCCACCCTGCCTGGTACAGTGTCCAGAGCCTGGCTTTTGTTTTCCAACCAGGATTTGTGCCTGTGTTTCAGCCTCTCCCTAGCCCCCAGCCATACCTTCAGCTTAAAGCAGTGTGCCTCACATGTTCTGCACTTGACTGGCCAGGATTTGGGGACACAGTCAAGGTACATCATGGGTGCCCAGCAAATGTGTGTTGAGAGGATGACCTAGGAAGCAGTGGGTCAGCCCAGAGAGCCCTCTGATCATCTGTGATTTTAAGGTGGCCTGTACAAAATACGGAAGATTCCAGGCGTGCCCTGGTTGCACTCTGAAGGCTCAGAACAACAGAGGCATGCCAAAGGCAACACCTGGCAGCAAGATGGGCTCTGGGAAAGAACTCCAGAGATGCTGCCCATACTGGTGTGTAAAGGTCACAGAGATCAGAAGGCAGGTACTTGTAGGCTCATTAGGGACACAGTAAAACAGACTTAGGAAGCCGCAGGTGTTAGAACCAAGTACCGTGGTGGGAGCTGTGGGAAGACAGGGTTGGGGTTCTGCTGGGGGTTATGTTACTCTTGGTCTGGTGCTCAGGGAATTCTGCCTAGAAGCTGGATGAGCTGTTGAGGATCCTGTGGCTGAGTTGGAGCCATCTCTCTTGCTCTGCTCAGGTATGGATGTGTTTGTGCCTCTGTCAGCCTTTGACTTTGACATTTTGTGTGTTTCATCCTGCCAGGCTCCTTCATACGAGTGTGGGTAGGGAACTCCTCTGTGCTGTTTTCTTAGTTTTTTTAGTGCACCCAGGGGCCTGTGAGGATGGGCCACAGATAGCTGTCTGCTTGTGTCTAATGACATTGCGTGTTTGCCATTTGGGAAACCAGAATGGCATGGCCTCAGTCACGGCCATGACTGGTTGGGTGACTTGTGTGCTCTGAATGCCTCACACATGAGTGTGATTGGCTGCGTTCCCCCTGGCCAGGAGCAGAAGTTGACCATAGTGCCTCGCAAACCCTAGTCACAGAGACCATGGCCTTATCAGTGTCCACAGATGTGCGTCGATGCCCGTGATGCACTCAGCCTAATCTGCAGGAAGCCAGGCAATCACGTAGAGAGTTCTAACTCAGTATCTGATTTAATACCGTGTTCAGGTGTTACTGATAGCCAAAATACACATATCAAAAGAATAATACAATTGATGCTTTAGTGGGGAAGCACCGTTCTTGCCGTGCCTCAGAGCAGGAATTCATGGCCAGAGATGTGTTTTGTTCAGCATTGCAAAGTATCCTTTCAAAGTCTGAAGGAAATTCCGGCACATGCTACAACATGGTTAGGACATTACATTAAGTGAAATAAGCAAGTCATAAAAGGATAAATACTGTATGATTCCACTTACATGAGGTACCTAGAACAGTTAAATTCAGACGCAGAAAGTAGGCTGGGCGCAGTGGCTCACGCCTGTAATCCCAGCACTTAGGGAGACCAAGCGGGCAGCTCACCTGAGATCAGGAGTTCAAGACCAGCCTGGTAAGACCATGTCTCTCTCTTTTTTTTTTTTTTTGAGATGGAGTCTCGCTCTGTCGCCCAGGCTAGAGTGCAGTGGCACGATCTTGGCTCACTGCAAGCTCCGCCTCCTGGGTTCACGCCATTCTCCTGCCTCAGCCTCCCAAGTAGCTGAGACTACAGGTGCCCACCACCACGCCCAGCTAATTTTTTGTATTTTTTAGTAGAGATGGGGTTTCACTGTGTTAGCCAGGATGGTCTCGATCTCCTGACCTCGTGATCCACCCGCCTCGGCCTCCCAAAGTGCTGGGATTACAGGCATGAGCTAACGCACCCAGCCCAGTGAGACCCCGTTTCTACTAAAAATACAAAAAATTAGCCAGGCGTGGTAGCATGCGCCTGTAGTCCCAGCTACTCTGGAGACAGTGGGGAGAATTGCCTGAGCCCAGGAGGCAGAGGTGTTAGTGAGCTGAGATCGTGCCACTGCACTCCAGCCTGTGCAACAGAGCAAGACTCGGTCTCAAAAAAAAAGAGAAACAGAGGCAGAAAGTAGAACAGTGGTTTCAGGAGGGGAGAATGGAGAGTTCCTTAATGAACAGAGTTTGTTGTGCAAGATGAAAAAATTTTAGAGATGGGTGGTTGTGATGGTTGCACAGCAATATGAACATACCTAATGCCACTAAACGGTGTACTTTGAAATGATTAAAATGGTAAATTGTTCGTATATTTTTCCACAGCAAAAAAAAAAAAAAGAAAATTGGAGCACTCATGTTTTTGGAGAGGGATTTTATGTAAAATCTGGATTTCCGTTTTTTTCTTCAAAATTGGAAGAATTAGCCTCACTGGGCTGGAATTTCCCCCAGGCGGTAGTTGATGGCAATAAGGCCTGGCCTCCCCCTGTTGATGGGGCAGATGCTTTTCACTTTGCCACGGTCCACACCACCCACTAGTCTTGCATCCGGCCCACCTTCCTCATTTGTATTGCCTGCCTGGCTACCCCTTTCAGGGTCTCCCAGCACGATCCACTCGTGACCAGGTCTGTCTGCAACCCAGCATCTCCTGACCTCCAGACCCACTCTGGGGGGTATCCTTAGAGACCACTCAGGTGCTCTAAGGCAGTGGTCCCTAACTTTTTGGCACCAGGGACTGGTTTCGTGGAAGACCATTCAGGCATTAGATTCTCAAAAGGAGTGCACAACCTAGTTCTCTCACATGCGCAGTTCATGCTCCTATGAGAATCTAAAGCTGCTGCTGATCTGACAGGAGGTGGAGCTCAGGCGGTAACGCCCGCTCGCCTGCTGCTCACCTCCTGCCGTGCAGCCCAGTTCATAACAGGCCACAGACCCAGTACAGGTCCGCACCCTGGGGGTCAGAGACCCCTGCTCTAAGGTACCTCAGCCTCAGGATGCTCCCAGTTAACTTGCCAGTAAACCACACCCATGCCCACTCAGTCTCCTGAGCCACAAAGTGTGGAAGTCACTCAGGGTTTTTCCTTGTCCCTCAGCCTCAGGAATCCATTCTTCTCCTGTTTTCTTACCCCTTGCCATAGTTAGGACTTTATTCATTTTGCTTGCATTATGTCAATGGTGTTCCAGCTGGTCTCCCCGTCTTGCCCTTCTCCCGATTTTCTGCCCCCACTTTCTAAAGCATGAAACTCTTTATGTAAGCCCCCTGCTCACCATCCTGCGTGGAGTTCCCGCCTCAAGGCCCTGCCCCTGGGCCTGACACTCGGAGCCCTTCCCAGTCTACCCTCATCCTTCCCCTGCCCACAGGCCCTCACATCTTATCTGGTCATGGAATTATCTGGCATTCTCTGGCAATTTTCAGCCACCTCCTTCCCCAGCTCCCAGGCCTCTTGGCCCTGACATCTTTTTATAAACCAGGACAGTGTTTAGGAATTAATGAGAACCCAGACCTCAGACCTGGATCCTGAGCAGCAGAGCAGTGGATGCCCAGGGCTCTCGCTTAAAAAAAAAAAAAGTAGCTTTATTGAGATACAATTCTCGTACCATACAGTTCACACATTTGAAGCATATAATTCAATGGTTTTTGGTGTAGTACATTTTTAAAATTGTGGTAACAGTGTATAAACAGGCTGGGTGCAGTGGCTCATGTCTGTAATCCCAGCACTTTGGAAGGCTGAGGCAGGAGGATCACGTGAGCCCCAGCAGTTCAAGACCAGCCTAGACAACATAGTGAGACCCTGTCTCTTAAAAAATTTTAAAAAGTTAGCCAGGCATGGTGGCGTGTGTCTGTAGTCCCGGGTACTCAAGAAGGCTGAAGTGGGAGGATCGCTTAAGCCCAGGAGTTTGAAGCTGCAGTGAGCTATGATCATGCCACTGTACTCCAGCCTGGGCAACAGAGTAAGACCCTGACTCTAAAAAAAAAAAAAAAAAAAAAAGTTTGTGTAGAAATAAAATCTAACATTTTAACCATTTTTCAGTGTACAGGTTGGTGGCATTAAGTACATTCACGTTGTTGTACAAGCATCAACCTAGTCTATTTCCAGAACTTTTTCAACATCCTGTACTGAAACTCTGCACCCATTAACAATAATTCTCCATTCTCCCCTTTCCCAGGCCCTCGTAAGCTCTAATCTACTTTCTGTCTCTCTGAATGGAACTGTTCTGGGTGTCTCATGTCAGTGGAATCATGTACTATGTGTCCTTTTGTGTCTGGCTTATTTCACATAGCATGTTTTTGGGGTTCATCCATGTTGTAACATGGATCAGAATTTTGTTTCTCTTTAAGGCTGAGTAATACTTGGTTGTCTGTCTATACCACGTCGTACTTACCTGTTCATCAACCGATGGACCCTGGGGGTGCTTCCACCTTTTGGCTGTTGTGAATAGTGCTGCAGTGAACGTGGGTATTCAGGGATCTGCCTGAGTCCTGCTCTCAGTCCCTCGAGTGTATTCCTAGGCATGGAATTGCTGGATCATATGGTAATCCTATGTTTAGCTTTTGGAGGCATTGCCAGACTGTTTTCCACAGTGCCAAGCCCCTTGCATGTTAACTAAAAACACACAGGTAGGCAGCATTTTCTCTGCAAATGTTTTAGGATAACATAAAAATCTGACTGTATTTTGGCTTACAATTTTTATCTGTGTATTTTTACTCCTAAGCCTATGTAAGTCATCAGCAACTTAGATTTTGTGGTAATTATTTTTTATTTCACTCTCAAAATAACTTTTATGTTTTTGTTCCCTAACAAAACATTTGTTCCTAATAATGTTCCCTATTTGTTCCCTAATAATGGTCTCTTAGCTTGTAAGGTTGCTGTCTTCAGGGCATGACATCCCTAGAACCCTGCCGTTAAGACCTGCACCCTGGGTCTGTGTGACAAAGGGAGGGGTGGCACCATGCAGAGGAGCACGGGTACCTGGCTCCTGCCCCTCACACCCTGCGTCCCTGCAGGTGATCCGCAGGCACACGCTGGAGGAGAAGCTACTCTGCCTGGTGCGGCACCGGGCAGGCCACCACTGCCAGAACGCTGTGATCGTCATCCTCATCCTGGCCTGGGAGGGCATTCCCCGTAGCCTCGGAGACACCCTCTACCAGGAGCTCACCGACACCCTCCGGAAGTATGGGAACCCCACCAGCCGGAGATGCGGCCTCAACGATGAGTATGTAGCAGAGGGCTTCAGGGCCAGGGCCCACCTATAGGGTCCTGGGCAGCAAATACAGGAGACTGCAGGCAACCCTGGGGAAGGCTCCTAGGGGCCCTCTCTGCGGCACTGTTTGTCCTGCACAGTTAGGACTGTGGTTGAGGAAGGCATATCCACAGATCTTGCTTGAGCTGGGTTCTAGCTCTGGCTCCAGAGGGTCTACTAGTTTGACTTCACCGTTAAACCCCAGGTCGATAACACTGGCACTAATGATATTAGCGAGTGTGAAGTACATGTGCCCCATAAATAGAAGGTATCGAAGATATTTACAAAACCTGCCCTTGGCCAGGCGTGGTCCATGCCTATAATCCCAGCACTTTGGGAGGCCGAAGTGGGTGGATCATAAGGTCAGGAGTTTGAGACCAGCCTGGCCAATACGGTGAAACCCCATCTCTACTAAAAATAAAAAAATTAGTCAGGCGTGGTGGCACACACCTGTAGTCCCAGCTACTCGGGAGGCTGAGACAGAAGAATCGCTTGAACTCGGGCGGCGGAAGTTGCAGTGAGCTGAGATTGCACCACTGCACTCCAGCCTGGGCAACAGTGAGACTCTGTCTCAAAAACAAAAACAAAAAAACCCTGCCCTTATCAGAGTTTTTCCCATTTTTAAAAATGAAGGTATATTTATTTACAATAAAATTCATCCTCTTAGGTATATAGTTTTGACAAATGTTTACAGTCACGTACCTACCACCACCACAATTAAGATATGCAACAGGGCTGGGCATGGTGGCTCATGCCTGTGGTCGCAGCACTTTGGGAGGCCAAGGCGGGTGGATCGCCTGAGGCCAGGAATTCGAGACGAGCCTGGCCATCATGGCGAAACCCTGTCTTTACTAAAAATATAAAAATTAGCCAGGTGTGGTGACACATGCCTGTAATCCCAGCTACTAAGGAGGCTGAGGCATGAGAATCACTTTCACCCAGGAGGCAGAGGTTGCAGTGAGCCAAGATCGTGCCATTGCACTCCAGCCTGAGCAACAGAACAGGATTCCGTCTCAAAAAAAAAAAAAAAAAAAAAAAAGACATAGAACAGTTCCATCTTCCCCCCGAAGTGCCCCATGCATGCCCTTTATAAGCAAGCCCTCCCCTAGCCCTGGGCAGTCACCGGTCTTGTTTCCTGTTCCTGTAGGTTTACCTCTGTGAGAATGTCACATAAATGGGATCATACAGGGTGTAGCTTTCTGAGTCTGGCTTCTTCCATTGAACATAGTGTTTTCAGTGTTCATCTGTGTTGACGTGTGTGTCAGTAGCTCGTTCCTTTTTATCAATGAGTCGTAATCCACTGTGTGGATCTATCATAGTTTGCTTATCCATCCCCCAGTTAGGGGCACTTGGGTTGTTTCCAGATTGTATTAAGCGTTAATTTTCATCTCAGTATACTTTGTTGAAAGGCCTGTTAGCATCTGGGCTATAGGAAATAGACACGTTCAAACCCTGGGGCTCACATCATTTCCCTGTTCATATGGCCTGTCCTGGAGCTGGTTAAGATATTAAGTTAAGGGAAAGTATAAACGTTAATGGGTTTTTACCAGATTCTTCCCCCTTACTTCCGTAAACCCATGTGCTACTCCCAGCAACAGACTCAGTGTTAGACCTGCAGGCTCGCAGTGGTGCAGGCAGCAGAGGCTGCTTAGATCTGGCTTCCTACTCAAGGAAACTTGAGAAAGGGGTTGGGGGTGGGGAAGGATGAGTCTCAGTCACTGGGAGGCTGGTGGGTGCCAGGGCTCAGCAGGGCCACCCCTTGAGGGAGGAGGAATACTCCAGAACGAAGGGATATTGCATCTATATCCCTGACCTGTGCTGTGTGTTGCAGCCGGACCTGCGCTTGCCAAGGCAAAGACCCCAACACCTGTGGTGCCTCCTTCTCCTTTGGTTGTTCCTGGAGCATGTACTTCAACGGCTGCAAGTATGCTCGGAGCAAGACACCTCGCAAGTTCCGCCTCGCAGGGGACAATCCCAAAGAGGTGAGCAGAGCTGGGCGGGGACCCTGCCTCCCATCCTTTCTCGCCTGGCGTCCTTCATGGTCCAGCGGGAGGTAGTACTGGCACGCCATGACTCAGATGCACAGGAAGTGGAACTTGTTTTCGTTTTTTTAAAAGCTGACCTTATCTTGCTGTGAAATAAGGGGTGTGTGGAGGGCACCAAGTGTGAAAAATTAGACTTAGCAGTTACGGGTGCCCCAGGCTCTTCCCATGTAAACCATCTCTTTTAGGTAAATACTCCAAATATCGAAGATACATATTCAAATCGCTTGTCAGAATTTGGCCCTCTCAGAGGTCATTTCTCCCCCCCATCTTCCCAGGACACCTTTCTAGGTGTGAGGTTTAGCAGGAAAGGCGGTCTCCCGCATGTGGGCCATCCTCTGGGCCTTTGCTGTACTTCCCAAGGTATCTCCCACCCTGCCTGGCTGCCGGACAGATGTCTCTGGGCAGTCATCCGGGCCCTTGCAGTCTCCATGCTGGGGGCCTGGCCTGGTCCCTGGGCTCTGGACTGGTGTCCATACAGTATGACCGCTAGGCACGGCACCTTCTCTCTGTAGGCTCCTTACCCAGACCCCTGCCCTGCAGGGCCTCCCCCAGCCCCAAGACAGCAGGGGAAGGCGCCCTCAGGCTGTGGGGGCCGGAGCATCTGCTCAGGCCGCCTCCCCTCTGTTGTTTGTCCTCTGATGCCTGCATGGCAAAGGCCCTCCTGAGAGGCGGTCTCCACTCAGCTCCAAATGCAAGGAAGGCACAAGCCTATCCAGGTTGTCTGCCATTTTACCTTCCTTCTGCCTGGGCTCCTGAGCGGGTGGAGTGCTGGCTTCCTTTGCTAGGATACAGACAAATATCCAAATACGTGAACTCAAGTTGCAACCTTCCAAATCTCTCCAAGCTCCTAGTACCAGAAGGGCTTCCCACTTCCCGTGGTGCAGGGACACCCTCTCTACACCAAAGCCTATGTCACCTTCTGTGCTCTGACTGCCAAGCTTGGGTCCTCATAAGAAAAAGGAAGCATTTTCAAATTCAGAACTCTTTGTTTACCCCAGACCTGGCTTTTAGACTTAAATAGTCTAATAGACCTGTATGCAAATAGTCTAATTTGTTATTAGATTTTTATTTACGGTAAGATTCACCCTCCCTTACAAGCAGCAGATGTGGTTGCTTCAATGAATGGAGCCCTGGGGCTACCAGGACCTAAGAACTACTAGGAATGGAAAGACATTGGCTTAATTTCTCTCAAATTCTTTCCCTGTTCTACCAACTGCCACTTCCTGTGCTCTTACGATGTGCTAAGCACTTTGCCAAGCCCCTCATAGGTTTCTCAGATGATTTCACGACCCCTCCATCCCAGTGATCTAGGCACTGTTACCCCTCACTTTACAGATGAGGCAGATGGCTTCCTTAAGCCCATGTGGCTAGTTCATGGTGAAGGCAGGTTTGAAACTCAGGCCTGTGTGTCCCTAGAGCTCACAAGCCTCACCCCCTGCTGTGCTGGTGGCAGCATCTGGACATCAGGCAGGGAGGTGGCCTGGCATCACTGGCCCAGGCTGGCCTGGTCAAGAGTGGCTGGCAGCCCTGGCGACCCCACTGGATGTACAGCTGAGCTGTGGGTCTCCACCTTCCATTTCTCATTCTGTGTGCTTGGTTCTTTTTCTCTTTCCTCTCTTCCTGCTTTCTTCTTCATAAACCCTTTGTGCCTGTGCTCGTGGTGTCCTAGGAGCCCTTCAAGCCCTGCTTGTTTTCGGAGGGCCAGACAGAGGCTGTGGATACCTGGAACTCTCTGCCACATGTCACCAGGGGCTGCTGCTTCACATAGAGCAGTGCTGTCCCACAGTACTTTCTGTGATGTGTGGAAACATTCTCTGCTGTCCATACAGGAGCCACGTGTAGCTGCTGAGTATTTAAAATGGGACTAGTGCAACCAAGGGACTGAATTGCTTTAATTTTTATTAGAATTCAGGCCGGGCATTGTGGCTCACGCCTGTAATCCTAGCACTTTGGGAGGCCAAGGTGGTTGGATCACCTGAGGTCAGGAGTTTGAGACCAGCCTGGCCAACACGGCAAAACCCCATCTCTACTAAAAATATAAAAGAAATTAGCCGGCTGTGGGCACCTCTAATCCCAGCTACTCAGGAGGCTGAGGCAGGAGAATTGCTTGAACCCAGGAGATGGAGGTTGCAGTGAGCCAAGATAATGCCACTGCACCCCAGCCTGGGTGACAGAGTGAGCCTCTGTCTCAAAGAAAAAAAAAAATTAGAATTCATCTGTATTTCTGTAGCTTCATGTGGTTTGTGAATAACATTACGTAGTACGAGTCTAGCAGCTGGAGCTTTGAAGTCTGTCTGTATTCCTGGCTTATGACAGGCTCTGGGCTGGGCTGGGCTGGGCTGGGCTGGCTGTGGAATTTCTAGCATGGATCCTGCCTGCCTTTCTCTTCCTGTCTGTAGCCTGGGAGGAAAGATCCACAGTTGTTGCTCTTGGCTTTTTCAGTCCCACTGTGCCGCACCTCTGACCTACGGTGTTCAGCACTCGAAAGCAAGAAACGTTTGATATGTTCTGGGCTGAACTGGGCGGGAGCCTGAAGGAGCAGTAGTTTAGCAGTCAGGATGACTAGACCTTCAGGCCGTGGCTTCCACAGCTTTTCCTGGGAGCCTCAGTGTCCCCAGCTGTGAAGTGGACACAGCACCACAGCCCTCCTGAAGGAAAGGCCAGAAAGACACCTGATAACACCTCCCTCCCAGCCTCCCCCACGATGCTTCAGGAATGCCAGTCCACTTCCAGGGTGCAGGGTCTGCCAGGCGGGGCTGCTCTGGATGTGTGACTGCCCCTCTCTCTGCAGGAAGAAGTGCTCCGGAAGAGTTTCCAGGACCTGGCCACCGAAGTCGCTCCCCTGTACAAGCGACTGGCCCCTCAGGCCTATCAGAACCAGGTAACGGGCCCTGGGCCTTTTGCTGCCCACATGTCACCGTCCACATCTCTGCTCAGGCTCTGAAGGTGGGAAGTGGGAGAGTGGGCTCTTTTACTCTCTTATGGGAAGAGCCTAGTCCAGAAGTAAAGCGATATGATGTGGTTCTTTGATAAAAACCCCTTTTTTACACCAGGCTACCTGCATCCCACACCGTCCCTCTTCTATCCTGGTCTTCTCCCTTCCCCTGGTAACCCATCCACCTCCTCTGGTCTGGTATCCACTGGTGAGGCCCGAGTTTCTCTCACCTGTCACCCTTGTATCTCCTAGACAAGGCAAGGGGACTTGGGATAACCCAGAAGGAAGTAATTCCTACAGGAGACTGAAAGTAACTTTTTTGTAGCTGGGGCCTCTCAGCCAGAAAACCTCCCTCCTGCAGTCGAAGGGCAAGGTGACTATCATCCTTAACATCCCTCCTTCCAAGACCTGGCCTCCCCAGGTGCAGAATCGGGGCCACTCACCTCAGGTCATGTGAGCACCTCTCCTTGGCTGTCTACACAGGTGACCAACGAGGAAATAGCGATTGACTGCCGTCTGGGGCTGAAGGAAGGACGGCCCTTCGCGGGGGTCACGGCCTGCATGGACTTCTGTGCCCACGCCCACAAGGACCAGCATAACCTCTACAATGGGTGCACCGTGGTAAGCCTGTGCCCTGTCATAGCCCCACCTGTGGGGCAACTGTGGGAGGGAGTCCACCGTGGTCTTTTCAGAAAGGCAGGCTGAGGGTAGGGAGGGACCTGGAGACAGGATCCTCAGAACTCTGGAAGGTTCCCTGCAAGACGGCCTGCCTTCGCCCACCTCCCAGAGAAAACCTCACCAGAAAACCCTTGAACAGACAAGGCTGGCTTTGTGTCTGTGTCTTAGGGGGATGCTGCAGGATGTAGCCCCTCAAGCACCTGGAGTGCCCAGTTATCTAAAGCGTGGGCCCCGGTCTCTGTGGACACTTGGATTTAAATGCAAACAAACCCTTGATTCATTCTTTGGACAAATGTGTATTGAGTACCAGCTGTGCCCAGGCACTGCTCTGCATGCTGCGGGATGAAACGGACAAAGTTCCTGCCCAAGTATGTGTGGGAATGTCCTGTAGCAATGAAGGCCAAGAGGGAAAAATGAAGTAGGGTGAGGGATAAAGCAACAGGAGATGCTGTTTTAGATGAGAGGCTGCTCTGAGGAGGGGACGTTTAAGTTGAGATGTGAATGGCGCAAGAGAGTGAGAGAGCCACTATCTGGGGGTAGAGTGCTCCAGGCAGAGGGACCAGCGTGTGTGCAGGCTCCGAGCGGGGAGCAGGCTGGGTGTGTGTTCAGGGAACAACAGGAAGGGAGTAACTTACTGCAAGGGGCAGGGAGAGTGGGATTGGAGAGGCCTGCAGGGACCAGCTCACAGGGAGCCTTGAGGGCCAGGGGAGGGTTGCGGGGTTTGCTCTAAGTGTGATGGGAAGCTGTTGAGGGCTTCTCAGCTGGGCAGCAGTAAGTTTGCATTGTAAAGTTAGACGCACTCCTGCTGCTGCAGTTAGAGAATGAGGTGTGTGATGGTGGGGGCAGAGTGAGGTGAACGGGAGGGAATAAGAGGAAGGAGGCGAAGGAGGAGGCTGGGGCAGCCATCCAGGCCAGAGGGGACACGGCTTGGGCAGGAGTGGGGGGAGGTGCTGATGGGACAGATTTTGGATGATGTGGAAGGGACTGCCAAGAGGATTTGCAGATGGGCTGGATTGTTATGTGAGCAGGACTTGAGGAGCACTCCAAGGCTTTTTGCTTCAGCATCTGGGTGAGTGTTGGTAACATGGACCGAGATGTAAGTAACAGGGGAAGGCTGAATTTAGGAGTAAGAAATCAAGAGTCCTGTTTCAAGATGCCTGCTAGACGTGCAGGTGGAGATGTGGAGTAGGCAGGGGGCAAGGAGGGTCTGGAGAGCACGTGGTTTATAGTTAGAGCTGTGAGGCCGACGCCATCAGCAGGGGAGTGAGTGCAGATGGAGAAGAGAGGGAGTTTGGACTTGGTTAGGGGCTTCCTTGAAGGGATGATGCTGGCTGTCTGCTCTGCCTTTTAGCCAGGTTCTGGGCAGACAGGGCTTCCAGGGGCTGAGGACGAGACAAGGGCACCAGCACATCTGCCTGGAAAGAGGGCTCCCAGATTCCGAGTGTAGCTTATGCCCCCTGGGGATTGATGGACCCACCTCGGGATTTCATTTCTCCACTTGTTTTCTATCACTGCATCCAAGACTGAGAAGCAAGAAGGGGCAGCTCCTGCTGGCACTCTGTTGTGAGGATTTCTAGGTGAAATACACAGAAAGGGCATGCCCACAGTGTTAGAGAGACGAAGGAGCCCAGGGGGCCCTGGAAGGTGGGCGAGAGCAAGAGCACCATGAGGTGATCTGGATCGCAGAGCTTCTAGAGTTTGGGGTTGAAAAAAGGAGTATTTTCTTCCAAAATGAAAAGTATTGTTTTTTCCTAAACAAGACTCATTTTTTAAAAATTTAAATAATATTAAAAAGGTTGCCTGAAATCTCAGAGATAACCAGTTAGCAGTTTGATGACCATCCATTCAGACACCCAAATGTGTATGTATGCACGAATGGCTTTATGAAATTTTACCCAGATGGGGTCACATTATATATACATGCTGTTCTATGACCTGCTTTTCTTAAGCTTTCTATGTCAGTGGACTTCATTTTCCGAGGCTGTATGTATGGCTCTGCCATCATTTATTTAACCAGTCCCCTATCAATGGACAGTAAGTGCTTTCAGACATTTCCCTTCTGTAAACCACAGGGAGAGGCCATTCTTCTCACGTATTTGTGCAGTGGCGCAGTAACCTGCTTGAGATTGCATTGATGTTTACTTTTACAGGCTTGGGGCACTAATTCTCCTACTTACTTGGCAACACTGGATTTTGTCAGTCTCTTTCATCTTTGCCTGCTGCCTGAGTGGGAAACATATGATCTTATTTTAATTTGTGTTTATTACTAGAGAGGTTGAACATTTTTTCCTATTTCTTCTTACACATTTGAATTTCATCTTTGCGACTATCCTATTTATGTACTTTACTTATTTTTTTAATCAGGCTACCCTTACCTTTTGATATTTGTAAAGTATCTCTTGTAGGAAATACAGCTTCTGCCACATCTTATCTTTTGGATTTTCCCTTTGGTCTGTTGTTTATAGCATTAGTCTGACAGACTGGTAGGAAGCAGGGCTGGGGCTGGCCAGTCCAACCCAGAAAGTACACAGGAGGCTGGTCAGAGCAGAGGAAGTCGTAGACCCACACATAGTCTGGGAAGAAACAAGCTGGGTAGGGCATGACACCAAACTCAGAGTGCCTCTAAGTGAAAGGGTTAATAAAGTTAGTGCCATAAAAATATAAGTTTTCTGTTCAGCGTAATAAAACACCATAATAACAATTGAAAGGCCAATACAAACTGGATACCTTGAGTTATCCTTGAGTTAAGAAAAGCAGGTCAGGCCGGGCGCAGGGGCTCACGCCTGTAATCCCAGCACTTTGGGAGGCTGAGATGGGTGGATCACCTGAGGTCAGGAGTTTGTGACCAGCCTGGTCAACATAGTGAAACCCCGTTTCTTCTAAAAATACAAAAAGTTAGCTAAGCATGGTGGCAGGCGCCTGTAATCCCAGCTACTGGGGAGGCTGAGGCAGGAGAATCGCTTGAACCCGGGAGGCAGAGGTTGCAGTGAGCCGAGATGGCGCCACTGCACTCCAGCCTGTGCAATAAGAGCAAAACTCTGTCTCAAAAAAAAAAAAGAAAGAAAGAAAGAAAGAAAAGCAGGTCAGGCTGGGCACGGTGGCTCACACCTGTAATGCCAGCACTTTGGGAGGCTGAGGTGGGAGGCTCACTTGAGCCCAGGAGTTTGAGACCAGCCTGAGGAATACGGCAAAACCCTATCTCTACAAAAAATACCAAAAATTTGCTGGGCGTGGTTGTGCATGCTTGTAGTCCCAGCTACTCAGGAGGCTGAGATGGGAGGATCACTTGAGCCCAGGAGGTTGAGACTGCAGTGAGCCGTGTCACACCACTGCACTGCAGCCTGGGCAATAGAGTAAGACCTTATCTCAAAAAGAAAAAGAAGAAAAAGAAAAAAAAAAAAAGAAAAGCAGGTCACAGAATAGCATGTATATATAATGTAATCCGATTTGTAGTTTTATATAGCCATACATGCACACACACACACACACACACACACACACACACACATACATTCAAATGTCTGGGTAGTCATCTAAACACTAACAATGACTAATAATTCACAGAGCTCCAACTGCTACAATATTTGTAACGTGATAAAGAAATTATAACTTTAATATGCAAAGATGACTTCATGATTTAAAAAATGACAAGTCGTATATAGTAGTGGGCAAAAGTCATAAAACTCGCAAAAGAAGGAAGACAGTGAGAGAATTGTGTTAAAATGGGCCAAGGATTGATTTTAATCGGATATGGTAAGACATGCAGACCTGGATAATTGTCAGGAAAGAACTTTATACTCAGATCCTAGAAACAGGAGGGCAGGTCATGCTCGGGGGCTACTCAGGGGAGCACCGGGCCAGTCAGGAGGCAGAAGAGGAAGAGTGGGGAGCATGGCCCAGAGTCTTTAGTGGGGTTTTGCAGGGAAGAATGGGTGATGCAGCGTAGCTACACTGGGGAAGTTTAGGATTGAACAGTTTGAATATTTTAGCAGGCTCTGAGCTATGGGGTGGTTCCTCGTGCACGGCCCTCTATTAAGGCCAGGGAAATATTGGTTTGGTGTGTGAGTTTGATAAAGGAGATGGCGAGGGGGTGTGAGCTCTGGATTTGCTGGTTCATATATCAGAGGCACACTCGCAGGGAGCCATTTGCTATCTCTGAGAATTAAGTAGCCCTGGGAGGGGCAGCCTCTCTGGGATCAAGACCCCAAATGCCAGAGCATCAAAAATATAGAAAATAAGAAAATATAGTCAACACAAGAGTAGAGAGTAAACTTGAATAAAAAAGCAAATCTTGTGAGAAATGTACACCAACAACGAGATCGATTTTAACAGTGAGCAAAAAGTTTTTAAAGAAATTAGTGGAAAAAATATAGGAAAGTTGAAACACATTCTGCTGGTATGAGTGAAAAACCGAATCATTTTTGAGGGTAGTCTGGCAGTATGTGGCAGTTCTACTTAACATTCATTCTAAGGAATTAAGAATCTTACAAAATTTAGCTAAAAGGGTATTTCAAAAAGTATTGTTTATGGTATAAAAAAATTGGAAACAAGTTGAAATATTTGATAATGAGATTAACACATTGATACAGTAGAATAATATTACACAGCTCTAATCATATTGGGGGAGAATATTTAATGCACAGGAAAATATTTATACTATGTTAAGAAAAAAATGAAGCTATTATGTGACCATATGCATAATACCCCCTTTAATTAGCAAAAAGTAATTGTGTACTTGTGTATGTACACAATTAGGTGACCGTGATATTTAAAGTGATTACTTCTGGGTGGTGGGATGGGAGATTTTGTTTCCTTTTTGCTTGCCTAAATTTTCTATAATCAGCACATAGAGTTTATAATAAAAAGGAAACTCTTTTTTTTTTTTTTTGAGACGGAGTTTCACTCTTGTTGCCCAGGCTGGAGTGTAGTGGCATGATCTTGGCTCACTGCAACCTCCATCTCTGGGTTCAAGCAATTCTCCTGTCTCAGCCTCCCAAGTAGCTGGGATTACAGGCGCATGCCACCACGCCAGGCTAATTTTTATATTTTTGGTAGAGACAGGGTTTCATCATATTGATCAGGCTAGTCTCGACCTCCTGACCTCAGGTGATCCACCCGCCTTGGCCTCCCAAAAGGAAACGTATTTTAAGAGCAAAAGGAGGCTGAGTGTTTAGAACAAGGAAGATAATGGTGGACGGTCTGAGCTTCACTGGGCAACGTGGTGCTGTGGCGTCAGTGCTATGCCAGAGGGCAGAGCAAGCCTCCAGGTCCTGGCCAGGCCCCTTGCCAGGTATCTCATCTCCTCTCAGCCTTCTTAGGATCATAGGAGATAATGTGCCTTGAAAGTTGATGAGTGGACTGTAAATGCTGGTGATACTGTTGCCCCGTGAACCAAGATCAATGTGCTTTCCACAAACTCTTGGAAGTAGTAGTGGCTGGTATTGGGATTGTGTGGGGAAAGATGAGGTCATGTGTTTTGGGTGCTCAGACCCCTCTCTCCCAGCACTCGGTCCCCCAACCCCATGTCCTCTCTCCCCCACTGCTTGGGGCAGGTCTGCACCCTGACCAAGGAAGACAATCGCTGCGTGGGCAAGATTCCCGAGGATGAGCAGCTGCATGTTCTCCCCCTGTACAAGATGGCCAACACGGATGAGTTTGGTAGCGAGGAGAACCAGAATGCAAAGGTGGGCAGCGGAGCCATCCAGGTGCTCACCGCCTTCCCCCGCGAGGTCCGACGCCTGCCCGAGCCTGCCAAGTCCTGCCGCCAGCGGCAGCTGGAAGCCAGAAAGGCAGCAGCCGAGAAGAAGAAGATTCAGAAGGAGAAGCTGAGCACTCCGGAGAAGATCAAGCAGGAGGCCCTGGAGCTGGCGGGCATTACGTCGGACCCAGGTGTGTGGGGGGAGGGTGCCCGCTTGGAGTCACAATGGCACTGTCCTCATGGGGGCCCCTGCTCTTCCACGCACCCTCCTGCATCACACTGGAACTGGGGCCTCTGCTTAATTGTCAGTCAGAAGGGTATCTGCAGCAGCCACAGCCAGCCTGATAGGAGGCCGTGGGGATGCAAGTACAGCAGGACTTGTTATCTGCGTGGAAGTGAGCTTGGTAGAGGGGAAGCACTGGGTTTCTCCTCTAGTTTGCATCCCTCAGAGAATCAGAGGCTCCCCTCTGAGCTCTAGTTTGCTCCCCTCTGAGATACTGAGGTGAGTAGCAGCACTTCAGGACATGTGGGTGTGTGCCAGGGCAGCAGGGCTTATGGGCGGAGACGGTTGCTGGCAGGCATCTGAGTTCTCATTCTCCTGGCCCTGGTCCCTGCAGTGATCCCGACTGGGCTGGGCACAGAGTGGGTGGTGGTGGTTCAGTACAACTTCTGGAGTTCTCTAGGGTGAAGAGAGGAGTCGGTGGGGGTACTGTGGACCCCGCATGAGGTGCTTCTCAGCAGGGATCGCCTCCTCCCACCCCCAGTGGGGCTGGGGCTGGGGCCTGTGCTGAGCAGGGCCCAGGGAGTACGACCCGTTCTGGGCTGGACATGCCTCAGCACCTCACCTGCCTGTCCCAAAAGAGGAAACATCCCTGGGAAAGAGGGAGGGTCCATCCCCAGTCCCCGACCCAGGGCCTCTCCAGGCTGTGGTGTTGTCTGCCCCTCTGCCATCTTGCCTTCTGTTTCCCCAGGCCTGTCTCTGAAGGGTGGATTGTCCCAGCAAGGCCTGAAGCCCTCCCTCAAGGTGGAGCCGCAGAACCACTTCAGCTCCTTCAAGTACAGCGGCAACGCGGTGGTGGAGAGCTACTCGGTGCTGGGCAACTGCCGGCCCTCCGACCCTTACAGCATGAACAGCGTGTACTCCTACCACTCCTACTATGCACAGCCCAGCCTGACCTCCGTCAATGGCTTCCACTCCAAGTACGCTCTCCCGTCTTTTAGCTACTATGGCTTTCCATCCAGCAACCCCGTCTTCCCCTCTCAGTTCCTGGGTCCTGGTGCCTGGGGGCACAGTGGCAGCAGTGGCAGTTTTGAGAAGAAGCCAGACCTCCACGCTCTGCACAACAGCCTGAGCCCGGCCTACGGTGGTGCTGAGTTTGCCGAGCTGCCCAGCCAGGCTGTTCCCACAGACGCCCACCACCCCACTCCTCACCACCAGCAGCCTGCGTACCCAGGCCCCAAGGAGTATCTGCTTCCCAAGGCCCCCCTACTCCACTCAGTGTCCAGGGACCCCTCCCCCTTTGCCCAGAGCTCCAACTGCTACAACAGATCCATCAAGCAAGAGCCAGTAGACCCGCTGACCCAGGCTGAGCCTGTGCCCAGAGACGCTGGCAAGATGGGCAAGACACCTCTGTCCGAGGTGTCTCAGAATGGAGGACCCAGTCACCTTTGGGGACAGTACTCAGGAGGCCCAAGCATGTCCCCCAAGAGGACTAACGGTGTGGGTGGCAGCTGGGGTGTGTTCTCGTCTGGGGAGAGTCCTGCCATCGTCCCTGACAAGCTCAGTTCCTTTGGGGCCAGCTGCCTGGCCCCTTCCCACTTCACAGATGGCCAGTGGGGGCTGTTCCCCGGTGAGGGGCAGCAGGCAGCTTCCCACTCTGGAGGACGGCTGCGAGGCAAACCGTGGAGCCCCTGCAAGTTTGGGAACAGCACCTCGGCCTTGGCTGGGCCCAGCCTGACTGAGAAGCCGTGGGCGCTGGGGGCAGGGGATTTCAACTCGGCCCTGAAAGGTAGTCCTGGGTTCCAAGACAAGCTGTGGAACCCCATGAAAGGAGAGGAGGGCAGGATTCCAGCCGCAGGGGCCAGCCAGCTGGACAGGGCCTGGCAGTCCTTTGGTCTGCCCCTGGGATCCAGCGAGAAGCTGTTTGGGGCTCTGAAGTCAGAGGAGAAGCTGTGGGACCCCTTCAGCCTGGAGGAGGGGCCGGCTGAGGAGCCCCCCAGCAAGGGAGCGGTGAAGGAGGAGAAGGGCGGTGGTGGTGCGGAGGAGGAAGAGGAGGAGCTGTGGTCGGACAGTGAACACAACTTCCTGGACGAGAACATCGGCGGCGTGGCCGTGGCCCCAGCCCACGGCTCCATCCTCATCGAGTGTGCCCGGCGGGAGCTGCACGCCACCACGCCGCTTAAGAAGCCCAACCGCTGCCACCCCACCCGCATCTCGCTGGTCTTCTACCAGCACAAGAACCTCAACCAGCCCAACCACGGGCTGGCCCTCTGGGAAGCCAAGATGAAGCAGCTGGCGGAGAGGGCACGGGCACGGCAGGAGGAGGCTGCCCGGCTGGGCCTGGGCCAGCAGGAGGCCAAGCTCTACGGGAAGAAGCGCAAGTGGGGGGGCACTGTGGTTGCTGAGCCCCAGCAGAAAGAGAAGAAGGGGGTCGTCCCCACCCGGCAGGCACTGGCTGTGCCCACAGACTCGGCGGTCACCGTGTCCTCCTATGCCTACACGAAGGTCACTGGCCCCTACAGCCGCTGGATCTAGGTGCCAGGGAGCCAGCGTACCTCAGCGTCGGGCCTGGCCCGAGCTGTCTCTGTGGTGCTTTTGCCCTCATACCTGGGGGCGGGTTGGGGGTGCAGAAGTCTTTTTATCTCTATATACATATATAGATGCGCATATCATATATATGTATTTATGGTCCAAACCTCAGAACTGACCCGCCCCTCCCTTACCCCCACTTCCCCAGCACTTTGAAGAAGAAACTACGGCTGTCGGGTGATTTTTCCGTGATCTTAATATTTATATCTCCAAGTTGTCCCCCCCCCTTGTCTGGGGGGTTTTTATTTTTATTTTCTCTTTGTTTTTAAAACTCTATCCTTGTATATCACAATAATGGAAAGAAAGTTTATAGTATCCTTTCACAAAGGAGTAGTTTTAAATTCCATTTAAAATGTGTATTTATTGGATTTTTTAAAAGCGACAATAGTAATGGTAAAGGATGGGCAGGAAAGGCCAGTAGTGCTCCCCCGCCCAGTCTCGCTGGGTCTGGCGAGCCAAGCCCCTCGGGCGCTGGCGAGGTCCTCAGCCATCTGCCCCTCGAGAGCCAAGCGCGGACGGTAGCCACCCAGTTCATCCCTCCCGACATACACCCCTTCCCTTTGGGGAAGGGAGCCTCAGGACAGCTTCTGTCCTCTCTGATAGGATGGGAGAGTCTGCAGAAAACCATCTGGGGTCCCTTTTCCAGTCCCCGGCTTGGAGTCGAAGGGCAGATGCACCCCAGGCCAGCCCCACGAGATGCTGGCATAGCTTTCCCCAGAAACCAGGTTGGAAGTAGATGGCTTCAAGCTTGCTAGTCTCCACACTGAATCCTCTGTCCGTTATTTATGGAGTCACACGATGTCATGGTTCACTAGGCAGCACCTCACGCTGGAGCTGGAGTGCGAGGTTCTTAGGGGCCGTGCCCACCATGTTGCCAAGCCAATGCATGCTGAGCTGAAGGAATTTGTCTTAGTGGCAGTTTTTTAAAAAATGCCCCCAAAGTCTATGCTGATACTGAAAAAGGGCTACTGTATCTTTAAAAACAGGAAGTTGAACCCAAGCTGTGAAAAGCCAGTGGTGCTCTGTGCATGGTGCTGTGCGGAGCCTGGTGCTGTAGTGTTGTGCTGGGACTTTCTTGACTCTTGGGCAGGTCACATCCTACAGGAGCTCAGCAGACCAGTGTAACAACAGTTAATGCATCTATCCTGATCCCTGAATTTCCACATTGGACAATGGTGCATGCCTCACACCTGAGCCTGCTTCCTCCATGCTGTCATTGGGTTCGGGGGCCTACACTTAACAATTTTAAAGTGCAAGAGTCAAACATTTTCAACAGGTTGCTATAATTTTCCTCCCTAATTGGTGCCATTTCTCCATTTGATCATTTTCTTTTTTTCCTTTCTCCCCTCTTCATCCACTTTAATATAGCTGTTCTGAAATTCTGGTGCATTCATTCGGTTCTTTGAAATGAGAATGTGGTGCTTAATTTTTGTGACGTTGTCGAGAGAGGTTGGGCCTGATGGGAGCAACACTCATCATCACCAAGTCAAACTTTGTTGGAGTGTTGGTTTTTCTTGTGATATTAGCAGAAATGATCTCATGCTAGCCATGTGGATGTGTGTGTGGTGAATGGGGGGCTTCATCAGGACACACAGAGGGGAATGTGGCCACACGGTGGATGACCACCAAGCCCTGAGATGAACAGGTATTTACTGAGCAGTTGTATTCAGATATGGGTCTTCATGAATCATGTTTAACAATCAGATGACCGCTATAGGCAAGTTCCTGAGCTTCCGGGTGCCTTGAGTAAGAGCTGAGAACCGGCCTGCTGGGTGTTTACTGTATCTGTTTGGAAGCACTGGCGGAGGGTCGTTGTAAGATGTCCTGAGCATTTATGTGGTCTGGTTTTAACTGTAAATAGTGAAAGATTTTTTTAAGCACTTTTGCCTAGATTTAAACAGCAACTTGAAAAAAAAAGTATGTTTTAACATGTAATTGTGGGAGAAATTGTAAATAGTAGCCGAATATTTAATGTGCTTTGTCTATCCTCCACTTTTACCATATTCTGTAAAGTTGCATTTATTTTACAGGACAAAAAAATGAAATATTATTGCTTTTGAAATAAATACCCAAGAGCTTATCAGGACTTAGAATTATTCAGAACTCAGATTTATAGGAAAACCTCTGACCTTCAGTTTGACAAGCTAAAGGAAGCAGAGTCTTTAATGAGCATGCTAATTTTCTAGTTTTGAGGAAAAATTGGGTCCTTTAAATGCTATTTTGCTTATCGCATCAGTACTTTTATGCAGGTCTCATTTGACTCCGTGCTTAGGTAGATGCGGGGGTGCCTTGAAAACTTCATTTTAAATGATCTTAAGCAAGAAATACAATATTTTACGAAACATTTGGAGAATGTGACCGTCTGTATGACCCGTGGAAGCCCCAGGTTGGCTGTTGGTTTGGAAGGTCCCGAGTGTAACCCAGGTGATTCTGATACTTGGCATGTGTGAATCTTCCTGATGTATGTTAAATAAACTCTTCCCCTCATCACCCTTTGGTAGGAAAGCCATTAGATGAAAGGAGAAACCAATACAAGCTAAAAGCATGCGACGTCTGTCCCCCAGCCCAAACAGCCTTGGTTCATCAGTTTCTGCAGTAGGAGATAGGCTGCTGAGAGGTGAGTCAAGAGGCAGTCTCCATTGGATGTCCCCACTCCCCGCAGAATGGCGTTTCCAGAGTTAGGCGGTGTGGTTGCCGTGCTCAAGCCCATGCTGATTTGTACACTACATGTCTAACCTACCTCAAATCTCAGTCATTAAAATTAGCATGCTTTAGACATATATTTAAAAAGTAACTATGCACAGCTCTTTATCCCCCCCTTGCTGCTGAAGCTTTCTTAAAGAGAAAAATCAAATTTTTATTTTTTACTGGCACTATCATTTTTTAAGTCCTAAAGATGATTAACAGACATTTTTATCATGAGAAGAAAAATAAAGCCATTGCAACTAAAGAACCTAACAGCATGACCAAGTTCGAAGAGTCATATTATAGCAACGGAAATCGATGGCGTCTTAGTCATCTCCCCAGTGTGCCCTGTCCACGGACACCATCCACGTGCAGTGCAAACATTTGGTTCCTTTTCTGCTCTGTTTTGTTTTCCCTGCCTGTTGCGTGCAAGGGAAGTGCTTGTAAAGTTCTGTGCTACGAGATTTTTAAAATAAAAATCGCTTCGCAGCAGGTTCTCACAAAATAACTGGTGCTAGCTCAAGAAATCATCATCTGACCATCAGAAATCTTGACTAAAGGTGTTGCATGGATTTGGGGGTCTTTCGGTTTTTGGTTTTGGGTCTGGCTTTTAGCAGGGCCAATGTTTCCCACACCCCGGCTTCATGGGTACTGCTTTGCCTTCTCACCAAGGTGACGATGGTGTGCGTGGAAAGAGATGATACCCCACCGCCCCCTCTTGGTCCTTCCACCAGCCTCTTTTGGGAACAGTAGTTTGCAGAGCAAGGGATTTTTAAAGCGCTAAAGCAAGGAAAGAAGTAGCAGAGCTTAACTGCTTTGTACCACACAGCAGTAGATGTGCAAGGACGGTTGACAATGAGTCGATGATAACCTAATTTCATTGAGAGAAACCCAGCCAGACTTGCTTCTAGAGGTTTAATCACCATGAGATCTCAAACCAAGGCAAAGCTGGTGGAAAACTATATGATATCCCTGACGTGCCTCAACCAGTATCTCTTTCCTTTTGTTACTGAAGTGTGTTTTATGGACTAGGAAGCATTTTTATGAATTGAAATAGTCTAAATAAAATGGTGCTATGGTGTTTTAATGTGACTGTCCCTGATCCTGTCTTGCTGAGGTGCTATCAACGTTCTGAAACCACAACCAACCAAAAACAAGGTGGGCTCCAGTCTCTTGGCTTTTTTTTTTCCCTCCCCTCTTTTGGTGCTGTCTTAGACCCGTTTACCGTGCTATAATCTGCTCTGAGCAGTGTTGTGTTGTGTTGTATTGTTCTTCCCTTGGTGGCCAAACAAAGCAAGTCGAGAAGGCAGCTATCTCCCTTTCTGTGATCGGGAGTGGGCCTGCCTGGCTTGGCAGGTGCTTTTTGGTTCCACACCTGTCTTCTCAGGCTTGATGTGAAAGAAAGGGCGAAGGGTTTTTTGAGTTTTTGTTTTTGAGGAAGGGGAGTTGGGTACTTCTGCCTCTCCTAGCATGATAGGCATTCTCATAGCCAGGGACAGATTTTCTCCTGCAGCCCAGGGTGCTAAGCAGACATCTCTGGGAGTCCCAAGGGCACACCAAGGGAGACCAGATGGATCTCCTTCCTCCCCTGGCACTGGCTGGGACCATGGTGGGCAGGGGCTTCATTCTCTGACCCAGCGTTGCTTCTGCCTCTCATTGGTAACCCCTTATGTTCGGACTAAAGGAAGGAGCTTTCTTTGCTCACTCGATGCCACTGAGGCTGCTTTTTAGTTGGTGCTAACCTAAATTTCTTCTTGGGTCCACAGAAGTTGATGTTTTAAAAACTCACCAGGAAGCTCCATTTTGTGTCATCCACTGTCACAATAATTTTTTTAAATACCTCAAAAACAGGACATCATGACAACTTCAGTAAAGTAGATTCCATGAGGGTCTGATACCTGCAGGTTGTCCGTCTGATGACATACTTGACCTTGAAAAATCTGGGGTCATTTTGTTTTTCATTCTTCAGCAGTTAAGATAGCGGAACGCCGAAAGGAAGGAGCGTAGTTGGCTGTATTTCATGTTTAAGTTTTGCTTTTGAATAAAATGTGAATTTCCTATGCCCATCTCATTGAGCTTTCTCAGTCATTGTTGCTGTCATTTGAAATGACTCCCTCAAAACCTAGTTTTATTAGCCAGCTGCCTCTGCTGTAGTACATGGCCAACTTCAACATACCCTGGACCAAAACATTTTTGAGGTGCATACCCCCAACATAAGTTACACAGTCCCACATCCAGGTGCACAGAGTGCGAGTGCACTCCGCGAGTGCGGGGGGAGGGGCGGCCCCCTCTGGTGCTCCCAGCCCTTCCTCCTGCAGAGCTGCAGGCAAGAGCAGAGCAATAGGCTTCTCCCCTGAGCAGAGACCGCAGCACAGAAATGCAAGGTCTAAAGTTGCTTTTTGCCTAAGAATCAGCGAGCGATTTGGCCTACTTCCTCATTGGCTTCTATTCTGATATCAGGGATGCTTTTTGTAGTGGTATTGTTTGCTCCCTCTTCGCGTTTTGACTACCCGTCATTCAGGGGTAACTCATCACTCTTCACACGGGGATTTAAATTAAGAAACTAATTGGCTCATGTGAACATTCCAAATTTTCTTGGTTTCAATACCCTTTTTTTTCTTTTGAGGGGAAAAGAGGGGAGAAAAACAGGAGTGATGTCATTTCTTTTTCATGTATTCCAATTAAAGAAACAAGGGCAGGTCGTATAATGGCATATTAATACATTAGACTTAATCTAGAACCCCTGTAGCTTTTTGATGTGTTTTATTTCTTATCTCTTTGAATTCCTGTTTGGTTACTTGGCTTCCAATGGAGGTGAACTTAACAACCATACTTGAATATTCCGTCTTGACTTTGTAAACTGTGGCTACTTGAAATGAAGTTTATCTGGGGTTGATGGATGAATGGTAGATTTTTGCAATGTCTCAAGGCAATAGGATGTGTATTAAACTGTAGATATTCTTAGTACAGTAAATTTATGCTGATAATTTTATTTTGTATAATTTTTACCTTTTTGTTAATATTTTTTCCTTCCACTTTATTGGTTTGCCTCCTGAGCTACCCCTCCTTACCCTCCCTTCTCCCTCAGTGTTTCAGTAAATTTAATTTAGGGTGCCTAGAAATTGCAAGTATGTATCCTTTTTGATTTGTATTTTATTATAATTTACACAAACAACTGGGTTTGTGAACTGTATTACTCCTGGTATCTTTAAAATATTGTGGGTGTTTTAATAAATTTTATATTTATTTTTTGCACTCAAATTCAGTGTGGGTTCTCTTTTTCCCCTTCTTGAACCAGGACTGGAATGTGATGTGTCAGGTACCCTGTAACCTCACCCACCCACCGTATGTTGTAGATGTACAAATGAAGCCCTCACTAATAGCAGCAGCGGAACCTGGCCTTGTCCATTCTGCCACCTGGATAAAGGAATGTTCAGAGGCTATCAGCTGTTAAAACGGGATCTAAAGGGAGAAAATAGAGATGGCCTTTTTCTCATCTATGTTTCTCTTTTTGTTTTCTTTCCCTTTTATGTTTTTTTGTCCTTTTTTTTCTTTCCACTGGGAGATACCTCCCTCCTACTAAAATTAACTTCTGATGTTTGTTAGGTTTGCTAAAGGATCACCAAATGCTGCTTGGTTCGGATGGCTTGAACAGCAAGTCTAGTAGGGATTGGCTAATATACGGAACCCGAGATTCTGCTGACCAGCGGCAGAGGTTTCCCGCAAGATCCCATGCCTGGAGCTACCTTCTTTAATTCAAATTGCCAATTCTGGAGGTGGCTGTTCTTGAAAAGGGAATATGAATTGAGGAAGGAGGAGAGAGAATAGTGAATCTGCTTGCTCTTCCTCCTTCCTCCTGCATGAAACATCTGACTGAAATTGATCCAGTGTCTTTGAGGGACAACCAGCCCAGCTGTTGATAAGGACTTCAGCAATATCCCAACATCCCAAGTCACTCTAGGTGGGAAAGTTCATCTCTGAGGGCATCTGAGTGAAAATACCATGATCATAATGAGTGCCAGGTGATCGGCTTGGAGGTTTTTATCTCCATTTTACTTTGCTTGCAAAGGAACCCACTGGAAATGCCTTGGCACACCTGGCTATCCAGGGATCCTCAAACATGTTTATATGTTTTACAAAAGTGGGGTCACACTGTGTTTTGTAACCTGCTTTCCTCCTTGAGTTGGAAGAGACCTAGTTCTGTCCCCTTCCTGAGCGCCTGTCATGATGGATCCATCTGCAGAGCCTGAAGGGAGGGCCAGGACATTCCTCCTTCAGCTGGGGCTGGTTTCACTATTGGTTAGCTATAAATATGCTGCCATCTCTTCTTATACAAGTTCCATGTTAAATATAGAAAATTAGAAGACAGAAGTTCTTAAAAGTTATCTGAAATCCCACCACGAGAGAACCGCATATTGGTTGCAAACATTTTGAGTGTGTAAATACGACCCATATGTATTTTTTCAAATGGAATACAATAATACAATCTTGTAATCTTTTTGCACTTAAACTATCTTTATCAGTATGCAGAATAGCATCTTTTTAAATAGTTGCCTAGCAATGTTTTTAGTATGGATACAGAAGCATTTAATCATCCCTGTATCACCAAACTCTTTAACATCCCAAGTTGTTGCAATTATAAATTGAACTAATCTAAATGTGCCTCCATGTAAATCCCACTCAGTCTATTTCTTTCTACGCTGAGAAGCGTTGCAGTAAATTCCCCTCTGCCACGTGACTACATTCTTAATTCCATAAACCTTCTTGTAACAGGTCCAGGCCCTGTCCACCACTACTCCCCACCGTGCCCCCGTCTGTTCACACCTAGAGCATCATTATTCATATTGGGATCTCTAGAAATGAGCAATTTGTTCCAGATGGGATCCGGCTCATGCAAGCCAAGCACAAAGACACCAAGGAGCCCCACGATCTGGACACACTATTTTTATGAGTGTACACCAAGGTTTATTAGCTTTTTAAGCAGCGGCTTGTGGCTTGGAAAGAACATAGATCCCTCACTTCCCAATTGTGTGATTTGATGAGGGTTTCATCTCCCTGTGTCATTTTGTCAATAAGACAGGCTAATGATACCACATAAGATATAAGGATAAAAAAATTGCTACAGAAGTGAAAGTGCCAGGCATTCGGGACATAGCAAGTAATAAGAGCTATCATTATTACTCTTGACATATGCAAAGCTTTAGATCACTAAGGAATCCAAGACTAGTCTTGGGACCACATAGTGACCTCTTCAGTGAACTTTTGCCAAATCAGGTCCACTAACTCAAGTCTGCGTGCAATTTTTTTTTTTAATGCTTCACACAGCAGTTGAAATGTAGCCATCTTAAATGAACTGTTTAACCCACTCTCCCTGCCTATTTTGAATCTTAATTTTGTCAAATATTGGTTTACCCAACCCAGCTACACAACTTGGTCAGCAACTTTGTTGTGTGTTCTGATGCTCTTGTAAGCTTCTTAAGCTTGGAGAGCTGTTAGTCATCTTTGTCTCCCATTGTACTCTGAAAATAATGGGCATTCAACGTCCCATGTCCATGGGATGGTGCATCCATACATACATCATGTCCCTGCAAGGGGACATGAAGCCCTAAAAACATGTTCGACACACATAATCCAGTGTACATTCTTGTCAGAGCCATGAACACAACATAGAAGACGTGAAAGACAAAGCTTTGTTAAATTCTAGATACCCCCCAGCACCTCATCCCCACTCCAGAGGTCTTAGCAGAGGCCTGCTTTCCTCTACTGAGAAGCCCAACCCCAGGCCCAGGGAGCCTGCCCAATTTCCCTCACCACACTTCAAACCATCTTCCTGTATGTTTGTCCTCTTTACTGTACACACACCCCTGCTGCTCGGTACCCCTGACTCTCACTCTCCATGTGCACCCTGTGCTGCTCCTGTGGAACATGCTTCATCCATTAACCCTTTTCTGTGGCTTCTCCCCATCACGTGCTCTCAGGTTCACCCCAGCCTGACCCTGCTGTGCCTCATAGACCTTTCCCACTCCTTCCTATCACCACCACATATCTGCAGGTGTAGACAACCTCCTAGCTTGAAGGTCCATACCACTCACTCACCTGTACCTTTATTTCTCCAGAAATAGTCAGCTTCTGAGCCAGGGATCCTCATCCTCACTGACCTCTGTGAAGCCCTGGAAACCCTCTGCTCCCGGACTGCATAGCCAGGAACATTCCATTGTCCCAGGACCCTGCCCCCTTTCATGAGCCCCTTTGTGACCTCTTGTCCTTTAAACACAAATGCCCCCAAAAGAATCGACTCAGTCTTCTCCACAGACTATAAGCTTTCCTTCAAAGGACTTGTTCAGCCACCAGGCCTCAACTATGACCCTAATGCCAATGATTTCCAAAGCCATGTCTAGCCTCATGAGTTTGGGCTGCTGGATAGCTCTGGGTGGCTCTTTGGTAAGGTCAAAGTCTTAACCAAAACTGACCTCTCAACTCTCCACCAAATTTCCTATTCTCCCAGTCATATCCTGACACCTGCCAAGTCTAGATTCTACATCCTCAGCATTCTCAATCCTGCTTCTCTTTGCTACTTTTATTAGCAACCCACATTGTACAGTCATACAGGCTATGCACTGCACAACTCTGGGGAACACCATTCATACAGACTACCATGTGTAAGCCTTAATTACAGATATGGACTCCTCCCTGATATGGACAGAGGCATGTTGGACAAGGACCACAGTATAGCCCTCTAAAGCTGGGGACCCAGGGCAGAGGCCTCTCATATCTTGGTCTAAATGTGAGACCCTTCAGAAAGGTTGAATGGCTTGCTCAAGACCATCCAGCTAGGAAATGGCAGAGCCCAGAATCAACCCAGGTGTATTTGGTGCCAAAGTTTGTGCCCTATCCAAATATACCCCTGTTTCTTCTGTACCTTAAGACCCACAAACCCAAGGGACATTGTCCTCACTGGTGGGAATCTACCTACCTAAAGCTTAGGGCATGACCTGAGTCTGTGGGTCTATGGGCACAAGAGGCACAGGTTGCAACAAAGTGGCTCCACAGGAAGACTTTGGCTCTTCAGAGCATCTTCAACAGGTATTGTTATTTGAAAGACTTCAATTCTAGCCCCCATTTGATCTCCCTGCCCAGCTTACCAAAGCCAATCTCCTTACTCAGATAATCTTTCTAAAAACCAAATCAGATGATACTATTTCCCTGTAATACTCCTCGATACTCCCCATTTGATACAGCTCTCAGGATAAGACACATTTTAACTTTGCCGCAGGGCCCCACAGGACTTGGCCCCAGCTTGCATCTTTAGTAACACTGCAGGCCATTTGGTGTCTTTTATCTGATTATCTCCTTGGTGCACCTCCCCATGTGGCCTCTCAAATATGAAGGGTCTTCTGATGGTAATGCCAGTAATACCACCAAGAACCCACTCCTTTTATTTACTTATTTGCTTTTAAAGTATCTGTAAGAAACTAACTCCTTTTGAAATCCATTAAAACATTTACATAAACTATAAAACCGCTCCAAATAAAGAAAATTATCAATAAGAACCAAAACATCAGCAAAATTATACTCAAGGAAGTAAATAAACAGGAAACCAAGTTAACCAAGTTATCTAAAGCCAAATAAAAAGTTTTACTACATAAAAAACAATATGCAGATCTAAGGGTATAAAATTTTTTAAAATTATTTTAAAAAACAAATATTAAGAACTCAAAGACTAGTAATGAGTGCTTTGCAAGAAATACAAGAGATTAGACAGTGACTACAATCTACTTTCAAAAAGATTAAAAATACCCACAGCAGGCTGGGTGCAGTGGCTCACGCCTATAATTCCAGCACTTTGGGAGGCTGAGGTGGATGGATCATGAGGTCAGAAGTTCAAGACCAGCCTGGCCAACACGGTGAAAGCCCGTCTCTACCAAAAATACAAAAATTAGCTGGGCAAGGTGGTGCGTTCCTGTAATCCCAGCTACTCGAGAGGCTGAGGCAGGAGAACTGCTTGATATGGGACCCGAGAGGCAGAAGTTGCAGTGAGTGCAAATCTCACCACTGCACTCCAGCCTGGGCTACAGAGTGAGACTCCGTCTCAAAAAAAAAAAAAAAAAAAAAAAAAAAAACCCACAGTTAACATCTTACTGAATGGAGAAAAGCTGAAAGCTTTTCCTCTGAGAACTGGAACAAGACAAGAATGGCCAGGCGCAGTGGCTCACACCTATAATCCCAGCACTTTGGGAGGCCGAGGCAGGCAGATCACGAGGTAGTTCGAGACCAGCCTGGCCAACATGGTGAAACCCTGTCTCTACTAAAAATACAAAAAATTAGCCGGGCATGGTGGCACATGCCTCTAATCCCAGCTACTCGGGAGGCTGAGGCAGGAGAATCACTTGAACCCGGGACGTGGAGGTTGCAGTAAGCGGAGATCACGCCACTGTACTCCAGCCTGGGTGACAGTGTGAGACTCCGTCAAAAAAAAAGAATGTCCACTCTCATTACTCTTATTCAACGTAGTACTAGAAGTCCTACCCAGAGCAATTAGGCAAGAACTTGAAATAAAAGGCATCCAAATGGAAAAGGAGGAAGTCAAATTGTCCCTGTTTGTAGATGACAGGATCACATATATATAAAAACCTAAAGACTCTACCAAAGAACTCTTAAAACTGATAAATTCAGTAAAGTTGCAGGATAAAAAAAAAAATTACATACACAAATCAGCAGTTATTTCCATACATGTACAACAAACTTAGCTGAAAAAGAAATCAAGAAAGCAATCCCATTTACAGTAGCTACCAAAAAATAAAATAAAATACCTAAGAATAAATTTAACCAAGGAGGTGAAAGATGTCTACAAGGAAAACTACAAAACACTGATGAAAGATATTGAAGAGGATACAAACAAATGGAAAGACATCCCATGCTCGCAGATTTGGAAAAATTCATATTATTAACATAATAATACTACCCAAAGCAAGCTACATATTTAATGCAATCCCTATCAAAATACCAATGACATTCTTCACAGAAATAGAAAAAAAAATCCTAAAATTTGTATGAAACTACAAGAGACCTCAAATAGCCAAAGCAATCCTGAGCAAAAAGAACAAATCTGGAGGTATCACACTATCAGGCCTCAAAATATACTAAAAAACTGTAATAACCAAAACAGCATGGTACTGGCATAAAAATAGACACAAAGACTAATGGAACAGAATAGAGAACCCAGAAACTAATCCACATACTTACAGACAACTGATTGTTGGCAAAGATGCCAAGAATACTCACTGGGGAAAGGACAATCTTTTGAACAAATGGTGCTGGCTTATAAGTGGGAGCTAAGCTATGAGGACAGAAAGGCATAAAAGTGATATAATGGACCTTGGGGACTCGGGGGGGAGGGCTGGAAGGAGGATAAGGGATAAAATACTACATATTGGGTACAGTGTACACAGCTTGGGTGATAGGTGCACTAAAATCTCAGAAATCACCACTAAAGAACTTATCCATGTAACCAAAAACCACCTGTATGCCAAAAATTATTGAAATAAACAATGTGAATACACTTAATGCCATTGAATTGTACACTTAAAATCATAAATTTTATGTTCTGTATATTTTACCACAATAAAATTAAATCTCTTAAAAGTTAAAAAAGCAGGCTGGGCATGGTGGCTCACGTCTGTAATCCCAGCACTCTGGGAGACCGAGGCAGGTAGATGACTTGAGGTCAGGAGTTCAAGACCAGCCTGGCCAACATGGTGAAACCCCCGTCTCTACTGAAAATACAAAAAATTGGCTGGGTGTGGTGGCAGGTGCCTGTAATCCCAGCTACTCAGGAGGCTGAGGCAGGAAAATCGTTTGAACCCAGGAGGTGGAGATTGCAGTGAGCTAAGATCACACCACTGCACTCCAGCCTGGGTGACAGAGAGAGACTCTGTCTCAAAAAAAAAAAAAAAAAAAAAGATGCTGGGAAAACTGGTTATCTATATGCGAAGAAGAAAACTAGAATCCCACTTCTCACCCTATACAAAAAATCAACTCAAAATGGACCAAAGACCTAAATGTAAGGCCCCAAACAATAAAACTACTAGAAGAAAACACAGGGGAAATGCTTCAGGACATTGGTCTAGGAAAATATTTTATGAATAAGACCTCAAAAGCACAGGCAATAAAAAGCAAAAATAAGCAACTGAGATTATATCATACTAAAAGCTTCTGCACAGTAAAGTTGAAACAATCAGCAGAGTAAAAAGGCAATCTACAGAATGGGAGAAAGGATTTGCAAACAACTCATTCAATAGGGAACGAATATCCAGAATATACAAGGAACTCAAACATCTCAACAGCAAAAAAACGAAACAATGCTATTTAAAAATGGGCAAATGATTATCCTAAGTTTCTCAGGAACAGAAAACCAAATACCACATGTTCTCACTTATAAGCAGGAGCTAAGCCACGGGATAAAAAGGAATATAGAGAGGTATAACGGACATTAGAGACCAAGAAGCGGGGAGGATGGGAGACGACACGGAATGAAAAATTACCTATTGGGGACAATGTAGACTATTCGGGTGAACAGGTACGCCAGAAGCCCAGACTTCACCACTGTATGATTCATCCATGTAACCAAAAACCACTGTACCCCTAAAACTGTTGAAATATTTAAAATTTTGTTAATTTGGATAGAGCTAAAAAAAGAAAGAGGCCTAGTTGAGAGAAAAATTTAATGTTGAAGATGATTCAATGGAACATGTTAAAGGTGCATTTGCTTCTATAAATTAAAAATAAATAGATAAGCAAACAAAAAAATGTGCAAATGAGCCAGGTGCAGTGGCTGACACCTATAATCTCAGCATTTTGGGAGGTCAAGGTGGGCAGACTGCTTCAGCCCAGGAGTTCAAGACCAGCCTGGGCAACATGGCAAAACCCTTTCTCTACAAAAAATACAAAAAATTAGCCTCGCATGGTGGCACATGCCTGTGGTATCAGCTACTTAGGAGGCAGAGGTGGGAGGACTGGTTAAGCCCTGGAGGACACGGCTACAGTGAGATGTGATTGCACCACTGCACTCCAGCCTGGGCGACACTGAGATCTGGTCTCAAAAAAAAAAAAAAAAGGCTGGAGGGGGTGGCGGGGGAATAATCCGAACAGACATTTCTCAAAAGAAGACATACAAATGGCCAACAAATATATGAAAAAATGCCCAACATCACTAATCATCAGGGAAATGTATATCAAAACCACACTGAGATATCATGTCATCTCAGGATAGCTATTAACAAAAAGACAAAAAATAAATGCTGGTGAGGATGCAGAGAAAAGGGAACTCTTATACAATGTTGGTGGGAATGTAAACCTAGTTCAGCCACTATGGAAAACAGTAAGGAGGTTCCTCAAAAAGTACAAATCGAACTCCCATGTGATCCAGCAATCCCACTACTGGGCATTTATCCCCAGGAAAGGAAATCATTATATCAAAGAGATATCTGGGAGGGCACGGTGGCTCATGCCTGTAATCCCAGCACTTTGGGAGGCCAAGGCAGGCAGATTACCTGAGGTCAGGAGTTCAAGACCAGCCAACATGGTGAAATCCCAGCTCTACTAAAAATGCAAAAAATTAGCTGGGTGTGGTGGTGTGTGTGTGTGCCTGTAGTCCCAGCTACTCGGCAGGCTGAGGCACGAGAATTGCTTGAACCCAGGAGGTGGAGGTTGCAGTGAGCCCAGATAGCGCCACTTCACTCCAGCCTGAGCAGCAGAGTGAGACTCCATCCCAAGTTAAAAAAAAAAAAAAAAAACACTGTGTACCCCATGAATATGTACAATTATTATTTGTCAATTTAAAAAAATTAAAAGAACAAACAAAAAGATTAAAAAGAGCATCTTGCCAGGTGTGGTGGCTCGTGCCTGTAATCCCAGCACTTTGGGTGCGGCTAGGGGAGCTGTCAGCAGTCCATGGTGAGCAAAGCCCCAGCTGTGCATGAGACACTCCAGGGAGGGAGAAGGGGACTCAGACACTAAGGGGCTGGCAGGGAAGAGAAGCCAGGAGGGAGGTGAGCAGCAACCAGGGAACTCAGGGAAGCACCTCAAATGGGCAAGGGAGAGGGGAGCGGGGAGATGGGCAAGGGGTATGTGAAAGAACCCAGTGGGAACTCTGATTGGGAGCAGAAGAGGTGGTAAGAAGGGGTCAGATTGTGCTTGTGTTTTGAAGGTAAAGAGATAAATCAGGATTTGTTTTTGAATTGTAACCTCCACCTCCTGGGTTCAAGCAATTCTACTGCCTCGGGCTCCCAAGTAGCTGGGATTACAGGTATGTGCCACCATGCCTGGCTAATTTTTGTATTTTTAGTAGAGATGGGGTTTCACCATTTTAGCCAGGCTGGCCTTGAACTCCTGACCTCAGGTGATCCACCTGCTTCAGCCTCCCAAAGTGCTGGAATTACAGGCATGAGCCACCATGCCCGGCCTATTTTATTATTTTTTAAAGACAAGGTCTTACTTTCTCCCAGGCTGGAGTGCAGTGGTGCGATCTTGACTCACTGCAGCCTCTGCCTCCTGTGAGGCTCAAGTGATCCTCCTCCCTCAACCTCCTGAGTACCTGGGACCACAGGCATGCATGGGATTACAGACCTTTTGATCCTAAAAAATGTCAAATTTATAGAAAATTTGCACAAATGGTACAATGAGCACCCACATACTCTTCACCTAGATTCACCATTTTTTAGCATTTTTGTCATACAGTTGTCCCTTGAGCAACACTGGTTTGTCAAGAATGCATAAAATACAGGTAGATATTAGTCTATTTTATCATGTTCTACCATAAAATACACAAAATCTATTATATATATTTTTTTATAACGGAGTCATGCCCTGTCGCCCAGGCTGGAACGCAATGACACAATCTTGGCTCACTGCAACCTCTGCCTCCCGGATTCAAATGATTCTCCTGCCTCAGCCTCCTGAGTAGCTGGGATTACAGGCACCCACCACCACACCCAGCTAATTTTTGTATTTTTAGTAGTGACGGGGTTTCACCATGTTGGCCAGGCTGGTCTCGAACTCCTGACCTCGTGATCCACCCACCTCAGTCTCCCAAAGTGCTGGGATTACAGGCATGAGCCACTGCACCCGACCCACAAATCTATTATAAAAAATTAAAATTGATAAAAACCAAGTACCTGCTTTAAACACCTGTGACGCTAATCATCTCCACGAGAGCAGATACTATCACCAGTAAATTGCATACTATAGTAAAAAGTGATCTCTTGTGGTTTTCACGTGTCTTTCATTGTGTTTAGCACAACGCTGTAAATCTTGAATAACACCATGGCACCCACACGTAGTGCCTCTAGTAATGGTGGAAGTGCTCCCGAGAAGCAAAGTCAAGTCATGACATTACAAGAACAAGTTGAATTGCTTGATATGTACCATGGATTGAGGTCTGCAGCTGCAGTTGCCCACCATTTCAGACAGACGATTCATCTTAAAAAGACAATTGAAACTTACAGTATCAGTAAGCACAGTACGGTACTGTAAATGTATTTTCATTACGATTTTCTTAATATTTTCTTTTCTCTGGCTTACTTTATTGTAAGAATACAGTATATAATACATATAACATACAAAATAACTATATTATCAGTAAGGCTTCTGGTCAACAGTAGCCTATTAGTAAAGTTTTTGGGGAGTCAAAATGTATATGTGGGTTAGTCAGAATGCTTAACTGACATTGTTCAAAAGTCACATTGTATTTGCTTTTCTCTCTGAATACACATACACACACACATATATTTACATTTACATATATATAAACATATATATAACACATATATATGAACCATTTGGGAATTTGTTGCAGACATCAAGACACTTCTCCTGTAAATACTTTTGTCTGTATGTCCTAAGAACAGTCATTCTCCTTCATAACTACATAAAATTATTGCACCCAGGAAACTGATATATTATCTAATATTGAGTTCATATTCAAATTTATCCAACTTTTGCAATAATGTCTCTTATAATTGTGTTTTCCTCCTAAACCAAGACTCAAACCAAGATCCAGTCCAGAATCACACCATGCATGTAAGTTGTAGTTTCTTGACCCTTCTTTGATCTGCAGACTGCTGCCCTATCACTTTGTTCTTTCACAATATTGCCAACTTTTGGCTGGGTGCGGTGGCTCACGCCTGTAATCCCAGCACTTTGGGAGGCTGAGGCGGGATCACTTGAGGTCAGGAGTTTGAGACCACCCTGGCCAACATAGTGAAACCCTGGCTCTACTAAAAATCCAAAAATTAGCTGGGTATGGTGTCACGTGCCTGTAATCCCAGATACTTCGGAGGCTGAGGCAGGAGAATTGCTTGAACCGGGGAGGCGGAGGTTGCAGTGAGCCGAGATCGCACCACTGCACTTCAGCCTGGGAGACAGAGTGAGACTCTATCTCAAAAAAAAAAAAAAAAAAGATATTGCCATCTTTTAAGAACTCAAGTCAATTGCTTTGCAGAATGTTCCTCAATTTTGATTTGTCTGATTGTTTCTTCATTAATCAGGTTGAGCCTATTAGAAATACTACCCAGATGATGTGTGTTCTTCCTGTTCCTCACACCAGGAGGCACACAGTCTCAGTTTGTCCTATTACTGGAAATGCTAAGTTTGACTTTTGGCTAAGGCAATGTCCAGCAAATGTCTCCATTGCCTGAAAAATTTCCCCTTTATAATTAATAAGTAATCCAGGAGGTGTTACTTTAAGACTGTGTGAATAACCTATTCCCAGTCTTTCACCTAATAGTTTCAGCTTCCACTGGTGATTCTTGGCTGAATCAATTATTACCACGATTGCTGCAAAATGGTGGATTTCCAATTTTATAATTCCTATATTTATTGGTTGTCATTCTACTGTTTTGAAAAAGCATCTTTACTTCTCTCTCCTTTTATATTAATATTAGTGTAGTAGTTGTGGTAATATGAACCCATGGATTCTTTTTAATTGAATGTTTTAAATACTTGTCAAATTATACAAAATTCAACCAACGGCAGCCCCTTCAAACTTATTCCTGTGGCCTTTTGACATTCCTTGGGTGCTTCTGTTTTCTGTTACAGGCCTGAGGTGTCAGCAGGAAAGACGTACTAGTGGCCCCTGAAGCCCTGTTACCTCGGGCCTCTAGGACTTTCGATAGGCCGCCTCCCTTCTCTTAAGAGCCCACAGGTTGGACCTCCAGGTTCTTCCCTGGGTGCTCCCGGAAGGACGCTGCTTCGGGCTCCTCCCGGGGGAACTCCATTCTAGGCGCCCGGCTCCCGGCTCCCCCGCCCGCCCAACCCCGGAGCGCTCCATTCTCCTTGCCAGGCTGCAAACTCCGCCTCCGGTCGCTCTGGCCGACGGCCTCCACGGCGGCAGGGGGCGACCTCTCGGCAAGACTTTCCGCCGGGGTCCCAGCCCGGCAGGAGCTTCCGGAGAGATGGCGGGCGACGTCCGTACCTCTCCGTCTTTCCCTCCTGGGCTGGTGCCGTGGCTACGCCCCGGCCGCTCCACACACCTACCCGGGGGGAACGTGTGCCTGGGCCGCTGGAGTCGCGAATGGCCGGTTATTCACACGTTCAAGTACCCAAGGCAGGCGGCCCTGCAGGCGTCGTCGCGGGTTCTTCCGGCCATCTTGTTGAGGAGGGACCGGAAGGAGGAGCGGCTGAGGAGCCCAAGGAGCGGGGCGGCGGCCACTAGGAGCTCAGGAGGCAAGGGCGTGGCCGAGTGGGACCCACTTGCCTGCCTGGACCCAGAACTCTGGGATCAGTTTGACAACTTAGAAAATCGATAGTCTTGAGAAATTCATCATATCTGCCAAGGAAAGGACTGAGATTGAACTCAGCTATACAAAACAACTCAGGAATCTTTTAAAGACATGCCAACCTAAAAGGAACTGGAAGGAGAAAGAATACATTACGTAAAACTCTCCTTCCCTCCCTGTGAACAAAATGAGTGATCACGCTAGGCAGCATTAAGTTATCTTCTTTGAGGTCTTGAACTTTCAGATCACCGTGGAGTTACAAGGGCATGTTCAAAACCAAAAGCAGGAGAGGAAATCTCACTTTCATGATGCCCAGAAGGCACAACCACCGACAGAGACTTGATGGAAGCAACTTGAGGCAAGTAAAAGACAATTGAGATTATAAAAAGGCTGCTGAGCACATCAGTATTTTGAGAAAATGCCATATGTTTTAAAAACACGTTTTTAAAAGTCGATGTTGAAAAAGGCACACCACCAAGCTGCGAAAACATCACCAATGGCAGAAGACGGCAGACTACTCAATGAGAATTGAATTACTCATCAATTCAAGAAATTTGACACTGAGCTGCAGGAATTTTACCATCCTAATAGTTCCAACAACTTCCAGAAAATACAAGAGATAGAGGGAAAGAGGATAGTGAGAATGAGAGAATCAGTGAAGACATATGTAGCGATTGGGCAACAGGTGATAGCAATCAATAGGAGATGCTTGGAGAGAATAGTAAAGGCAACTGAATCAATGATCAGAAAAATGTCACAGCTGGTAATAAAAACTTTCAAGTCAGAGTGTGAGCCTCCTGGAGACATCTGAGGACTACACTCTGCCAATAAGGTGCTTGATAATAGTCTTTCAGATTTCTGAGGAGAAGGCAAACCAGGGTCAGCTGTGGTGGCAAATTGAAAGGAAACTTCTGGCTGTTCATAAAAATGTATAAATAAAGCTCCAAAGCAGCAAAAGGAACTGATTGGTTTAATGAGCTCGTTATCAAACCCAATATTGGCTGCTTCAAAAGTCTATAATGTAGGCTGGGCACAGTGGTTCACACCAGTAATCATCCCAGCATATTGGGAGTCTGAGGCAGGTGGATCAGTCGAGGTCAGGAGTTTCAGACCAGCCTGGACAACATGGTGAAACCCCATCTCTACCAAAAATACAAAAATTAACCAGATGTGGTGGTGCACACCTGTAATCCCAGCTACTTGGGAGGCTGAGATGGGAGAATCGCTTGGACCTGGGAGGTGGAGGTTGCAGTAAGCTGAGATCATGCCACTGCACTCCAACCTGGGTGACAGAGTGAGACTCCATCTCAAAGAAAAAAGTCTGTAGTGTAAGGGGTGTAACCCCAGAGGATGTTGGCAGTCTTCCACCTCAACTGAAAAGGAAAAAACTACAAGAGAAAGTCAATGAAATAAATACAGATGGAGATGGATCAAAGAAATGGCATAACAAAAATGAAAAACATGTACAAAAGAAATCTTCAAATGGGAGATACAGCCAGTTTGAGTCACAAATTAACAAAATTCAGACAAAAATATAGAAAAACAAGAGGCCCAGAAATTTGAAGTCTAGCTGCCTGAGGTTGAAGGCAGGCTCACACAATCAAGTGAACAGGCCTGACAACAGAGTGGAATGTACAAAAACCCAATCCAAAATCCCAGAGAGGTTTGCACAAGACTGGAAGGACTCAGAAGGCAGTTACATAGAGGAGCCAGTCAAGAAAGTGGGGTGAGGAGTTCTGGTTGTGGATTTTGATAGTGAAATATATATATGTGTGTGTGTGTGTGTATATATAAATACATACATATATATATATATATATATATTTTTTTTTTTTTTTTTTTTTTGAGATAGTCTTGCTCTGTTACCCAGGCTGGAGTGCAGTGGCTCGATCATGGCTTACTGTAGCCTCGACCTCCCAGGCTCAAGCTGTTCTCCTACCTCAGCCTCCCAAGTAGCTGGGACTAAAGGCATGTGCCACTACACCTAGCTTTTTTTTTTTTTTTTTTTTTTTTGCCACATGCCGCCACACCCAGCTAATGTTTTTATTTTTTATGGAGATGGGGTTTCACCTTGTTGGCCAGGATGGTCTTGATCTCCTGACCCTGTGATCGGCCTGCCTCAGCCTCCCAAAATGCTGGGATTACAGGCATGAGCCACCGTGGCCAGCCTAATTTTTGTATTTTTTATAGAGATGGGATTTCACAATTTTGCCCAGGCTGGCCTTGAACTCCTGGGCTCAAACGATCCACCCACCTTGGCCTCCCAGAGTGCTGAGATTACAGGCATGAGAAACCACACCCAGCCTTGATAATGAATTTGATAAGGAACTGCTTCCTGCCTTAGGGACTTGGAAAACCCTCTACATGTTTGAAGTTCAGAATGAAGGAATCATTTCAATAGTTGAAGCAAAAATATTGTATATTATAGAGGAAAATGAAGGTGCTGCGTGAATCTGCTTTTGGAAAAATGAAGATGAAAAGAGTTAAGTCCCTACTTTGTCAACATTGATTTGGACTAAAATGCCAAAGGTGCTAACATGTCAAATCGCTTGAATTCAGGCGGCAAAGATGGCAGTGAGCCAAGATCACACCACTCCACTCCAGCCTGAGCGACGGAGCGAGACTCTGTCTCAATGAATAAATAAATAGGCCACACGCGCTGGCTCACGCCTGTAATCCCAGCACTTTGGGAGGCCAAGGCGGGCGGATCACGAGTTCAGGAGATCAACACCATCCTGGCTAACATGGTGAAACCCTGTCTCTACTAAAAATACAAAAAACTGGACCCGGCCTGTGGGCGGAACCGACCAAGAAACACGCCAGCCAGGGCAGGGGCGTGCAGGAGGGATTCGGTAACCCCAGAGAGGAGTGGGAAATCAGGAAAGGCTGGAGTGCAGTGGCGTGATCTCGGCTCGCTACAACCTCCACCTCCCAGCCGCCTGCCTTGGCCTCCCAAAGTGCCGAGGTTGCAGCCTCTGCCCGGCCACCACCCCGTCTGGGAAGTGAGGAGCGTTTTTCTGCCTGGCCGCCCATCGTCAGGGATGTGAGGAGCCCTTCTGACCGGCTGCCCAGTCTGGGAAGTGAGGAGCGCCTCTTCCCGGCCGCCATCCCGTCTAGGAAGTGAGGAGTGTCTCTGCCCGGCCGCCCATCGTCTGAGATGTGGGGAGCGCCTCTGCCCCGCCGCCCCGTCTGGGATGTGAGGAGCGCCTCTGCCAGGCCGCGACCTCGTCTGGGAACTGAGGAGCGTCTCTGCCCGACTGCCACCCCATCTGGGAGGTGAGGAGCGTCTCTGCCCGGCCGCCCCGTCTGAGAAGTGAGGAGCCCCTCCGCCCGGCAGCCACCCCGTCTGGGAAGTGAGGAGCCCCTCCGCCCGGCAGCCGCCCCATCTGCGAAGTGAGGAGCCCCTCCGCCCAGCAGCTGCCCGGTCCAGGAGGTGGGGGGCAGCCCCCGCCCCGCCAGCCGCCCCATCTGGGAGGGAGGTGGGGGGCAGCCCCCGCCCGGCCAGCCACCCCATCCGGGAGGGAGGTGGGGGGGTCAGCCCCCGCCCAGCCAGCCGCCCCGTCCGGGAGGGAGGTGGGGGGTCAGCCCCCGCCCAGCCAGCCACCCCGTCTGGGAGGGAGGTGGGGGGTCAGCCCCTGCCCGGCCAGCCGCCCCGTCCGGGAGGTGAGGGTCGCCTCTGCCCGGCCACTGCCCCGTCTGGGAGGTGGGGGGCGCCTCTGCCCAGCCGCCACCCCGTCTGGGAGGTGTACCCAACAGCTCATTGAGAACTGGCCACGATGACGATGGCGGTTTTGTTGAATAGAAAAGGGGGAAATGTGGGGAAAAGAGATCAGATTGTTACTGTGTAGGTGTAGAAAGTAGACATGGGAGACTCCATTTTGTTCTGTACTAAGAAAAATTCTTCTGCCTTGGGATGCTGTTAATCTATAACCTTACCCCCAACCCCGTGCTCTCTGAAACATGTGCTGTGTCCACTCAGGGTTAAATGGATTAAGGGCGGTGCAAGATGTGCTTTGTTAAATAGATGCTTGAAGGCAGCATGCTCGTTAAGAGTCATCACCACTCCCTAATCTCAAGTACCCAGGGACACAAACACTGCGGAAGGCCGCAGGGTCCTCTGTCTAGGAAAACCAGAGACCCTTGTTCACATGTTTATCTGCTGACCTTCCCTCCACTATTGTCCTATGACCCTGCCAAATCCCCCTCTCCGAGAAACACCCAAGAATGATCAATAAATACTAAAAAAAAAAAAGAAAAAGGTTAAAAACTAAAA
This sequence comes from Homo sapiens, assembly GCF_000001405.40. Taxonomy (NCBI): domain Eukaryota; kingdom Metazoa; phylum Chordata; class Mammalia; order Primates; family Hominidae; genus Homo; species Homo sapiens. The sequence continues at coordinate 74,124,962 of NC_000002.12, forward strand.
AAAAAAAAAAGGTGCTAACATGTATATTTAATACTACTCGGAATTTTTTTTCTTTTTTTTTTTGAGATGGAGTCTCACTCTGTCACCCAGGCTGGGGTGCAATGGTGCAATCTCAGCTCACTGCATCCTCTGCCTCCTGGGTTCAAGTGATTCTCCTCCCTCAGCCTCCTGAGTAGCTGGGATTACAGGTGCCTGCCACCTGCAGAGACAGGGTTTCACCATGTTGGCCAGGCTGTTCTCGAACTCCTGACCTCAGGTGATCTGCCTGCCTCGGCCTCCCAAAGTGCTGGGATTACAGGCGTGAGCCACTGCACCTGGCCTCACTTGGATTATTTTTTAATTGTGGCGCTGTTTCTCCCTACAACATGACTCTTACAGATAGCTTCAAAAGCCTGGCTGGATGGATAACACCATGGTACAATACACGTTTTCAGACAGCCACACAGTAGACTTTTAGGCATCATACACTTGAGTTTTCCTTGGCTAGTTTTGACTATAATCAAGTTTTTCATGCTGAGATGAAGCTTTACATGGAAAGCTGCTAACTGCCAATTTACAACTGTGTCATTTGAAATTCCATAAACATTTCTTCTTTTGGCAGCATTTATAAATAACAAAAAAGTTGTATTCTAGCTTCTAACCATCCTTTGTGAATAAGAAGTGTGGCATTGTGGAGGTACAGAAGACTTCAGCTCTCATATATAGTACCTGCCATAAATTAAAGTATGCTAAAATTTTTTTTTTTTTTAACTTTATAGAGATGAGGTCTCACTGTGTTGCCCAGGCTGGTCTCAAACCCCTAGCCTCAAGCAATCCTCTTGCCTCAGCCCCCTAAAGTGTTGGGATTACAGGCATGAGCCACCATGCCCAGCTGAATGTTATACTTTGTAGCTCAGTAAATTGAACTATGCTAGTTTGTTAAATTTTACCATTATTCACTTAGAGAAAATCACAAACAAAATTTAAAATCTCAATTTTCTTTGAGGCAAGGGTCTTGCTATATTGTCCAGGCTGGTCTTGAACTTGTGGCTCAGGTGATCCAACCACCTCAGCCTCTGAGTAGCTGGGATTCTCACCCTTTTTGAGTACAGAAGTAAATAAGTACTTGCACTAAAATTTTGTATTTTTTCTTAAACATGGTTAAGATTATTGTTTTCATCATAATTAACCTATCATGTCTATTTGATCCCATAGAGCCAATTGAAATCTGGAGAAATTTGGTCAGTTAACCTGTTGGTTTTTATATATGGCACCAACTGATCTCTACCAGATTGACACAGTAGATCAGCTGTTTTAATGCTGAAAAGAGAAGCTTATATAAATACAGTGCACATCTATTAATGCTTCTCACGTCTGTAGTTCTGTTTCAGGCAGAGGTTTTTTGGCATAGGACCTGTATTCAGCTCACACTTTCCTAGGCTGGCTATGAGTAGAATGCCTCGTGGCAGTAGCTACACTCATACATAGGCATTGATCTTAGATCTGTGTAGAGTTTTAAATCATTGGCATCTTTTAGGCCTAAATTTTATATTTGCTGGATTTTTTTTTTTTTTTTTTTTGAGATGGAGTCTTGCTCTGTCACCCAGGCTGGAGTGCAGTGGTGCATCTCTGCTCACTGCAAGCTCCGCCTCCCGGGTTCACACCATTCTCCTGCCTCAGTGTCCCACGTAGCTGGGACTACAGGCACCCGCCACCACTCCCGGCTAATTTTTTGTATTTTTTCAGTAGAGACGGGGTTTCATCGTGTTAGCCAGCATGGTCTCAATCTCCTGACCTCATGATCCACCTGCCTCGGCCTCCCAAAGTGCTGGGATTACAGGCGTGAGCCACCACACCCAGCCTGGAATTTTTTTAAAGCAGTAAATGTAAACGCTAACTTTAGAAAATATTAATAATATGATTAATTTTAGCCAGAATAAAATAATTTGCCATCTTTATAGAAATCTGGCCACGTAGGAATTAGCATTCTTAAAATTGGCACTGAAGCCAGAAGATGGATAGTGAAATTGGTCACATGCATAGACAGCTACCAAGTCCAGTGTTTAATGGTGCCCAGTGAAGAGGATTGAAGCACACACCAGAGAAGCAGCTGTAACTGGGTCAGAAGAAAAGTGTCAGGCTGAGACTTAGTTTTAGGTAGAAAAATGAGCTGCTTGCCTCTACATTCATTATTGGCTCATCTCATAAACTCAAATGAGGGGATCAGAAGCTGGCAGAAGGGACGGACTCATGCTTGTTGATCCGGATGACCTCTGTTTCAAGGTTCCAGCAATGAGTTAGCTTACATTTTACAAGGTCTCCCAAAGTGAAATGTAGTAGTCTTTACTTAGTGACAGACTAATTTACAACTATGTAATTCTTTTAAGTTTGTAATTAAAATTTCTTCTGAATTATTAATGGCTTTATTGACATGATGTTAATAAAGCCTCTCATCTTGCTGTTAAGTATTGTAGTGAGAAAATCAGCTGACCTGGAAACCATGGGGATTGGTTCTAATGAGCCATAAATGCTTCCCCTCTTCCTTCAGCACTAGTAGACTACCAGCTTTAGGCATTTAACCAAACGAATTGGAGACAGAAAATATTAAAATCCAGCCATCCTATATCAGATGATGAACTCATTTCCAGACTAACTACCCAAGAAAGCAAGTTAAACACTGTAAAAGCCTAAAACGGGGCAAGTTGGGATTAGCTTTTAAAATGCCTGCCTTGAAAAACACATTATTCTGTGAGGTTTTTTTTTTTTCTTTAAAGTTGTGCAAATTTGATTCGGAAAAATAGCTTAATAGGTTTGTATAGGGCACGGGAGAAGGGGTTGTGTGCATAAATGTATGATGATTATTTTAAGTGTGTGCTTCAGCAGCGACAACAAACAGATGAAGATACGTGATACTGACTAAACAGGCAAGAGTATTTTCTAGTCTCAGTTCTTCTAGTCAATGCCTAAAGTATTAGAAAAAGTACTGAAACAATTCCCAAAGCATCAGGAATTTCCATTTCTAGTCAAAATATTGTTTGTTTTCTTCCAACAGTTCTGTTAAATAAAAGGAAAAGTTATAAAGTTTTAGAGATATATTTAATGTCACAGGTTAATAATGTGTGTATAGAAGCCTTCTCTAACCTTGTTTGTAAATCTACCAAACCTCACCTCAAACAGTGTTCTCCTTAAACCCATCCTTTTTGTGCAAAGCTACTGCTTCCTGATGTCCATAACTCAAGGCATTTTTTTTTTCGCTTGGTGTAGTTTCTGAAATGTGATTATTTAATGTTTGCCAAGATGTTTGGAATAGAGTAACTTTCAACTAATCAATTGATTGTGACTTTCTTCTTTTGTAGTTTTTGTTTTTAAAATTGCTTTCTGTCAAACCCATCTATAATTCCCCCAGAATATATTTATATGGACTAAGGCTTACCAAAAATAAGGAAAATCGGAGAAACTGCCACCGCCAGGAGGAGCCAAGGGGACATGATGACTAAATGTAATCTGGTTTCATGGAGGGGCTACCTAGAAAAAAGACATTAAGGGAAGACTAAGGAAACTTGAATAAAGTATGGGCTCTCCTTAATAATAGTGTAACAAATTCATTGTAACAAATGCCCCATACTAACGTAAGATGTGAATAATCAGGGAAACTGGATGTGGGACATATGGGAACTCCACTATCTTCAAAATTTTTCTGTAAATGTAGAACTGTTCTAAAACAATAAAGACTATAAAAAAATAATAAAGACTATTAGAAAAAAAAAAAGGCTGGGCTTATGCTTGTAATCCCAAGACTTTGGGAGGCCAAGGCAGGAAGATCACTTGAGGGCAGAAATTTGACCAGCCTGGGCAACATAGTAAGACCTCAACTCTACAACAACAACAACAACAACAATAAAATAGCCAGGCATGGTGGTGCACACCTATACTCCCAGCTACTTGGGAGGCTGAGGTGGGAGGATCAGCTGAGCCCCAGAAGTCAAGGCTGCAGTGAGTTGTGAATGCACAACTGCACTTCAGACTGGTTGACAGAGATCCTGTCTCAATTTAAAAAAAAAAAAAAAAAAAAAAAAAGGCTGGGCATGATGGCTCACACCTATAATCCCAGCACTTTGGGATTAGTGCTGGGATTGAGGCAGGCAGATCACCTGAGGTCGTGAGTTTAAGAACAGCCTGACCAACATGGAGAAACCCCATCTCTACTAAAAATACAAACTTAGCTGGGCATGGTGGCTCATGGCTCATACCTGTAATCCCAGCTACTCAGGAGGCTGAGGCAGGAGAATCTCTTGAACCCGGGAGGCAGAGGTTGCAGTGAGCCGAGATTGCACCATTGCACTCCAGCCTGGACAACAAGAGTGAAACTCCGTCTCAAAAAAAAAAAAAAAAAAAAAAAAAAAAAAACCCGGCCGGGCACAGTGGCTCATGCCTGTAATCCCAGCACTTTGGGAGGCTGAGGCAGGCAGATCACCTGAGGTCAGGCGTTTGAGACCAGCCTGGCCAACATGGTGAAACCTCGTCTCTACAAAAAACGCAAAAATTAGCCAGGAGTGGTGGCAGGCACCTGTAATCCCAGCTACTCAGGAGGCTGAGGTGGGAGAATTGCTTGAACCCAGCAGGCAGACTATAGTGAGCCAAGATCGCACCACTGTGCTCCAGCCTGGGAGACAGAGCAAGACCCTGTCTCAAAAAAAAAAATGAATTGAAAAAACCTTAAGGGCATTACTTGAACATCAGTTGTTTTACTCTTTTATGTGATCATCTTTTGTGCCCCCAATGACTTTTTTGTTTTTATATCTTCCAGAGAGAGGCAGGAGTCTGTTGTTACACTCACACTGAATTCCCTGGTGGCTGCTTTATTGGCTTTAGGCCAGGTGCAGTGGCTCACGCCTATAATCCCAGCACTTTGGGAGGCCGAGGTGGACGGATTACCTGAGGTCAGGAGTTCGAGACCAGCCTGGCCAACATGGTGAAACCCCATCTCTACTAAAAAACACAAAAATTAGCCGGGCTTGGTGGCAGGCACCTGTAATACCAACTACTTGGGAGGCTGAGGCAGGAGAATGGCTTGTACCCGGGAGGCAGAGGTTGCAGTGAGCGGAGATTGTGCCACTGTATTCCAGCCTGGGAGACAAAGCAAGAGTCTGTCTCAAAAAAAAAAAAAAAAAAGTTGGCTTTAGTATAGACACTTGGGTTCACAGTTTTGTTTGACCATAGTCACTATGGTTGCTTAGTCTTATTGCAAAAGAAAAGAACCCGTCGGGCATCTTTTAGGTGTACTCTCATCTGCCACCCTAAACACCTTTTCCTTACAGAAAAAATAAATTACACAAATGCTCTTTTAAGTTCACAGCCACAGGGTATCTTACCAGGAGCTAAGAAATGAGGTCAGCTTCCTGGAATGAGGTGCCTAAGGGTAGAGCTGACTCCTAGCATAGCCCGACCAGCAATATTAGCGCCAGTGCAGGTACAAATGTTGGCTGATTGGGCAGGGAGTGGAGAGGCGGTGAGCGTGCAAGAGTGCGCGCTCTGCGGGTTGCGCTCCTTTTGGTGGCCCGAAGAAGGCAGCTGGAGCTCACAAGCCACTGCTGGCGGACTTGAACCGAGAGTGAGTGTCTTATGTAAGACATTTCTTGCAGAGTCGTGGCGAGGAAGCGCGGACTAGGGCGCGCTTGCTGCTCTCCAACAACGTCTGGACCCGGGGATCGAGGGCAGCGGAACCCCCTCCCGTCCCTCCATCTCCACCTTCTCTGTGCTTGGGTGCACCCTGTGGATACAGCCGGCCTGAGGGACCGCAGACTCGTCGGGCTGCTTTCTGATGAGAGGATTAACAAACAATTGCCGGCTGCGACCATTTTGCAGGACAGGCATCTTCTGCGCGCAGGCCACGTCGGGCCTGCCCGGGCTCTGGCTGCCTGGAAGTGCTCCCGCTGTTCACCCCGCGGAATTAGGGGTTGGGGGGCAGTTCCCCGCAAATGGGTGAGGGGGTGGAGGCGAGGTGAATTAATGGATACGCAGTAGCCCCATCGAGGGAAAAGGGGTTGGACGGAGGGGAACTGCGGTGGGCAGGGCAGGCCTAGGGGGCTGGTAGGGGATAAAGAGGAGAGTCCCCCTGTACGGTGACTTACCTGGTCTCGGTGCCTCCGCTCTCCCGTTCCCTCACTAATGAGACTCTTAAATCTGGCAGGGACCCAGGAAGGGATATTTGTAATTATTCCAGGTGGTTCGAATTTGCAGCCAGAATGGGAATCACTGTATCTTCTTTACTTCAATGCCTGCTTTCTCTTAGCACGTTCTTGCCACAACCCTTCATTCATGACCTTCTCAGTCCATTTGTTCAGCTTTGGCCTCTCCAGTCCATTATCTCCGCACTTCCCGATTTGGATTCGCAGGTCCGTTAGCCCTGAGCGCTCCAGCAGCCATTGTCTGGTCGGTGGACTGGCTCTCCGCGGGTCATTCACTCACCTTTCCCACTCTGGATTCCCAAGAAAGGGAATTGAAACCATTGGCTCCTAACCAGTCTGTGTCTGGGTGGGGCTTTGCAGCCTCAGGTCCTCTCTCAGGTTACTGGCCACCCTGTCCCCTACACTGCTAGTTAGGTGGTCTAACCAGGGCTGAGGGGCACTACAGGAACCCAGGAACAAAATGTGCCCAGGGGAGGGCTGTGGAGCAGGCAGTTTCCCCTACACTGACTTGCCCAGTCAGCCGGCACCTCAGGGAACTTTGGGTTTTCCACTGGAAAACCGCACACTGTTTTTAAAACGACACTGAGCTCAGAAGACCTCTCATGTGAACCTAGCACTTTCCACAAGCAACACTTAATCAAAAAGCTAGGAGGTGGCTACATCCGATGCAATGCTATACTCTAGCCACTGGGATTAAACACGTTCTTCTCGTTTTCTAATCCGTCAATTAAAAAAACCTGTGATTCCTCTCCCAACTTTCCTTTTAATTTGGGGGGAAGAACAACTGGGTGGGGGGGCCCTATTTGTTTCCAGATTTAGAAGCATTTAGGGGATTACACATTTCACAAGCCCGAAGAGTTCTCTGGTTGCGGGTGGGGTGAAGCAGAAGGAAGAGTCCCCTGTCTTCTGGTGTCCGGAGGTTCCTAGGCGGCTTGGCCCACAAAGCCACACTTATCTTTTCCTCCAGTCAAGAACATCTGCTGCTTTGTCCCAGCCCTTCTTTGAAGAATAGAACCCCCTCTTCTTTTGGTAACGCCTTCTCTCTCCACTTCAAGCCAGAGTCCAGCTAGAGGCTGCAATTTTATATGCCCCCTGGACCCCACCTGGTTAGTCCAGGTGGCTCCTAATTCAAGATGAGCCAATCAGAGCCCTTCCTGGGAACTCCAAAAGAAAGTTTGCTCTTACAACGCGTTAGGCCAGGTGGCTCCTAATTCAAGATGAGCCAAACAGAGGCCGTCCTGGGGACTTGAAAACAAAGTCTGCTCTTCCCACGGCCTGAACAGGACCTCACTGTGTGCCATCCAGGCTGAGTGCAATGACACAATCACAGCTTACTGCAGCCTCAAACTCCTGGGCTCAAGTGATCCTGCTGCCTCAGCCTCCAGAGTTGCTAGGGCTACAGGTGCATGTCACCACAACTGGCATTTTTTTAATTTTTTGTAGAAACAGTGTCTTACTTGTTGCCCAGGCTGGTCACAAACTCCTTGGCTCAAGCAATTCTCCCATCTCTGCCTCCCAAAGTGTTGGGATTACAGATGTGAGCCACCACATCTGGCTGAACTGGACATTAAAATATATAAATTAAGAGGTACTGGCATTCAAGTCACCACTGTATGGCAGATGCCAATCTAGAGTGAGAGATAATAAAGCTGATCTGTAGAGAGGAAGGGACAGCAGATGAAGGGGAGACCCAGTGGCACTGGTGTTCCTGACTCTTAGCTGGACCCGTGTCCTTTCTGCAATTTGGCTCTTTTTCTTTTCTTTTTTTTTGTTCTTTTTTTCTTTTTGATACGGAGTCTGGCTCTGTCATCCAGGCTGGAGTGCAGTAGCGTGATCTTGGCTCACTGAAGCCTCTGCTTCCCAGGTTCGAGAGATTCTCCTGCCTCAGCCTCCCGAGTAGCTGGGACTACAGGCATGTGCCACTATGCCTGGCTAATTTTTGTATTTTTTTTTTTTTTTTTTTTTAGTTGAGACAAGGTTTCACCATGTTGGCCAGGCTGGTCTTGAACTCCTGACCTCAAGTGATCCACCCACCTCAGCCTCCCAAAGTGCTGGGATTACGCGCGTGAGCCACCGTGCCCAGCCCGAAGTTTGGCTCTTCAACCCGTCTGTCAATAAGTGAGAGTCCCCCGTGTTCCTTCAGTAATGAACAAACATATTAATTATCAATTGCTGCATAAAAATGTAACCCCAAACACTGGCTTAAAACAACAAACACATATATGTATTTCACAGTTTCTCTTGGTCAGAAATTGGGGAGTGGCTCAGCTGAGTGGCTGTGGCTCAACCTGCAGTCAGGATGCCAGCTGGGGCTGCAATCTTCTGATGGCTTGACTGTGGCTGAAGGATCCACTTCCAAGGTGGCTCACCCACATGGCTCTTGTCCTGGCAGAAGGCCTCATTCTGTGCTGACTGTTGGCAGGTCTGTTTGACTGGCTGTTGGTAAAAGGCCTCAGTTTCTCACCACATGGACCTCTCTGTAGGCTGCTTGTGTGTCCTCACAACATGGCTGCCTTCCCTCAGAGCAAACAATCCAAGGGAGAGAGCAAGGAGAAAGCCACTGTGCCCTACATGATGTATTCTCTGAAACTGCAGGTCACTTTCACTTTATTCTGTTTTTTTGTTTGTTTTTTTGAGACGGAGTCTTGCTCTGTCTCCCAGGCTGGAGTGCAGTGGCACAATCTTGGTTCACTGCAACTTCTGCCTCCCGGGTTCAAGCGATTCTCCTGCCTCAGCCTCCTGAGTAGCTGGGATTACAGGCGCGTGCCATCATGCCTGGCTAATTTTTGTATTTTCAGTAGAGACGGGGTTTCACCATGTTGGTCAGGCTGGTCTCAAACTCCTGACCTTGTGATCCCCCCCCCTCGGCCTCTCAAAGTGCCAGGATTACAGGTGTGAGCCACCACGCCTGGCCTATTCTGTTCTTTAGAAGATCACCATATTGAGCCCACTCTTAAGAGAAAGACAAATAGGTTCCACGCAGGGAATCAGTGTGTCTAATTTTGAGGTCTCTCCATTCTCACTGACCACTGCCGTCCTGCTGGCCTCTGGGATTCCAAGCTTGGGTGTTTCCTCACCGTATCACCTGAAAGCCGTCCCTGGGGTGTCTAGCTGTTTCAGAGGTGGCTCGGGCCTTCAGGCACAGTTCTCTGTTTTGTCCCAACCTTCTCAGCTCTGATACAACTGAGTGATTCTACTGCTTGTAAGAGGCAGTTCTGCCCTGGCAGGTACCAATCCTTCCCAACCCCACTGTGCAGATAGAGAATATTTTAAAATTACAAAACGGGGGCACAATGTATGAACAGAATATTTGAAATTTTTTTCTGCCCTCAAAAATCTGGGGCCCAAGGTTGTTATATCTTCATGTCCTCATTTCTTAGGGAGGTACCTTCAGAACCAATAGTGACCCCTAACTTCTCTGGTGGTCGGTTCCATGAAAGGCAAAGGAGTGTGAGAGAGGAGTGGATGGTCAACCTCCCACTGCCATGGTAACATGGGTGCTGGCTGATGGGAGCAGAAAATAATTTAGTGAAAGTCTGTGGGGGCAGTCACAAGATGTCTGAGAAAACTGGCGAGCCAGCTGCTGAAAACAGGGACAAGGAAGCCTCCGTGGCTGGAGCCCAAATCACACTGCAGACCCAGACACCGTGACCACCACCATGGACTCCAGAGAGAGCAGCTTATAGTACTCAATCAGCTGCCACTACCACCATCCAGAACACCAGATGTTGTAGCCATGGCTGCAGCAGGAATGGATGTCCCACTGTCCCTGCTCCTCGGTGTGACTTGCTCCCAAGTTCAGGGCAGGTCCATCTGATTGGCTGAGTCTGGAATATCTGCCTGTGCCTCAGCTGTGAGGGAGGCAGGGAAAGTAAGCCTTTTCAGCTTCTGTCGTGGGAGGTGGGCTCTGCCTCCTACCAAGAATCAAAGGGTGGAGGATCTTCAAACACAGGAAAAGAACCCGGATCCTGGCACCCCCAAATTTTCAGAGTCCATTTCAGAGCATAAGAAATTGAGGGTCCAAGATCATTCATGTAAGAAGTTTAGAGGGGGAAGAAAAGAATGATAAACGAAAAGAACAGCAATAGTAAAGGATCTTTTCTTTGTTTCAGTAAGATGAAGAGGCCTGAGCAGTTTCGTGGAGGGGAAGAAACAGGAAAACCTCTTCAAAAGACAAAAAGCTGGCACTGCATTCTCTCTCTGTAGCAGGACAGAACTGTCTAAAGACAAGACCCCTTTGGCCAAAATAAAGGAACCTGAAACATTACTAATGACCCTTCAAAAGCTTCAGTTGTTTGTTTCCTTTAATTAACATCTAAATAGATTATACATCTTCTATAATTATAATATGGAAATGTATATGAGCAAAATATATAAATTTTTTGGTGACTGCTTAGGGAAGAATGATGTCAGTGAAGTTCATCCAAGGTCTTAAGCAGCAGCATCTATGCAGCCAGGGCGTGGTCAGCGTTTGGGGACAGAGGTAAATATCCGCAATCCATGCATCTCTTTGATTTCTTCTTTTAGTGCCTAAGTAAGAAAACAGCATCATCAGTTTTTGTGTATTTGACGTTGATTACAGTAATTCTCTGAGAGTATTTTTATACAGCTCTGCATCTGAAGGAGACTTTGTATGTGCTTTGTTTAAGCAATTTTTCCTTTTTTTGAAAAACAATTTTTTTTAAATCAATAATATCTAACATGATTTAAAGATTCAAAGGTACAAAAAGGCATTCAGGGAAGTCTCCCTCCTATACCTGTCCATCTCCCCAGTTTCCACCCTTGTTCCCAAAAGAACTGTTGTTAGTTTCTTGTGTATCTTTTTTTTTTTTTTTTTTTAAGTCATGGTCTCGCTCTAGCGCCGAAGTTGGAGTGCAGTGGCGCGATATCGGCTTACTGCAAACTCCACCTCCTGGGCTCAAACAATCTTCCTGCTTCAGCCTCCCTAGTAGCTGGGACTACAGGCACATGCCACCATGCCTGGCTAATTTTTTTATTTTTTGTAGAGGCAGGGTCTCACTATATTGCCTAGGCTGGTCTTGAACTCCTGGACTGGAGCAATCTGCCTGTCTTGGCTTCCCAAAGTGCCGGAATTACAAGCGTGAGCCACTGCACCTGGCCAGTTTCTTGTGTATCTTTACAGGGACTTAAAAATGCATATTCACCAGGCATATTCAAGCTAATATATTTCACCCCATGACCTTTTAAAACGCAAATGGTTAAAATTTCAAACACATTACACCAAGCTTGTCCAACCCACGGCCCATGACAGCTTTGAATGTGGCCTAATATAAATTCGTAAACTTTCATAAAACATTTTGAGATTTTTTTTGAAATTTTTTTTAAAGCTCATCAGCTATCATTAGTGTTAGTATATTTTATGTGTGGCCCAAGAGAATTCTTCTTCCATTGTGGCCCAAGGAAGCCAAAGGACTGGACACCCCTGCTCTACACTTTGCTCTTCCCCCAAACATCTATCTTGGAGATCTTTCTATGTTAGGCATATATGGGTGTCCTGATTCTTTTTTGCATCAGCATAGTATTCCATTATATGAATGCATTATAACTTTTCAACCTGTCCCCTAGCGAACTTTTAGGCTGTTTCCTGTGTTTTGTTATTTCGAGCATCAAGCATTCTTTAAAATGAGCAGTTCTTTAAAATCATACCAATTAGCACAAATTCCCCAATGGTCAGAGCAGGAAATAAAGTTTCAAAGGAATTATGGGACTTGTTTTAAGGCTACAAATGGTGTCAGAGCCCAAATCTGAAGGAACTACCAGAGTCAAATAGATATTTGGCCCCTGTAGTGCTGGGAGAAAGTGAGGTTACAGAATCAGAGTGGGGCTTGGACCGCTCAAGTTTATAATCAGTACAGAGGAAGAAATAAGGTCCTTTTATACTAGGCCAAAATCTGATAATCATACTAGAGTGGACATTTTTCTTTTCTAGTCTCTTTAGTGATCTCCTTCTCTTGGGGAATAATTCCTTTTCCACTCTATTGTATAATTCTGGTGGAACCACCAATTGGTCTGATATTGAGGTCATTATGTGCCACTGGCCCAGCCTATGATTGGACCGAGGTGGCACATGACCCAAATTGGGCCACTTAGAATCTCCCTTGGGATTTCTGAGAGTGGAGCCTTGTTTCTTGGGCCAACATGCTATGAAATTAATTGGAGGTGGCCATGGACTGTGTTTCCCACCAAGGAGAGAAAGCCCATCTTTAGCAGGAGAAAAGGAGACCAACACAGGGAAAGAAGCTGAAAGCTCAGAGAGAGAGAGGAATCTAGATATGCCAGAAACCAGATAATTTTGTTACATGGGCCAATTAATTCCCTTTGTTTGCTTATGCTAATTTTAATTTGGTCTCTGTCTCTTACAATATAAAGAATCCTAATATATGTGGTCAGGTTTATAGATCCTTAGACACAATCTAGTCCCATCCCCTTATTTAATTAAAAAAAAAAAATAGAGTCTACTCCTTGTCCAAAGTCAGCAAACAAGCGAGTAATGGAATCAGGATATGAACCCAGGTATCCTGAGGTCCTGGCCATACCTGGTTTCCATCATGTTCCTGACTTGCCCTGATCCGGGAGCTCCTGTTGTGTTGGGGGACAATGAGCTGCCCCACTTGGCCTACACTGCACACCCTCCAGCTCCACAATCAAGTGCAGGGCCCTCAACTCTGCGGACAGGCAGAAATGTCCCTGGAAAAAGCCTCATATAATCACTGGGCGAAGGTCCCTGGGCCACTTGCTCTCTGCAGGCGTGGAATGCTCCCTAGAGACTGTGTCTGTGCCTGGACCACAACCAGCCTCTCCTCCTTACATCCACCTTGGCTGGGTGAGGGCCCAGTCACACCTTCATGTGACTGACCCTGGACAGAGGAACCTTCTGGGCTTCACCCACTCAGGCCCTGCGCACTCCCCCTCCCTGATGCCTTCTCCCTGCTCTCTGTGCAGCCCCTGAGGGCTTCCCAAAACACACTACAGTCCCTTACAGCCACACAGGGTCTTAGAGATCACCTGAGTCACTCTACAGTTAAGGAAACTGGGGCCCTGCTGGGGGAAGTGACTTGGCCGAAGTCCCATGGGTAATAAGATGCAGCTTGGATAACCATTCTTAAGCACCTGCTATGCCCACAGCACTATAGTAGGTGCTGGGGACACAGAGGAAAAGGCGTGGGAAAGTAATGAAAGAGAAAGTAGCATTAAGTCCAACACAAATGGGCTGAATGTGGGCAGCAGAGGACTGCCAGACTCAAGCCAGCACAGCCCTGCTTCCGGTGTTCGAGGTGAGCTACTGCACTGGTGACTGGGGTGGACGCACAAGGGCCACACACAGGAGGCAGCCCTGGAGCTGGAGCCAGAGGTGGAGCAGGCAAGAGTGAGAGGGCATCTGCCCCAGGACAGCAAAGTGAGGAGAGGCTGGGAAGCTCCCGTGATTCACTGAGGTAGGCACATGTCAGGGAGACTGAGGCAGATCACATGAAGAATGGGCAATCCCAGGCTAGGAAGACTGGACTGGATTCTGGGCAACCAGGGGAGCCACGTAAAGGCTCTGAGCAGGGGAAAGACATTGGTGGAGGCGCCTTAGGGGAGGGCAATCCCCTAAGCTGGAAAGAGGCCGGAGGCAGGGAGACGGCAACAGCTGTTTAGCAACTGCCTTCCACGTGGCAGGCACGACGCTGGGCACCTGTGGTCAATGCCTCATGCAATATTTGCCAATATGAGGCTCAAATCTCACCTCTGTCCACCTCAAAAGGCAACTCAGTGATCACCGTGGCTACCTACCTACTCTACCCTTGCTGACACCTCCCCAGGATGGCAGGAGGACAGGTAGGGAGGTGCTCCTGGTACAAAACCCTCAACATCTAGGCCTCCTAGGGCGTGGCCCACAGCAAATGCCCAGTAAGTATTTCCCAAGAGAAGGCTGACGCACTGGGCCCTGGGAGAGGCTGAGCCCCGCGCAGCAGGGTCCCAGAGGAACGAGTCCATTCCTGAGGGTGCCGACAGGGGGCGCCCCCTCCAGGGAATCCCGCAGGGACAGTCTGATGGGAAGCTCAGGAGGGATGCCAGTATCGGATGGGTTGGGCGACCTTTTCAGGCCTTTTGGGCAGAAAATTCTGACTCTACAGCACCAGGATGAACACTACTACGCATAGGGTGAGTAGGCAAAATAGATGAGGCAAGCTTCACCCCGTCAGGACACCAGGCCCCCACCCAAACAGCCTGGGCATGAGAGCATCTGGATGGGGCACCTACCCCACCCCCACCTCACTCCTGAAGAGACCAGCTGGCCCTGGGAGTGGAGTCCAGTTACCACCTTGCCTTCCCCTTGATTCCAGGTCTCTGCCTCCTCCTAGGGCAGTGCCTGTCAGAACCCCATTCCCAACAGCTGTCCTGAGCAGGGCAGCTCCAGGTCCCGGCTCAGACCCTGCCGGCCAACAGACTTGTTCCTGAAGATTTTCATTTTCATTCTTCTCATGCGACTGTCAAAGCCAACATCTCCAGACTTAAATCATCTAAAATTGCCTATGACCAAGTCCATATATTTTAACACAAGTGTCAGCCCCCTAAGAATGTACTGTGGCCAGGCTCAGGGGACCCCCTCATGTCAGCTGCCTGCAGACATCCAGTGTGGAGCTGCATGACCCCCCCAAGTCCTGAGCCAGAAGGGCTGTTCTGGCTGGGGGCAGAGGAGAGGCCTCTAGAATAACTCAGGATGCAGCTGCTCTGGGCACAGTGGCTCACGCCTGTAATCCCAACACTTAGGGAGGCCGAGGCAGGAGGATCGTCAAGGAGTTCAAGACCAGCCTGGGCAGCATAGTGGAACCCCATCTCTATATAAATATAAAAATGTATATTTTTAAGGTTGGGCATGGTGGCTCATGCCTGTAATCCCAGCACTTTGGGAGGCCGAGGCAGGTGGATCACCTGAAGTCAGGAGTTCGAGACCAGCCTGGCCAACATGGTGAAACCCCATCTCTACTAAAAATACTAAAATTAGCCAGGTGTGGTGGCGGGCGCCTGTAGTCCCAGCTACTTGGGAGGCTGAGGCAGAAGAATTGCTTGAACCCAGGAGGCAGAGGTTGCAGTGAGCCGAGATAGCGCCACTGCACTCCAGCCTGGGTGACAGAGTGATACTCTGTGGGAGGGAAAAAAAAGAAGTATATATTTTTAAAAAGTGCCCCAATGTCAGGATGTGAGTTCTCCAAAACAGAATGCCTTTCAGATACTAAAACATAATTTCCATGGGTAAGCCAATAAGAAAACACAAGCCAACTCTCCTCACTCTCTGCAAACTCTCAAGAAATACTGACTGGGCTCCTTCCATGTGCCAGGTCCTTTGTTAGGTGTGGGGGACACAGCCCCGTCCTGCAGTAAGCCTGCTTTCGAGGGGGAATGAAAGACAAGTGACTGGGCTGTCTACTCAGGAAGTGTGAGGAGAGGCACATGTTGCTATAGGGGGCCAGAAGACACCTTAATCCCAAGACCGTGAGGTGACACTCCCCCAAACTGTGGGAATCACAGCCCTTCCCCACCCCAGACTGGTGCAGGTTCCTTCCAGTGTTGGAGATGACAATGATGGTGATGGCGGTCACATTTATGGAAGGCTTACTATGTGTCGGGCAGTGTTGTCAGTGGTCAACGTGTACTTTATCACGAATCCTCACAGCAACACTTTGAAGCAAGTACTGTTACTCTCAATTAGGAAACTGAGGCAAAGGGTGAGGTTGAAAAACTTGCTCAAGGTCACATGGCTAGAAAGTAGCAAAGCCCAGATTTGAAAGTGGGAAGTCCAATTCCAGAAACTGCTTCCTTAACCACTTGTAACTGTGGTTTCAGGCCAAGGGACACACTCAAATTACCAGCACCTATGGGTCCAGTCACACCAGGTGGCTTGTACAGATCTGAGAATAAAACCCAAAGTGCCACGGGTTGGGGATCATCTGGCCAGCCAGGTCTTCCCTGTCTTGTCTTCTGCCTTGATTCTGACCCCAGAGATCACATGGGACTGCAAGAGTTTCCGGGAGGGCTCAGTGATGGAGCACCCAGCAGACCACCAGCATGCCTTAGGGCTGTAGGGGTCACATCCACTGCAAAGGGCTACGTTCCATGAGAAACACAAAGATGGATCCCAAAGGGCACTGGTCCACAAAGGGCTGACAGGTTGCAGGGTCAGACAGCAGAGATGTCCGTTTTCAGGACACAAGACGGAAAACACCGACAGCCAAAAAAGGGGGCCGGGGAGGGTGGGGGAACGGCATTCATTCCCTGCTGGGGAGGGAGGGGAGGCAGCATTTGAGCTGAGTGGAGGACGGGAGGAAGGGCAACCCAGGCAGAAGGTCCAATCTGGGCAAAGGCCCAGATAGAGAAAGAGAGAGACCAGCGGGCAGAGGCCGGCTGGGAGGGTGCACGCAGAGAAGGGTGGGGGGAAATGCGTGAACAGCAGTCTAGGACACCTGAACTCAATGCATGAGAGGCCACCGAAGAGACGCTCATTACCAGTGCTGTGCTTTACAAAAATAACACTAGTTCACAATGGCAAGACCTTCCAGAACGATGCCAAACACACCCAGTGAGGGGGCAAATTCATAGGTACAGGTACAAGGGTCAAAGTTGGTATAAATTCCAAATTAAAATAAATATGGATAATATTTAAACTGAGCCTTAGGCTGGTTGAACGTGATGTTCCAGAACCCAAATGTTCTGTCATTGGGTCTGGGGCAGCTGCAGCCATTCTCACTCATGCCATGCATCAACTGACTCATCTGTAAAGCAGTCCCAAAGAGAGGCCAAAAAACCCCTCTTCAGATCTACAAAAACATGTATCTTTTAGCAGTGTCTGTGTTTAGATATACTCATCAATATGTGACAATAACAGTAAACATAGGTAGCATTATACGAGGACATACAAAATCACTATTGGGAGGCCTGTCTTCAATTTTGAATAAAATTCCTATTTGCCACAATGCAGATACTCCCAGATTCGATTTTTCTCAGGTCTTGAGTCCTGTTTCGTGATTGCAGTACTGCATTATTCTCTCCTGCAACTGACGGCAAAAACCACCATCCCTGCTTGGCAGGCCCCTTTGGAGGCTGAAGGCCAGTGGCAAGGGGCACTGTTGCCTCTACTGACCTGATTAACCATCTGGTGCTGCTGGACAGTTCTCTTCTCCTTAAATTCTTCTGATTCAATTTTAATTTCATACATCGCCCCACAACCTCCTAAAATAAACATGATTCAAAAGCATTTCAATTATTAAGTCATGGCAGCCATGGTCCCATATATCCTTGAAGTACTGTACAATCCAAAGGTCTGAATATTATCATTCAGCACAAAGGAAAGTTGCTAAGACCATTAGGAAAAGATCATGGCTTCCAATCTGACCACATGCTCCTCCTGACAGGCTGCCACAATCCAAAATGTGCTCTTCCTTTTGCGAGGCAGCTGCACCACCCAGGGTTACCACTTGTGGGCAGGAAAGATAAGGCACAAAGCATGGACAACCTAGGGAGTGTAGAGTGTTTCCTTTCACTAGGCCAATAAACGCCACGGAAGAGGATGAGAAGGACGGAATTTCAGCGTTCCAGCTTCCAAAGGACCAACAATCAGTGTTTTTGAAGTGCAAAAATACACTACAATTTGGTTTGAAAACTGTGTAATACTGTCCAAAGAAAGGAAAGAACCAGGGGAGCATGAGAGCCAGGGACACAGCAAACATGCTATGCATGGAGCTGCTCGGGGCTGTCTCTGGCACTGCTGGGTCCACAGCACAGCATCCAGGATTTCATCCTGGCTTTTGGGGGGAGAACTTTTTGGTGAAGCCCTCGAGGCAGAGCTTGGTGGGCCATCCACCCCCTGCCTGAGCTTTCCTCCACCTGGCTGGAGAGCTGGTGCTGATGACTGATGATAAACACACAGCTCTAGCATGAAATAACATGGGCAAGAATATGTCCCCTGCATGATTTACAGAGCCAGGCCATTGTGTGAGAGGTGCAACGTACTCAACAGGCTTTGCTCTGCTTCTTTTTTTTTTTGAGATGGAGTCTCGCTCTGTCGCCCAGGCTGGAGTGCAGTGGCACGATCTGGGCTCACTGCAAGCTCCGCCTCCCAGGTTCACACCATTCTCCTGCCTCAGCCTCCTGAGTAGCTGGGACTATAGGCACACACCATCATGCCCAGCTAATTTTTTTTTTGTATTTTTAGTAGAGACGGGGTTTCACCGTGTTAGCCAGGATGGTCTCGATCTCCTGACCTCGTGATCCACCCGCCTCGGCCTCCCAAAGTGCTGGGATTACAGGCGTGAGCCACCGCGCCTGGCCTGTTCTGTTTTTCTTATAATGTGCTCTAGGAGTCCAAGTTTTGGTTAAACCCAGGTTCTCAGCCTCAACTCCCCTTCTGCACTCTGTCCAGGACTGCGCAGAGCCACAGCTGAGTCAAGCTCTAACTCTGCCCTGGGCCTGGGGCAAGTTCAGGACCTGGTAACATCAAGGCCTCAGCATTGCCCCAAGACTCCTGCAGAGCCCTCACCTGATGTACCATTCCAGCAGATTTTTTTTTTCTTTTTGAGACAGAGTTTCGCTCTTGTCGCCCAGGCTGGAGTGCAGTGGTGCAATCTCAGCTCACTGCAACCTCTGCCTCCCAGGTTCAAGCGATTCTCCTGCCTCAGCCTCCTGAGTAGCTGGGATTACAGGTGCCTGCTACCATGCCTGGCTAATTTTTTTTTTTTTTTTGTATTTCTGGTTGAGATGGGGTTTCACCATGTTGGCCAGGCTGGTCTCGAACTCCTGACCTCAGGTGATCCACCTGCCTCAGCCTCCCAAAGTGCTGGGATTACAGACATGAGCCACCGCGCCTGGCCCCAGCAGATTTTTTTTTTTTTTTTTTGAGACACAGTCTCGCTCTGTCACCCAGGCTGGAGTGCAGTGGCATGATCTTGGCTCACTGCAGCCTCCGCCTCCCGGGTTCAAGCAAGTCTCCTGCCTCAGACTCTTGAGTAGCTGGGACTACAGGCGTGTGCCACCACGCCCAGTTAATTTTTGTATTTTTAGTAGAGACGGGGGGGTTTCACCATGTTGGCCAGGCTGGTCTTGAACTCCTGACCTCGTGATCCACCTGCCTCAGCCTCTCAAAGTGCTGGGATTACAGGCATGAGCCACTGCTCCAAAACCCCAGCAGATCTTTAGATTGATTTATTTCCTGTGGTTTCCAGAATAAAATCTACTTTCTAAACTTTCTCCTCAATCCTTGGAAATGTTATGTTCTCAGTAAAGTCAGTGAGCCCTCATGGCAATGCTGAGTGGCAAAGGCTGCCTCTGGGTATGGAGAGATTCAGACTGATGCCTATCCAGCGGCCCACGCCACGGGCCGTTCTGTGTGTACGTGTGTGTGTGTGTGTGGATAAAGGGCCTATCTTCCCCATCCTGTGGATGCAGAAGTTGCTTCTCCAGCCTGCTCCTAACACACTGCCAGCCTGAACTTCTAGGTGCCAGTGGCCACCTGAGAAGGACAGCGCTTGGCTGGGGCTGGTAACTGGGCTTAGGACAGAGTCTCCCCTGAGTCCCGGTTCTGGTTCCAGTTCCACTGTCTCTTCCCTATGAGGAGCTAGGCAATTCCTTTGGCCTCTCTGGGCTCATTTCCTCTTAGGGAAAGTAAAGCAGCTGAAGAAAATCTTTCTGGGGTCCACTCCAGCTCTGATATCCTAGGGTGTCAGAAGAATGGGGGAAAATTAGAGCAAAACCTATTCAAAGTCAAATGACAGACTGTGGACCTCAGCTCTAGGGTGACTGAGAGGGACCTTGTCTGAGCTGAGCCAGGCTGGCAACCTTGAGTCCTCCCAGCTGCGCCTTGTCCTCAGTTTCCCTCTGATATTTCTGAATCCTGACTGCCATCCCATGAGGTGGGGGCAGCCGAGCTCCACCTGTCCAGCAGCAACACATCTTGAGAAGCCACTCACCAGCAGCAAGCCCCCTCCTCCAAGCCCCTGACCCTCTGTCCTTCCAAAGGGCAAAATCTTATCCAAGCGCCGTAGGAAGAGTGAGAGAAACCTTACCTGAAATGTCAGTGACTTTTATAGCTGTAGCTCGTGGAAACTTTTCTTTGAGAATTTGGGTCACTCTGAGCTCCCCCTCAGTCTGAGTGGCAAACATCCGATGGTGAAGTGGAAGCTGCCACAGAACAGAGAGGAAGGTCAGGGCAGAGGAAGATGCTGTTGCCCCTGAGCTGGGCCACTGTGCAGGCCCGCCTGCCATTCCCCCTGCAAGGCAGGCCCCTGAGCCCTCGCCAGCACAGCCATGGGTTATGTCAGAGGGGCTCTGTGGTATCAGGAGTCCATGTAAGTGCCCCAAAACACAGAATAAACTTTTATTGGCGGGGACAGGATGATTGTTAATAACTCAATTTGACTCCAGAGACAAGAGGCCCCAAACCTAATTCAAGAGATGTTTGCTTCCATATAATGTTGTGACACTATTATGCCGATAGTTTTATAGGTAAGGAAACTGAGGCACACAGTAATGTGCCCAAGGTTGAATTCGGTAAGATACAGAGCCAGAAAAGCTGGATAGCCTGCCTCAGATCCATACCACTAGGCCATCCACTGCCCTGGATGGTGGGGCCAAATTCCACACTCCCTCGCCTTTAGGCCTGATTAACATGTCTCGCCCTCCCCAGTGGGATGTGACCTCACAGCCCACTGCTCAATTAGCCAGCTATCCTTCATCATGCACTCCTTCTCACTGGGAGCAAAGTCAGAATTCTATGAAAGAACCTGAAGAAGGAGTATCTGTAGGTTGTTTACCATTGGCAACAACACCCCTTCCCCAATGGCTACCATGGGGGAACCTGTGTTTGTGTTTCCTTTTTTTTTTTTTTTGAGACAGAGTTTTGCTCTGTTACCCAGGCTGGAGTGCAGTGGCACAATCTCAGCTCACTGCAACTTCCACCTCCCGGGTTCAAGCGATTCTCCTGCCCCAGCCTCCTGAGTAGCTGGGATTCCAGGCACCCACCACCACGCTCGGCAAATTTTTGTATTTTTAGTAGAGATGAGGTTTCACCATGTTGGCCAGGCTGGTCTCAAACCCCTGACCTCAGGTGATCCACCCACCTCAACCTCCCAAAATTCTAGGATTACAGGCATGAGCCACCACGCCCGGCCAGGGGAGCCCATGTTTCTGATGGAACACGTCTCAACAGTTAGTAGTGAAGGAGCAGAAAAGCAGGTCGGCAGTCACTTGGCTGGGCTGAGTGCATGCTGAAAAGGCAGACTGGGAATGGAGTGTGGCAGGCCTTGAATGCCAGGCTAAAGATTGTGGACTGTATGGGACAGGAGATGGGACTCCAGGTGATAGAACCCAGGCTCATGGGACCAAAGTAACCTGCAGGAAACAGTGCCTTCTGGAGCGAGTCAGGAGAGATGCCCAAGTAAGAGGCATTACAATGATGGAAGCACCGGGCACTGGTCCCTGACTAGACGTGGATGACAGGTTGGAGGACACTAGGGCCGTTCATGGGTGCTGGTGCTGAAGGTCCCACCCCTCTACCCCTCAGTCCTTCCTGATAGCTCAGAGCAGGGTCCTGTGTCACAGAATCTCAGAGCACCTCCTTTAAAATGAGCTGTGCACTGGCTCTCTCACCACTGGTCTTATAGGCCAGGAATGAGTCCGGCAGCATCCCAGAGCTGACCCCAGGGCAGGCCCTCAGAGGCACTTGGTGCTGGATGAATGAATGAGCAGGGGAAGAACTAGTCAATTAGGGACAGAAATGCAAGACAGGAGAAAGGTCCAGAGTGTGATTGTCTGCCTGCTGTGTGGAGGGACAGAAACTCGATGTTGAGAGGCTGGACAGGATTGCCAGGAGTGAGGGTGGGGTGGAGCTGCTTCTGGGGGCAGAATCTTGAGGGTAAAGGCAGAGAGTAACCAGATGGCAGACAGAATCGGCAGCTACTAAGGGGTGAGAGAGGTGAGCGTTGCAGAATCCTTGGGAGAAGCCTTTCATCTTAGCGGATCTGTGGGCAGCGGCCTTTAGTGGAACAATCAACTGACATCCCCAGATGATCACTGTCCACGCTGAAAGTCACCGCAGTGGAAGAACTTCTCTTCATGCACAGGGCAGGCAGGTTCAGAACCAGGGGAGAAGGAAAATGAAAGTTAAGAGAAAGAATGGTATGAGCTGAAGCAAAGGATGGTTCAGAAAGGGGGAGAGATTAGGAGAGCGCGTGGGAAGTGCCCCCTGCTTGGGTTCTGCTCCGGTAGTGTGGGATTTGGAGGAGGATCAAGGTCAGAGGCCCAGTCGACCTTCCCAAGGCCCCGGCCCCGCTGCAGTCCCTCGCACCCACGCCTTGACTCTGGGCTATGACTCCTGTCTTCTGCTCGGTAAACCAATCCTTTTTTTTTCCTGTGCCCGCAGTATTATGACTGTTCATGTGTCTGTCCGCCTGACCTCCAACCTCCACCCAGCTCGGGAGCTCCCCTAGAGCGCGCCAGAGCTTGAAATTTCGAATGCCGTTGTCGCTGAGTGAATGAATGAATGAAAGAATGAATGAGAGAAAGGAAGAGGAGCCCCCCATTGCCAGTGCCGCGCGCGCCCTCCGGGAGCCAGTCCTCAAGCCCCGACAGCCGCCGGCCCCGCGGTCCCTCCGCAGCTCCCGTCCCGGGGAGAGCAGCCCCGACCCTGCCCACGCTCACCCCGCGGATCCCGCGGAGGAGAGGCGCTGCCGCGGCCGGGCTCCATGCAGCCATGCCCGGCCGACGTGACCCGCCGCCCGAGGTCACTGTATGCCCGAAAGACGCGGAGCGGGGGACCGAGAGCCGCCGCCGTGGGAGAGGCCGCCCCCTGCCGCCCGGAGGCCGTCAGCCTCCCGGCCCCGCCCCGGAGGCCTCCGGTCGCCTGGCTCCGGCCCCACCCCGCCATCCCCTGGCCCTGGCTGACTCGCCACCCCCGACACTGCAGCGCCTGCCGACCTCGGGGCCCCGCCCTCTGCCTTCGCTCGCGCCGCTCTCCTTCAGTCTCCCCAGGGCCTGTTTCATGGATAGGGTCCCCTTGCCCGCGTGAAAGTCTCATTCCTCCTCAGCTCAGAAACACTCCAAGGTCTCGGCGCCCTATACTGGCCTTCCCTCATCCGAATACCCCTCGTGCTCCTGATGTACTTTTCCATTCCCACTCCCTACTCTGGCAGTCTAGCTTCTAAGCTGAGGAGTTTGGCCTTCGCTCCAGGTGCGGGGACTCGTGGAAGGATTTGATTCGCGCTTGAGAAAGATCGCTCCGCTCCTGTAAGGAAGAGAGCGTGTAGGGGCTGCAACCAGAGACACAGTCAGAAGCTCCGAGGCTACCGCGATGGTCCAGGTGAGAATGGAGGGGCCTAACTAAACCAGTGGCGGGAGGGATGGAAGAATGAACTGAGACACTTGGGAGGTGAATGGAATCGAGCGACTGCATGTGGAGGTGTGAGTGGGAAGGTATCTGAGATGACTCCAGTTTCTGGCTTGGACAATGACTTGGATGGAGGGTTAGGTGGGGGCTGAGCAGAGTCCACGAACAGTTCTTAATTTGCCTGAGTTTAAGGTGCCACAGGACACAGCCTAACAGAGGCCCAGGTTGGAGCCATGGACCATGGAGTCATGAGAATGGAAGGGAAGCTGACGCCATGTGGGATGGGGTAGAACTGTCCGCAAATTCGTCCCGCCTCTGGAGTCTTCAGACCAGTCAAGGCCGAAATTCAACCAAGCCTCTCCTCTCTCTAGCTGTTATTTGTTTGCAGCACGCGGTCTGGTGGCACCCTGCAGGATTTACCAGCTTTTTGCCAACATTCTGGCCTATGCAATCAATACGTCCCTTCAGCGTTGCACTTGGATGGATTGGACCTATAGTTGTTATATATGGATATTGTCTAATTTATTTATTACAGTATTAACTGACTCCTATGTTCTGGCCTTCAGAATTTCTCCTTTGGATCAATTACTAGCCTGTCTTACATTTTCTGCTTCATTCTTTTAAAATGTTTAGAGATGATTTGCTAAGTTTTCTTCATTGCTGTCAATGATGCAATTTAAACTGTCAAAAAAATTTTTTCTCAAGCAGGGTAGTAATGGTGAACCATTCCCTTGCTATTCAGACAGCATGGTTTAGATGAGGCGCACCTATCCCCAGCTTTAGGAATGGAAACAGGACCCAAGTCTGGCTAATCAGAGACTGGTTTAGGGTCGGCCCCATGGTCTGAGCCAGACCAATGAGAATTGGTAGAGGGACTTCCTTTTGCAACTTCTATTTTAGAATCGGGGGTATATATGCAGGCTTGTTACAGAGGTATATTGCATGGTGCTGAGGTTTGGAGTATGAACGAATCCGTCCTTCAGGTAATGAGCATAGTACCCAATAGGTAGTTTCAACCCTTGCCCCCTTCCTCCTTCCCCAGTCTTGTATTCCCCAGTGTCTGTTGTTCCCAGACATTGATCTTTTTCCTCTATGTTGCTAAGCTGGTAGAAAGGCTGGAGTTGCTGGCAACCATCTTTGCAACCATGCAGGGAGAACTACTTTGGAAATGAAGCAAGATAAAGAAGAAAACAGATAAAAGGAGACAAATGTTTGACTTTGTACAGCTGGAAACCAGCAATGCTGGAAATGAGCACTGAAGGCAGTTTAATGGGTTTGTCACTTGTAACCAAGTGACCCATGGCAAGCTCACAGATTTGTATTGGCAGAATTCCTCCTTTTCTTTATTTAAAATGGTACTTTTGGCCAGGCAAGGTGGTTCACACCTGTAATCCAAAGACTTTGGGAGGCCGAGGCGCACTGATCACCCAAGGTCAGAAGTTCGAGAACAGCCTGGCCAACATTGGCGAAACCCCATCTCTACTAAAAATACAAACCATTAGCTGGCTGCGGTGGCCTTTCTACCAGCTTTTTGTCTCAAAAAAAAAAAAAAAAAAGGTACTTTTGCTTATCTCTAACCTTCCTCTTCCCCATAATTTAACAGTTGCCCATACTATCTGTTACTCTGAGCTACTCTCTGCCCCATTCTCCTCCTCTTATCTTCAGTTCCTCCTAGGCTGTCAGAGCCATCTGAAATGAAAACATTTAGGCCGGGCATAGTGGTTCATGCCTGTAATCCCAGCACTTTGGGAGGCTGAGGCAGGCGGATCAGCTGAGGTCAGGAGTTCAAGACCACCCTGGTCAACATGGTGAAACCCCATCTCTACTAAAAATACAAAAATTATCCAGACATGGTGGCACATGCCTCTACTCCCAGCTACTTGGGAGGCTGAGGCAGGAGAATCGCTTGAACCTAGGAGGCAGGGGTTGCAGTGAGCCGAGATTGAGCCACTGCACTCTAGCCTGGGCGACAGAGTGAGACTTTGTCTAAAAAACATAAATAAAATAAAATGAAATGAAAACATTTGCTACTTGAAATCCTTCAGATTCCCCATCGCCTACCTACAGGCAAAACTCTCAAGTTCTTTTGTATGATTTAACCACTATCTACCTGTCCAACTGAAATCTACCCTTCAGTAATATTATACTTGCACCTCCCTTCATAAGCTATGCTACAAGTTTGGTTATGCAGTTGCCCACCTTTTAAGGTTCAAGCCTTGTCTTCTCCAAAGAGCCACCTCTGACTGCCTCACAGTAAGCTTAGGGCCCGCAACTTACCTGTAACTTTTGTTGCACTTATGGCCTTTTACAACTATCAATTTATGTATGTGTCTGTTCTCACTGGTTTATAAGCTCCCTGAGGACAGAGCCTTGCTTGAGTCATCTGTCAGCAGCCCAATATGGGACAAAAAGTGCATGCATTGTAATTACTGAACAGAACTGATAGAGGCTCAGCAATTTGCGCTCCATAGGTCTAAGTTTGAACTTTTCTAGAAAAGGATTTGCAGGACGATCTGACGAATCTTGGGCTTCCAAATTAGTTCCAACAGTTCTAGTATTTTTTTTTTTTTTTGACAGAAGCAAATAAGTAAGTTTTACTTTGTGATTAAAACAAAAGTGAAATGCATTTAGTCCCAGGAAATGTCAATCCTTTCTGCATCTTACTTTTTTTTGCTGTGACCTCGAGATTCTCTTGTTCTCTTCAGTTGTATTGGTCCATGATCACTCATAGCTTTCATACACATATATACATCTGAAACTCAGAAAATTCATTAGGTAGGAACTCTTTGGATGCATCTCCTTTTTTAACCTCATTGGGATGATTTTTCGTTGCACCATCATTTTATAGAGCTTCCTAGCACTGCTGAGCATGCAGAATTTTTGCAAATGCAATCCAGAGAAACAGACTTGCTATATACTAGCTATTTGAACTTGTCTGAGCTTATGTGGCATGGTCTAAAGAATACTGAAATATTTCTGGCATACCTCTTAATTGCAGTCACTTTCTCCAGGTTGCTTTATGGATTAAATGAGATAACCTACTAAAGGACTCCAGTAAAAAGCTAAAAAGGTAGCTAGCTTTTGAGGTGTTGTGGCAGACTGGCATCTAGTGGCCAGCGATAAAGGTGCAGACTAGTGTCCACACCTAAGTGGGGACAGTGCAGGCTGTAATGTCCATACCTAGTGGGGACATCAATGGGGTATTTGTCAGAGAAGCTCCATGGCATAGTTTGGACATTGTTTCTGGCTGTGCAGGTTCAAACCCAGAGTCTGGCTCTCCCAAAGATTATCTGAGTTATTCTATTATTTTACAAAGTTTGAAATAGCCATTAGATACCCTTACAAACTTATCATTTTTGTGATTGATTTTAAGTCTACTGAAAATGTCAAAAGAAATCCAAAACTGATTGCTAGTAACTAGGCCAGGTGTGGTGGCTCACACCTGTAATCCCAGCACTTTGGGGCCGGGGCAGGCAGATTGCTTGAGCTCAGGAGTTCGAGACCAGCCTGGGCAACATGGCAAAACTCCATATTTACAAAAAATACAAAAAATTAGCCGGACATGATGGTGTGTGCCTGTTGTCCCCGCTACTAGAAGGCTCAGAAAGAAGGATCACTTGAGCCTGGGAGGCGGAGGTTGCAGTGAGCCAAGACTGTGCCACTGCACTCCAACCTGGGCAACAGAGACCCCAGCTCAAAAAAATAAAATTAGTGTTAACTTGTACTGTTTAGCCACATTCATTAAGTTTTTAATTTTAACTCTACTATCGCACAACCAGGAATGTACAAGAGATCTGGAGCCTGATTTGCATGGCAGGAAGGAGACCACGTATTTTTGTTTGGGATGGGTTTTAGCCACTATCAGAGACATAGTTTGTTTCTTAGGGGTTCGGTCCCAGTAGTATGATACTTAGTTCATTTAGGAACTTCCTTTTTTAACGGCTAAGAAAACATTTTAGCTACTAAATGATATGCAAAGATAACTTTCCAAATTTAAGCTGTACTCAAAAATCCACAGAATCTGCAAAACTCTCAAGTTTCTATATTTAAATAGAAATGTGTGTTGATATACATACTTTAATCAGTCATTTCTTGCTTTCAATATATTTTATTCTGACGAAGTTACAAAAGTAGATACAAAATACTTTTTTTAGAAGTACAGTTAACTGACTTAGAAAAATAGATAAAGCCCCTAAGGATTTTAAAACACAACATAAATTTTTATGTAAAGAACATTTAAAAATATTTTAGATGGTAACCAAAACTAACTTACACAAACTATTTTTGATGTAGAATAGAATGCTGTTCTATAATAAGAAGTCTGTAGCACACTGGTAATCCATTTGGATCTACAGAATACTTGTTTGGAACAGAATCTGATAATGAGAGAAAACTCAAATGAATGTCAGTGCAGTTGCTTCAAAAAAATTACTGCTACCACATGTACTATCATCCCCCAAGGCCTTTTACAGTCTGAAATATCAAAATTGAAAGCAAAAATAGGATGACCAAAGGACTACTATTTTACCTCTTTTCAGAACTCTACAATAGTAGAAACTAAATTCCCTTATGGATCTCAGGGGGAAATAATGTGCCTGTTGAAGGGGCTCAGTGTTTGGTGTCCAGGCTGGCATTTTTCAGGTGAGGGTTTCATACTGACAGGAGGCAGGCTCCTAAAACAAGGCGGTAGCACCAGCACCATGACTAGGGCTGCTTTAAAACAAATTTCTAGGACTTACGCTCTTTGGGCCTGATTTGTTAATGCTTATGAGGTAATGATATTATGTTTGAGAAGCTCTACTTCTAGTATACCTCAATGCTCAGAGAGAAAGCCAACAATACAATCAGGAAACCACAATATTGACAAAACTTAGTACTACCACCAAGATTGTTCCTCTTGCCTTGGCACTACTAAAAAACTTTACCTTTGTTACTAAAGTCATGGTGAATACAGATTTTGCATTTCTCATGTAAGCAGCTATATAAGCTAGGGTTCTACAAGCCTTAGATGAAAGGAAAAACTTTGCTGGAAGCCCTGTAAAAATCACTTTATTCACAATCTGAAGAATGAAAGACAAATTTGGCTGTCAATACAAAAACTGTAGTACAAGGAAGTTCAACTGTTTAAAAATCTGCACATCACTGTACAAGTGTTTTTTGAAGGCCTGAAAATTAAAGCACCATAGGATTAACTGCATAATTTAGCAAGCACTCTCTACCCCATGACTGTAATCATGTATGAAGAGCAGAGATCAGACACTGAGAGGAGATGGCTTCTGATTAGCAAGGGGGAAGGGAGTGAGTGTTATGGAACAGGCAAACCTTGGGCATGGGGAGATAAAAGTGAGAAGAGTCAAAAAGATTGATTTCTATAGGCCGGGCACGGTGGCTCATGCCTGTAATCCCAACACTTTGGGAGGCTGAGGCGGGCGGATTGCGAGGTAAGGAGATGGAGACCATCCTGGCTAACACGGTGAAACCCCATCTCTACTAAAAATACAAAAAATTAGCCAGGCATGACTAAAAATAGAAAAAATTAGCTGGGCGTGGTGGCGGGCACCTGTAGTTCCAGCTACTCAGGAGAGGCTGGGGCAGGAGAATGGCATGAACCTGGGAGGCAGAGCTTGCAGTGAGCCGAGATCCCACCACTGTACTCCAGCCTGGGTGACAGAGTGAG
This sequence comes from Homo sapiens, assembly GCF_000001405.40. Classification (NCBI taxonomy): domain Eukaryota; kingdom Metazoa; phylum Chordata; class Mammalia; order Primates; family Hominidae; genus Homo; species Homo sapiens. The sequence goes on from NC_000002.12 coordinate 74,154,183, forward strand.
ACTCTGTCTCAAAAAAAAAAAAAAAAAAGATTGATTTCGTCAAACTGTTATCAAAGGTTGGCCCTCTAGCCAACTCAGGAAGGCGCCATCCTCTTCCCATTATCTCCCCTTCCTCCAATTCTCCTCCTCCCCTTGGCTCCCTAGCCTTGGAGGTAAACACTAATATTTCAGTGCACTGTTGGTTAAGCCAGATTGGCTTGGGAACCTGGTAATGTTTTTATTTTTATTTTAAAAAAGGACAGTCTTGAGTCTCAAAATACCAACACATCTCTGATTTATGTCCCATTTATAAGCTGCCTTTACTACTGTCCTGACATGTGATCGTCTTTCATTTGCTTTGGAGCTTAGTGGTGAAGAGAGGGAACATTTCCATAACTGAAAATAAATGGAGAAAAGTGGTAACTCTTTTGTTTGAGAATATTTGAAATACTAGAAATAATGAGGAAAGTACAAGCCTAGCTGAGAAACTAGTTTCATCACTTGTGGACTTAAAAAAGTAAAGCTAACAGGGTTTAAAGTTGAGAGGCAGTTCACATCCTAAGTGATACCTAGAAACCTGCTTTCTTGTTCGCAAATGATCAACATGAACATACAGAATGGCTGACATTTGGACCTTTGGATAAGCTTAAAACATGGATTGTGGAATGTCTAATAGAGGGCTTTTCTCTCTTTTTTTTAATAATGACTGTCCCACACTTTAATTCCTCAATGATATGTGGATGCTAACTAAATCAGATGAAATGTTTTCTTTAAAATTCTGTATATATTTAAGAATTTCTAGGAAATGATTATTTAAAATGGAGTTTCTAAGTAATTATTTTCTTTATAGTTTAGTGGAGTAAGAAAAATAAATCTAAAAAAAAACATCAAATCTAACCTTTATCAAAGCCATCGAGGAGGTTGGTAAAATACTTTGCAAAAATCACAGCTCTGAACCACATAGAATGCTGATGAACTTAAAGCTTTGCCAGTTTGGCAAGTCTTCCAGTATAATACTTGTTGTGCCTCAGTACATTTTAAATAGACAGCTAGAGTTTACTAAATCCTAGGAATCAAATAAAAAATAAATGTTTTCTTCACTGAAGGGGAAGGCTTTTATATCCCAATAGAAATAGAGGAATTTCAAGTTTTGATACAAAAACAATTAAAACAAGATAAAACCCAAGTGGAAGCTCAGTCCATCTTTTGAATATTAACAAAATGAGGATTTTTTTAAAACTTATTTCTCCCATTTTGTTTCCTTTAAACACATACACTCACTCACTCTCTCAAGAATAGGTAGCACACCAAAACTTTATCTGTGTTATAAGATGTGTACACCTTCATGGTTTATTGTGGTTTTCCTTAAGTTTTATCCTTATTAGGATGAAGTTCATGCATTTCTACACTACTCTTAACTAAGGCTCAAGAGACAATAAAAACATAGAAGTAATTTTTTAATAAAAGGAAATAAAATAATCAAGTACTCTGAGTATTTTCCTCCATTCTCTTATCCAGAATTTTAAGGCCTCTGAAAAATAATGAAATAATAAAAATAGTGGTTTTGAGATCTAAATTTATTAATATTTTGGATTCCTTTTCTCAGCCAAAAGCTACTATCTGAATTAAGCTTTTCAGTTTAAAAGCCTGGAAGACCATCCTTAGAAGACATTAAAAAATTACTTCTGATACACACACTCCTAATAATTTAGATAGATATGAAAACAATCTCAAATAAAGATCAAAAAATAAAGTCCCTGTAAAAATAACTTTGGTTGCTCCCACCCACACGTCATATGATGATTTAAACTGCAATCATGAATTTTGAAAAAATAGACGTATCTTATCTATAAAAACACTACCATACAAACTTGAAACTAAAATGTTATCTGAAGTGACACAGATGTTCTAAATCTCAAGGATACTGAAAAATACATTTTTTATTCGTAAAATAAAAGAATAAAACCAATCTGATTGTGTTATTAGGAAATTTGTTCTGGAAACTTATTCATAAATTATTGATGGAAATTCTTAATGTCCATTGTGCTGTCACCTAAAACAGATTCAATCATTTTCTTGTAAAGAAATGACTGAGTAAATGAGTAAAAGAATAATAAGTAAATTTATAAGCTACAGGTTAACCATCACATATTACAACCAAGTATGACTATGTGATAACAACAAGAGTGGTCACACAGTACTTAAGATTTGGCTGTGTCCTTAAGGTCTTACTCGGAAACTATCACACCAACCTACCTTTGGGATAATTTTATCAGTAGACACAGGCAATGGGTATCTTTTTATCCTGTTTTCTTAAAGTTTGTATCACTAGTCTATAACAGATAGCAATGAGATAGTTCTAGCAATAGATGAAGCAAGGGGGTAACTGTGTTCTAGAAGAAACATTTATCTGTCTTTTGATCCAAGTTTCTCTATTAATTCTTGAAGAGGTGCCAGCTCACGCCTATCAATCAGATTAAACTCCTAAAAAGAGAAGAAAAATAACAATTAAAAATGGATCTAAAACTGAAACTCTGTAAATGTCTTTTGGAGAAGGGATTCCCAACTCTAGTTTTCTGAAGTCCAAAAGAATGATGAAATAACCTCTGTGAACATTTTAAAGTAGGCATTTATTCTTTTTCTTTTTTTTTTCTTTTTTGTACAGATGTGGTCTATGTTGCCAAGGCTGGTACTGAACTTTGGCCTCAAGTGATCTGCCCACCTTGGCATCCCAAATCCCAAAGTGCTAGGATTACAGGGGTAAGCCACCACGTCCAGCCCTCTCTTTTTAAAAATATAGGTATGATATTGTGATATAAGTATTTGGTCTTCCTTTTTCTTTACACACAGCTCCTAAAACCCTTGTTGGAATCACCAGAGTGCTAAGAGTATCTTGTATGCTAATGAGATGACTGGTGGCTGGAGGCTCCTATAAAGCTTCAGGATGGGAACTGGTCAACCTTCAGCCAGCCCTCTCCCCTTCCCAGATCACAGCCTCTGGGGAGGGGAAAGGGCTGGCTGAAGGTTGAGTTGATCATCAATGGCCAATTATTTAATCAATCATGGGCAAGTAATGAAGCCTCCATAAAAACACAAAAAACAGGGCTCAGGAGAGCTTCCAGATAGCTGAACACGTGGAGGTTCCTGGAGCATGGCATGCCTGGAGAGAGCATGGAAGCCCCTTCTCCTTTGGCCCTACACATCTCTTCCATCTGGCTGTTCATCTGTATCTTTTGTTAACATCTTTCATAATAAACAGGTAGAGATAAGTATTTCCCTGAGTTCTATAAGCGGCTCTAGCAAACTAATCAAACCCAAGGAGGGGGTTGTGGGAACCCTGGTTTATAGTCAGAGGTATAGGTGACAATGTATTACTTTTGATTGATATCCCAAATGGGGGGCAGTCTTGTGGGACTGAGCTCTCAAACTTGTAGGATCTGATGCTACCTCCAGATAGACATTATCAAAATTGAATCAAATTATAGGACATTCATCTGGTGTCCACTGTAGAAATGATCACTTGCTTGGTGTGTGAGGGACAGTCCCCATGTTTGGTCACAGAAGCGTTCTGTGTGGTGAGAGTATAGTAGGATAAAGGGAGTTTGTTTTTTCCCATATTTTTACAATGGGAGACTTATTAAAGAACCAACTCTAGGTATCAGTATGATCCTCATTGTGTTAAACATTAAAATCAAAACTGTATATATATTTAAATTTACATTAAAATTACCCGAAAAAGGCCGGGCATGGTGGCTCATGCCTGTAATCCCAGCATTTTGGGAGGACAAGGTGGGTGGATCATTTGAGGTCAGGAGTTCGAGATCAGCCTAGCCAACATGGTGAAACCCCATTTCTAGTAAACATAAAAATTAGCCGGGCGTGGTGGCAGGTGCCTATAATCCCAGCTACTGAGGAGGCTGAGGCAGGAGAACTGCTTGAACCCAGGAGGCAAAGGTTGCAGTTAGCCGAGATCGTGCCACTGCACTCCAGTCTGGGCGACAGAGCAAGACTCTGTCTCCAAAAAAAAAAAAAAGAGGGGGGAAAAAAAAAAAAGAAACTACCTGAAAACTACAAACTGAATTTTTGATAAAGGGCCAGTAGACCTTTTATGCAACAATCTGAGAAGGAAGATCAGGAAGAGCATGGTACAGTACACAAAACTATAATACACAGTATCTACTATAAAGCTACCAGGTTTTTTCATCATAAAATATCTAGACAGACATGTATATGTAATTCAATATGCAAAATATAAGTATCTCTAAAGTTAGGCTAAAGGCATACCAATTCTTTGATATCTTTTTCAAACAATGTGAATTATTTTGATTTTTTAAAGTTCCAATTCTGGCCGGGTGCTGTGGCTCAGGCCTGTAATTCCAGCACTTTGGGAGGCCGAGGTGGGTGGATCAGGAGTTCGAGACCAGCCTGGCCAACATGGGAAACCCCGTCTCTACTAAAAATACAAAAATTAGTTGGGGGTGGTGGTGGGCACCTGTAATCACAGCTATTCGGGAGGCCGAGGCAGGAGAATCACTTGAACCCAGGAGGCGGAGGTTGCAGTGAGCCAAGATCACGCCATTGCACTCTAGCCTGGGCCACAGAGTGAGACCCTGTCTCAAAAAAAAAAAAAAAAAAAGTTCCAATTCTGACTAAGGGTCCACAAAGCAACAGGCCACAACCCTGAATGGATAATCCTAACCACAGACCTAGGGTGGCCAGAGGCAGAAGGCCCAAATGGGGGTGATACCTTTTTATACTGCTGCACACATCAATAAAATAAATAATGTGGAAAAGAGAACAAAACAGAAAAGAGAAGCTTGCCTGTAATTGGCTCTACATCTATAACTAAGACACACAGCTCTTTGTTGAAGTTCCCAATCCAAATAAGTCCAAGTCACAGGACACAGAAATCAACATGGATCAACTTACCTGAACAAAGAAAATAAAGTGCTTAAAGGAGGTGTTGAGGTGGGCCTCCTCTTGCAGCTGCATCACAGAATCAAAGTGCTGGTGATAAATATGGGCATAAACCCTGAACAGACGCTTTAGAATAGTCTTTGCCACAGACATAAAGTTTTTGGGAAATGGGACACCTGCAATTAAATACACATATGAAACAATTATTTGGTTATCTAACAGTAGAAAGTTGTTTATTTGTGACAGGGTCTCACTTTGTCACTCAGGCAGTGGTGCAATCTCAGCTCACTGCAGCCTCGACCTCCTGGGCTCAACTGATCCTCCCACCTTGGCCCCCCAAATAACCTGCACTACACGCCACCATGCCCAGCTAATTTTTTGTATTTTTTGTAGAGATGGGGTTTTGCCATGTTGCCCAGGCTGGTCTTGAACTCCTGAGCTCAAGCAATCTGCCCGCCTCAACCTCTTAAAGTGCTAGGATTACAGGCATGCCCAGCCTAACAGCAGAAAGTTTACACACTGCCATGAGCACCTGCAACATATAAACACACACATTCATAAATACACACAAACCTACCTCTGTATATATTTTTTAAAGCCAAGGAAATGAAAACCCAAACCCCAATCCTCACAAAGTACCACACTTTTTTCTGACTGCCTTAGGCACAGGTATCAAATTATGTAAGATGCTGCTAAATCAAAGTTCAAAAATCCTGTAGTTTTAGTTTTTTGTTTTTTGTCCCCCCCCCCACCCCGGAGACTGAGCCTCACTCTGTCACCCAGGCTGGAGTTCAGTAGCATGATCATGGTTCATTGTTACCTCCACCTCCCAGGCTTAAGCAATCTGCCCACCTCAGCCTCCAAAGTAGCTGGGACTACAGGCGTGCACTACTACACCTGGCTGATTTTTGTATTTTTAGTACAGATGGGTTTTTGCCATGTTGGCCAGCCTGGTCTCGAATTCCTGGCCTCAAGTGATCTGCCTGCCTTGGCTTCCCAAAGTACTGGGATTTAGTTCTTTAATATTAGAGAGTTTCTTTCTGAAATTAAATGCAACAAGAGTAAGTATTTTGATCATAAATATTTTTACTTTGTAATTTGTAACTCTAAAGAAATTACACTGGCTCCGTGTGGTGGCTCGTGCCTGTAATCCAGCACGTTGAGAGGCCGTAGTGGACAGATTGCCTGAGCTCATAAGCCTGAGTTCAAGATAAGCCTGAGCAACAAGGTAAAACCTCATCCCTTAGGAAAAAAAAGAAGAAATTACATACATACGCACTCTCTCAATGAGGACTGGAAACTCTCCTAAGCAAAATAAAAAGGCAGCCGGGCACAGTGGCTCACGCCTGTAATCCCAGCACTTTGGGAGGCCGAGGGGGGCAGATCACGAGGTCAGGAGGTCAAGACCAGCCTGGCCAAAGAGACCAGCTTGGCCAACATGGTGAAACCCCATCTCTACTAAAAATACAAAAATTAGCCAGGGGTGGTGGCAGGCAACTGTAATCCCAGCTACTCGGGAGGCTGAGGCAGAGAATTGCTTGAACCCGGGAGGTGGAGGTTGCAGTGAGCCGAGATCGCGCCACTGCACTCCAGCCTGGGTGACAGAGCGAGACTCCGTCTCAAAAAAAAAAAGAAATCTCTTTTTAGAAAACAACGGGGGTAGAGTTTGGTATCCTTCCAAGCAGTGGAGATGGGGATCCAACTGGTTACATTCCTGAGAATTTTGGCTGACAATATCAAAGTCCATTAGAAAACAGGGACAGACAGGTCAGGAGTTCGAGACCAGCCTGACCAACATGGTGAAACCCTGTCTCTACTAAAAATACAAAAATTAGCCAGACGTGGTGACTAAGGCCTGTAATCCTAGCTACTCAAATGGCTGAGGCAGAAGAATCGCTTGAACCCAGGAGGCGGAGGTTGCAGTGAGCCAAGATTGCCGCCACTGCACTCCAGTCTGGGCGGCAGAGTGAGACTCCATCTCAAAAAATAAAAATAAAAATAAACCTACATTAGTTGGCCTTAAAGGCCTGTTCCACAACGCTACTCTTGAAACACATTCTTTTTTTCAATTTTTCAGAAAACAAAGGCTTAAAACACTCTTTCCTTGCATTTTTTTCCCAGCCAGTTCTCAATAACCTGAAACTTATTTTGCTGATGTTTGTGGTTATTCTCCACCACCACCCCAGTCCTCATTAACGTGACTTTTCAGACATTATCCTGGAGCTTACAGGCATGTTTTCCTGGGCAGGATCTTGTATTCATGTATTGAAAAAGCAGATTTCTGGCCGGGTGCAGTGGCTCATGCCTGTAATCCCAGCACTTTGGGAGGCCGAGGCGGGCGGATCATGAGGTCAGGAGATCGAGACCATCCTGGCTAACACAGTGAAACCCTGTCTCTACTAAAAATACAAAAATTAGCCAGGCGTGGTGGCGGCACCTGTAGTCCCAGCTACTCGGGAGGCTGAGACAGGAGAATGGCAGAATGGCGTGAACCCGGGAGGCGGAGCTTGCAGTGTGCTGAGATCATGCCACTGCACTCCAGCCTGGGCAACAGAGTGAGACTCCGCCTCAAAAAAAAAAAAAAGCAGTATTCTGGCCAGGTGCAGTGGCTCATGCCTGTAATCTCAAGCTCTTTGGGAGACTGAAGCAGAAAGGTTGCTTGGGCCTAGAAGTTTGAGACCAGTCTGGGCAACACAGTGAGACCTCGTGTCTACAAAAAATTGAAAATTAGCTGGGCGTGGTGGCACACGTGCCTGTGGTCTCAGCTACTCAAGTGGCTGATGTAGAAGGACCACTTGCGCCTGGGAGGTCAAGTCCACAGTGAGCTGTAACTGCACCACTGCACTCTAGCCTGGGCAACAGAGTGAGAGTCTGTCTCAAAAAAAAAAGTAGATTTCAAAATCAAACATCTTTTTTTATCAGAATGTATAAATGGGCATCTTTCTAATAAAAGGATATTAATAATGTGCATATATTAGTAAAAAATTAATGATAAACAGTTCTGTCTGAGACTAAATAACTGGCAAAAGTAAGATGCAGATAATAGCCTAATGGCAGGGGAGTGGGATTAAGAGGTGGTGGATCAGAATGAATTATTTAAGAACAAGAAAGTGAGAAAAAAGCCAGGCATGGTGGCTCATGCCTGTAATTCCAGCACTTTGGGAGGCCAAAGTGGGTGAATCACTTGAGGTCAGGAGTTCGAGACCAGCCTGGCCAACATGGTGAAACCCTGTCTCTACCTAAAACTACAAAAACTAGCCAGGTGTGGTGGTGGGCGCCTGTAGTCCCAGCTACTTGGAGGCTGAGGCACGAGAATCGCTTCAACCCAGGAAGTGGAGGTTGCAGTAGAGCCGAGACTGTGCCACTGCCCTCCAGCCTGGGTGACAGAGTGAGACCCTGTCTCCAAACAAAAAAGAGAGAAAAGAGGATAAATCAAAAGAATTATTTACCTTCCATAAGCAGAGACTTTAATGAGTAAAGAAATAAGTAATTTGTTTAAATCTAAACACTTTCCAAGCTGAATTTAACAGATATATTCAAGCACAGTCAATATAAAATAAAGATATATGAGAAAGGAAATAAAAGGTTTAATAGCAGAATGGAAAAACTGACCAACAACAAACAGACCAAATGTTAACAACTTGGAAAAAAACTGTTGTCCTGAAAAGCCTCTATAAGACTGCAAAAAGGAATTCAAAAATATGTTGCTCATAAAATACTCTTAAGTTGAAAATGACAAGGAGTGATTTCATCCATGAATACTGATGCCAAACTCTTAATCAAAATATTAACAAATACTCTTCCAGCAGAATATTTTTATTAAAAAATGGAGAAAACCTTATGGTCATAGGCAACAGATACTGGAAAAGCATCTGATAAACTCTATAGCCATTCCTCGTTAAGAACAATTTTTGTAATATAAATGGTGGATATTTTTCATTAATATAATTTTTTAAAAATCCATACACCTCTAACCAAAAGCCAAGATTTCGGCTTACTGCAGAAATACTAGAAGTACTTGCATAATAGTAAGAAGGCAAGAAACGGATGTCTGCCATCATCACCATTACTCGGCATTGCGCTTGAAATACCACTCAGTGCAATCAGATAAGCAAGCGTAAAAACAAGAATACATTATCAGAAAGGAAGAGACAAAATGAACACTATCTTAATATGACACAGTTGTATACTTTAAAAATTCAAGAGAACCAACCAAAAACTAACAGAAAAAGAGTCTGATGGTTAATTATAAAATTTAAATAAAAATCAACAGCTGGCCAGTCCTGGTGGCTGACACCTGTAATTCCAACACTTTTGGAAGGCCAAGGAAGGAGGGATGCTTGAGCCCTGGAGTTCGAGACCAGCCTGGGCAACATAATGAGACCTCATCTCTACAAAAAATAAACAAAATTAGCCAGGTGTAGTGGTGCGTGCCTACAGTCCCAGTTACTTGGGAAGCTAAGGTGGGAGGATCACTGGAGCCCAGGAGATCAAGGCTGCAGAGAGCTGTGATCACACCCCTGCACTCCAGGCTGGGGAACAGAGTGAGACCCTGTCTCAAAAAAAATTAAAAATAAATTACAATAAAAACCAACAGCTTTCCTATATACTAAATAACCAGCTGGAAACCAGATTATCAATAAAAGACATAAAATCCCTAGAATAAAATTAAGAAACTTGAACAACTGACATAAACTACAGAATTTTACAAGAGAAAATAAAGCTAAAGACATGAATAAATGAACAATATCTTGTTCTTGGCTAGGAAGATTCAGTAAAAAGAATCCCTATCTATAAAAATTAAATATAGTCATAATTAAAATCTAATTTTTTTTTCACCTTGACAAAATGTTTCTAAGTTCTTTGGAAAAACAAATATCCCAGAATAGCTGTGAATATTCTGAAAAAGAAGAGCGAGGAAGGGAGACCAGCCTTACAAGATGCTAACAGATGCAGAGCCACAGTCACCAACGTGTGGAATTTCTATAGGAACAGATAAAGAGACTAAAACATGCAAAAATATATGGCAATTTGTTGTGCACATAAGATAATCAGGGGAGAAAAGGCAAATGTGTTTAATAAATGGTAATGGGACAAACTGACTAGTATTTCCATTTGGAAAAAAATTAATGTAGCATTCAGGGAAAAAAAACTTCCCAGCCAGGCGTGGTGGCTCATGCCTGTAATCCCAACACTTTGGGATGCCAAGGCAGGTAGATCACTTGAGGTCAGGCGTTCAAGACCAGCCTGGCCAACATGGTGAAACCCCATCTCTACTAAAAATACAAAAATTAGCTGGGCATGGTGGCATGTGCCTGTAGTCCCAGCTACCCAGGGACTGAGGCATGAGAACTGCTTGAACCTGGGAGGTGGAGATTGCAGTGAGCCAAGATTGTGCCGCTGCACTCCAGCCTGGGCAACAGAGTGAGACTCTGTCTCAAAAAATAAAAAAATAAAAAAAGAAAACATGAATAAATATTTTTATAATCTTGAAGCAGGGAAAAGCTTTCTAATTGTTATATTAAAATCAAGTCATAAAAGATATAATAGGACAAAATAGTAAGGTTGTGTACAGCAAAAATACTCCATGAACAAAATGAGACAAAAGGTAACCCGGGGAAAAAGATATACAACACATACGACAAAGCGCTAATATCCTTTACACAGAAATAGATGAAAGATATAAACAGAAAACACACAATGATCAATAAAACAAACAAAAAGGCTAAAATGCTCAATCTCATCAACATTTTTTAAATGCATATTAAAACAGAAATTTAACCAAATTAGAAAATATTAAAAAATGAGTAATAACCAGTGTTGGTGAAGAAACACTGGCAAACACAAACAGGGCTGGGGGGAGTACATGTTGGTACAAACTTTTTGGAGGAGAATTTGGCAGTCTCTACAAGTATAACAATGTTAAAAAGAGCAGATTTATCATTCAAAAAGAGAAACAGGCTGGATACGGTGGCTCAAACCTGTAATCCCAGCACTGTGGGAGGCCAAGGCAGGAGGATCACTTGAGGCCAGGAGTTTGAGACCAACCTGGACAACACAGCAAACCCCCCCAACTCTATTTATATTAATAAAATAAAATTTTAAAAAAAGAAAGAATACTTCGACAATGTTAACTCACCAATCTTAGAAGGAAAAAGAGTTTCATCATCAAGCTGATCTTGAACCCAAGTCATCAAATAGTCAATGTATTTTGGTGCAGAACATTTGATTGGCTTTTTAATATTAGTACCATCTGCCCAGTGATATTCATATCTGAAGAGAAAAATGTTTTACTGATAAATTTTTCAAAAATATTAACAAATGTGCAAGTTGTGATTAAAACAGGTTCATTCACATTTTGTCAATAGAAGTTACATCTAACTTTAATAAATCACCTTAAGTTCTACTGAAGATTACTGTGAGTTCCCTATGTAATTATCCAGAAAGTGACAGTTATAACTGGAAGAAAAAAGGGAGATAATGTGGCAGGAGGCAATGCCAGGATAGATGTTTTATTAACAACACAGCCCTGGGAAACACAAAGGAACTGCATTCCTGTAAAGCAGAAGGTTGCTGAGGGCTGGGCATGGAGCCGATGGATCCACTACATTCTTCTGAGATTCTTGGTCATCAATTTATTATCATCAATGGACCCAAGATTATAAAACTCTGTTTTGGGGGCCAGGTGTTAGAGATATACATTAGGCATGCATACTTTCCCCCCTTACCTTTGCCGAGCTAGAAGGATTAACAAGAGTTATACAAAACATCACTGTGTAAAGCATTTGAGCCATAGGTAAGTTTAATTTTCCTGTTTATTTTCATTTCTTTTAAAGCTTGAATAATAAAACTTAACACAATATAAAATAAAAACATTCTTCCTAAAATATTATAATAAAAATAGAACTACAAACTCATTAGGGATCTTTTTTCCTTTACACTTGTAGCAAAGTCAGAAAGGACAATCTTTTCTAAGAAGCAAACATCTTGATAACATCTATCATCACATAAAATCAGTCATTTATTATAAGAAAAAAAAAAGAAACTGGAAGGAAACACAGCAAACATTAATCCCATCATATGATGGACTTAATATTATGAGTGATAGAGTTCCATCTTTTTCAGTATTTCTTGAAATTTATTAAAGTCAAAATGTTTTTAAATCTAGCATCTTCAAGCCAGATAATTACTTCTAAATTGTGCTGCTTTAAATACTAAATAAGCACAAGAAAAAATAATCAAATATTAAAAGATCAACTAAAAACTCTTCCAAGAAATTCATTTAAAAACTAGAAACAGGAAACATAAATGTTATTAATAAAATTGAAAAAATAAAATGTTTGCAATTCAAGACAAATGTAACTCAAATTTCTGTTTATTCCTATAATAAAACATTCAGACTTACTATGATGCAACATAAAAATGAAAACAGGGAGTACCCACATACTAAAGTATTTAATAATAACTAATAGCTGGCCAGGTGCAGTGGCTCACACCTTTAATCCCAGCACTTTGCGAGGCCGAGGTGGGCAGATCACTTGAGGCCAGGAGTTTGAGACCAGCCCTGGGGAACATGGCAAAACCCCATTTCTACTAAAAATGCACAAATTAGCTGGGAGTGGTGGCACAGGCCTGTAATCCCAGCCACTCGGGAGGCTGAGGCATGAGAACCGCTTGAACCCGGAAGGCAGAGGTTGTTAGTGAGCCAGGATCACACACTGCAATCCAGCCTGGCAACAGAGCGAGACTCTGTCTCAAAATAAATAAAATTTTAAAATTACACAATAACTAAAAGCTTACAGGTGAGTAGTCAAGAACCAATAAAACTGAATCACCTTCACACAAACGGATAACAAATCTTAACTGTTTAATTTCTATCAATTGGTGATAAAGTAAAACTAATCCAAACACCTATATAATAGGCAGTATATGTACCTCGGACCTGCAGACATGACTGGACAGCTTGCTTCAGTGCAGAATTCTGTAATAGTTCCATATAACATGTTGATCTGGTTAAAGAAATCCACAGCTGCAGAGATAATAGAATTGTGTCAAAATGTCTGTGTAAACACAAAATATGAGACCTCCAGTTGAAGGAAAAACAGACAATACATTTAGGTTCTTAGCTGAACCCTTGAGACATTCAATAATCCAATGATACTGTAACTTGTAGTATACTACACTTTTTTTTTTCTCTGAAACAGTCTTGTTCTGTTGCCCAGGCTGGTGCAATCTTGGCTCACTGCAACCTCCGCTTCCCGGGTTCAAGCAATTCTCCTGCCTCAGCCTCCCAAGTAGTTCGGATTACAGGTGCATGCCACCACGCCCAGCTAATTTTGTTTTGGTATTTTTAGTAGAGACAGGGTTTCACCATGTTGGCCAGGCTGGTCTTGAACTCCTGACCTCATGATCCACTCGCATGTAACAGCAGGAAAATAAGATACTGGAGATAATTCTAACTTAACGATGACTATTATATCCTTTGGATATACAATATGATTACATCCAAGGGAATGAAAAATCCATAGTTTACCACTTTGGACCAGA